>NC_000002.12:72917625-73542625 GCF_000001405.40 Homo sapiens
AACCCTCGGGCCTTACTGGCAGCTCGCAGCCTAGCACGGAGCCCGCGCCTGTGCGGGCGCCTGGAGCTGCCCGCTCCGCCGCAGCAGCCGCCGCGCCTGGCCGTACGCTGTGGCCGGACCCCGCGGTCGCTCGCTCACACACCCCTCGCCGCTCCGCGCCTGGCTCGCCCGCGGGGGCCGAGCGCGAGCGGGCGGGCGGGGGAGGTGAGGGGTGCGGGCGGGTGTGCATGTGCCTGGCTGGGTGCACACCCCGCAAGGCGGCGGCGCCAGGACGCGGAGCGCTCCCCAGAGCCCGGCTGCCTCGCACAGCTCCCGCGGCTGCGACCATGTTCCAGCCCGCGGCCAAGCGCGGCTTTACCATAGAGTCCTTGGTGGCCAAGGACGGCGGCACCGGCGGGGGCACTGGCGGCGGGGGCGCGGGCTCCCATCTCCTGGCGGCGGCCGCCTCCGAGGAACCGCTCCGGCCCACGGCGCTCAACTACCCTCACCCCAGCGCGGCCGAGGCGGCCTTCGTGAGTGGCTTCCCTGCCGCGGCCGCCGCGGGCGCGGGCCGCTCGCTCTACGGTGGGCCCGAGCTCGTGTTCCCCGAGGCCATGAACCACCCCGCGCTGACCGTGCATCCGGCGCACCAGCTGGGCGCCTCCCCGCTGCAGCCCCCGCACTCCTTCTTCGGCGCCCAGCACCGGGACCCTCTCCATTTCTACCCCTGGGTCCTGCGGAACCGCTTCTTCGGCCACCGCTTCCAGGGTGAGTGTCCACGCTGTGCCCGCCGAGGCGGCCGGCCGGCGCCCGTGCTGCGGCGATGCGGGGGAGGCTCGGGGGCGCGCGGGGCTGTTTAGAAGTTACTGCCGGGAAGGCTGCAGGTCCGCGGAGGTAGATTCCCAGGCAGGGAAGAGCTGTGCGGCATCCACCCGCGCCTTCGCCGCGTAGGTCTCCCTCCCAGGAAAGCAGGTGGAGACCTCCAGGCTTTTCTAGAAAATATACCAGTTCGGACGCAAGCCCAGGCGCGTCCTCGGAGCCTGTGCTGGCCCTCGCCACAGCCTGCCCAATTCTCTCTCCCAGCTGAGCCAGTCTCAGACCAGAGTACAACTCCTCCCGCTCTCCCTCCGCCCGGCTTAACCTCGCACCACGCTTCTCTCGCAAGTCCACCACCACCTCCGAGACCTCAGCCTTCGCTGGCGCGTCCGGGCGGGGGAAAGTCCATTCGCGTGCCCCAGCTCTGGGGGAAGCAAGGGCAGCAGGGAGGGCGAATCGGAGAGTTAATGTTCAGTGTGGAGGGCCTGGCTGTCTTGGGATGTTTCTCGGCAACCTTGGCCCGACTTCTCCAAGTCACACGTGCCTCTCCTACCCAAGGTGGGGAAGGTTTGCAGTAAGCAAACTGGCTTCCGCCGTTGCTCGCCGCCTTCGGGAGGGAGCCCACCCGGCTGCTGGAATACCGAGGACAGTTTTCCCGGGCAGGGGGCGGGGGCAGAGGGCTTTTAAGGTCGTAGCCAGTCCGAACCCCGGAGTTTGCATCCAGCAATCGGCTTGCTAATAAAGATCCTCCACTGGCCCTACACACACACACACACACACACACACACACACACACACGTTTCAATTATTTGTCTTTCCCGGAGAAAAGAGAGTTGCATTTGTTGGAGTTCGTTTTCTTCCTTGAAATTTGTTGGAGTTTGTTTTTTTCTTTTCTTTTTTTTTAAATTTTATTTTAAAGAGTGGCCTTGATTTGTACAGGCATCACTTTAGTTTCCAGTTTTATTTTGTTAGTGTAGACCAGACCACAGCCTTGTGAGAAGGGTCTATGGCTCAGAGCTAGGTAACCCGGCTTTTAGAGAAACAAATGAAAGGGACATGGCTGGAGCTTCGGCTCCAGGAGCTAATGTGACGGTCTGTAGTCTAGGTCTACAGTCAATTAGATGTTTGGCACAGTTGTTTAGATAATAAAATGAAAATTATCTCTTGACACTTTGACTTTCACAGAAAACCGCTTTCCCAGGTCCCGATTTGTCAGGCAATTTTTTCAGTCCCACCTGGCCAATAGATGCTGACCTGGCAGATACCACAAAACCAGAGAATGTAATTACTAGAATAAGAATTGTTGTGGGTAGCCTTGCCTCCTCTTTGAAGATTTCAAAGACTTGCCCAAATCCAAATCCGAAAAAACAAAAATGCTACAATGTCATCTGCCTTGGGCAAGAGTTTCTGCCACTTAAAAATAAATGTTTACTGATAACATGAGGATATCTTTAAAATTGAGCAATCTACCCTGGTCCTCCGTGGGCTCGATCCGAAGCCTGGGTCTCGAAACCTGGCGCCCAGGGGCCGAGTTGTAGTTGGGGCGGTGTGTGAGCCCGCGGGCCGCCGCGGCCGAGGGGCTGGCGGGTTGGAGGCTTGTGGAGGGATAGGGGCTCGGAGGAGAGGGCGGGGTCGTTCCTAAGTCCTGTGGCCTCCAGCCGTTCAGCTTGTCCGGAGTCGGCATCCTGGGCCGCACCCTCGGCTTCGAATCCAGCCCCTGACGCCCTCCGCACCGCGGTTCCTGCCTCCGGGCGCCGAGGGCCGGGGGCGCCTGGAGAGAAATCCAGCTCCGGCTCTGAGCGTCTCCAGTCAGGCGAGGCGGATAAATCCTTCGCAAAACCCTCTTGGAAATTGCCGCCGCTTCCTGAGCCATCAGTCCCAGCGGGTACGTTATCGAGTAGCACAAACAGTTGGATTTTTCCCTCAAGAACCGAGTCTGGACGCGGAGATGGAGCCAAGTGTGGCTGCATTTTCGGACCCGGAAATCCGTTGGGCACTGAAGGACTTTTCGAACCCTGTAGCGCTGTTGCTTCGCGGTCCATCGTCGCCGCTGCAGACGGATGCGCTCCCCGGCGGCTCTACGCCCTCCAGTCCCGGCCAGGCCTCTGGGCTGGGAGCCGAGCCGTCTCGGGCCCTCCGGCGCCGCGTTTTCTAGAGAACCGGGTCTCAGCGATGCTCATTTCAGCCCCGTCTTAATGCAACAAACGAAACCCCACACGAACGAAAAGGAACATGTCTGCGCTCTCTGCGCAGCGCTTGGGCGGCGCGGTCCCGGCGCGCGGGGAAGCGGCGTCTCCGCTAACCGAGGCGCTGGAAGGGGAAAAGCGAATGCGGAATCGTCCAGGACTCCGAAGGTCGGGGCCGCTCGCGAGCACCGAAGGGGAGGAGCCGACGAAGACCAGGAGTGGGCCGCATTTCGGTACTGTTTCCCCGAGATCAGGAACTTTCCGGGTCTAGGAGCAACGCCTGGAGGGGGCTGTAGAGACCCAGCCCCCCGGGACCCGCAACTACAATGGGCCGGAGCTTCTAAGGTCGCCTTTGTTCTGGCAGGAGGACGGGGAATGAGGTTATCTCCGCCGCCTGTCCTGCCTCTCCCTCTCCTAGCCCTAGGGCCCTCCGCCCAGCCGTCCGGCCCTGAGCCCCTGGCCGGCGGCGGCCTCTCCAGCGAAGACTGCGGCTCGAAGACTGCAGCTCGGACCCCGGGTGCTTCGGATCCCTAGCTCCCACCTCCAGCTCCCTCATTCCTGGGAATCTCTTGTGCTAGTTCCCAGCCATTGCCTTGAAGGGGCCCTAAAAGAGTGGCTGTAGAAAAATCGGAGGGGTAGGGAAGCAGGGAGGAGAGGGGTATTCATTTCCCTAGCTCCAGGGACGGCTATACCAGTCCCTTTCCACTTTGCTAACTGTCCTAGTCCGAAACTGACAGCCCGTTCTCACAGCCCAGAATTACTGCGTCCAAACAGGCCGCACCCTAGACCCAAGTTTGTTCTGCCCTTGTGGTCCAGGCAAGGGAAACTGAACCCCTGGTAGGGGTGGTTCAGGCCTCCTTCCCACAGGTCGGGGGGCGGGGCGGTACAGGTACCTGTGCACCTAAGGCATCACCCTTGTCTTTGCAGAAACATGTAGCAATTGATCTGTTTCTCAGGATGTTTGGTGTTGTACTAAACATCCTCTTTCTAACAGGGAAACGTCCTTATTCTTTTGGAATCAAATAACCTGTCATCACTTAGCATCTTGACTCATCCTGCAGTCTCCTGCTTCTCTGTGATAGGGTTAGAAGGACCCCTGTATTTTTGCACATGCATGTGAATATACCCTTTAGGACACATGCTGTCTACCACAACTGGACATGACAATGACCTGGGGCCATTTTCTCAGTAAGGTAGACCCAAAGCAACCTAGCATCCCCCTAAAATAACCAGACTTGAGGCAAAGGGGCATGTATGTTGGTACAGAAGCTTGTTGCCTTCATCCTCTCATCTGGGTTTATAAAGACAAACACAGAGCACTCCACCACACAGGTGACTGACATATACCACATAATTACAAAATAATCACTAAGTCAGAGACACTGGGGCAGACTGCAGACCTGCTTCCTCAGCCCCACACTGCCCTTCACACCTCTGCCTCCTATTCATACACACTTACGGGGCTTTCCACACTGCAGCCTCACTTCTGACCAACCTGGGCCAGCCCAGCATCTGAGGCCAAACCCTGCCAATGCTGGGATGAGCTAGGCTTTCTCTCTCCCTCTCTGGTTCATTTGTCCAGAGGAAACCACTGTTGGGACTTCACCCAGGTTCATAACAATGTTGTTTTTTGAAGCAAGTTATTAACATTAACAAGAAGCATTTGCTTTCCACCCACCTTTCCCTGGCCTACCTCACTGGCCCCACCCCAGAGACTTTAATCTTCCTTATTCCCCACCTGGAGCAGGCTCCATATTTTTCTGCCCTTTACTCATCTCTGCCAGACCACCTCCCCTGACCATCTGTCTATTCCACTATCCCAAGTCAAACTTCTCTTCAGTCGGACCTGAGGGCCCTAGATCTGCGCCACTTGAATAATCAAATGGGGTGTCCCTCACCCATCTCCCTGTGATGTGGTCCCACCATTTTTGTGGCTGCACAGATCCAACCAGTTGAAATTGATAAGGTGACTGGAGATTATTGACTGACCCCTTCCAGGCACTAGCCCCGCAATCCTAGCAACTCTGTTCCACAGAAAACTCCAGCAAAAACTTGGCTTCTTTAGGTAACCAAAGCCCAGAGACTTGGAGGAAGTAAGGTCAGGGAGTTTCCACCAACAGAGGGACAAGAACAGTTACCTGGAGAGTTTTAGCTACAGCATCTCAATTATCTGCTTTTGATTCACTTACATAGATGTTTCCAGAGATGGGAGATGTTAACTGAATTATCCAGGTGATTGTCTTAGAGCAAAGCAACAGGTCAAATCAAGTCCAACCAGTAGCCATCTCTGAAGAAATTAATTGGATCAGTCAATCCCAACAGCTAATTCTGTCAAAATAATCCATCTAGGGTTCCGTGTTTTTGGTGCATCAGGAGGCTGTTATGTGCCCTTACATGAGAATCCATGGGTGATTTTGTCAGGGCCTGTTATGAGTCTGTTAGCATGTGCAACCAAGCCAGAGATTGTGTGAGGGCCTAGTGGGGTGTTCATTGAGACAGGCGCTGTGGGTAGAGGCTTGTTTTGGCATTGATAGTTTCTGACCCCATCTCCCCTACCCCAGCTTCATCCAGTCCAGTGTTATCCCTTCCTCCTGCATGTGGGAGCTGAGTCCCTATGCTGGCCAACATTTGCTAAGGGACAGTCACACTCTAAAAATCCTATACAGTAGATAGGAAAAAAGACAGTAGGGAGGCTGGAACATATATTTACACACGCCCATGCAGAAACCAATATATCTATATCTATATATATTAGAGAGAAAGATGACATCTAGATATTTATACACATGTTTCTTTAGCAAGGGACTATTCAGGGATGAAGCAGGGATGAAGCTTTTCCCACCAGACAGTACTTGGAGTCTCCAGTGTGTGTGTTGGGATAGGGGGTTGGGGGCTTACCCTAGAGGCTGGGTCTCTGGACCGCCAAGGCCTGGGGGAGAGAGAGGTGGAGAAAGGGGAAGAAGGAGCCTGACTTTCCACTTCCAGGTGCTGCCTGGACCACTGACCTAGCCACTGGCCTATTTATACCCCCTGCAAGACAGAGCTAGAGCGTGCTGGCAGGAGTTTTTAATGAGTTAGTAGCCTGAGCATTCAGCCGCAAGACTAGTGCAAGCAGGTGTGAAGGGATTGCTCCTTGTGTACCTTCTAGTTCTTGAATCTGTGTTTGGCAAAGGTGTGCCTAGCACCCCGCTGCTCCCCTTATCACGTTCCTGACCCCCAGCCCTGCCTCTACCCTGGGTCCTCTTGGAGGGAGATGCTTTGCGACCAGTTAACTGAAAGCAAATCGTTGGGGCTGGCGGCCAGGGCAGCGCCCCTGGGAAAGGGCGGAGAAAGAGCGCCATGGACTTTTCTTCCCCACCCCTTGGCCTCTTCCGCTGCCCCAGGCATTGTGAATGTGGGTCCACGCCTCGTCCGGCCTGCCCCATCTCTTGGCTTAACAGAGGGATCTGGAGAGCTGTTATTCCCCGCGTTCCCCCGCGGAGTGGCTCTCGAGTGCGGGGAGGTGTTGCGGAGGGGAGTGGACTTAGGGAAGGGGCGGCAAAAGGGCAAAGGGAGAAATGGCGTGTGTGTGCGTGTCAAGGAATGGAGAGGGCAGGGCGCTTGGGAGCAGGGCGCGAGGCCAGGCTCTGTTGGGCCCCGGCTCACGGCGCCCCTTCTCTCTGTCTGTACCTGCGTGTGTTGCCGTCGGCGGCGGGGCCGCAGCCAGCGACGTGCCCCAGGACGGGCTGCTTCTGCACGGCCCCTTCGCACGCAAGCCCAAGCGGATCCGCACGGCCTTCTCGCCCTCGCAGCTGCTGCGGCTGGAGCGCGCCTTCGAGAAGAACCACTACGTGGTGGGCGCCGAGCGGAAGCAGCTGGCCGGCAGTCTCAGCCTCTCCGAGACGCAGGTAATCACCCCCGGTCGCGGCCTGCCCTGCGCCCGGAGCCCGGGTGGAGGTGAGGGTGCGCGGGTGCAGGAGAGGCCCTGAGCCCGCCCCAGCCCAGCCCTGCTGGGTTCCAAAAGGCCCCCATTCCCCGCGGCGCTGCGGTCAAGCCCGTCTTTAGAGCCTCTTCCTCGAGACTGCGTGCAGCCTGCTGAGCCCGCAGGACTTTTGTCAAGCGCTAAAGACCTAGCAGGAGGCAGAGTAAATGCAAACTGTATCCCGAGCCCGGCTCCCAAAGCTCCTCACGGGGGGACCAGGTTCCCTGGAGGAAGCGGGTCGCCTCGGGAGCGGGCAGCGCAGGCAGCACCGAGGCCACTGGAGCTGGCTCCAGCCCTGGCATTCCTGCAGCCCTTTTCCCGCCACTGTGTCGGGGCGCTCATAGTCCTGCGGGGAGCCGGTCCGCACTGGCTTTGCTGCTGTTCCTGGGCAAAACTGGCGGGGCCTTGGCTGCCCACCAGCCAGGAGCGTCTGGGGAGAAAGCCCAGGTGTCCTCAGACTACCAACAGAGGGGCTTAACCAGGGAGGGGCCAGCCCCTGCTTGGGGCCCGAGGGTTGCTCTGATCCGGCCCAGGCCGGCTGATAGGGCTGTGGAAGCCACGGTGTGCGCGCGCAGAGCATCTGAGTGGCCTGGGCCTGGTGGGAAATAGACCCCGGGTACTCAGGTGCTTCTCTGAATCACTGGAAAGGCTGTCGAATGGGAGAAGGAATAAACTCCAACGGCGCCTGGGCTTGAACTGAGTGAAATTAACAATTACCGTGTAGTGTTTTTGTAACTGATCGTTAATTTAAGGGAAAAAATTAAAGAATTAGATGAAAGTTATAGGGAGGTGGATTTGGGTTCATTGTAAGTAGACTTTGCCATAAATAAATGCTGCCTGGGATCACTGCATAAGCTCTTGGTCCACCCAGGTCCGACGTGTTGGAGTGGGGCTCAGCGACCCTCAGCCTAGCTGCTGCCCTGGAGGTGGATTTCAGTCTCTGCGTGCCGGCCGGCTCCCAGAGTTGCGAGAGGCCGGCTCCGCGGTCTCCCAGCTACCTCCCGGCTGACTTTTCACCTTCCGCTCCCCTTTCCTCCTAGTCTCGACCCTACTACACCACCGTCCCCTCCCAAGTCCCGGGCAGTGAGAAGATGCCCGGCATGGGGGGCAGCCGGAGCCTCCCTTTAGCAGCCAGAGTAGGAAGGGGGCTTAGTGAGGGAGCCCAGACCCAAACTTCATCCGCAGCTTTCTTCGGCGGACCTTACCCTCTCCTCCTTCAGTGGCATTTTGGCATCTATTGTCGTCATATCTGTCTGCTGCCCCACTTAATCTACAAATCGCTCACGGGTCGGAGGCAGGACCCGTGCGTTTTCAGATGTACTAGCTGGGCTGTTCTAACTGCAGGGAAAAAGCTTACAAAACAAGAGTTAATTTTAAAAACGTTTCAAAGAAAGATGTGTTTTTAAAAATAAGTTAATAAAATAACACTCCCTTTTCCCTCCTGGCAGTGTTTTAAAATTATTGTTTGAAACAAGGTGTCAGTTTAAGAATGGTGTTTATAATTAACTTCATTTAAACAGTAATATTTATTAAATTTTAATTGCAGAACTGTAAGAAAACAAAAATGGTTTTTAATCCTACCACCCACAGATTAACACTTGTTGAAATAATGTCATTGTTTTTAAACTTTCAATTTTTTAGCTCAGTGAGAGCATTTTTAATTAACTCTCTTTCAAACTGAACCTAGCTGCCTGTCAATATTTGCTCCTAACAATGCCAGTTAGTAAACGGACTGATTGTTTCTTTCATTTTTATTATGAGACATTTCAAACATATATTTAAAACAAAACCAGATAGAATAACATAAACGTATCCTGCTTCATTAACTATCAAAACTCAGGGCTAATCTTCTTCCCGTCTGTAAATGAGCTGCTTTTTGCATATGGTACAACAAAAAGAATGAGGGGAGGTTTGAGCCTGGGGAACCTGCCGTGGCAGCCTGTCCTTCCAGGTGAAGACCCTGAGATGGAGAGATGGTTTGGACAGAGCTTCCCAGGTGGGCAAACACGATTTTAAATACCTGCCTCCCTGCTAACTTACTGTGTAACCCTGGGCAAGTCACTTAACCTCTCTGAGCTCTGGTTTCCTCATTGAGAAAATAGTTGTTTAATGATTAAAGGTACCTCATATGAGCTCAAATAATATTAATCCCCATCCCTAGTCCCTTCCCTTTAAGGTAGTATGTCAGATTAGTAGCATAAGAAGATCCAAACCTGTGTGTCCTCTTAGTCCAGCGTTCTTCCTCCCTTATGCAGTTTCCGTCATCAACATTGCCTTTCTGTTGCCCTCATAACTTATCATACGGAGCCAGGCTATATAATTAGCTACTTCTCTATCCGCCTCTTGGTACTTACCAGGCAAGCTTACCTGTCATTTCCAGCTATCAGCTATTTGTCAAGCATCAGTCACCCCCAACAGCCCCCCTGCCATGCATTTCTACTGTTAATATCTGTATCTGTCTCCAGAGCTCTCTAATCTGTCCCACCCCGTAGCTGTTTTACATCTAGCCATATACTTCTGTCTGCTCTCATTAAACTGCCTCCCCAAAACTGGCTAATTTATATTTCCGATTTTCTATTAGTTATATGTTCTTCCTAACAATAAGAACTATTTACCCATTTGTTCATTATCTTTGTCATCTATTTTACCTTCTGTGTTTCCACCATTCATCTCAAACTTCATCTCCATAGAGCTATTTCGCAACTGACAAACAGTATATTCATATGTCTGGTAATGGTTATCTATTATTGGCTCTGGCTTTGTCTTCTCTCTGGGTCTGGGCCTCAGTTTCTGTATCTGTGAGATTGAATGACACAAATTCCAGGGTTTTTTCTAGTGCTGAGTTTCTGTGACTCCTCTACATTCTACTTCTCTGTGTTTCTGTATACTACCTCCTCCACATTCTCAGAGCTCACCACACAACCCCTGCCTATCATGATATGCATCAAACTTTGTTGTTATTACTTAATTATCTGCCATGTCCAAACATCAATCTGTAGACCAGCAGTATGCGTCTCTCAGGGAGATCTTAAAATACAGATTCCTGGGTTTCACCCAGGAGATTCTCTTAGGAAGTCCAGGATAGGGTGCAGGAAAAAGTTTAAAAACAGTTATTTGGGTGATCATGATTAATAACAGGCCTGAGCATCTTAGCTCTGGGAGGCAGAGGCCAAGCCTGTCTGTTTCTTACAGGACCCAGCTCAGTGCCCGGGATGGAGTACATGCTCAATAAACATGTATTGAATTAATGAGCACATTTCTCTTTGCCCATACAAATACACACTAACTTTATCAGTCATTCCCCTTGCTCTCTGCTGTCATTGCTCCCTCCCTGTCCCTCTCCTTCTATCTTTCCCTTGTACTTTCACAGCTGATTGTTGATTTAGATTATGCATATACCAGTTTGTGGATAAAACTTCTCGGAGGGTTACTCAGATCAGTGTGTGAATGAGCTCTTAATCCAGATCTCAGAAGTCTGTGCACTCCCCAAGCTTTAGCCGGGTGCTAGGAGGTGGGCAACCTGGGTGACTCTGTGTGTTTAGTGGGAGTGGGGTATTCGTGCTGGGATGGCCAGTGCCTCAATCTAGGAGATGAGGGAAGAGCCCTGGGCAAGGGCTAGTTCTCCCTTCAGGTTCTAATGACTTGTTCCTCACTGCTTGGGTGCCGCCCTGGAGTATGACCAGGAAGGTACCAGTCTAAGCTTCAGTCCTGGTGGCTGGTTGGGCAGACCTGGGCCTGGGTCATTGCAGAGGCTCAAGTTTAATGAGTATGTGTAATGGGTGTGTGCAACATGTGTCTGCCCATGTGGGGCACCAACGGGCTTTATGTGATTGATGCCCAAAGGTCAGATGATAGCATAGGTACACATTAGATGCCATTAGGCAGTCATATGACATGGAGTGCAGCTTGCATGCTTTTGTGTGTGTTCGTGTGTGTGTCGGGGGCAGGGGTAAGTTAGTTTTAGGGGGAGTGAGAGAAAGCACCTGGTTGCTCCAGGCTGATCAACTGGTCAGTGTTTCCAGCTACTCCTTCTGCTCTGAACAGATCAGCAGGTGTTTCTTGACCTTGCCTGGGTTAGAGTTTAGCTGAGCGGTGAAGGCAAAGGGTACAGAAACGTGGCCTGTGGCTTTGAAGATTTCTTACTGAGTGATGAAGGCTAAGTGCAAAGCTTGCACATTTGTGAAACATGCACAGGAAGAATGACTAGGGTCCCCTTTGAGGTCACAGCTGTGGGCTGAGGGGTGTCAGGATAGAAACGCTTGAGAAGATGGCTCCAGGAGGCCTCAGACCTGGAAGACTTGGGGGGATGCCTAGGATCCTAGGTTGGAGGGAAAGAAGGGCAGGGTTTGAGGCAGGCAGATGAAGATAGAGCCACCATCTTGGAGCCCAAGGGCAGGGAGATCTTGGGAGGCAGGAGTTACGGTCACCTGCCTATGGCTTTTTCCCCTCAGAGGCATGGAAAGGAGGATTTGGAGGGTCCTTTCCTGCTCTGGAATGTTCTGGCCTTAGAGGGATGGATAAGAGGGGGATATCCAAGTGACCTGAATTTTAGGGAAAAATCAAGAGACATTTGTTCCTAGCTCACGGTGTGTCCACATCTCTTCTCTAAGTCTTGGCTTTTCTTCAAGAACTTCTGCATCTCATGTTCCAGGAGTCCTGTGTGGGAGGATGAGGGGGAGATAAAGGAGATTAGAGTGGTTCTGTGAGGAGCTGGGACCAACATGTCCTGAGGTGAATCTTATGATGTCTCCCTGAGAGAGACAGAGGAAGGGTCCAGGCTGGGCTGAAAGAGGAGGAGACAGGGAGGCTTAGGGAGATCATGGTTATGGTTGGTGGGGAGCTGGAGGTGACCTCAGCTTACTGAGGTGAAGGTTGAACTTAGCATGGCATTGATTGGGCTTGACCTTGAGAGTGGGAACAGCCCACATGATCAAATGATAGGAAATGGGTCCCCAGGGAAGAGAGAAAGCTGAGGGGTGACTTGACTGATATCTCCAGGCTCCTGTCCATTCTGGGATATTTGAAATCTTTGAAGACAGGACACGTATTCACCTGAAAGTGTGCAGGGGCCTGGAGCCACAGACTTTTCCATTTGCAGGAGTGGTGAAAAAGAAGGGATCCAGACCTCGTTCATTCAGAATAGCAGATTATTCCAAAGTAAAGTCTGATTAGTTCTGAAATATCGGCTGGAGCCATAGTTTGCTTGTTTGTTAGTTCATTTTTCCCTTTGTTCTTGCATGCATGTCTTCATTTATTAATGCATACATTGATCAGTCCTCTAGCAAACTGATACATTCATTCATCCATAGCAGTTTCACCTTCTTCATTCTGCCTGACTCAAGCCAACCCTTCTTCTGCCCAGCAGTAGGTGTCCCTCCTCCAACTTCCCCTAAAAGTGGCCAATCCAATTTACCATGTGGAATATTAAAAACTGGCCCTCTTGCAAAAGTGTCCACAAAACTAAGAAAAAGATCCAGTTTCTCCATCATTGAGCACTTCTCAAAGCCTTTGCTGATTAGAATTCTACCCCTCTTCTGTTCATTTTCTCCTGTTTTCCAGGTCTGGCCCAGGTACCTCTTGCCTAGAGCATAGGCTTGTCCAGCCAGATGACTATACATGGAACATGTCCTCTGGGCAGGGCACTGGGACTAACATAACAGTTTGGCTCTCCAGTCTCATAGTCTGGTGAGGAGGCAGACGTAAATAAATAAATTAGTGCACAGTGGGGGTCACTGTTACTGAGACTGGGAAGAGGTACTAAGGAACTACAGGCAGGTGATGGGGCAGGACCATTAAGGAACATCAGGACAGGGTCTTGAAGGCTAAGGAGAGTATTCCAGGGTTGGTAAGTCAGGAGAATGGAGACTTTTGGAAGGATGTGGCCTCTGAGAAACTGAGATGTTCACTTCACAGTGAAATGAGGACTTGGGAGACCACAAGGGACCTCTTGCTACAGCAGAGAGGTCAGAGTGGGCAAGGGGTCCTCCAGCTAACATTCCAACTGTACCTCGGGGCTTAGAGAGAGGTGAGTAGTGTGTTTGTGTTGGGGATGGGGAGGCATGTGCAGGACAGATCCAGCCTCCAAGCCATACCATATGACCCAGCTCCTTTCCAGGGCCTGTTTTCTCTAGGGAAGGGGCTCTGAAGGATCCAGAGTTGCCTGGCTGGGTTGGAGAGGTCATGAAATGTCACTCTCATCTCCTAATACACTCAGAGCCCAGTTCCTTTTCTTTTTCCAAGTAAAAAATAACTACCATTATCAATAATCTATTAAGGAAAATTCAGAAAAGTAGAAAGAAGAAAGAAACATCACCCACACTTTAGGTATATTTCCTTCTAGTCTTTTTTCCCCGTGTGTAGATTTTGTTTTTCTATGGTTGTGATCACACTGTGCCAGCCTTGTGCATCCTGGCGTTTCCATTAATGCTATGAAGTCATAAGCACTACCCTGTTATTGCAGTCTTTGTAAACAGCATCTGGACACTCAGCCCAAGGCTGTTCTCCGGAAGATGGCCAGGCTGCACAGGGAGAGGGTTTATGTCCCTGCCTCTAGAGAGATGCCTACTTGACCCCAGTATTTTTCATGGAGAAAATATTCAGAATCACCTTTCACTTGGGTGCCCTAGGAAGCTGCCTCTGGCCTATCCTGTGCCTGAAGTCGCCATCCAAAGCTTTCCTTCTTTGAGCCAGTGTTGCTAGTCAAGGGCAGCATGCTGGGCCCGTCCCACTACAGGCCAATGTGACCGTCAGTCTCCTTCCTGAAGGACACTTGGAAATGCATGTGGAAAGAGGAAGGTACAGAAAAGGGCCCCCGGTCCCTGGTACTGCCCGCATCACCTGACAGTCACCTTCGGCCAGCCCACTTGGGCTTCTCAGGAATGACACCCCGGCCCTGCATCTGGCCCTGAGTCACGCACAGGAGGCAGGGTGAGCTCACCCGCCCACTGACTGGCACAGTCATAGCAGGCTCCAGGGTGGGGGGCAGGGGCCAGGCTGCTGCCAAATGGTTGTGCTGAGAACCACCCAGGGTCCAGGTGGCCCTGCGCCCAAAGATAGGTGGGCTTGGAGTCCAGCAGCCTGTGCCCAGAGCCTCTGCCATCCTCCACGGCCGGCCTAGGTGAGATGTGCAGGCTATGGGCTTGGAAATGAGGGGAGAATCCCCTTGCCCTCACTCCATCCATCGAGGCCGGGCACCAACCCTTCCTGGGCCAGCTTTCCAGCCCCTGGCTGGCTGCTCTGCAGGCACTGAATGCCAGCTGCCCCCATCCCCATGCCAGTGCTCTAAAATCAGTGCTCTCAAACAAGGGCAGATGGCGCAGTGGAAGTTCTGGCAAGAGGGGACTGTGAGGGGAAGTCCTGGGGTAGGTGGGACAGAGAGGACTGCCTGGGAAGGGTGTAGGGGCAGCACCTCCTGGGCATGAAACCATCTGCAGGGCACAGGGGCCAGGCCTGCCTCTGCATGCACTGCTTGGCCTTGTGGCTAAGGCCTGTGCTTTACCCAGTTCTCTGGGAGCAGGAGCAGTCTTTCTGAGGCCTGCCCTCAGCCCTGCCCAGGGTTCAAGGATCTCTCCTCAGCATCATTGCTGCTGCCAAAACCAAGAGGCTACCCACCATTCCTCACCCGCAACTCTGCCACGCAGCACCGTCTGCACAGCTGCAGTTGGCCACATCCACTTGCTTTTAAATGTGCTGTCATTTCCTGGAAACCATCCAGGCCTTGTAGCCTGCCCTCTGCACCTCCTCCCCAAGGGGGGCCTCTGGAGCAAGAATCCAAGAGGTGCCCTGGCAGCTGCAAGTGTCCCCAGAACATTTCCTCTATGCATGAAGGACTGAAGCCCAGAGGGGGAAGGGACTTAGCTGAGAATCAGTACCCAGGATCCTCCTGCCAACGCTGAAGATGGTTTGGGTCTGGCCTGACTCTGCAAAGCCAAGTAAAGAACCACGGAGTCAGGGAGAGTTGACAGATGAAGGCTTTCTCCACAGCCCACAAGCACTAAGTCCAGTCCAGGAGCCAGGATGAGCCTCCCAGATTATGCATGAGAGGACATTAAGGGCTGTGTCCTGGACACTGAACAGATGCTGGAGGAGGAGGGAAAAGAGGCTTCCTGGAGGAGATGGCTTAGAACCATAGACCTGCCCTCTGCCTCATGCCTCCTCCATCATGGAGGATGGTTGTCCAGTTTCTGTTTGAACCCCACCCCATACCTTGCCAGGGCTCTCACTGCCAGACACAGAATAGGGGGCTCCCTGGGTTCAAAGTAGAGCTCACTTCTGTCCCCTGGGCTTCTCCTGACTGTTCCTTGTGTGACCTGTTCCCACATCTGGATGGGCTGCAGGAGCCAGTGCTGTGGGGACAGAAGGTCTGGAGCTGCCCGTGAAGGGCAGAATGCTGCCCTCAGACCCGCTTCCTCCCTGTCCTTGTCTGTCCAAGGAGAATGAGGTCTCACTGGTGGATTTCGGACTACCCTGAGGAGCTGGCACCTGAGGGACAAGGCCCCCCACCTGCCCAGCTCCAGCCTCTGATGAGGGGTGGGAGAGAGCTACATGAGGTTGCTAAGAAAGCCTCCCCTGAAGGAGACCACACAGTGTGTGAGGTTGGAGTCTCTAGCAGCGGGTTCTGTGCCCCCAGGGATAGTCTGGCTGTCCAGGCACTGCTCTTGATATAAACACCACCTCCTAGTTATGAAACCATGCCCATTCTGCCTCTCTGTATGGAAAAGAGCATGGGGCTGGCCCGTGGGGTGGTGTCCACTTTAGGCCCTGTGGGAGATCATGGGAACCCACGCAGTGGGTCATAGGCTCTCTCATTTACTACTCACATCCACTCTGTGAAGAAGCGATTATGATCTCTCCTCTAGAAACTCGTAGAGTCCCATGTCTGCCGGCTTCCAGAGCCTGCACTCCTCCACCTTGGCTTGGCTTTGCTGGGGCTAGAGGAGCTAGGATGCACAGCAGCTCTGTGACCCTTTGTTTGAGAGGAACAGGAAAACCACCCTTCTCTCTGGCCCACTGTGTCCTCTTCCTGCCCTGCCATCCCCTTCTGTGAATGTTAGACCCATGGGAGCAGCTGGTCAGAGGGGACCCCGGCCTGGGGCCCCTAACCCTATGTAGCCTCAGTCTTCCCATCAGGCTCTCAGCTCAGCCTGAGTGTTGAGGCCCCAGTGGCTGCTCTGGGGGCCTCCTGAGTTTCTCATCTGTGCCCCTCCCTCCCTGGCCCAGGTGAAGGTGTGGTTCCAGAACCGGAGGACAAAGTACAAACGGCAGAAGCTGGAGGAGGAAGGGCCTGAGTCCGAGCAGAAGAAGAAGGGCTCCCATCACATCAACCGGTGGCGCATTGCCACGAAGCAGGCCAATGGGGAGGACATCGATGTCACCTCCAATGACTAGGGTGGGCAACCACAAACCCACGAGGGCAGAGTGCTGCTTGCTGCTGGCCAGGCCCCTGCGTGGGCCCAAGCTGGACTCTGGCCACTCCCTGGCCAGGCTTTGGGGAGGCCTGGAGTCATGGCCCCACAGGGCTTGAAGCCCGGGGCCGCCATTGACAGAGGGACAAGCAATGGGCTGGCTGAGGCCTGGGACCACTTGGCCTTCTCCTCGGAGAGCCTGCCTGCCTGGGCGGGCCCGCCCGCCACCGCAGCCTCCCAGCTGCTCTCCGTGTCTCCAATCTCCCTTTTGTTTTGATGCATTTCTGTTTTAATTTATTTTCCAGGCACCACTGTAGTTTAGTGATCCCCAGTGTCCCCCTTCCCTATGGGAATAATAAAAGTCTCTCTCTTAATGACACGGGCATCCAGCTCCAGCCCCAGAGCCTGGGGTGGTAGATTCCGGCTCTGAGGGCCAGTGGGGGCTGGTAGAGCAAACGCGTTCAGGGCCTGGGAGCCTGGGGTGGGGTACTGGTGGAGGGGGTCAAGGGTAATTCATTAACTCCTCTCTTTTGTTGGGGGACCCTGGTCTCTACCTCCAGCTCCACAGCAGGAGAAACAGGCTAGACATAGGGAAGGGCCATCCTGTATCTTGAGGGAGGACAGGCCCAGGTCTTTCTTAACGTATTGAGAGGTGGGAATCAGGCCCAGGTAGTTCAATGGGAGAGGGAGAGTGCTTCCCTCTGCCTAGAGACTCTGGTGGCTTCTCCAGTTGAGGAGAAACCAGAGGAAAGGGGAGGATTGGGGTCTGGGGGAGGGAACACCATTCACAAAGGCTGACGGTTCCAGTCCGAAGTCGTGGGCCCACCAGGATGCTCACCTGTCCTTGGAGAACCGCTGGGCAGGTTGAGACTGCAGAGACAGGGCTTAAGGCTGAGCCTGCAACCAGTCCCCAGTGACTCAGGGCCTCCTCAGCCCAAGAAAGAGCAACGTGCCAGGGCCCGCTGAGCTCTTGTGTTCACCTGCCCTTCTGTTTGTCCCACTTGTCAGGATGAAGGTTTCCTGACAAGCAAATCTGCATTCCTAAGTCTTTCCCTTACGACATCCAGACCCCTCTCTTTCTTCTTCACCTCCCATGTGCTCATGAAACCTCTGCTCTTTGGCCTCCATGCCACCATTCTGCCGGTGCTAATGACAGTCACCAACCACAGTCACTGGCCACCCCCTTGTGGCCAAACTCAACCACTTCCTGTTGGGTTCACCTGCTCCCTGATCTGTTGGCTATGCCCTCCTGGATTCTCCCACCCCGCTCTGCCTTCATTTCGGTAGCTCTGACTCCTCCTTCAGCCTGAGTTCATTCAGTGTGATCCATGCCTTGTCACCTCTGGCCACCCCCAGGTCAGTCCTTGCTCTCCCTGACTCCTCATTATGTCCTTTGCCTTGTGGGGATCACATCCACTTCCAGGACTTCTCTTTGGCTCCCTGGCCTGTGTCTTTAGCTGACCTCTGCTGAGCTGCAGACCCGTCAAGCCAGCTGCCTGCTCCACCCCCTGCCCCTCAGCACCTCAAAGCCCATACATCCACAGCCGGACGCACCTACCCATCTGTGCTTCTCCAGGATCACCCACCTCGACAAACAGCATTAGACATGTACACAGTTTCCCAAGCTACAGGAAATCTGGGAATCTTCCTCAAGCTTCCTCTCCTCTTCCCCAGCCCCATCCATTCCCATCTAGTGGGTTGAGTCTAGACTGGCTTCCCAACCACACCTCCCTAATGCAGCACCCCCTACCCCCCTGCCCAGCTCCCTCTGCCACCGGCCTGGCCTGGGCCCTGCTCCTCTAGGGAGGTTTCTGTGAATGTCAAGGATGAGGTCCACTTCAAAGGAGGCCCTCCATGTTGCAGCTAGGTTTCTCTTCCTTGCACCCAAACAGGGCAGACTCACCCCCTTCTGAGCCCCTTTGCCCCATCTTCTTGCCTTGCTCCCGGTACCCTTTGCTTCAGCATCCCCATCCCTGTCCCTGAGTGAGCCACAGGTTTTCCCTGTGCTGTGCCTTCGCTCATGCTGTTCTTCCCACCTGGAATGTCGGGTGCTTGATCAATGTGGAACTCACTGGAAAGATGTCAGAGACCCAGCCTTGCTGTCTGGGCCACATGCAGGGATCCAAGCACACAAGGTCCTTCTGCTGGGAGCACAGACCCAGGTCCCACTCGCACTCTCAGCGTCTCTCTCCCACCTCTGCCCACCTCACTTGTGTCCAGTCAGTGCTAGAAACCAAAGGGCTTTGTCCCATCCCAACACCCCCTCTCCCTCCATCAGTCAGGAATGCATTCTGCACATCTTGAAAGTCCTAACATGGATAAGTCCAGATTAACCCACATGGCGACCCTCACTGCCAAGCAGGTGGGATCACTTCTGGGAGCACACATGCCCAGGTGTGGAAGGAAGGTGGGAGGAAGAGTCATCCTTTTGGCCCCAGTGGGGGACAGAGAAAGGGGTGAGCTGTTCCTCTCAAGATCCTGCCTCACTTGGTAGGGGGAGGGGGTCCAGGAAGATCACAGCAGAGCACCCCCTGTCATCCGAATAAAGGGCTGGAAGGGACCCAAGGAAACCTGCCAGTCTCCCGAGGCCAGGCCTGCGGGGGGCGGGGCGGGGAGTCCCTGCCGCACTCCCATCCACCCCCCATGTTGTGCCTCTCCCTGCAGACGGTAAATATTGGTGTTGTGACTTCATTAATAAAGGCTTCTGTGAGCCTGAAAAACATGGAATCAGGATGAACTATTTTCTGAGCTGCGGGCTTGCCAGGTTTGCTAATTTGGGAGTTTTTGGGCCCTCTCCAGGGAACAAACCAAAGTCTCTCTTGAAGAGACACAGATGCAGCCGAGAAGGGAAGAAGACGAGGACTGCTGCTCCCTTCCCTCCCCCAACGGCTCCTCCCACCTGGAGAGCGGGTGCCCTGCAGAGGGTGAGGACCAGCAGACACTGGCCTGCTGGTGCCTCGGCGTGCAGGTGCTGCATGGCCAGCCCTTCCCTGAGGGAGCCTAGGTCAGCCATTCCCTTCAGCTGGGCTGGCCTCCCAGGGCCTGCAGATCGCGTGGGCTGAGGTATCATGAGCACCTGTAGGAGCTCCAAATTGTACGCAGCTGAAGTAGAGGGAGCTCAGGGGACCTGTTCTGAACCCTGGTGGCCTAATCCACACGCCTCACCTTCAGGGACTGATCTTTGCACATCCTCTTGTCCGTGGAACTTTCCAGGACTCATCCCCATGGCCTTCGCAGCAGTATGGCTCACGCTCCTAGCATCTCTGCACTTGGTTTGCACCAACTCCTCCTCACACGTGCTGGGACCGCTTCCCAGGAGGCATCAAGGCGCTCTGGCTAAGTGAACCGGGCTCTGCCCAGAGGGAGCCGGCCAGGGCCCACAGGCCTCTGCTGTAGCCCTGCTCCAGGGCATCCCTGCAGGCAAGGGGAGAGGAGGGGAGGGGCGGCCAGCAGGCTGAGCGGTGCAGGCCCAGCCAGCTTTCCTGTCAGACGGGCGCTGCCAAGGCGGAGCCAGACATCGGAACAGGTTTAACCAATTACCCGAGCGCCCCATCTGCTGTCTGGGGTGTGTGTGAGGGTGAGTGCATGTGAGGGTGTTTGGAGTGTCTGGGAGGGCTGTGGGCGTGCGTGTGAGTGTGACTGTGTGGGTGCCTGTGGGCGTTCGGCTGTGCATGTGTGCGGCTGTGCACGTGTGCCGTCTGTGGCTGCATGGCCCGGTCATGCCCCCTGATTTGTTAAAAACTGGCTACGGCTTACAGTCTTCCTGTCCCCCAGACCTTGGGGTCTGTATGGACAACCCACCTGGCATCCCAGCCTCTCATTCCCTCATCTTCCCCTCACCACTCTCTCTCAGGGATGATCAGAGCCCAGAATGGGGCCTTCTCTCAAATCACACATTCAGGTGTCTTTTCCCGTCGAACCCTGAGCTCTTCCCATTTGCTGGCTCACTCCTTTCCCTCTGCAGCAGTGCGGGACCTTGCGGGGGCCCCCAGGCCACAACCTCCTCTGCTCTCTTTCTGACACATCCTTGTCCCACTATTCCTTGGTTGCACCTGCCTGGCAGAATTGAAACCCTGCTTGAACCTGCTTTTCCACCTGCCCGTGCAGTTGAGTCCATGAGGACAGCAGGCAGGCGTGCGGGATGGCGCCCCTCATTGTTTCGGGTCCCAGCCTCAGCTGAGGCCTCGCCCTATTGAGAAGTCCTCTGCCACCCTCCCTCCAAGCCTCTCTTCCCCCTGACTCAGCAGAGGGCCTTACTCCCACCTTCAGAGACAGCCCTGGAAGGGGACACCTTTGTATCAGTCAGATGGTACCTTCAGATAGAGCACTTGGAGGACAGTTTACTACAGGAACAATTAAATTTTGGGGAGCCCACAGGGATGGTGCAGTACCCCAGAGCTGGTAATAATGGGGAGCCCATATGGCCCTGAGGCCTGAAGAGGAAGGAGGCAGGGGCAGCTACTGGAACCTGGAGGAGACAGCTGGCTGGAGAGGGCCCCCAGGTAGGAGCCGTAACCTTCAGTACAGAGGGGCCCAGAGATGGCAGGAGGGACCAGGAGGAAAAAATCCCCCAGCGTCACTCCTCCAATCCCCCAGTTTCCTGCTGGGACTCCTGGTGGTGGAAGCCAGCCAGCCAGCCCTTAGTCAGCTTCCAGGGACAGAGCAGGTGGACAGATGCAGAATGGATCTGGAGGGGTGGGGGCTCCTCACCCTCAACCCCACGCTGCCTGCAGCCAGCCCTTCCTCCCCACCTGCCTCCTGTCACCACCCGCCACTTTCTCTCCTTCTGGCCCAGGAGAACCCCACCCCTAACCCCCACCTCCAACCTGGGCTTCAGAGTCTCCCCACCTGGAGCGGCTCACTGCTAGGCTGTTCTTCCTCTTTCTGCGACACAGTCTCTTCTGATTCTTGCCTGAGGGGTCCACCTTCTAAGCGCCTCTTCAGCTCCATCTCTCAATGTCCCACTTCTGCCCATCAGCCAAATTTCTTGAAGGAATTAGCTATGCCGGCTGTCCGTGGTAGTCCTGACTTCTCGACCCGTGAAGATCTGTCTTTTGCCCTGACCACATCCCACTGAGGCTCCTCTCTCTGGGTCCTCCATGGGGCCCGCCTTGGTCCATGTCTCCCTTCACCTCTCGGCCTCAGTGAAGCACATGGAAGCCCCTTCTACCTGAAGCACTCCCATCGCTGTCCTCTGGAATGCCACGCCCTCCCTGCCTTCCTCGCCTCTTGCCTTGGTGTGCTGGGCCGCCACAACAAAGCACCTCAGACTGAGTGGCTTCGACAACCAAAATTTATTTCTTCCCAGCATTGGAGGCTGCCAGCCCAAGATCAGGGGTTAGCAGGGTGGGTTTCTTCTGAAGCCTCTCTCCTTGGCCTGTGGACAGTGCCTTTGTCTTCACAGGAGCTTCTTCCTCTAGCATGCCTGCAGCCCAATCTCCTCTTCTTAAAAGGACATCAGTCATTTTGGATTCTCCTTTGGATGAGAGTCCACCTTAATAACCACATTTTAACTTAATTACCTCTGTAAAGACCCTGTCTCCAAAGACAGTCACATTCTGAGGCACAGGGCATTGGGACTTCAACAGATGAGTTCTGGGAGGACGTGGTTCAGCCCTCACACCTCCCTTATGGCTGAGCTTCCTTGTCTCTGCCCAGGCCTCAGAGGTGGGGCTCCTCAGAGCTCCTTCCACCTGGGTGGCCATCTCTGCTCCTCCAGCTCCAGATGCTCCCTAGACGTGGATAACAGACACATCCACATTTCCCATCCCTACCTGTCTCCTGAGCTCCAGACTTCCTCGTCTCTTGGTGTCCACTTGGTTATCTCCCAGGAACCTCCGATGCCTTGGAAATCAGAATGCATCCCCTTTCCTGTGGGTTTGTTCTTCCTTCTCTGTGCCTTAGCTCAGAAATGGCCCCTTCTCTGCTGCCTCAGGCAGGAACCTAGGGTCACCCCTTACTTCTCTCTGCCACCCTCACGGAGAGCTGAGCAGTCCTGAATCTTCACTTCTCTCCTTCCCCTTCCCCATCCCCACCACATGGCCCAGGCCCCATCTTCCTCACCAGGACTGCCGCAGGGGCCCCTCACCCAGTCTCCCCAGCAACCTTGCTGTGACCACTCCACCCTCCACTCTGCAGCCAGGTCACTCCACTTCTCTACTTAAAGCCTCAAGGGGCTCTCCGCTGGCCTTGGCCCAGCAGCACCTGGTCACACCGCCGCTCCTGGGCCTCCTCTCTATTCTCTAATGACATGGAGCTGCTTCAGGGCTCTGCTGTACTGTCCCTCCCTCTGTCACACTAACCTATGAAGAGGAGGAGAACCAGCATCCATTGGCCTGGGACGGAGGGTGGGCCCCTTCCCTCAGTTCCCCATGGGTTTACATGGGGTCTTCCAGGAGACGGTCTGGTGGTCTGGGGCCTGTCTGTCCATTTGTCCATCTTCTCTTTCCTTTGCTCTCTTCTCCACCCCTCCGTAAGGCCCAGGGAACTGGGGTGGGCCCCAGATTCTTGCTGTGGCTGAGGAGGTGTCCTCGTGGGGAAGGGAAGACTGGCCCTGGCCTTATGCAAGGCTGCCAGCATCTGCCTCGGTGTGCAGGGTGGAGAGTGAACACTTTTCAGCCACTGCTCGGAGAGACTCTTGGTTCTGCAGGGAAGGGTGGGCGTGCAGGGGTGAGGCCTTGTTGGAAGTGGCTGAGGCATTCCTGTTTTGGGAGCTAATTGGTGGCAGAGGGATGGCTGAGATGGCAGAAGCTGCAGCAGCTTTAGGGGACTGAGGGAGCTATGAAAATGAGGCTAGGCCCCTGGGGCATCAGGAAGGGTCACTCATCGTGGCCTCCATCCCCTTACATTCTGACTCTCCTTCTAACCGTGGCCTGAGTGAGAGAAGGGAGGTCCGATGGGCCAGGCGGGAGGGGATGGGGGCAGGGGAGGCCACATTCCTGGAGTGTTAATGATCTCTGGGCTGGGCAGGAGCTGAGCCCCCAAACCAGCTAAAAACAACAAACAGCTCCCAGGAGGGATTTGTGTCTGTCCTGAGAGTCAAGGATTTCCGCCCCCGGATGGAGGCTGTGGCCTGTGGAGCTCTTAGCAAAGAAATTCCCCAGAGACCAGAAGCCTCCTGGCCCAGAGGCATCACTTTGCAAACAGCTCCCTCCCCTCTCCCTTTCTCTCCTCTCTCTCTAGTGGGGAAGGTCCCAGCACCCAGGAGGGGAGGCAGGCCCTCCCCCACACACCTGGGAGCGGGGAGAGGAGTCTGGGTGCATTCCTCCTCCAGCTTTCCATCCTTACAACAGTCCAGCCAAGTGATGCTGTTCGTGGCATTTTATAGATAAGGTCACCAAGGCTCAGTTAGAGTAGGTGTCAATAAATGTCTGACCCAATTGATGGGTGAATAGAGGAAGCATCTGGCTAGAAGCCCCAGTCATGCTGGGCCAAGCTGCGGCTGGAACTGGGGTCTATCTGACCCCAGCCAGGATGGCTTTCCACCTCCCTGCCCGCTTCTCTGCAGGGCTGGACTTGGGAACTCTGGGGGCTGCCTGGAAGAGGAGGAACCATTGCTATCAGGAGATGCCCAAGTCCTAGCCCCAAGGGATAGTGGAGGAGTTAAGAAGAGGCAGAGATCTCAGGGCTGGTACCATGCACACTGCAGCCATGAAGCACCTTTCCACTTGGCTCAAACCTTCCCTCCCTAGGAGGCCTCTCCTGGCCCCAGGTGGTCCAGAAATGACCCCCTCCGGCCTCCCAGCCTCATGGATATAAACAGTATGGGAATCTACCAAAAGTCTTACTCACGTTCCTTGAGGGCGGGCTCCTTAGTGAGCGCTCAATAACAGCTCTGTAAGGGGAGTCCTGCAGAATTTCACTGCCCTGTGTCCTCACATGGTCTCCATCCTTTCCTCTCCCCTTCCCTCTGGGCCTCCCAGCTGGCCCGATCCAGCCTGGAACCTAGGTCTGCACCTTCCCTGGAGGTATTCCCACAAAATCCTCAGGCAGTCCTTCCCTTTTCCCACTGGGTTCCATACGCCACTCCCCTTCCCACCCACAATTCACAAAACCACACCCTGATGCTTTAAATCCCGTATTTATTGCCCAAAGCTCATTAGTATTACACAAATCACATAGATTGAGAAATTTTCTGAGGTTAAAAAGACGCTGCAAAGGCCCCTGGGAGTGGCTGAGGCTTGCGTGCGGGGGCCTCACTCTCACTGGGCCAGGCTTGAAGACCACCCTGGGTCTGTCCACCAGCCTTTTTCCTCCTCTAGGCTCCTGCCCTTTTCCCAGGCCAGAGGCCAGAACACCAAAGAAGTCGGCTCATAACCAGGTGAAAGGGGTCCGTCGGCCAGCTCGACTCCACGGCCAGCTTGACATCTTGGTCCCTGCACCCTCACACTGCTGTCTGGGAATGGAAGAAGGGCATCCCCAAGCCTGAGGGCATGTTTGAAGTGACCAGAGGAGGGCCAGGCAGGGACACCAGGGGTGCAGCACCATCGCAGGCGTGGCTTGTGTTCTCGCACAGCTGGCCAGCCCCGCCCTGACTGTGTCCAGGCTTAGCCTCCACCCCAGGCATGAACCAATCTGCCCCTCAGGCCTCCCTTCCTCTGGCCTCAGCAGAGTGGGGCATGGGTGCTGGGTGAAGGTTTCCCCTCACAGGTCTTTCCAAAGCCAGACCAGGGCCTAGTGGCATAGCCCACTGTCCCTCTGTCACCCTCACCCTAGGCTATCTGGATCCTTTGCCACTGCACCGCCACAGGAGCAGACCCCTTGGCTCACCTGAAGCTGCATTTGGGAGCATGACGGAAATCATCCGGGAGACAAAGCAAATGAGTTATGAGATGCTGAGGCCACAGGCTGGGCCAGGGCACCAGGCCTCTGGCAGGGGGAGGGCGGGAAGGGGTGGGTAGGCAGTTTTGGTCCCAAGATAAAGTGCACAAGAATAAGACCTTATGATAGGTAGGAGCAGGGTGAGCTTGAAGTGAGCTTTTCAAAAGACGACCCAGACATGCCAGCACCTAGTTCAGGCCTAGAGACCAGCACAGCGCAGCAGTCACTGGCATATTCACATTATGGTGGGATTGGCTCAAAAAGGCCTGCCCCTCCAACACCATGGCACCCCCACACTCCCGCTGTTTTGTCCTCCAGGCTTGTCTAACCCTTCTCCCCCTCCTCACGGGCAGCAGGTGGGCTGCTCCTCAGGAGAGTGGCAGGCCCCTCAGGGCAATGTGCTGCAGAGCCAGCTGGTGGGCACCAGCGGCTGGCAGAGAGGCAACGGCCATGCCCATGGAAGGCCCACCTCAGCACACTTCCCCTACCCTAAGATGCCACCCTGCAGCGGCCTCTTCCTACACATGAATGTTCACCTCTGGCCTAAGTCTCCCCTGAGGTGGAGACCCCGGGGGAGGGAGGCCTGGGGCTGCAGGTGGAGGCTTCCATTCTAGGTGGGGTCAGGAGGGGGCTGCACTGAGGCTGGTGCTTCCCCCTGGTTTGGGCCTTTCAGATGAGGGGTCACCCTGCTCACACCCACCCCAGGCTCTGCTTCCCTTTGTACAGCTTGCTCTTCCTTCCTGGTCTGCAAATGGGAGGGAGATGGGAGCCAGCAGCAAGGGGCCTCTGAGGCTGCCAGAGTGAGAGGCGACACATGGGTATGGCCCCACCATCAGGCCCAGGCATCTATGTTACCTCCTCCTCCAGAACTGTAAAGTGTTTGGCAAAGGTCAACTGCTCCCGGGATATGGAGTCACATACACAAGGCAAGGCCTTCTGCTGAGGCCAACTGCAGGTCCAAAGGGGCCTGCCCCCTTCCCAGTCCAGAGTCCACACTGGGGACATGCCCAGGATGACCAGCATCTGAGCAGGACAAGCAAAGACGAGGTCTTGCTGGAGGAGCCAGTGGGAACCCCTTGATCCAGTCTTCTGGTTTCAGACAGGGAGTGGAGGCTGAGAGAAGGGAATGAATTTGTCTGACATCTCACTGCCATTTAGTGACAGAGCCAGGGCCCACTGCTCCTAGGTTGATGCTGCTTCTCTGATAGGTGTCTAAGGAGCTGGCCTAGGCATTCTCAGGCATGAGACCTTCCTGCTTAGAAAGGGATGGGATGGGGCAGGCAGCCTTGGTGGCTGGAGAAGCTCCGCAGAAGGCAGCCAGCCCAGTCTAGCCCCACTCTCAGCCCCAGAACCCAGCATCCAGCCTGGGGCCTGGAAGGAGGATCTTCCCGAAGAGGCCAAGTGCAGGTCCATGGTTCCTGCCAAGCACCATTCCTTCTCGGGGTTTCCTGCCTGGAGCTGGGGTCACTTCAGGGGCCCTGAATCAGTTAGAGCTCCACGAAGGGGGACCCTAGCTCCAGGGTCACTGGACTTCACTCAGAGGGACTGGTTCTGCAGCTCTGGAATGGATGTGGGCTGGCTACATTCAGAGCCAGCTGCCCACAGAATCTTGCAGAGGCCTCCAGTGCTCCCTGATTCCCTGGGCCACTGCCTGAGGACCCTAGTCATGGCTAGTTCATCCTGTGGGGTGCAGACCACCTTCTCTCCCCTCCCCATGCCAGCCCAGGGAGCCATCTGGGCTGGCCATTGTAATATCCTAAATTTACCAGCCTGGCCACCAAACCAGCCCAACTCCAGGCCTAATCTGGCTCGCCTCCACCTGTCCTCCTGCCACTTCTGGTCAGCTGAAACTAAGGCTCAGATTTGATTCTGATAAAAAATAAAAATAAAAAAGGAACCAAAGTATAAAAGGATTCTACTTCTACCCCATGGGCACTCTACAATTTTTCAGCTTCACACATAATTGTGCTGAGTGGAGTTTTGACAACCCCACATAAGGCCCAGAAATGCACTTGATTATTTTTTTGTACGAAATGTGTTAGAACTCCTCTTGCCTATGTTAAAATGTGAATGGGTCAGTCTCCCTCCACTGTAGGTTGAGCACTCTCCCAGGGGGCCCAGGACTGCTGGGGTTGGCGTGCTGCTCCCTGCAGGTGCAGCCGTGAGTCTACGGCCCTGCCCCTCAGCTCCCCGGCTGCACAGTGCTCCGTCCCCAGGCCGCTGACCACACTCACAACCCCTTGTTGTACACCACTGTCCGGCTGCTCGTGGCCTGGGCTATCTCCGGCTCTAATTGGGATGTTTCAATCTGTGGAGAGAGAACAGAGAGGAAAAGTGGGGGAGTGGGAAGGGGCAAATAGTGGGGCTGGGAGCTGCAGTGAGGACCACCCTGGGCCCCAGAGCTCTGCCCCCTGCACCCCCGTGTCCACCCCAGCCAGGGCTCACATGCCCTACCTAGTGACACATCTTCCTTCTCCACCGCCCTCCCGCCGCGGGGCTCACAGCATCCCTTCCAGCCCAGACCAGATCTCTTTCTTCTGATGGTGTGTCCACGTGGGTGGACATCCTACACACTGGCCTCTGAGTTCTGCATCTCCCTCACCCCCAAGAACCATGTCCACTGCACTGCAGACCTACCACAGCCCTGCCCAGGGCCATTCCCTGGACCTGATGACCACCCAGGGCTGCTCCACCTCAACTCCTTCCATCCAAACCCCACCCTCCTGGGCTCCTCAGTCGCCTGTCCTTCCAGCACCCCACTCACTCCTGCTTCTCTGTTTCCAGTCCCCTAGACCTAAGCGCCCACACTCCACACTCCGACCACTCAGTCTTTACATCTTCCCCTGCAGTCCCGATTCCAGGGGCCATCCCTTCAGCTACTCCCTAGCCCAAGGGTCCCTCCCACGCTGCTGGCAGAAGCCCTGCTTCGGAGAACCCCACCATGCACCCCACTCCTACTTGAACCTGACCATGTAATGGAGACCCTCAAAATTCCCTGTCCTTGACTTTGGCTGGACCCCCAACCACTGCAGACAACCACCCCACCCCTGCCCCCATAGCCAGGTCAGCTCCCTCGCCCACTCTCCAGAGGCCACTGGATACCTGCTCTGCTCTCCTCTCCTTGGCCACCCACCCCCTGCTCCCACGCATCCTGGGCAGGTGACACTTCCTCTTATTTAGGGAAAAAGCTGAAGGTGTCAGAGGCGAAACCCTCAGCTTCCCATCATCAAACCCGCTGCCTTCCGTGTCCATGCATGGCTTTCCACCTGCCCTCCTCCCACCCCACAGCTGCCATCCCTCCCCTCGCAGGACAGGACCCCACCTGGCTCCACCTCCCCTGCCCACTCCGGGGCCCCCTCCTGGGTCATCCTCCCTCTCTCCCACCTTTGCCCGTTAGTGTTCCACATGCAGGAACCTTCTCTGATGACACCTCCCCTTCATCCCAAGGCAGGCCCAGCTACTACCTGGTCTCTCTCCTCCCCAGCAGCCACGTTTCTTTAAAAAACTTGGTCTACACTGGCTGTGTCCACCTCCTTCCCTCCCACTGACTTTTCAACCCACAGTAAATCTGGCTTCTGTTCTCACCACACTCCAGAAAAATCTTTCTCTCCAAGGTCACTGCCACCCCCCACTTCACGACACCCACTGCATGCTCCTCGGGGTCCTTGGGGCTTGGTCTGGCTGGGCCCTCTTCTCTGCACATGCCCTGGGTTACCCCCACACAAGATTTCTGCAGCCTTGTTTCTCCCTGGAGCCTCAGGTTCACAGCCGCCTGCCTGCCAAACTTTGCTGTGGATGTCTCACAGGCGCCTGAACTCAACCCACCTGAAATGGAACTGAACCTGCCCTCTCCCCTGGCCCCACTCAGCTCTCCATCTCGGGAATGACGCCGCCATCCAGTGGTGCTCTGCCCAAAGACTCTGGAGCCTCTTTGCGTCCTCTCCCCGTCCCTCCCCACAAGGTCTCATCCAGCCCAGTCCGTCCCCAACCACAGCCAGTGCCGGCCTTCTAAACTGCAAGTCTTCCCATGCCTCTCTTCACTGTGAAATGGCTCCATGGCACCCTGATCCTCAGGGATCAAGTCAGACTCCCGCGCCACCCTGCTCCTTGGACTGGAGACACAGGGCACATGGACTGATTTTGGTTCCTCGCACACCCTGGGCTCTGTCCCCACTCCAGTCTTTGCCTGAGTTGTTCAGAGACACCCCGTCCTACTTCCATTCCTGCCCCTACTCTGCTCTCCCGTCTTCAGCTCATCATCTTTCGTGTCTCAGCTTTAGACACCTTCCCTCCCCTACGCTGGGCGTGGCCACCTCTGTGGCCCCCATAGCTCCCTGAACTTCTCATACCCCACCTCTCCACATTAGATCACAAGCTCCCTGAGGCAGCGGACGTGCGGATCTGTCTCGCCCCTGTGTCCTCAAAGCCTAGCACAATGCTGGTCCACAGTAGGTGCTCCCTCAGTGTGGAATACATGGGCAGAAAGAAAAGAGCACTGGAATAGAATAGGCACTGGAAGACGGGGTTCCCCTGGAGACACCACATCAGCCCCGATGTTGGGCTTTATCTCCAGGGACTGAGCCCGTGGGGATGCCTGAGCCCCTAGCTAGAGGGGGGCAGGTGAGAAAGACACTACTGCAGTGAGAAGGTCCCCGCCGGACATTTGCCCTGGACAGAGTCAAGGAGGCACCAGGCCTCTTGCAACTTAGGTTGGTTGAACTTGGTTCTAGACACCCGCCATATGTCAAGATGTGGCAACCCTGGGAAGTGGGCAGAAGGTGGTACAGGCCAGCCTGGCCTTCGGAGAGCTCTGTCATGTCTGGGCTGTGCACATTGGAGTCCCCATAAGAGGGAGTGTAGTGAGGACTAGAGCTGGTGGGCACAGTGGGAGAAGAGAGGACCCTTCCTCTGTAGTCGCTGGTACCCCGTTACCCAAGTCTGGTCACCCGAGAGGGCCAAACAGAGGAGAGCCAGGCTGAGGGCCCAGGCCTCTTCGCCACTCCGTCTTCTCAAACCACCTTCTCCCACCCCACCCCTGCCACCCCCAGTCCCCTCCACCCTGCCGGCTCCCCTCGTCCCCACGCTGCCACTGACACAATGCACAGCGCCCACGCTTAAAAATCTAAATGCTTTTGAAAATGTTTAACCTAGTTAGACAAATTAGCAAAAATTTGTGCAAAACAATTTAGGTATTTAAAATATTCAATGTTTTTAAAAAACTGGAAAACTGTTCTTAGCTTTCAGCTGCAAAAACCAACAAAATATAACATCCCAGCAATCTTACCATGAGGTGTAACATAACCCTTCGGGAAAGCTGTTAAACAGCTACTGAGGCATCCTGGGAAATAGCACTTCATTTATTCAAATGCACATATGTCAGGCTTTTGCACCATATGTCATTCCAAGCTATTTACAGTAATAATTAAATCTTAATCAACGTTTAACCTCTGTAAAATGTTTGAAGAATCCTAATCACCCTTCAGACTGCACTAATGAAGGAGAAATATATAAACATAAAAGGAAAATGATGCATAGATATCACGCTGGAAAGAACAGTAATTGCAAAATTGTATTTCTTTTAAATATAATCAGTAAATGATGTAAAGTAAGCCAAGGAGTATTTTAAGTTAAGACATCTTGGATGTCAGAGGTGTGAGCAGCTAATTTTGTTCTGCTACCCATAACAGATGTAGCATATTTTATTTTAGTGCCATTATTAGCAACTTCCCATGCCGGCTTTCACTGAAGCACTGAGGCCCACATTAAAATCAGAGAGGCTGCTCAGCACCACCATGCAGGACCACGGCCCAGGGCCACGGCCCACTGTGCCCACTCCCTAGAGCATGCTGGCCCGGGGGAGACCGAGGCCTCCTCCTCCTGGCACCCCGTCTCCCATGGGCTCCCCGCCACACACAGGGCAGCAGGTAGGAGCAGGGGGAGATGCAGGCAGTGGGAAGGCTCCTGGGGGAGGTGGCTGAGGGATCAGGAGCAGGGGCCCCAGGACAGAGCTGACATCCTAGGCTTCCTCTCTCAAGTCAATCCACCCTCCTGTCAGCAGATGTTGATGGTCACCAACTCCAGACACCCAGGCTGGGCACACAGAGGGGGACAAGACCAACTCATGCCCTCTAGAAGCTTAAAGTCTAGAGAGGAGTTGGCTGGTGAATGCAGATGGAGTCCAGAGAGACAAGCAGAGTGCCATGGCAACTGGGGAGGGGTTGGGAGTTCCAATGTATTGATAAGGGAACAAGGAATGAAGACTTCTCAGAGGTGGTGAGCCAGGAAGAGAATGGAGGATTTTGATCAGAAAGGGCAGGCCAAGCTTGCTGGGTGAAGAAAAAAATATTAGCTGGCTAGCATGGCCTGTTTCTGGGAGGCGGGGCAATGTTGGACTTGGAAATGTGGCAGGAAATGGAGGTGTGGCTGGGACAGGCAGAATCTTGTAGGCTACATGAAGGTGTCAGCATTTTACCTGAGGGCAATAGGGAGCCACAGAAGGACTTTGAGCAGGAGTGGACCATAACCCAGCCTCTGTTTTTATTTTTTTCTTGGGATAGGATCTCGCTCTGTCACCCAGGCTGGAGTGCAGTAGTGTGACTGCAGCTCACTGCAGCCTCAAACTCTTGCCTCAGCCTCCTGAGTAGCTAGGACTACAGGCACATGCCACCATGCCTGGCTAATTTTTAAATTATTTTAAAAATTTTTACAGAGACAGGGTCTCGCTATGTTGTCCAGGCTGATCTTGAATTCTTGGCCTCAAGTGATCCTCCACCTTCCAAAGTGTTGGGATTACAGGCATGAGCCACCGTGCCTGGCCTTAGACTGTCTTAGAAAGGTCTCTCTTGGGATGGTGGGTGTGGAGGATGGACTGGAGGGGTAAGGAGGGGGTGGGGAGGCCTCCTGGGGAGCATCTGTGGGAATCAGAGAAGTGCCAGGTCCTGCCCTATGATGCTGCCAGTGGGGGAAGACAGGAGGAGCCTTTCTGAAGATGAAATCCACAGGAGTTGATGACCAATTCCACGTGGGGGTGAGAGGGAGGTGTTGAGGATGACTGTGCGTTGGATGACTCCTAATTCTAGCTCAGGAGCTGGGGTGGCTGGTGACGCCATTCTCGGAGGGAATATGGGAGGGGATGGGCCAGGGTTGGGGGTGGTAGGCTCAGGATGGCCACATGGAGTCTGGGGTGCCAGTGGGTTCCCCAGGTGGACAGGCCTGGGAGGCAGATGGGTCCAGGGCTCTGGAGCTCTGGGCAGGAGAAAGCGCCCGGGATGTGTGAGCATAGCCAGATCCTTCAGAGTGGAGGAGCTCGCCCAGGGAAGCAGATGGAGGGGTGGGTGCCAAGGCCTGGGGAACAGGCACATTTGAAGGGCAAGCGGAGGGAACAAGCCTGTGATGGTGGCCTTGGGGGACCAGCCCGAGGAGCGAACGTAATGACAGAGGGTGCCACAAACACTGAGCAGCCATGAGCGTCAGAGAGAGTTTTCTGAGAGTTGTCCCAGTGAGGGCTGAGAGGCTTTGGTCTTGGCAACTGGATTTCAGTGACTGCCTGGGGTCCACATTGTCCGACCCCCACCTCATGCTGATCCTGGTTCATAGCCTCTCACTCTATCCCAGGCCAACTTAACTGGTCATTTGTTAGGACCCCTCCAGCTCTCTGGCCATGGCCAGGTGTTGGGTCAGTGGCCACCATCTCTAGGTCTCATGGGTATTGGGACCACTGGGGTACTCCCTGCTGGGCTTGGCTAGGGGAGGCTGGGGCAGGAACCCCTGAGTTGCCTGCTCACCTATATGTGATGTTTCCTCCCCTGTCCACCAAAAACTAAGCATCTCCCTTGAAGACCACCTCTCTGAGGTAAGTGTGGGGCCAAGTTTTCTCCAAGGGAACCACATCTAGGGCCTTGCCTGGCAGTGGCCTCTGGACCCATGGATAAGTGAAAGTGACTCAGGTCTGAGCAAAGGCAATAAAGCATCTCTTCCTGCTGCCCAACCAACTCCACCCCGCAGAAGGCCAGAGCCCCAGGGCAGTGGGTCGAGGGGCAGGGACTTGGCTGTGACCACAGACTGGCTCTGAGGGGCCTTCTCCGGGGATAAGGGGATGAGGAGAGAGGACAAGGAGTGGCCATAGGGAGAAGGGGTGGCCCAGGCCCAGGCAGCCAGCTCGGGGCGGGCTGGAATCCGTGGGCCCATCATCTCTTCCATCTGGTAGGCTCCTCCCCGGGCACCCAAGAGCCAGTCAACAGGGGCTCCCGAGGGAGGGGGTGTCTGGGATGGAAAGCCAAAGCCCTGGAGGGCAGGGGCTGCAGGGACCAGGGAGCACTGCCTGATGGTCGCCCCCGCCACAGAAGTGGGCTGCCAGGATCACCCTGCCCTGCCATGAAGGAAGCAGTGCCGCCCTGCTAGCGCTCCCTGACTCCCAGGCAGAACCTGCACACCAGCTCCCAGCCAGCCTCCTCGGGATGTGCCCCTCTCCGTATCAGAGTGCCACCCCATCTTCCCAACCCCGCTCAGACCTTGCTGCCCCTCCAGGAGATATCCCCAGACATGGAGCATCCTATCCAGCGTCTCCCCAGCCTCCCGGGCACCCTAAGGCCCAGCTAGAATAGCCAAGCACCTTCCCTTGTGGTGTGGGAAGGGTTAACCTTGAGCTATTTGTCTCTGTCTCCTGCCTCACTGTGGGTGGGGGGCTAGAGTCAGGAATGCATTTGGGGCCACCTCTGCCTCTACAGCCTGGGAGCACACACACACCTGCAGCCAGGCCAGCAGATAGTTTACATATTTGAACCTGGAGCTAAGGTGCGGAGACATAAACAGGAAACTGGATCCCCTGCCTGTGCCCCATTCTTGGGGGCTTTTACCTACTACAAAGAACTTCCTCCTGCTGGCCTTTCTTCTGATGGCTTTTCTGCCTCCTTTTCAAAGGCATGGGGCTGGGGGGGTGGGGTGTTCGGTGTGACCCTGTGACATAGCTCAAAGCCACCACCTGCTCCTGGGCAGAGGTCTGGGCTTCTGAGGGTCTGCAGAAGGTGGCGACATTGACGCAGGGCCCAAAGCCCAAGCAGGCACCTGGCTGACCCTGTGTGCCTGAGGCCTCTGCCAGGCCTGGGACCGCTTTGTCCACTGGGCACAACATCCCATCCTTTCTCACCAGGGCTGGGCAGGCCCCATGTCCTGTTCCGACACACACACATCCAGGCCCCACCTTTGGGAGAGCTATCTTGAGTGTCTTTGGAGAGCAGAGGCATTAGGCTGGGGCTGGGGAGCAGTTGAGGCCTAAGCCTAGACCCCTGGACCCCTGAGTTAGGCCTCTGGTGCTGGCTCTGGGCTCCCACTACCTTCTCAGTGAAAGAACCCTCAGCTGGACACTCCAGGCCTTCTGGGACTTTTTCCAGCTTCTTCACCCATCAACTGCTGTCCATTTTCTGTACATTCTAAGTATACGCTTTGAGTCCTAAGTCCAGGCTATATCCTGACCCTCTAAGGCTGCCTCCTCCAGGAAGCCTCCCTTGATATTCTTAGACCAAATCCATTGCTGCTGCCTCTGTGTCCCCAGCACATGCTTTTATCTCCATCCCATCCCCAGGCACAGGCTCATTTGCACTCTAAACAGGGGTGACTACAGTAGTCCCCTGCCCCACCCCACTGTGAGCCGCTCCAGGCAGCTCGGTATCCCTATGCCTTGTGCACAGTAGGTCCTCAGTAACAGCTGAGTTAAGTGACACTGAAGTGCCTCGTGGGCAAGAATCCTGTCTTACACTTTTCCGGCTCCCCTGTGCTATGTGTTCCCAGCAAGTGCTCAGACCACACCCCGCCCCCTACCATTTTGGAGCTTTGCACCATTCCTGGGTGCCCTCTGGTGGACCAATCTCAGAATCATTCTCTGTCCTCTGTCTTCTAAGCTTTGAGGCCTCAGTTTCCCCACATGTATGATGGGAAGATTTTCTAAGATCTCCTGGTGCCACGAGGATTATATCACAAAATGGATAGGATGGCCCTTTGGAGGCTTAGAAAACCTGCGTGATGCTGTGTAAAGAGGACAGCACCCAGGGTCCCCACACTCAGCCCCAGCCCCACTCACTAAGCTCACAGGGCTGAGCCTTGCTGCAGGCCAGGCATGTTCCACTTTGCATGTATTAATGCCTTTAATGGAAGCTCTGCACAACCAAGCCTTCTCCCTCCCTATCCTGGATTCAGCTAGGTGTCCTGGAAGGTCCTGGAAAAAAGAACTGTGGGGGAAAGGCTGTCAGGCAGCCCCGCCGAGGCCTGCCACCCGGGCATGTGTACATGTTCTTGCGTGCACGTGTATGTGTGCGAGCCTGTGTGCACGCGCAGGTTTGGGGTGGGGGTGTGGGGAACAGGCAAAATGACAGGTGGCGTTGGCGTTCCTGGGCTCTGAGCGGCTTTGCCATTCCCATCCATCCCTCCTGGGGGGTCCTGTGGGCAAACTCCAAGAAAGCAGCGGGCGGGGAGGCAGCAGATTTCTGACGGCAAAAATAGCCCACTTTAGAGTTCAGTAGGGACTGATTAAACCAGTAAATGAGAAAAACCCCAAACAAACATCTCCAAGCAAAGTAGGAGATGGATTTGAGACTGGAGGGAAGGAGGCCCCTGCTCTGGGAGACGCTGAATGCTGCTGTAGACTCAGGAGGGATGCAATGTGCCCTAGACATTGTCTCTGGCCTCGCATCAACCCTGGAAGAGTGGGAGAAGCAGGGACCAACAAAGTCAAGGTGAACCCAGATGAGCCACGCTCTGTACTAGGTGTTGATAAAGGGCACCAGTTCTCTGCCACAGGGACACCTTGTGTCATGGAAGGGAGAAAGGTCTACTGTCCTAAGGGGGAAGATGGAACACAGAAAACACACCACCAGAGCCTACACAGGTGAGGTGAGACAGATCTTAGTGGGGAAGATCAGGGAGGACTTCCTGGAGGAGGAGCCATTTCTAGACCAGCTTGAATGTGGACTCACATTCCAGCTTATTCCCAGCTCTTCTCCATTCTTGGTTGGGGGTCCCAATACTTTCTCAAAGAAAGATAAGCTGGGGGGACTTTGCTTCTGGTGGCTCACAGCTGTTTAGCCAGGCTGGTTCATCAAAACCACCATTTTCATCAGGGCTGGTAAGAGGGTAGAGATAGTGGAGGTTCTGGTACCCACTGAGGGTACCCACATTTTTGCCCATACAGGGAGGGTATGCCTCTCTGTTTCTTAACCCTGAAAGCTGTAAGTGGGGAGGCAGGAAGGAGTATGGGGTGGCTGAGGTTGGCCTTCCTGCCTCGTCTACCACATGGGTGTGGCCTGTAAGAGCCACCCTCTGAGGCCAGGACGAGACAAGGCTCATAACGGGCTGAGGACATCGGGGGAAGGCTTTAGACTTCCTCAGAACATGGCTTCTAATCCCCAGAACCCTCTAGAGCTGAGGTGAGTAGGGGCTCAGCTGAGAGGGAGGGACATGGGGAGTTCCCAGGGCTGACATGGGAGGCTCAGGGCAGGAAGCCCTGGCCCTGGGAGACTCTTAGGCTGTCTTTTCTTCTAGTTGAGGTGCTTGGCAAAAGCTAGAAGGGGCAGGAACAGGTGGTGGGGGTACCGGGGGAGGTCAGTTCTCTGCTGAGGCTTCAGGGAAGGCAGACGGCAGATGCCAACAAACCAACAAGACAGCCAGGAGGGAACAGGCCCACAGGAAACAAGCCTCCTGGCCAGTGAACCTCACTCCTGCCCCCAGGGGCCCCTGCAACAGCTGAGGCAGGGAAGAGACACACGCTCATAGCCGCCAGCCCCTACAAGGGCGCCCCAGGGCCCTCTCCCCTGCCCGCAGCCCCAGCCAGGAAGCACACTACCCAATCTCTCATCCCCACCCCAGCCCCCACAGCTGCAGGGAGGACAAAGGAGCCAGTGAGGGTCTAGGGGCCATAAGACACGTTCCCAGGAAGGCTAAGGCCCTGCCCACTTGCCGTGCCCAGACATGGCTCCCAGAGGGTGGCTCCCAGAGGGCACACCCTTGCTGCAGGCCGGGCACCTGAGGGGCAGCATGTAACTCAAGTGGACTCACTCAGTCCACTGTCTAGCACCAGGGCCCTGTCTTGAGTTTTCACTTCCCTAATCCTACTGGGAGAAACTTGGTTCTTACAGGAAGAAACTTAGTTCCAACACCTCATCTTCCAGCTGGGGAAACTGAGGTCTTTGAGGTTAAGACCCAAGGTCATATGGAGAGTTGAGGTAGAGGGATGCCAGCCAGAGGGGCAGAGGGCAGGCCTTGGGGCCACGGGACAGCCCCTCCACCCCAACATCACCTAGGGATGGGTTCGAGCTCCCGGCTGCCCCCCTGCTCCCCGTACCTCACTCATCCACAGACAAGCCCCACCTTCTGTGGACACATTTCAACCTCACCAAATCAGCTAATTATTGACAGTTGGTGAAGAGGAGATTTCACTTTTTCCTCCTGTTAAACTGCTCCTAATTAGTTCCCTGTCACCACGGCTGGCTCGCTCGCCCGCCCGCCGCCCGCCCGTTCACGCAGTAATCCCGCTGCACAGTGCCTCATTAACCTTTTGCTCCTCTCCTGCCGCCTGCCAACAAGATGAAGACAAAAACAGATTGTTGAACAATGGCTCCGGCTTGTATGTGCAGCCCCGTTCCCCAGCCCCCGAGCTCCCAGGGGAAGAGTGAGGAAAAGAGAGGGGACTGCGGTGGGGGAGAGCCCGAGAGGAATCAAGGAAGGGAGAAAGAGGCACAAAGAAAGATTGAAGCAGAAACAGAGGCAGGGATGTGGGGAGGGGCCTTGGCCAAGGTACTGCTTCTTGCTCCAGAGAGACATGAGGTTCATTAAACAGGATTGGAAGTGCTCCCAGGTAGGGAACACCGGCTGTCAGAGTTAGAGGGACATTTGCCACCACCCACTACAGCCTCTTGTGGTAGCCAAGCCCGTGTTCCTGGACACTGGACCCTGCACATCTCCCTCAGGGAACCTGAGGCCCCAGTGTATGTCTGTGTTGCAGTGGGGAGGACACAGAGGACCCCATTTGCCTGGAATCCAGAGCCCCAATCACCAAAGGGGGCAAGGCCAGAAAGGCCACCACAATCTGGCCCTACCACAAGGGAGGCACCCAGCACCAGCCCCACCTATAGCGGCCCCGGCAAGCTGCCGCGCAGCCTCTGCTTTAGGTCCATCATGACCTGTGCTGTCACCTGACAGTTCTTGTTTATTGAGTTTTGTCTCCACCACCAGCGGGGAGATTCACTGAGACCACAGGGGTCCTACGTGGCCATCCTGGTAACAAGAAAAATGGGAAAGTGCCCAGGCTCCATGGGGCAGAGAGCAGATTCTGGGTGTGATGGGCCCATCCATGTTTGGGGACAGGCTGGTGGGGCAGGCCTACAGCAGTAACCTCCAGATCCACCAGATCCGCCAGGGCAGACCCTGTACTCCCTGCATGGGCAAGAGGACTGGGGTCCAGAAGGGAGCCCAGGACCTGTTCCCCAGTTCTCACGACATGAGGTTCCCTGCCCTACCTGTTGGCCCTTTAGCCTCCCTCCAGCCCCTCCACTGCCCAGCCCCTTCCTCAGCTCTGGGTTGGAAAAGACATAAACACTGATTCCAAAAGGTCCCTGTGAAAACGCAGATTTCCTGTGGAGGGGAGGAGGGCTGGGTGAGGGCACTGGGATGTTCCTGCTGATAAATTAGTAGCAAGCAATTTGGAGCCCAGAAGTGGGCCTCCTCTTTCTATAGTGAGGTGTGGGTGGGCTGGGGAGGGTCACAGAATTCTTCTGCCTGGGTACAAAGCCTGCTCCATCGTCAACAACTTTGGATCTTGGACAACGTACTTAACCTTAATGTGCCTCAGTTTCCTCATTGGTAAACAAGGAATATTGATACCTACCTTGGAGAATTCTCAGGATCCAGGCCCCCATTTCTCCACCACAGCCAGGTAGCCCCCTCTACTCACTGGACCCAGGGACTCCATAGAGGCCATGCCTTCCCGCCTTGGGCTCTGGGCATTCCTTCCCCATCATTGCCCTCTCTCCAAGCCCCCCAACCTCCATCTCACAGTTTCTTTGCTGTTCTCCCACAGTTCCCCATCTTTGAGCTCAATCATCTGAACAAAGAAGAAACTGAATACCATGTTGCCTCCTAGACTGCCATGTCTAGCTATGCCACCTAAGTCTCCTCCACTCCTAGTCCCCTCTGCACTCACCCACTCTGGAGACAGCCCCTCCTCTTTGAATCGCCCAAGTCCTCAGCTTCCATGAAGTTACTCCATCTGGGTTCTCCCTGTGCCCTTGGCTGCTTCTTCCCCTTCTTGATGGTTTTTCTTCCTCCTATAGTGGACCACATCCCCTTTCTCAGCTTCAACTCCCCCCCATACACTGAAGGTTCCGTATCTCCAGCCAAACTCTCTCCCCAGAGCCATCTGACTGTCTAGGAATCATCTCTTGATGTTCAATGTTTTAGACTTAAGGGGCATTAGGAAGACTTAATACAGTAAGGTACACCGAGCTCCCAGCATGCTGCCTGGTCCAATAGATATCTGGCAAATGGTAGCCATTATTATTATTTGCAGTTTGACCCTCAGTACCATTTTAATAAGCAGAACTACTAATTTGAAAAGAGCAGATAAAACTCTCCCCCAGGAACTGAAGGAAGGATTGAAGTCCTTGCCTCAATCTCTGGGGTTAGTGAGTTGGAAACTCCACAACAATCACTGCAGGCCAGCCACTCTAGGAACTAGTTCCTAAATTCTACCTCCGAGTCCCCTGATTAGTTAATTGGTGTTCCAGTGATTACTTCTGTTGACAACCTTGGTGGCTTTTGGCAAGGCTGGGTCAGCCCAAGCAAGTCCAGACTTATTGTGGCAAATCCCACTGGCTTCTGGGATGTGAGACATGATCCCTGTATGGCAGAAGAAGCACCTTGTTAGGGAGAATTAATTGGGAGAGTGAATGCGGAAACAAGGCCCTCTCGGCAAGTTGGCTGAAGGCTTTGGTGCCATGGGTCCCAAACAGGGCTCAAAACACCCCATAATGCCCAGGCTAGCCTGCATCTTGTTGGGATCCACATAGCTGAGGAGGGAGCTCTGAAAATCATGCCTGTACCCTCCCTTCCCAGAGGAACAAAGACTTAACATGCAATGACTATCTTCTTCCCAATCTAGAGAAAGAGGCTTGGATTGCAATAAGAGGGACTTTGGTTAAATATGCAGAAGAACTAACTCCCATGTCTATTTGAAGTAGGCATGTGGGGAGAGGGGAGCCTGGGCTTTGACCTGCAGCAGCTGTGAGACCAGGGTGGCTCACTTTCCATCATTGCTTTGCAGCCAGAGCTGGAGGCCTGGGTGGGTGAATGGTAGGCATCTCCCCATTATATGCCCCAGAGGAACACCTGCCAAAGACCTACAGCTCTTCTAGACCGTTTCCTACCACCCACCACAGTGCAGCCCCCAGCTCCCTCTTCTCTTGGCTGTCCCAAGGTAGGTAAGGTGGTTGACTAGGGAGAGAAACTCAGCCACAGGAAATGATCAGGTGTAGCACTTCCTAGGGGCCTGGACTTGGAGTGTGGACCTCTGGTGTTTCCTCTCCTATCGGCACCTGACTTCTGCAACCTTGGGCTGGTCCCATGGCTTTTCTGGGCCACCATTTCCCCAGCAAAGTCAGTAGCAAGGTAAACTGGATGACCTTGAAAATCCTTCTAACTGGGAGGGTCTCTGATTCTGCATCAGTATTTTCTTTGCCCTGGGTCCCTTCTCTGTGCAGGCAGGTGGAGTTATGACAGCTACTAGAAGCACAGAGGTACCTATAAACACATGGGTGACTCTGGCCCTGGCCTAGGACCCTGGGCTCAGGCTGATTGCACAGACAGATGCAATGGCTTCAGGGAGTGCTGGGCTGGGACAGGGATGTCAGAGACCACTGAGAAATACCCGCCTTCCCTCTTCAGGGCTACTAGGCAACCCAGAGCCCATGGCTCCATTTGGAGTCCCAGGCTGCAGGTTTCCCAGGGTGAGAGGTGGGGGAAGGAGCATCCCAGCACCCATGACAAGGCTGGCCGCTGTGGGCATGAGATGAGGTCCTGCTAGCTTTAATCTTGGTGTGCGTTGAATGGTGTCCCCCAAGACAGGAGCCCCACTCCCACAGAGTCTCCTCCTCAAACTCTGGGGCTCTGGAAGGAAGCCACCCCATTTCTCACCTTCCAGGGCCTAAGGCGGGTCACCCCCTCCTCCTGCTCTAAGAGCCTGGGTCTCCAGCCCTCGCAGCCCCAACAGCCCCGGCCTCTTGTTTTCACTTCCCCGACTTGTCTCCAGGAGCCCTCACCTCTCCTCCACCTCTCTTGGGGCCCTGCCTGAAGCAGGTCCATGGTGAAATCACAGATTCAGAAGCGCCGCTTTCTGGCCACAGCCCTCGCCTTCTTGTGAGCTCAATGCAGACACCTCCTGGGCCCTCTTGGGTCTGTGCCTTCCCCTCAGCTTAGCTCCCACCTTCACTCCAACCCAGCGTGGATCCCGTGGTCCTCTGCTCCTCCGTGCTGTCACCCATCTCTCAGCCCCCCTCACCCCCAACCTGACAAAACCCCAGAAGAAAGGATCTGTGGCCCTCCCTGTACTGGCCCATAGCACCTCCTGGTGAACAGGCCCGGCTGCACTCCCAGACCACGTGCTGCTCAGCCTCCTCACCTCTCATTCTCCCCTGGATGTCTCACCCCTTCTCTGTGTCCTCAGACCTCTGACTTCCTGCCCCTTCCCCACCCTACTCTCTCCTGTCTGCTCAGTCACAAGAACACAGGAGCCATTGGAACAACTTCTTCAATTTTCCTACCCCTGAACCCTACCCCCAGCAGCATTTTCCTCCCACCCCACTCCTCTTCCACCTACTGAAGTGGGGAGGGGTCTCCCCGTGCCAAGGCTGATCCCCTCGTCTGTGCTCTGGTCCCCCCTCCTCTTCATAGACTTTCCCAAAATCGTCCTGTCAGCGTCCTCGACATCTCTCCTGGTGCCTTCTCTACTGCATTTACGCAAGCCCCTGTCTCTCCCATTTAAAACAAGGACAAATACATAAATAAAAGCCCCTCCTGATCCCACATCTTGTTGCGGCTGTGGACCTGTCTTTCTCATTTTTTCCCCTCACCTGTCACCTGGATCCCTTCTCTGGGGACAGGGTTTGGCTACGTTGCCTGAGACACTAATGGATACTCTGTAATCTCATGGAGTGTGACCTCTCAGGAGGGTCTGACCCTGTGGATGCCCCCCACCCACCCTGATCACACATGGCCCGGATCTGCCCTCACCACCCTGGCTGCTTGTCTTTGGACCCCGCCAGGGTGGAGGCCTCACCCACCACCCTCGATTCCAGCACTGTTGTCATGCTGGTAGGCTCTACTTCTATCCCTCCAGCCCAGGCGTCTCTCCTCATTCCAGACCCAGAGCCAACATCCCACAGGCTCCTCAACCCCGCGTGTCCATCCAACTGACCCACTGCCCTCCCTCGAACCTGCCCCCGCCTGGCTCCATCTCATTAAGCACCTACATCTGCCTGGTTGTTCAAAACCAGAAAGCCAGTGCACATCCTCTGGCTCCCGTTCCCTCCCACCACATACAGCTCTTCATCGAATCCCGAAGAAGCCGCCTCCTGACTCCCTCTTTAGGGACCCACTTCTCTCCATGCCCACTGCCAACAGCCTGGTCCAAGCCGCCATCACCGCTTGCTGGATGCCCGCCACAGGCTCCTGATGGTTCCTTCTCTGGAGCTCTAACCCAGCCCCACGCGGCAGCACAGGGGCCGCTCAGAATCAGGCATCTGTGGTCTGCCCTGCACAGCCCTTAGGAGGACATTCACCCTCTCTGTTCTGGCTTCCAAGTTCCCAACACCACCCAGCCCAGCCCCTCATTCCCAGGCCACATCACCTTGCTGCACTCCCTGGTTGCGCTGCAGACTTTGGTCAGCTCTTGGACATGGCGTGTGCTGCCTCACCTCTCAGAACCTTCACACCAGGTGTCCGCGGACCTCACATCTCCCCCCGCCACCCCTTTTCATCTGGCCAACTCCAGCCACGCTCCCAGTCCCAGTGAAATGTCACTTCCCTCTAGGCTCAGTTTGGTCTGCTGTCTCCTTCCACACCCAGTGGAGCTTCTCCCACCCTAACGCTCCTGGCTCCTCATCTGCTGGCCTCTGTTTAATCACCCTGTTGACTGCGTGACCCTCACTCTGAGGGCCAGAGCCTGGGCCAGCCTCATTCACGGTTCCAGCCCCAGCGCCTAGCATGGCGCTAAGGAGTCGGCACGGTATGAGTATTTGTTCAGAAATCACCAAACAGCACCCCCTGCCCTGCCCTGCCCTTGAGCCCCTCCCCACTGACCTCTGACATTTGCGGGAAGAGGCTGATGGCCAGCGGCAGGGCCAGGCCGAAGGCTGCCAGGCACACGAGGCTTTGCACAGGGAGGAGCAGCCGGGGGCGTGCCTGCAGGAGAGCCGTCCTGTGAGGGAGAGAGGAGGGAGCCCCATGAGACCCGAAGGTGGGGTGGGCTGGCTGCCAGCCACCATGCTGGGTCCCACTCTGTCTCTGGGCCCAGGAAGCGTGGTTCCGGGGCAGTGCCAGTGTGCAGCTAAACAGATATAGCAGAGTTCTGTCTTTGGGACCTTTTCCCGATAGGTACCCCTATCCCAGCGGGTATAGACCCCTATCCCAATGTCTTGAAGGACGTTGCTGGCTGAAACCTCAATTACTCAGGTCACGAATGAGTACTTTCGGGGCACCCACCCGCCACGCGTCCAGCCCCGTGCCAAGAAGGCCCTATGTGGGAGAGACACTCAAAGAGGCTGTCGGCCCCTGTTCCTGGGGAGACACATAGGGACGTAAGATCGCTCTCGAGGGCAGCACGTAATTAAACAGCAAAGAAACCAGAGTAGGTGCCAAGTTCAGGGGAGATGACAAAGCACATACATATGGGCACACGCCAGCCAGGAGGGGGTGATCCTCCTCTATGTGTGAGAACAGAAGACACCCCACTGGCCACCTTGTCAATTTCAACCCAAGGGCAACAGAGGGTGCAATGACTCGTCCAAGGCCAAGTCTGCAGGAGGCTGTCAGAGCTGCTGCCTGGACCCCTGGCTCCCCGAGGGTGCTGTCACCCCAGCTGGTCCCCTGTGCCAGCTTCATCACCAACACAACACAGCTGGCACCCTCTTCCCATGGCTGGCTTCGGAGCTGGTTTCCTGGGCAGGGGAGGGGGCATGATAAACCTCCCTTTGGGGCCCAGGCTCCCCAGACAGCGTGGGGACATACCAGCTGGCCAATGTGCCTGCACTGTGTTCATCGGAGCTTCCTGTTTTGCTCAATACAGCAGGCCCTTCAGCGGGGACCACAGCATTCCACCTGGGGAGGCCTGGGATGACTAGACTATTTGCCAGGGGGTGTTGGGCAGGCACTAAATCTGACCTCAGTAACTGTTAGCCTCCAAGTGACAGGCTCCTGGTGTGAAGGGGAAATAATCCAGGCTCTTATCCGCCGCCCCCAGCAGGGCTGACCATGCCACAGGCAGGTAAGGGGCCCTCCTAGGGGCAGAGCCCCAATGTGGCGGGCAGTAAACCCCATATACTGTCACCTCTTGAGACAAGAATCCCAACAGCAACTGGCCCTGAGAAGACAGCAAAATTGGGAGTAGTTTTCAAAAGTTAAAGTGCATCAGCTGGACTGGGCAACTGGTTAAAAATGCAAATGCCCAAGGGTTGCTTACAACCATGAAAGCCTGATTCAGTGGGCACTGGACCTGGAAATGTGCATTTTAACCCTCCATGAGTCTAAAATGGTGATCCCAGACCACACTTCTGATAAACCCTGGCCCTGGATGTTCCTGCTCAGGTATTAATAAAGATCCCATTACTTGCAAATCCTATGCAAGTAAAAGGGTGAGCCCTGGCCTGGCACACAGTAAGTGCTCAGAAATTATGTGTCATTATTGCTGTTGTTATTGCTCATGTTACCTGCGGGAAGGTAGGATCCTGGTAGCCCACCTGTCTTCCAGTCCTTCCCACAGGCCCAGACCGCAAGGTTTGTCCAGCTGCTAAATCCGGCCTGAATTAAGCTATTGGAAAGGGGAGTTTCCACAGGATTGAGCAGTAGGACCAAGGTGCCTAAATCAAGCCCAAACCCCTCTGATCCTCCAATCCCCATCCAGCACCCCCACCCTCTCTCTCTACTCCATGCTAGCCCATGCCCGCCTGGACTTCCTTAGGGGTCGTGGAGGGGCTGGGAGTAAGGCTGAGAGGGCCCTGAGATGAACTTCTCAAGCAAGATGAGGAGCGGGGGATACAAGGCTCATTCTCCAAGCTTCATACAGAGTCTGGAGGCCCTGCTTGGAGGAGGCTGTGGAAGGACGGGGCTGCCCTCCTGTTCCAGTGGCAGTGACTAGAGGGTGTGGAGTCCCTGGAAGCACAGCCCCGAGGGTCCCTGCCCACAGCCCTGAGAGCAGTGAAGGGTGAGAAAAAGAAAGAGAGACGCTACCCCCGGCAAGTGAAGAGCAGGCCATGGGCTCAGTCCTTGGGACCTGCTGGTGGGGACACTAGACAGACCCCCTTTCTGTGGGGCTGTGACCAAGGCTCCTCTCTCAGGGTGGCTGGCTGAAGTACTCAGTGGGAAAGAGGTCCAAGAAGTCTGAGGCCTGGGCTCCCAGCTCAGGAAGGAGTCAGGCCTGAGGCTGAAACAGGAGCCTCGGAAGCCCCAGCCCAGAGCAGGCCTGAGAGCGAACACAGTAGGACAGGGGGAAGGGAGGGGGGAGGAAAATGGCAAGGAGGGAAGGGAAAGGCAGCTGGGGGAGTTAAAATATGTAGATGGAGAGATGTGCGAATGCCTGGGAGAAAGGAAAGACCTGGAGCCCAGGGAGTAAAGGAAGCTGGGGGAGCGGACTCAGGGCTGTGGCCTGGGCCCGGAGCCAACTCAGACCCAGCCTGGTGCCCCTGCTGGCCCTTCATTCCAGTGCCAGGGAGGCTGGGCTGGGGCTGAGCCAGCTAGAGCCCTCCTGATCCAGCACAGGAACCTGTGATCCCACCCCTGGGCCTAGCTTCCTCCTCAGCATGGTTGGTGCTGCAGGGAGGGTGTCAAGTGTGAACCCCTGGAGCATTCAGGGGAGCTGGAGGGTGGTGGAGAGGGAAGGATGGCACCCAGTGGACTGCACCCCCCAGAGGCAGCCCAGTGCGCTGGACTGGGGATGGACGCTCCTCTGCTTCTGACTTGAGATTCTTTTCCTTTCCGTCTCAGAGTCAAGGCCAACTGAGCATGCTGAGCTCCCACCTTTCTCTTCCCAGTAGGAAGCCCAGGGACCTTGGCTCTGAAAGTATCAACCGAGGCCAGAGGCGAAGCAAGGCAGGTCCCAGCCATGGCCGCCACACCACAGCTTGTCCCCCTCATTGCTGTGCATTCCTTCAGCACTTGGAGCGCAGTTTTAGTTTGCACTCCGTTAATTTGTAAGTGTTCTTTTGTCTTTTTTCCTTGGCTGTCCTGACTCCCTCACCCAACAGGGGCTCCCCAAGGGTGGGGGCTGCCTTCCTTGTCAGCCTCCTCAGCGGAAGCCCTGCACTAGTGCCCCTGCACCCAAAGGCTATAGGGTGCGTGGCACGGACCCTGCAAAGAGCAAAAGAGCTGCTGGATGGTGCAAAATGCAAAGCCCCAACAAACAAGGTGATGAAGGGGCAGTGTCCTCATTTTCCAGGTGGGAAACTGAGGCTGAGGGAGGCTCCACAGCCACATCAGACTGGCAGAAAGAGGTGGAGCAGGAACCTAGATTTTGTTTTCCTACCAGAGCCTCAGCTCACTCTGCTACACTGCCCTGCCTCCCTACCACACAGTCCTGCACTTCCAGAGTACATGTGAGATTAGCAAGCCTTCAAGGCACAAACTGGGTCTTATTCATCTTCATCTTCCTGGGGGAACCCGGGCTGAACTTTTCTTCTCCCCAGGGACCCTCCAAAGAACTTCAGGGAAGGACCAGTGAAACATGAGGCTGCCAGGAGCACCAAACTCTGACCTCTCATCACCTTATCAGAGGGGCTCCTTTGGAGCCTGAGATGTGAGAGTATGTGGCACCCAGACACTAGGCAGGTCCCAGGCTGGACGGGTTCAGTCCCAGAATAATCAACCCACTTGCCATGGATACGGAAGGGGGGAAGGGAAGGGCACGGTCTCTGGCTAGGGCTCCACCCCCAGGCCTGTGCCCACGGACCTAAGTGAGGACAGGCATTTTTGTTTTCCTGCCCAAATGTTGCATTTCCCAAGACCACCCTGGCCTGCCACACCCCCTGATCCTGTACCTAAAAATCCCTGAGACCCTAGCAGGCAAACACACAGGCAGCTGGACATCCAGAGGAGCACATCAGTGGAGGAACACACAAGCGGCTGGACAGCAAGAGGACGTTGAGGGGAGCACGCTGGCGGAAGGGCACATTGACAGACGCCGGCAGGCCACCCACGGGCAGAATGATGCGGAGTTTGGCTGGGGCAGTCGGAGGAGAGCCTGGGCCACCAAGCAGCCCGACTCCAGAGGAAAACCAATCTCCCTTCTGGCTCCCCTATCTGCTGAGAGCTACTTCCACTCAATGAAACCTTGCACTCATTCTCCAAGCCCACGTGTGATCCGATTCTTCCAGTACACCAAGGCAAGAACCCCGGGATACAGAAAGCCCTCTGTCCTCGCGATAAGGCAGGGGTCTAACTGAGCTGACTAATACAAGCCACCTATGGATGGCTAAACTAAAAAAGTACCCTGTAACATACACCCACTGGGGCATCAGCTATAAACATTCACCCCTAGACACTGCCGTGGGGTCGGAGCCCCACAGCCTGCCCATCTGTATGCTCCCCTAGAGGTTTGAGCGGCAGAGCCCGGAAGAAGCAAGCCACATCCCCATCGCACTCCCTTTGAGGGGGACAAGGAAACTTTTCCTGTTTCACCATGACTCCCAAAGCCAAGTTTAAGCCCCCAAGTTAATGGGACACTAACCATCATTCCACTTTCTGCAAACATCTCTGCCAACTGGGAAGGCATCACAGAGCATGTTTTTCCCCAGCAAATTCTTGCAGGACAGGTCCCTGGATGAGCATGGCTGACCCAGCTTCACACCCCGCCCCCCGCCTTCTTGTAGTTCTCAGGATAGCTGTAGGATGTGTTGGGAATGCAACATCTTGAGATAAGGAGGGCCTGTCTGAGACAGCCTGGGCTCATGTTCCTACCTCTTCTGGAACAGGATGTCCTGCAACACTTTAGCACAGTAAGCTGATGTCCCCCAGGGTGGAAACCCCAGGGTGGAGCGCTCCCAGGCTCCCTCAGTTGCAGTGTGATGTGGTACGTGGGTGGACGAGACTCCATCCTCCCTGGGCAGCTTTCTCGAGCCATGGGGCACCAGCTTGCCTTGAGTGGTAGGCGTCCATTGTCCCCGAGGCCTATCTGTGAGTAATAAAGTTGCTTCGCTTGACTTGTGCGAGTGTTCTACCTCACTGGACTTGTGGTACAAGTAACAGAGTAAGCACTGCTCACTGAACCAGCTTCAGAATTCCAAGGTTCAAGACTCAGCAATCTCAAGGACAGAAGAACCACCTTCCTCACCTGCCCCGCTTGCTCCCTGTGTGTACTTGCAGTCACTGGTATTCAGGGACAACCTCAGTTCACGAAGGGGCTACGTATACGAGAGTCAGGGGCACAAAAGAGCCTGCCCTGTTTATTTTTGTCTGTTGCAAACTTCCATACCATACGCATTTTCTTAATCCCAGTGCTCACCATGCCATGCCCATGCTCAGGTACCCCCAGAGCCTCCGCCCTCTTCTAGGGTGAGAGAGGGCTCACCTCAGCTGGGCACACAGGACCCCTCATCAGCTGGACCCATGAGCGCACTTCACTTTGACCAGGCTGGACACCTCAGTGTCTATACCACAGGCCTGCACCCTGCCCAGAAAGCCCGCCTTTCCACAAAAATTCTATCCTGCTCTCTGGGTCGGCCGCAGCCCCTCTCTGGGTACCAGCCCTTCTTGCTGCCAGGCCCACAGTGCTTCCTCTTCTCAAGGTCACCTTGGCCAAGTTCACACACTGCCTGCTCTCACCTGCAGCTGACCTGGGTACGGGTCTTGCCCACCACCCTTATAAACACACAGGCTTCCTGAGATCAGACCCCAAATCTACTCTTCCCATTTCCACACAGGGCAGGACTCAAACACAGGCTGATTGAGGGTTATGACCTGAATATGCAAGAGGCAGCCAGTGTAGCTTGAAGAGACTAAGCTTTGCAGCCGCACTCCTGAGCCACCGCTGGCTCTGCTATTTCCTAGTACATGACCGTAAGTGGATGACATAGCCTGTCTTTGCCTTCCTCTCCTCAGCTGTAGAATGAGGATATTATACTTACCTTATTATGCTGTCCTGAAGGTGAAATGAGAGAATGCATTCACTCACTCATTCATCCTTTCAACAAACACTTACTGAGCATCTATTGTGTGGCAGGAACTGTGCTAGATGCTGGGCAGGGCAGTGAACAAAAGGATGGACGTGCCTCATGGAGATGACATTCTAGTAGAGCAGACAGAAAGTACACAACTAGAGGAACAATCTCAGATATGGATAAGGGCCGTAAGAAAAATAAAGGACTTCAAGGGAGAGGAAATAATGAGAAATGGTGAATTCTGATGGGGTGGTCAGGGAGGGCCTCTTTGAGGGGGTGGCATTCGGGCAGAGGCCTGACTGAGAGAGGACTGGGATACACAAGTGCTTAATAAATGTCGCTTGTTATTATAATTCATACTGCGGGAATAAGAAAGTCCCCAAACAGGGAAGAATCCTTTGCCCCAGAACCCCAGATGGAGTAACCCCATCCCTGTCCTTATACCACACGCCCCCAATTCCAGCTGCTGTCTTGAGGTGTCCCCATAGGGTAGGGTCTCCTCACTGTCAACTGACAAGCCAGGGGTCTGTAACTCCAGGCCCCCTCCACCTAGGGGACCCTCCCCTGCCCCCTGCCTTCTCCCAGGGCCCGCCCTCTCTGCGCAGCCTTTCCTTCCAGCGGAGTTTCAGTCCGCCCCTTCAGTTTCGCACTCATTCATTAATAGAATCACTCCACTACTGTTACTATGCTCCCTCATTTCTTCACAGTCATGACAGATATGAGTGCTTAGAACATCCCTCTGAGGGAGGCAGGAGGCTATTACTATTTGTATTTTACGAGCAGAGAAACTGAGGCTCAGTAAGGTGGTGATTTGCCCCACAGCAGATGCCTACCCAAATCTAGTCTTCCTACCTGAATCCTCAGACTCTGCCTTCACAAATGGTCCTGTACATACTATTCACTGAGAGCATGTGAGCACACATGAAAACACACACACACACACACACACACACACACACACACACACACACACAACTGCCAGCTCCTCAGGGGAGGGCCAGCACTGTTATCCTGGTATCCCTCGTGGCACCTAGCCCAGGGTCCTGCATAGTAAAAGTCCAAGAATTCTCACAGAGTGATTCTGTGGCACTACCTGGAAAGTCCAAGATGGAGCAAGACACCTTCCACCCTCTACACAAACTGGGGTGGGCTTCCTGCCACCCCCTCATCTCTTGCCTGGGCCAGCCGGTTCCCCCTCCCTCTCCCCCTCCTCCCCCATGGTGGCCTCTCCATCCTGGCTGCCCCAACTCACTTCTCCAGCATGGACATGACGATCGGGGGTAGCACCAGGATGGGCATGGGCAGGACCACTCGCGTCAGCGCCGTCTCCAGCAGGGCCTGAGGGGCAGGCAGAAGCTGTGTGAGAGGGGCCTGACAGCTGGTGACAGGACAGCACACCACCCAGAGCCCTAGGTGTGTGCCACCACAACGCATGTGTGTCTGAATGGCCTTATTCATGGGATTGCTCAGGAAGCTGCATTCCAAACAACAAAAAAAGCCACTGGTCTCCTTTTTCCTTCCTTCCTTCCTTCCTCCTTCCCTCCCTCCCTCTTTCTTTCCTTCCTTTTTTCTTTCCTCTCTCTTTCTTTCTTTCCTCTCTCTCTCTTTCTTTCTTTCTTTTTTTTGAGACAGAGTCTTGCTCTGTCCCCCAGGCTGGAGTGCAGTGGTGTGATCTCAGCTCACTTCAACCTCTGCCTCCCAGGTTCAAATGATTCTCCTGTCTCAGCCTCCCGAGTAGCTGGGATTACAGGTGCGCACCACCATACCTGGCTAATTTTTGTATTTTTAGTAGGGATGGGATGGGGTTTCGCCATGTTGGCCAGGCTGGTCTCGAACTCCTGACCTCAGGTGATCCGCCCGCCTCAGCATCCCAAAGTACTGGGATTACAGGTGTGAACCACCGTGCCTGGCTTCCAGTGTTCTTCTTACCACACACATTTGAGAAGAGCAGATTCCCATCACCTGCCACACGTGGGGAACACTCAGGCAGCCCCAGGAAGGGGCAGTGCTCAGGGAGGTGGCTGACTACCTCGGGGGTGGTGGGCACAACCTCCCATACTCAGTGTGCACAGGGGCTGGGGAGCAGCTCTAAAAGCAAGGCCAGCATAGTCAGCTAGGGCCTGTTGAGCCAGTGGGGCTCATGGAGCCAAAGGAGGACCGAGCTTCTGGAATTTACTTTTTTTTGTTGTTGGTGTTTTTTTTGTTTGTTTGTTTTTTAGATGGAGGTCTTGCTCTGTTGCCCAGGCTGGAGTGCAGTGGCATGATCTCAGCTCACTGCAACCTCCACCTCCTGGGTTCAAGCAATTCTCCAGCCTCAGCCTCTCGAGTAGCTGGGATTACAGGCATGCCCCACCACACCCAGCTAATTTTTGCATTTTTTAGTAGAGATGGGGTTTTGCCATGTTGGCCAGGCTGGTCTCAAACTCCTGACGTCAGGTGATCCACCCCCCTCAGCCTCCAAAATGCTGGGATTACAGGTGTGAGACACCGTGCCCGGCCTACTTTTTTTTTTTTTTTTTAACATCTCTTAAAGACAAAGATTTGCAAGATCTTGTGTCTCTTGGCTCTGGATGAGTCTTTCTCAGTGACAAGAAGTTGGTTCTGTAAGGGAAGCATGCTTCAGCTGGGTGTCTGCAGGGTTTCCCTCGGGGTCTGCTTGGGGCCTTGCTCCAGGGCCTCCCAAGGGATTCCTGGGGTGGGAGTGTCCTTGCCAGAACACAGCTCAGTGGCAATTCTGAGCTCCGACAGCCACTGTGGTAAGTTCCTTTAGCCCCACGAGCTTCAGCCCTCAGAGGAGGCTCCAGGAGCAGCTCACAGCCCACAGATGCCTGGAGTCCTTCCCCGGACAGCAAAGACCTAAGCAAGCCAGGCTGAAGGAAGCCAGGGGCCACTTGGGTTTCCTTGCTGTGTGACACTGACAGGAGTTATCATGGCATGGCTGTCCTCCCTCAGGGGGGCTGGGGAAAAGAACAGGGCTGGAATGGGAGGTTGGGGACAGGTAGGAAACTGAGACTAAATCCCCTCTCATGATGGGCTCAGGGCTGAACATTTCTCCCAGGAACCTGGGCTCTTCATGGTCAGCCTCAGGAAGGCCTGGGAGAGGCCCCTCCAGTCTCTGGAACAGGTATGGGAATGACAGGAGGGTCCAGTGCCAGTGCAGGGAGCAGAGGATGCAATGTCGGCATGACACCCCCAGCCCCTTGCCCTAAAAACCTTGGAGGGGCACTGACTTGGAGAGAGCTCTTCCCAGACTAAAGTCTGATTGAGAAGACCTCATGACTGGGGTAAGGCTTGGGGGCCCTGGTGGGAGCTGATAAGGACAGTGGCTGGAGCAGGGATGCATGCTCCACTACTTCACGGCTCCCCCCTAGCACCCATCCTACCCCATGCCCAGCACAGAGGCCAGAGACCAGGGGGCAGCAAGACGAGCCACTAACCACCATCAGGACAAAGGCTGGGAAAGCAGAGGGAGATGTACACATGGACTCATGGACTGCGTTTTTTTTTTTTGAGACGGAGTTTCGCTGTTTCACCCAGGCTGGAGTGCAGTGATGTGATCTCGGCTCACTGCAACTTCTACCCCCCGGGTTCAAGCAATTCTCCTGCCTATGCCTCCTGAGTAGCTGGGATTTTAGGTGCCCGCCACCACGCCTGGCTAATTTTTGCATTTTTAGTAGAGACGGGGTTTTGCCATGTTGGCCAGGCTGGTCTCGAACTCCTGAACTCAGGCGATCCACCCACTTTGGCCTCCCAAAGTGCTAGAATTACAGGCGTGAGCTACTGTGACCAGCCTGTGTTTTCATTTTTTAAACTGCAATTGCTAGAGTGGCTGAGCCTATGAAACCAGTGGCGAAAGAAGGTCTTGTAACAAAATATTCTCCAAACCTCTGCAAGCCTCAAATCCCTTGACCTCACGGCACTCACTCCCTGGTGAGCTCTCACCTGCAGAAGTGCCTATTAACCCAGAACCACAAACCACTGGCCTCCCAGGCTTCCTCGGCTTACCCAAGAGGATGTGAAGGCCCGGGAGGTAGGGCCCGGGCAGAGGCAAGGGGAAGAGAGCTCTGAGGGAGTCTCCTCTGCCCTCACCAATTAACACCTCCTCTGGGTGAGACAAGCAAGAAGCTGGGTCCTGAGGGGCTGCGATAAGAGACAGGAACTTTTCACAGCAGTGAGACCATGTCCAGGGGAACATGCGGGAGGCCAGAGGCCCAGACTCATGCAGATTGGAGGTGGGGGTGGGGTGAGGAGGAGACATCAAGATGCCAAAATAAGGGTACCCTGGATAGAAGCCTGTGGAAGACACACGCTAAAGGAAAACCACTCCCCTCCCCTGTTGCTGGCCTCCCCAACCCTGCGAACCCCCAGACCCACGTGTCGGGCTGCGATCTTGGAGGAGCCCACGAGGTTGCCATCGCTGTCCAGGACATCAATCCCTTCCTCCAGCTCCCCGTACCGCATCAGGACCACATTGCAGATATTGGCACTGGCTGCAGAGAGAGGGGATGCAGAGAGCAGGATGAGGAGGAAGATGGCATTCCACCTGGAGGGAGGTCACTACACTCCTTCCTACGCAAGCCTTGGGGTTCTGTGTTCAAATGCATGGGCAAAGGTTAGGGAAGGGGTGGTTCTGTTGTCCATCTGCCTATCAGCCTGGTGAGGGATCTGGGGGCCCTTGGGAACCTGGTAAGTGAAAGTGGAAAAGAACAGGTATCAGGGAGGACACCCGTTCTGGCCTCAGAGAGCGGCCACTTACCGAGGGGCTGCTTTCCTCTCCTCCAGGGCAAGCCCACTAGGCAGGCAAAGTGGGTGTCCATCTGGGAGGGCTCTCTGACCTGAAGTCGCATCCCCCCTGACCCCGAGGCCTGATGTTCCACCATCACTGGGGCCCTTGCGCTGCCCTATCCTCTTAAACTGTCGGTCCAACATCCAGCCCCTCCTGTCTCTGAGCAAATCAAGTTCCCAGAAATTTGCCTCCCTGACAGCAGGTGCCAGAGAGGCAGAAACCTCAGTGTTCACCCAGCACCACCCCCTCATCATATGGATGGAAGACTGAGGCTCAGAGAAGAGGAGTGACTTATCTGAGGTCACACAGCAGAGTGGGACAGAGCAGAAAGGCTACAGTGCCTCTGCCTCTGAATACTCAGGGGGCAAGAGGGTTGGGGCAGGAGCAGCGGGCTGAGTTAAGGGCAGACCTTCTCCATTCTTGCTTCCTATGGCTGAGTGCCTGCCTTTGGCTAGGCCCCTCTGCCATCTGAGATCTTGGGAACCTGGGCTAAGGGGAGGGTTCCCGGCTCCTTAGTGAAGCACTGGTTGTTGAAGTCTGGGGCCACCCATTAGCTGGCAACTAGCTCAGGGATCCTCTTTCTGCTCCCCCATCCTGGGACTCACATGACTGGGCCAGGCCCCGTGGCCCAGTGCAGTGTGGGTGTTGACCCCGCCTGAACTCTCCCAGCCCCGCTGCAGGATGGAAGTGGGGGGACCTGGGAGGGGTGGGCAGGTGGGGAGTGGGGGGTGACAAATGCAGAGTCTGCCTGCTTCACTCCTCCCCCCAAAGCGCCTTGCTGTGTTTAAAGTTTTAATTTTTGCTAATTAATGTCAATTAATTTTGTATAATGAGTGTTTAATTTTGGGGAGTGTGTGAGCCTGGGAGCGACTGCAGTTCTGGGCTGTGAACGCTGATTAGCATCAACACCTGCTGCTTCCCCCTCCTTCCAGTGGGGGGGGCCACCAGGGTTTGGGGAGCTGGAGGGTGGCGGGGCCTAGTGGGCAGGCGGAGTGGGAGGGAGACCACAGATGCTCCTGGGGCCTGAGCCAACGAGTGGTCCAGGGTGCTCACAGCTGGGGCACAGGGTTCTGTGGGTGAGGTGTGGCTTGAGACCCCTGGGGCCTCAGTCGCCTGTTTCATTAAAATGGGGAGGTGGAATAAACAGGGGAAGACCGAGAGACTCTGCAGTCTTTGGAGAAGAAAAGCAGGAGGCCAAATACAGTTCTAAAATGTATTTAGAGCACACACACCATCTTCGAGCATCTCTCCTGCTTCCACCGACGCTCAGTGCAGTGGAAACCATGGGCAGTCCCTCTGTGTCCCGGGCTCTCCTGCCCCACAACAGGCATGCTCACCTGCCCTAAACAGCCGCTCTCTGCCAGGGGCGGTTCTGTGGGGCATTTGGCCATGTTTGAGGGCATTTTCAGTGATTGTGATCTAGGGGTCAGGGGTTGCTGCAGGCATCTGGTGGATAGAGGCCAGAGGTGCTGCTAAACATCTCGCAAGGCACAGGACAGTCCCCCCACCAAAGGATCATCTGGCCCCCAAATATGTCAACATTGCTGACACTGAGAAACCCTTGTTTTCACCACAGTCAGTGACAGACAGAATTAGGAAGCTGAATCCAAGGTAAAGGAGATCTGGTTAGCAGGGCATGACCAGGAGGGGATGGGAGCCTGGGTTTGGGGCCATCGGGCTTGGGTTCCAATTCTGGCTCCATATCTCTCCCGCCTCAGCCCCAGGCGCCCAGGGCTCAGGGCCCAGAAGGGTCCCCCAGGGTAGCCTTGGGAAGCAGCCACCTGGCCTCTGTGTTAGTGACATGCCCTCTAGTGGCCTTAGGGAGGCTATGCATCCCCCATGCCCTTGGAGCTGCCAGGCTTTCGGTTCCCAGGAGACCTAAGAAAACCGTTGAGAGGACAGTGGGGTTTTCTGCCCTGAAAGGCATCAATCCTAGCCCTCTGATGACGCTGTCCACCATACCACCACCACCGCCACTCCCAGAAAGGCAAAGTTACAGGAATGTGGTCCAGGAGACGAGCATCCTGCTAAAGTCAGGAGCTACCAGCTCACTCTGGGGACTTGAGCCATTGCCACCCAACCCCACCTTGGCTTCTCCGGGCATAAAAGGAGGGGCAGAATGTAGGGTCTCCATGGGATTTCTGGGTGCTGGCTGAGCTCACACAAAATGTCAGCCTCTGCACCTGTGCCCATGCCAAGTCAGGGGAAAGTGGGGACAGCTGAAATGTCTCCAGCCCCCATTTTGTGTGTGTATGCATAGGGGAGACAAACAGAAGAGAGAGTGTGGATCTGGAGGTGGTAGTGGACCAGCCCTGACTCACGGTGGCATCTCACTCTCTCCCTGTAATCTCCAAACATTAAACATGCGGCGAGCAGGACAGCTTTGGTTCAAACACAAAACCACTGAGATGAAAGATGAAGCATGAAAGGAAGTGAAAACCCAGCCTCCTTCCCCTCATCCAGCCCCTCCAGGACAATTCTGAAGCTGCCTGAATGGAAAAAAAACAGAGAAAACCCTAAAAGTCATCTCAGAATGATGGTACCTGCCCCCTCCCCAGGCTCCTCCCTTGAAACCGGCAATTCTTACAGCCTACACAGATGGCACATGACCTGCAATCTCTTCTGTTGACTGTGTACATTGGTTGGCCTTTATTGAGCACCTGCCGTATGCAGAGGCTACCAGCCATCCATGCCCTTGGGCAGTGGGAATGCCAGCCTGTTACAGTGATTTCATTTCCATGAGCTCATCCCAAACTTTCAATTCTGCCATATCCTTTTCAAACTGTCCCTGATCCTTCCCATCCCACTCCTGGCAAGTCCGGCTCCTGTGACAGGGACACTGAGAGCCTAAGCAAATGATAGAGAGAGAGAGAGAAAAAAAAAAAAACAGAGACAGAGAGAACAAGAACATGCACAACCCTGGGGCACAGGTCTCCTCTCCAACACACCAGCAAGATCTATTATTGATGGTATCAGCAGGTTAATTAAGCAGCCTGTTAGTGATGATGTTAAGAAAGCTGGCACATTTTCAACTCAGATTGACACCATTCAAGACTCAGGCATAACTGATGTTTGAGCAGCAATGTGGGAGATGTCAAGGAATGAGAGAGAGAAAGAGAAGGAGAGAGAAAGACTTTGCTTCTTGATGATGGCAAGCTCAGTGTTAAGTCCTGAAGAGAATTTGCTCTTGCCTGCTGCAGATGTTCTCACATCCGACCCATTGCGATGCAAAATCATGCAGATTGTGAAAAGCTAATGAAGCACCCGGTGTAAAAGGGGCAGTGTGGGGAGGAAGAAAGAGCAGTAGACAGAAAGACAAATGTGCAAGAAAGTTCTCCAAAAGAAGATCATGGGGGAGCCTGCCCCTGAACTAGGGCAGGAATAGACAAGCAGATCAATGCAGTACACTAGTCCTGCAACTCACCCATCTGTCAGGGAAATTAATTGGTAGTAAAGCAGTTCTATCAACTCACAGGGAAAGGACCATTTAAACACAGACATGCAGCAATGGGCTACTGATTTGGGGAAAATAAACTACCATAACTCCTCAATTCTACGATGCACCTTCCCATATTTTAATGTTTTAAAAATCATAATGTGCCTTACAATGAAAGTCGTCAGAGAAGGGAATCTTACCTGCTACTCAACACAATTGCCTGTACATGTGTGAATGCAGCCATGTGTACAGGTATCCATTCATTCAAGTGTCACCTCAGCTGACCACAGCAATCCATACAGAATTTGAACTTAAACTTAGATTCCTAATTGTTGCCTAAAACATCTTTCTAAAACTTACACTATAATGGAGCACGGACATGAAAAGTTATTGTACATGCAGAAGATCGTCTGCCAGATACCAGGCAATGCAATTAAAGACAGTAGAAATTGCCAAACCATAGATAGCTACCCTAAAGAAATGCTTGCCCATATGCACAAAGAGACATTTACAAGGATGTTAATTATAGCACTGTTTGTAAGAGCAAATAATTAGAAACAACCTAAATGTCCACCATTAGGGAACTCACATGGGAAGATCTCCAAAACAAACTGTTATGTGAAAAAAGCTACTGAGTATGTACATGATGATTTACTGTATGTAAAACCCTGTAATTGGCATATGCACATATATGTGTGCATAAATCCACAGGTAATGTTTTGGAAGGTTCACAGCTCACAGAGTGGTCTGCTTGGGGAAAGGAATTCAATTTGAGAATTAGGGGTTGTTGAAAGACTTCCACTTTTTTACACCAGAATTTTCTATAATATTTAAATTTTTACAGTGAGAATATAATCATGTTTCATTTACCCAAAAAGTAAAAAAAAAAACTGCCAAACTTCTTGAAGAAGATCACACACATTTTAAAGCCAGCAGGGATTGACGTAACCTAGTCATGGGTCCCACACTTAGGTACCTACAACATGTCGGCTTCCTAAAGAAGCTGATTAATTTCAGGAATATTTTTTTTCTTCAAGTAAAGAACAAATATGAGACCTAAGTATAACCAAATCAGAAATGCAAACAAAAATTCCCAATATTCTTTTATATGCTTTGAAATTATACTATTCATCTTAAACAGGCTAAAGGAGTGGAGATTAGAAGCAGGACTACAAAAAGCAGTGGTGGCCACGATGCTGTGTTTAACAACCAATGCCCAAAAAAGAACAAGAAAATGTGAAGGAGGCTTAGACTCCAACTCTGTGGTACTAAAGAAAGTGACTGGTATTGAATGTGTAAGTGAATACTTGCTTATTCCTTCCAATGGACACTAATTATAGTTCTCTTCTAAAAGGCTATTATGTTAATACCTCTTATAACTCAGGCATCTTAGAAACACAGCATTCAAGATCGATTTAGAAACCATACTATAAGATATGGGGACCTGGAAAGTGATATTTATTACATATGATAAACAAAGGGCTACTAATCTTAAGTTATGGAGGGTCATGGTGACTGACTCCTAAGAGCTATTCTACCCCCGCCCGAGATTAATCCAAACTAATAGTAATAATCCTCCCACGGGCAGTGACTGGTCTAGGAAGAGGCATGTGACCCGATTCCAGACAACCAGGAATGTCTGCTGGGGACTTCTGGGGAAGGTCTCCTCCCATCTAAGAAGGGTTGAGAGGCAGGCAGAGCCTCTTGTCCTCTGGACACTGGGTCCAGACGTGATGCTTGGAGCTGCTGCCGCCATCTTCCACAAGCCTGAGATGAAGCCCACCAGGAGGCCAGCAGAGCAACACTGCGGGAAGCACCCTGGATGCCCCGCCTGAGACTCGCCCTTTGTAAAGTAATAGACTCCCTTATTATTTAAACCCTCAACAGTTTGTGTTGAGGGTTTCTGCTAATTTCAGCCAAAAAATCCATACGATGTATAAGAGCTTTAACAATTATTAAGAAAAAGATATGGTGATCAAAATCATAGAAAAACATATGAGTAGGCAATTCATAAAAGGCTGAAAAACTAATAAACATGAACTCAATCTCACTAATAATCAGGGTTAGGTTTCTAGATCTGAGGAAAAAAAAATCTGCAGGAGTTCTTTATAGGTTTTGGAGGCTAAACCTCATTGGTTAAAGGGTTTACAAACAGCTATTCCCAGCCTGTGACTTGTTTTTCTCACAACATGGTGCCTTCTGTCATATAGTTTAATATATAGTCAGATAAAGAATCCTTCCTGGTATATACATTTTGTGTTGTTAAGAAACTCTAGGTGGGGTGTGGTGCCTCACTCCTGTAATCCCAGCACTTTGGGAGGCCGATGTGAGTGGATCACTTGAGGTCAGGAGTTTGAGATCAACCTGCCCAACATGGAGAAACCCCATCTCTACTAAAATACAAAAATTAGTCGGGCATGGTGGCACACGCCTGTAGTCCTAGCTACTCAGGAGGCTGAGGCAAGAGAATCACTTGAACCAGGAGGCGGAGACTGCAGTGAGCCAAGATTGCACCACTGCACTCCAGCCTGGGCAACAGAGAGAGACTCTGCCTCAGAAAAAAAAAAAAAAGAAAGAAAGAATAAGGAAAAAAAAAAAAAAGAAACTCTAACCCTACTCCAGTGTTCATCTATATTTTCTTCCAAAGGTTTTAATTTTTTACTTATCACATTTAGGCCTTCAATCTATCTAGAATTTTTTTTTGTGGATGGTATGAAATAAGGATATCCTCTTGCTCTCTCTTCTGTTTGGAAACCCAAATGTCCAATAAAGTTAAGAAAAGGTTCCCAACTATACTGGGAATTGGAAAAATGCAAATTAAAATGAGAAATAAACCAGTTCAGATGAACGCATTTTTCTTTTTCTTTCTTTTTTTTTTTTTTTGAGATGGAGTCTCACTCTGACACCCAGGCTGGAGTGCAGTGGCACAATCTCGGCTCACTGCAACCTCTGCCTCCCGGGTTCAAGCGATTCTCCTGCCTCAGCCTCCCAAGTAGCTGCAATTACAGGCGCCCACCACCATGCCCAGCTAATTTTTGTATTTTTAGTAGAGATGGGTTTTCACCATGTTGGCTAAGCTGGTCTTGAACTCCTGACCTCAGGTGATCCACTCGCCTCAGCCTCTCAAAGTGCTGGGATTACAGGTGTGAGCCACCACGCCCGGCCCAGATGAACAAAAATTTTAAGAGATTGATAATATCAAATATTGAAGAGGATGTAGGGAAACAAAAATTCAGACCCTGCAGGTTGGGTAAATGCCCGTATGCCCACCTGGCAATATTTAATAAAGCTAGAAACGTATGTACCCTCTAATGTGTCCATTCCATGTCTGGGTACACACGCTAGCCTGGCGATTCCCAGCACAAGTGAAACCAAAGCTGAGGTAGGGCCCAGATCTGTTTTTTTTTTAAATTCCCCAGGTGATTATAATACAGATGAAGGTTTGAAAACTTTTGCCCAGGAGAAACTCTTACTCATGTGCACATGAGCTGTTTAGAGCACAAGGTTGTTTAGAGCAGGACTGTATAATAATGAGAGACTGAAAACAACCTAAATGTCCCCAATTAATCACCTGTGGATAGCCACACAGTACGAATGCCTATGGCAGCTGAAATGAATGTATATGTATTAACATAAATAAATTTCAAAACCACAATGAAAGGCAAGTTTCAAAAGGATATGTACAGTATGGTACAGTTAATATAAATTTTGAAAAATTCATGAACAATACAATTGATGGCTTATGGTACATGCACATATGCTAAAATATAAAACCTAAATGGTAAGCATACACTAACTCCAGGTCGGTGCCTTCTGTGGGGAGAGAAAGAAACCAGAATCAAGAAGGCAGAGGGCTTTGAGTGTATCTAACGTTCTCTTTCTCTATTTCTTCAATTTTCTATGTTAATAGAAAAATTTCATAATTAAAAAAACAGGCCGAGTGCAGTGGCTCATGCCTGTAATCCCAGCACTTTGAGAGGCCAAGGCGGGTGGATCACCTGAGGTCAGGAGTTCAAGACCAGCCTGGTCAACATGGCGAAACCCTGTCTCTACTAAAAACACAAAAATTAGCCAGGCATGGTGGCATGCACCTGTAATCCCAGCTACTTGGGAGGCCAAGACAGAAGAATTGCTTGAACCCAGGAGGCGGAGGTTGCAGTGAGCCGAGATCATGCCACTGCACTCCAGCCTGGGTGACAGAGCAAGACTCCGTCTATAAATAAATAAATAAAGAAATCATTTAAAAATAGCCATGGAACAAACTACTGTGGCTATTAAGGAGAAGTTACAATTTTATGACTGCCATGGAAAGACATCTAAAATTGACTGTGAGGTTAAAAAGCAGTTTACAGAATAGTATATATATATCTATATATGAACCCATTTGTATTAAGTTACATTTATATAGACATATTTATACACTACATATAGATATAATAGGCAGAGATTCATATACTTTTAGATGTTAACTTGAATTTGGAGGGATATATACTAAATGACTCGGGAGAGAGAAGTAGGATTGCTTATTCTATTATGTATTATCAGAAAGAAATAGAGCCATTTTCATTAAAACGAACAAACAAGCACTCTAGTAGCAAGCATGAGACTTCAGCTGCTATTCTGGCTCAAGACTGATGTTGGACTAAGTACTTCCATATTCCACTTCCTCTTCTGCAAGAAGTGGGAGGTAATGCTGGCCTCCCCTCCCCTCTTCTCTCTTCTCTCCTCCCTCCCTCTCTTCCTTCCTTCCACCGTTGTGGGCAACACAGTCAATGATTCAAATGGTGTAAAAGGGGAAATAATAAAAAGTAAGTCTCCTTCCCAACCCTAAACTTTACCCCCTCCCCAGAGGCAACCACTATAGCCAGGTTCTCATGTCCCTGCCCGGGAAGGTCTATGTATATACATGTAGGCATATTACCACCTTTACACACTCACACATACTCTCTCTCTCACACTCGAATCACAGCAGAATACAACCCCTCTGCCTTTAAGACAGTGATGATTATCAAATAAGGATGCATGCCCTCATATTTGCTTGATTTCACAAAAATCCCCATTATTCCACCTGAGAGGCAGTGCTAAGTAAGCAGCACAAATTTTCTCTTAAGTAGCTTGAGAATTTGGGGAGAGTTTCACAACCCATATTGAAGTGTCACCGACTCAGGATCGGGAATTTCTGGATTGAAAAATCAGCCTGTAAGTCTAGGTGTAGGCTGACTCGGAAGTTTGGAATCTCTTAATGTGATTCCTGCTAACACATCCATCTTTTTAAAAAGCCCCTTTTTATCACAGCTGCCTCTTAGCTTGAGATTCTTCAATGGTTCCTCATCAACCAAAGATAAAGCTCAAACCCCAAGCTAACACTCATAGCGACAACATGCCCTCCTCTGTTCCCCAGCAGGCCAGGCCAGCCCAGCCAGGCCCCCTGCCCCCTCCTGCATTCCCCTCCTGCATAGCCCCTCCCTCCCTCTGCATTACACCTCCCCACTTTCTCTGCCTCTGGGCTTCTCTACCTTCTGGATTTCAGGAATTATAAAACCCCAGAACTGGAAGGCCATTTACGCAACAAGCACTTATGGAGCACCTACGGTATGCCAGATCCTGAGCAAGCTGCTTGGAAACAGGTGCCTTGGTCGCGTGCGAGTGCCCCTCACAGCTTCTGGGGCCTGTCTACTAATCAGACATTTCCCTCAAATCCAGGAGTCAGGCAGCTCATTCCAATAACAGGCTCTCATTTTTTTCAGAAGATCCTGTCACTCTTATGGCGTTACCACTTATCAGAGCTACTCTTGACGTGTACAGCCAGAATTAAACAGACTCCTTTGTTCTTGGTGTTCTATCTTTAGTAATGCAGCTGAAATCTGAGTGAGCATCATCAGAGGCACACACCACACCAGGGACCCATTCTGAGCACACGGCACACGAGACCCCCGGGTCTCTGTCTTGAGAACTTCAGCCAAGTCAGGTCTTGACACCCTCACACTTGTGCACCTACATTTTTTGAACAGCAAGGCTTACATCAAACCTTGTGAGATCTCATCGGCCCACCTCGATGGATCTTTTTAGATCCTGGTGCTCTTGCCCATGAATTCACAATCCCTGCCAGGTTGGTGTCCCTGTTTTTTGAATATGAGCCACAGGCCTCCTCCATCCAAGGCATCAAAATAACTGAAGGGAATGAAACTGAAGACAGAGCCCTGGGACACTAGACACTTTCCTCTGGCTGCCTTGGACCCACTGCCTGTGTCCTCTTGGGGCCTGACACACAGCAGGGGCCCATGCCAGTTCTGAGGCTGCCACCAATTCTGGCACCCAGCCCAGCCCAACCTTCCATGGCTCCTCAAAATCCACAGCACCACGCCCACATATTCCTTTGATAACATGATCTAATTATCCCCGCCCTTTTCTCAACAAACACCATTTCCGTACATAATTCAGTTCATATTAGATTCCTAAAATCGTAGAGGTGATGGAAGGTGATTTAGAGAGATTATCGAATGGGTTTCATCCTCTATAAAACTTTATTGCCCTTATCACTGGAACTTTGTGTGTGTGTGTGTGTGTGTGTGTGTGTGTGCGTGCCATTTTGAACATCTAACCACCTCTTACCCCCAAAGAACAAGTTCCCTGATGGCAGGAATGTGCCACCCCTGATTGGGGCAGGAGGAACAGAGTGGAGCTGGAAGAGGATCAACATTTAGTAGGTGCTCATGCTACGCTGGGAAATTGACATGTTCAATCCCCATGAAAACTTTGCTTAGAGATACTAGTATCCATTTTATAGACGGGGCCATAATGGCCTGGAAGGGTTGGATAATGTGCCCAGGATGATCTGGAAAGGGGTGGGCCCATTGGTCATCCACCCTAGGCCTGCTGACTAAGAGTGGACCACAGTGATGGTAAAAATGTAAACAAGAAAACAGAGCACTCCAAAACAACTTTAAAAAGTGGAAAAGGTCCAGAATAAATGTCCAGGTAGCTACAGAATCTGGCCACCACTGTCATCAGGGTGAGGTTCTGCCACGAGTGACTCATCTCAAACCTTTTGTGCCAAAGCACTCATTTGATCATTGAATAAACCCACATTGAGCACTGACTGTGTGCCAGGCACCGAGGGGGCTGAGTGTGGTGGTAGATGAGATCCAGTCCCTGCCTTGGGGCACTCAATGTCTAATGGGGGAGGCAGGCTTGGAAACAACACGGGCAGTCCCCAGATAGACATCGGCACACACAGGTAGCTGCCATCTAACCCTGGCTGGGACTCCCAGCGAGGGCTTCCAAGAGGAGATGGTGTTTGAGCAGAGTCACAAAGGCCTGGTAGTCGAGGGAGGGCAGAGGGTGCTTGAGGTAGTGGGAAGAGCAGGTATCCAGACATCAGGGCCACATGCAAAGGCCTGGGGCCCGGCAAGAGGGAGGAGAGGAGGACGGCAGCGTTCTCCAGGGCTGCAGTGGGGCACAGGAGAGGCAAGAGCAGGCCAGGTCAAAGAAGGGACTCATGGCATCCAGAGGTGCCTGAAGGGCATGAATGCCACGTGAAGCACCACTGACCTTGATGGATGGACCTTGATGTCACAGGGCCCAGGACAAGCTGCCACAGGTGCACACTGCTGCCTCCTGCTCACAGGGGATGAGGCCTGGGGAGCTGTGCTCTGACCTGGGGGTAGGCCCTCCAGACTTGGGCAGCACTGCCATGGCCACTCCTAGACGGAGGAAGCAGGGTGGACTGAGCACAAAGGGGGAGCAGTGGAGCAAAGAGGGGTTCAATGACATGAAGACCCGTGTGGCCTTGGGGAGAAGGGGGCATGGACGTCAGGGAACAGGTTTGCCACACCTGTGAATGAACAGAAGACCTTCTCCCAAATAGTGCCAGGACACCCTGGGCAACGGACTCATTGGTTAACACCGAGATCTTTTCATGGCAATAAAATAAATCCTGACATTTAACATAGGAGACTGCTGGGGACGGCACAGGAAGAAGTCATTTCTCAGCAAGGAGCTGCTGAGGCTGGCATTTCCGGTGCCTGCAGGAAGCTTGTTCTCCTTGGAAGGAGCAGCTGGCTGATGCCAAAGCTCAGGCCTTCCTCATGAGGAGCTCAGGGCCTAGCTGGGGGTCTTGATGAGCACATGACACTCACTGCCTGTTCCCTGCTCTGAGTGGATGCAGCCAGGCAGCCTGGGGTGACCTTCAGGGCTTCCTGCCCTCCCCATGCACACACCTACCCGGAGTCCAGAGGGCCAGCTTTATAGATGTGCTTGCTGAGACAACACCTCTGTCTCCACCTCCCTAAGGCCCCTGCCCCACCCATTGCTGTCAACGAGATGTCTATTCCCCTGGCCACTGCCACCTCTGGGACCCAGGACTTGGCCCTCCTTCCTGCTGGTAACTGCTCCTGGTACCCCTCCTCCAAGGCCCCTTGAGAAGCCTGTGGGGCCGGCAACCCCTGGAACAGACTCTGCTCACAGAGACTGGTGGCTAGAGCTGGGGGTGTGTATTTTTCCAATGCCTCCTCTACTGACCTTTAATTACACTGTTTGCCCAGCTTCCCAAACCATTAACTTCACCTGGCAGCAACCATACGTCAATTAACGGAGGGCCCGCTCCGAGCTTGAGCTCCTGAACACAATTAGGCGTGACAGTCCACAAATAAGAAAGAACTGGAGAATTAATTAAGGTCTAAGCAAATTAATTACCAGTCCCCAATCGATTCCGATGCCAGCACACATGCTCCTGGGCTCACTGTCTTTCCTAACATCTCCATGTATAAATAGAAACTGAGATCTCCCACACGATTGCTGTTCTAGACCAGGGACACAGCATGGCCCTGAAACCACCTCTCTCCAAGGGGAGAGAAATGGCTGCAGTGAGCATCCCAGGGCTTCCCACATACTCAGCACATGTGCCTGCACATGCATCAGTCACGTGACACAGGCGTGTGCACACACACACTCTGAAAAACTAGGGGGGAACTTGGAGGCAGAACAGGGAGGACACCGCGTAGCCTTGGCTGCCTCCAGGCCACACTGCTCAGTTTCTCAGCTATATGGGTGAGGGGTTATCTCACAGGGCTTGAAATAGCCCTGGGCTGGGCCTGGGAGGCCTGGGAGGCCTGGGCTCTGGCCAGCTCAGTATCACTTTTAGCAAGTCTGACTTTGTTCATTCTTCTGTAAGAGGGTGATGGCTTGCTCTGCCTTCGGACCCTCCCAGCACAGAATGAGGAGAACCGAGGGAGGAGAGAGGCTTGCTAGGGAATATGAGGGGAGCCGTGCAGCCCCCAGGAGCTCTGCAAACCTCAAGGAGGCCTGCAGTCACAGAGGTCCTGGTGGGAAGGGGCTGAAGGAGGGTCTCGTCAGAGGCCTCGTTTCCAGATGAGGAGACAGCGGGTAGAATGGGGTGGGAATGGTGGAGTTTGGTGTGGGGTCCAGGTGCGTGTGTCTCAGGCCACTCTTAGGCAGTGTGTAGCCCACCTCCCAGGCTTCAGGCTGGGGCCTGCAGAGGAGCTGGCAGAGCCTTGGGAAGAAGAAACTGACTCTTGGGGATTCCTTGTTCCCCAGAGCTTGAGTTCCCAACCTGCTCAGAAGTGTGAGAGCCTGGATGCGGCCTCTGACCACAGGGCACAAGCCTCTTCAGGACCCCCATCACCCTGAAGACCCCCTTCCACTCCACTCACATCCCAACAACAGAGCTTAAATATGATCACTGCCACTTTCCCCAACCTCCTTCCCATGTGCAGTCACTGCTCAGTGAGTCCTGTCTCTGCAAGCAGCCTAAAGGGACAGGGGACCCTCCACAAGGTCAAGCACAGCCTGAGCCAGCTTCTTGGTCACCTTTAACAGTGGCCCAGCCAGGTCTGGCCTAGCCTACCTCGGAGACCTGCAGTGAACCCCGGGCAGGACCTAGGCCCTGCCAGCACCTGGTGCAGCTTAGGGATACTCTGGCCAGGGGTACCTGGGGATAAGGTGAAGAGAGGCCAAGTACAGGGACTGGACGGTGGCCTGAGAGGACCAGGGGGCTTTTGAGTCCCTGGTGGGAAAGGGCCACACCTAATCATCTCAAAACTGTGTCAGCATGGACTAGGGCAGTCCGCAAGTGTCCACTTGCAGATGAGAGCGATGGACATAGGGACTAGAGAGATGGAAGCCTGTGGGGGGGTGGGAGGGGAGACTGGGGCTGGGGCAGAAGGCAGGCAGGTACCCAGCCAGGACTCAGCAGCCAGGCCAGAGGAAGAAGCCACAAAGGGCCTGCCTCTCCCTGGATCCCGCAAGCAAGGACTGTCAGGGCTTAAACCACATTATGCAACCCGTGAGGGATGTTCAGGATCTCAAGACAACAGTGGCTGCACCTGTGTGAGCGGCTGAAGCCTCATTCCCAAAAAGAAGAGGGGAGGGGAATTACACTGGAGTCTGAAGAGGGGCAGGTCAGAAAGTCTCAGACCCAAAGCAGGGACTCTCCTCCTGAAAGAGTCCCAGAGAGGTTAAGACCACCTCAAGGTGACACAGCAAGATGGCCAGTAGGGCTGGAATGGGCCCCCGGCAAAGTTCTTATCTAAAGCTTGGCTAGGGACAGATTACATCTTGGCCGAATCCCAGATCCAGCCCAGTGCAGCAGAGCGCTGCCCCTTCTCAGGCTGCATCTGACCCTGCAGCTGAATGGCCGGGAACACCAGTTGGGCAGCCGTGTTTGCTTTATTAGGCCCCTTAACGAAGTCAGATCTAAAGGGTTATTCCATTAATGGCCCACGACAGAAATAGCTGAAAGTTCATTAAAAGTGTGGAGTTGCTATAGCAATTATCTGGGCTGGCTGAGGCTGAGCCAGGTGGCTGGTTCTCGGAATTCATTAGTCTCTGGGTCATCCAGAGGTGGGGCTGCCCAGCAATGACCTCTCACCCTCTCACAGGGCTTTGCAGGTGCTTCAAAGCACCCTCCTCTCAGTGGAAACTGGTTTGTGGCCTCACTTGCTCCTCCCAGAGCTCTGGGCTGTAGGAAGGTGGGTACTGGTACCCGCCTTTTACAGATGGAGAAGCAGGGCCCTGTAGATGACGATCAGGGTCAGGACCATGAGCCTGGGTCTGACTCCAGCTCTTCAGATGGTGCCTTGGTACCACAGAGGTCACGAGTCCTCATGCCCTGTGCTGGCCTGTCCCCATCGTTGTCCTTTGGCACAGATGGGGAGCTCTGCTGTTATGGTTCAAGGACTGGTTTATCCTTCTCTTTTGACAGCTATGCACTGCCTTACACTGCTCTCAATACTGTTTATTTCTTTTTAGTTTTAAAAACTCCTTCCACTATTTTGCCCTTCTCCCCAAACAAGGTGTAGGCTTCTTAAGGGCCAAGCAGAGTTTTGTGGCATCTCCAGGGCCCCAGCCTGGGGCATCTATGGTGAGCTCATAGACTCCAAGTTCAGCAAAGACGCAGCTGAAATCCCCTCCACATATACCTGTGCGCCCACAATCACCTGCGTAGAGCCAAGGCCTCTGAAACCTAGAGGCTCACAATACCCAAAGGCTTGAAACCTAGACTAGCAGAAGCTTGCAGGCTTCTTTTGTACCACGAACCACTCTGGTAGTCTAGTGAGGCCTATGGACCCCTCTCAGAATAATGTTTCTAAATGCATAAAACAAAACACATAGGATCACAAAGGGATCATCCTGAAATTACCAAAATATTGTGATATAGTAATAGATGTTTTTTGGGGTTTTTTTTGTTTTGTTTTGTTTTTGAGACGGAGTCTCACTCTGTCACCAGGCTGGAGTGCGTGATCTTGGCTCACTGCAACCTCCAACTCCCTGGTTCAAGCCATTCTCCTGCCTCGGCCTGAGTAGCTGGGATTACAGGCATGCACCACCACACCCAGCTAATTTTTCTATGTTTAGTAGAGATGGGGTTTCACCATGTTGGCAAGGATGGTCTTGATCTCCTGACCTCATGATCCGCCTACCTCGGCCTCCCAAAGTGCTGGGATTACAGGCATGAGCTACCACACCCAGCCTAGATGTGCTTTTTAACTAATGAATTAAAAACAAGATCTATCAGTTGATGTATTAAATATGAATTAGTGACCGGGCATGGTGGCTCACGTCTGTAATCCCAGCACTTTGGGAGGGTGAGGCAGGTGGATCATGAGGTTAGGAGTTCGAGACCAGCCTGGCCAACATGGTGAAACCCCATCTCTACTAAAAATGCAAAATTAGATGGGCATGGTGGCGCATGCCTGTAATCCCAGCTACTTGGGAGCCTGAGGCAGGAGAATTGCTTGAAGCTGGGAGGTGGAGGTTGCAGTGAGCCGAGATTGCACCACCATACTCCAGCCTGAGTGACAAGAGTGAAACTCTGACTCAAAGAAAAACAAAGAAAAAGAAAAAAGAAAGAAAATATGAATTAGTGTTGAGCATAAATAATATTTTAAGACCTCTGTAACAACTGTAATGTGCCATGAAAACATCTGTGATTTCTACTGGTGACAAAGTCACAGGTCCTGCTTCTGACTGTGGTTTGCTGCCTGCATTCGTAACGGAAGGAAATGTTAAAATGCAGTTAGAGGTTAATGTAAATCTTTTCCCTGACCAAGCTCACAGGATCCGCTGCATTCTGTCTACTGACCCCTTGGGGGTCTGGGACTGCAGCCTAAGAACCCCTATGCTGAAAGCAGAATCTCAGCACAGAGCTGGTCAGTGGGACCCCATGGTCTTGTCTTTTAGCTAAACATATTACACCAATTCTCCCAGCTGGGTGCCCCCTGGGCATCAGGAGAGGTGTGGAAGGGTCATCTGTCTCCCTGGGAGCCCAGCGGTCCCCCACACCCACCCACAGCACACATCTATGTGGTGTGCAGGTCTTACCTACAGCAGGGAACGGCACAAACCTCTGGATGAGAAGGCGGGTGGCTGGGGTGAACTTGTTGGCTTTCTGAACCAGGACATTAAGGCCCACCTTTGAAAGAAAAAAATAAAAACACAGAAAAAGTACATGATGCTGCAGTGGCTTGTGGGAGGAGGGGGCAGAACTGGAGGAACATCAGAGAGTGAGGGATGTCATCTTTCCCCACAACTGCACCTCACACCCCTAATCCTCAGCGTCACCTGAGGTTGCAGAGCTCCAGCGTCGCTGCTTAAAGTACCACTGCCCAGTCATCCCAGGTAACTGGCCCATGAGAAAGAGGGAGAGAGGTAAAGCATCAGAGACATACACACACACACACACATACACACACATTTACACACTCATACACACACACTGCAGAGGAGAAAAGGGATAGGATGCTGTGGCAGTTGCTCGTAGAAGAATACATACTCCATGAATAAATGAAGTGTAGGAAGGCCTCATTCCCACCCCAGCCCTAAGCACCATCTTTCTGAAACCCCATGGTACATGCAGGTGTGGGCCCAGCCAGACCATAAGGGCTCAGGACAGGGAGACCCCGACACCTGCCCACAGGCTGCAGGACTAAGCAGCATAGCTCAGGGCAGGATGGAGGGTGAGGCGGATGTCCTGGACTCACTGTCATCGCCTTCATACCTGTCACCTGGCCCAGGATGCCAGACACCCCACCCCAGCCCCTGCCTGGGGTCTTCGTCACTCCAGTCCATCTCCTAGGCTCTTTCATCTTTCGAGAGCACAGGCTTTCTCATGTGTGCCACACCAGCTCCTCTCTATGACCAACGTGTCTGAGAAAGTGTCATCTCCTTCCCACAGCAGCCTTGGCCTCCATAACCTCACTTCCCCTCTCCCCCAAAAACCCAAGTTCAACCCCGAGAGTCCAGTTTGCTGCCCATCAGATCCTCCGTGAGCCTTCCAGCCATGGGGCCTTTGCAGTGCTGGTCCCTGTGCCTGGGATGCCTCCCTCCTCCGCTCAGTTCACACCTGTTCTTTCAGGCCCACCCATGAGTTCCACCTCCAGTGTCACTTACTAGCAGTGGGACCTGAGGCAGGTAAGTCATTTCATCTTTCTCTGTCTCAGTTTACCTATCTGTAAAAAGGGATAGTAATACCTACAACACCCCAGGGCTGGTATAAGAATGTATGTAAGTGGTGGGTGTGAGCTTGGCATATAAGAGACCTCAATAAATGAAGCTATATAATCATGATGTCACGGGACCGGATGGGGTGACTGCACCTTTTTCATCTTTGTATGTCCACCACTTAGGGCTACACTCACTGGCACATAGTACACGCTCAATAAACTGGTGACTGAGGAATAAATGCAGGAACCAACAAACATACGACGGCATGGAAAAGGCAAAGGCTGGGAGTGGGGCTTTGCGGAGGAGAGAAAGATGGGGTTGGGCTAGGCAGAGGAAAAGGACTTTCTGGTGGAGAAATGCATACAAGTGCAGGCCTGGAGAGAGAAAAGACAAGATGCATGAAACCAGAAAAGGAGTTGGGTTGCAGAGGCCTCTGCTTCCCCAGACAGAGGCCAAAGCCAGCCCCTGTGCTGTCTTTTCTGGGAAGCGTGGGAGGAGCCGTGGCAGGACTCCTGGCCTGACGGGCCGGGGCAGCCTGCTCTGAGGTCTGGCACGCCTGGCGGCTCAGCAGCCCACCCTGTGCCCTCAGGCCTGGCTCTGGCCTTAATGTTGTGGGTGGTTGGGGAGGACGCAGAGCCTTGGGAAGGCCTCCAGGGCTGCCAGGCGCCTGCCGCTGTTGGGGCAGGGTGCAGCAAGGCAGAAACAGCCCAGCCCAGGCTGCGACTGTGAGACCCAGGAAGACAAGGAAGTGCTGGTCCGCCAGCCCCGGGGCAGCGCAGCATTCCGTGGAGCCAGAGTACTTCCTGGCATGCCCACCCTGGGCTCTCGGGAACACAGCCTCCATCTTAAGTCTCAGGCTGATCCTCAGAGTCCAATCCTTGTCCTCCCAGCTCGCTCGAGGGAAGGCTGGGAGGCAGCCAGGGGCATCACGGCGTGGACACACTTCAGTGGTACAGTGGGCAGGGCTGGGGAGCTGCCGGCTCATACTGGGCCCTGCTGCCCCCGCCACATGAATAGAATTCATCAAGTCCAGGAGCGAGTGACTCAGAAATGGCCTCCCTCACCCCCAAAAAAGTGCATTGAGAGAAAGTGTGGGAGGAAGCTGGAGGACACGCAGACGGGCAGTAGCAATGAAGAGGAGGGGGGCTCGGGAGAACTCAGTGAGCACTTCCTACGTGAGGCCACTCAGCACATATTCACATGAAATATCTTAATGAGATCCCCACAACAAGGCTTTTAGATAGACCATGTTGGCCCTTTTCACAGATAGAGACAGGTCCAGAGAGGTTAAACAACTTTGCTCAAGGATAGACATCTATTATGAGGCAAGTAAAGCTAGCATTTGAACGCAGGGCCTGCTAATTCCAAAGCCTTGCTCCTAACCAGGGTGCTATGACTTTCCCATTGTCTTCCACCTGAGGGAGGGATGCTTTAATATCTCCAGGCGTTTGAACGGCACATCTGCATAGCAAGCACCTCCCTGACAATGGCCACCTTGGGGCTGGGGTCCTAACGAGTGGAAAACAGAAGGCAGCTCCTGCAGGGAAGATAGGGCCCTTGAACCATCCCTGCCCCCAGCAGCCAGAAGTCAGAAGATCTGGGTTCAAAATCCTGCTTGACAATTTAAGAAGATATAGGAAGTGCTGGAAGAGGCGGGGAACAGGAGCCATTCACGGAAGTGAGCAGAGAGGCTGGGACCCTTCCCCATGACAGCCTCTTGGGGGTAGGCAGGGCTGGAGAGCAGCGGGAGGGAAAGGAGGAAAGGTGACCATCACATTTCCCTCCCCCTCTCCAAAGCCTCCCCCTCCCTGGTCGGCCATTCTTCCCACTGGCTAGGCCTGGCACAGCCCAGAGTGTAGGGAGGAAGAACGAAGAGAGAAAACAGTGTCCTCGTCCCAGGTTTCTTCTGGCCTCTCCTTCCCTGAAAGTCACCAGGGTCTCCCAGCATGGATGGGGTGACATATAGTGCGGCACACATATGTTTCTGAGAGCATGGCCAACGTGCCTGCGCCCAAGAAAGGGGCTGGGGACCAGCAAAGTAGGGAGGAGACCTGGGCATGTGTGTAGCTGTGAGCTCATGAGGAGTCAGTGAGGTCACAGTGCCCACTTGCCAGTGATGGGCCCAGTGGCAGGGAGGGCGTGGACACGGAAAAGGCAAATGGCCACTTACCCTCACCCCTTCCCAGGCCCCAGCCCAGGTCTTACCGCCCCAGCACCTAGGACAGCCACGGCCTGAGAAGGAACCCAAGATGGCTGCAGACCAGGGGTTAGGAGCCCGTCTGTTCTGGTTCCTCAGGGCCCTTTGGCCTTGAACATTTGGTAGAGCCCGTTAAAATTAAAAAGCCAAGAGGCTGGTGGCTCTGAATGCCAGCTCGTTTTTCCCTGGCACGGCGGGTCCTGTTTAAGGGAACCAGCTGGTATTAATGGCACACAGCTCATCACAAACAGCAGCTAGCGATCAGAAAAATCAGAGCTAATAATCGGGTTCAGGAAAGATAATGAGATGTGGAACAATTACTGCTGAGGGTCCCCCAGGATCTGTTTTAACAGCATCCAAATAAGCCACAAAATAGAAATTAACCAAACAGGAGCTCCATTTTGGTAGATGGGGAAAACAAACAGGGTGTGGATTTTGCACAAGAATTTCTTATATGGCCAGCAGACAGGGCTTCTTGGAAAACCAGGGCTCAGGCCCCACAGGACATCAGCAACATCCTGAAGGAGGGAATAGGCCTTCTTGACCACCTATCTCCAAGGTCTGGCTACTGGGCCAGTGAATTTGCCATGAGCAGCTGACAGGAGACCAGGGGAAAAGGAGGGAAGGCCGGCTTCCTGATAGTCCCCACGGAGATGGGAACAGGGCTGACCAGCACCAGGAGCTATGGGTGGGGTGGGAGCTTCATGACACCAAATCTTTAGTGTCATGAGCTACACAGCTGGTGGCTGTAGCCTTAAGTACCAAGGGCTTTCCGGGCCAACAACAGGCCAGCAAGGAGACACTGGATGAGGCTGGAAGAATGCCTGCATCCCTCTCCCCGCATCTGTGCCCCCACTGCAGCCTGAATATCCATTGCCTGGAGGATGCCTCTGTGTCCAAGGGCTCTAGGCACTCCAGCTTCTCGCACCCCAAATGAAGGTTGTCTCGTTCTTCCTCACCCACACCCCAGCCTCCTCGCCCATTTCCAGCTCTGCTTCTCATGCCAGAGACCTCACAGCGTTCTGGGCAGGAGCCTCCTGGGGCCCACGTGTAACCATGGCTCCCTGGTGCATCTCCCGGATGTCATGAATGCAGCTGTTTGCTCTCCCTGCTCCCAACACTCAGCACGCAGCCTCTGTCCCTGGATGACAGTGCACCTCCTAACCAGGCCCCCTGTTTCCACTCTTGCCCCCATCCATCTGCTCTCTACAGCAGTCGGAGTGAAGTCTGAAAACATGGCGACTTGCTTAAAGCCTTCGGTGACACTGGAGGAGCCACACGGCCCTGCGGGACTGCCTGGCTTGCTTGCAAGGCTCTGGCTACCTGTATGAGGAGGTGCCGTGAGGGAGTGGGCCCAAGGGTCATGAAGGCTCCTGAGGAAGGGGATGCCTGCCTGAGCCCTGAATAGGAGGCTAGGAAGGGAGCAGGGCTCAGCCAAGGATCAGAAGCATGAAATACCAGGTTGTCTGCGGGGTACTCAGACGACAGTCTACAGACTCTATTGCATCAGTCATTATGGGGGTCCAAATAGCCCTGAAGAACAATGGAGTAAGGGGCACGCCTAAAAGGAGGGCCCCTCTTGGGTGGTAGATAATAATGTAACCAAGGTTAGGGGTTTGTGAGGGCACCGGGGGCAAGGGTGGGGGAAGGTCAAGGAATTGCTGAAGTACCAAAAATATCCACCAGAGGGCACACTTAGTAGCACACATTGGTAGTCAAGTGGACCCAAGACCCTCCATGGAGGTCAATTGTTCCCCAACCCCAGCCAGCCTGCCGCTTGGCAATGGGGTCAGCAGCAAAGTAGCCAAGTAGCTGGGACAGAGCTCTGCACAGGCTAAAACATCAGTTGCTCCAGCTGTGACCAAGTGGCTTGTTTGCTGGCAACAGTGACCAATCCTGACCCCTGAACCATGCCCCACAAGGGCCAGGGGGCTGCTGGGAAATCAATTACATCAGACCCCTTCTACATGGGAGGGGGCAACAACTTGTCCTACCTAGAAAAGACACAGAGCTGCTTTCTGTGTCTGACTCACACTGCCAGCATCACCATCTGCAGGCTTCTGAACACTGCAGATTCTCTACAGGGTCCATGAGATGGACCCTCCAAACCCAAAGCCACCCCCTGAACACAGCAAGACAATAGTCTGGTCCAGGATTCCCAGGTGCTGTCGTCCCCCTACCTCTCTCCAGCCTGGAGAAGAACAGAAGGGCCTGAGGTACACCCTCCACCACAGAGCCAGCCAGGCCCTGTCTTATAGGCGGCAGGGCATGCTCTGGGCCAGGGACAAATATATGCCGCTGACTTGACTATAGCCAGAAAACACAGGCCCAGGAACTAAGTATGAAGGTGAGCAGAGGGTTGAACTCTGTTATACCTAAAGAACCTCTCAAAAAATGTCTCCCAGTCCCCACTGCTCTCAGGGTACCTGGGGAAGGACTTGTCTGCCAGGAGGCGGCACGGTAATAGCTCCTCCAACCTAGAAGCTGAGAACACCACTCGGCTTCTCCCACCTCCTTATGCCACAGGGGGTGCAGCAGGAAAAAGGAAAAAGGGGTCTCTGTGTGTGATTAAGCCTGGGTAGGCCCTGTCACTTACTTCACCTCCATGCCTCAGTATCCTCGTCTGTAAAATGAGGATGAACACCTAAACAATGCCTGGCGTGCTGTAGGCACTCCAGAAGTGCTAGCCATTATTACTAATCTCATGACTACTTTCCAGTCTGACTATCCAGGGACACAGAGTTGTCAGTAAGCAATGGGAACTGGAAGGTGTATGGGTTCAGCACAGGGATCCCCTGGAACCCCTTCTTCTATGCCAGTGTCTGGTAGTGAAGGTTAACAGCCACTGCATCCTACACAGAAGGGACCCCCCAGGGCCCAGAACCTTTGAGAATGGAGCTCAGCATTGCCCCAACAGGGAAAGACCTCAGCCAGCTAAGAGGTCTGGGGACAGCTAAGGGTGTGAGGAATGGGCGTGAAGTGCCTCTCATCATGTGGCTCCCCCAGGCAGCTCCTGACTGGTCCCACAGCACTTCATCCCTGAGTCTTCCTCTCCAGCCCCACGTCCACCCTCATTCAGGCCCCTTGTCCATGAGGGTGGCCCCACCCCTTCTCCTCCAGCCCACTTCCACCTGCACCATCTGCGACACCCAGGTTCCCGAGCCCAGGCAGGGCTCCAGGCATGGCCTCCTTCCACCTGAGCAAGGCACTCATGGCACCTCTTGACTGGCCCTGATCCTCCTCCACTCACGATCACCATCACTCCCTACCCGGTGGCCGCCCTCCTGTTCTGAGCCCGGAGTTGGTCATGCTCTCCTGTGCACCTCTGCTTGTACGGTGCCCTCTCTCTGGAACACCCACCCTGCCTGCCCCTGGCTCTCTCCATTCTGTCCTACGAGTCAGCCCTGTGTGAAGTAGGGGCCCCTCCCTGCTCCCACCACACCCTGGGGTCACCTTCATCATAATTCTGATTATACCACAGAGCCTTCTAGCTTCCCCTCTCAGTGCCTTGAAAGATATACCAGTCCCTGAAGCCCCCAGCACCTGCAAAGTACCCGCACATCACAGTCCCCCGATGGGAGTCAATGTCTCTTACTTCCTCTCACCCTCGTGTAGCCGGGGCCCAGGGAGGGCCGCCCACAGAAGTGCTTAATGCAAACTCTTGAACTAAAAAACAGTGAGGATTGAGAGAGGCTTCCTTTGTTAAAAGACAGCAAACTGTTAGATTTCAAAAATAACTTAAGACGGGATTTCTTTTTTATTCTCAAGCAAGCAGCCAGACATTGCCAAATCTATTTAGAAGGTTCACCAAGAGGCTGCTAATCCCACCCTGGTGGTCCTGCAACCAGCAGGAGTCTTCACTTGGGGGCATGCAAACTGGGGATCCCTGACTCCAGGGTTGCTGGCCAAGGTCAGGGCTCCTCTGAGTGGGGCAGGGAGCTCTTCAGGGCCCCCAGAGGAGGCTGGCCTCCACTCCAGTTTGCCCTCTGTCCCAAGGACCTGCTTGCAGCCTGTCGGCCCCCATCCATGCCGCCTGCTTGTAGGGACTCGTTTTAATTAATGCCAGAGCTGGGCCAACCACTGGGGCCGTGACACTTGTTTGCAGGTCATCTCCTCCTAACAGGCTTGCCCTGGGAGGGGATTTGTCACTAATTGAAACAGAGATCAGTTAATGAGGCTGTAGGACCTGGGGTTCCAGAGAACAAGGGAAAGGAAAATAAAATAAAGCCTCTTTCTTCAGAGGTTTTGTGACTTACACACACAAAAGAAAAGCAAGCAAGCTGCCGATTTTCCAAGTCAGAAACTCCACTCCATCTGCCGGAGTTAGACGCTCACTGTGTGAAGACGTCAGGCGGAGGGACGCCGCCACCACTAGGACTCGCAGATCGGAGGGGCCTCAAGGCCAGCGATCAATCAGTGGCCTAATTAATAAGTATTTATGGGGCAGTGCCCTGTGCTCCTCTCCATGGGGGAGAAGCCATGGTGCCCGTCCCTGGTTAACTTGTAATCCAGTGGGGATGAGGCTCAGACTGCAGAACACTAAGGGGACAGGGACACAGTGCGACTGAGTGTGAGTGGGGAGGACAGGAGTTTCCAGGACTTGTGAGGAGGGAGAGTGCTATGGGCTGGAATGGTTGGGGAAAGCCTTTCGAGGGGTGCTGGAGCTCACAGGGAGGAGAAAGGAGGGAGTCCCCAGCACAGGCACAGCCCCGCGTGAGGCCCCAGCCCCTGCCCAGCAAGAGCTCAGCTCTGGGAACCCCAGAGGGCTCCAAGTCCCCCAGTAACTCTGTCTTCAGAACCCATACCCCACAAATCTGTGCTAGGTTTGCCCTGGCAAGTGGTTGGGACGGAGCGGCTGATGGTCCCTCAGGTGGGGCAGTGAGGACTGGACACACAGAGGGCTCGGAGCTCTCAGAAAAAGCTGAGTTTTGTTTTTTTTTTTTTTTTTTTGAGACAGGGTTTTGCTCTGTCGCCCAGTCTGGAGTGCAGGGGCACAATCGTGGCTCACTGCAGCCTCGACCTTCCAGGCTCAAATGATTCTCCCACCTCAGCCTCCCAGGTAGCTGGGACTACAGGTGTGCACCACCACACCTAATTTTTTTTGTATTTTTTGTAGAGATGGGGTTTTGCTATGTTACTCAGGCTGAGAAGCTGATTCTTGTTCTCTGAGCCCCAGGCCTGCAGGTGAAGGAAGTCCACCAGGACAATGATCCCCTTCACTCAGGCCTTTCCATTCAAGGCCACTCAGCATCCTTCCCTATGTAGCCTCCTCCTCTCACCTTGCCCCTGAGTCTCAAAAAAAGGAAGGGGATTTTTGAGCTGCTAAGCTAAGCAGACCATCAGCTCCTCTCATCACAAGGAACAAGGAGGAGGTGACAAGAGTTCTTTCTCCCACTCAGGGGAGCCTTTGGCCTTCACCCACCAAGTCCCCAGTATCAGGGACCCCCAATTTGTCTGACTCCCAAATGAAGTCTCCTGCTGGGCTGCAGGACAAGCTGGGTGGCAGGTCAGCAGTCTCTTGGTGAGCCACCTGAATGTCTCACTTCTTGCTTTTGTGAAGACATAAGGATTTGGGAAAGAGATCTTGGGCATGAAATGGGACATCCCACTTCACAGCTATTTGGAGATGACTTGGTCTATGTGGGAGTGAAATAAATGAGGCCATTTCAGGACAACCCCAAGTCCCTCCTTTAGAAGAATGGTGAATTAAATTGTGGCGTATGGTACAATGGGTAATTATACAGCCGTGAACAGTTATTATACAGTATTTACTTAATGGCACTGGAAAGATGAGCAAAGGGGGTTTTACCAAAAGGTTATTGTATGTGAATTCTTCATTATATGTGAATGTTTTCTTTTTCATTAGAGATAAGATCTTGCTATGCTGCCCAACATGGCCATAAGCAATCCTCCCAACTCAGCCTCCTGAGTAGCTGGGATTACAGGGGCACACCAGCTTGCCCAGCTGAATGGTTTTGGGGTTTTTTAATTTCTTAAATTTTTTATTATTTATTTATTTTTTTTTTTTCTGGAGATGGAGTCTCACTCTGTCGCCCAGGCTGGAGTGCAGTGGCGTGATCTCGGCTCACTGCAACTTCTGCCTCCCAGGTTCAAGCGATTCTCCTGCCTCAGCCTCCCAAGGAGCTAGGATTACAGGTGCCCACCACCATGCAGACTAATTTTTGTATTTTTTTTAGTAGAGACAGGGGTTTCACCATGTTGGCCAGGCTGGTCTTGAACTCCTGATCTCAGGTGATCTTCCCGCCTTGGCCTTCCAAAGTGTTGGGATTACAGGCGTGAGCCACTGCACCCGGCCTTTTGTTTTTTTAAATGGGGTCTTGCTATGTTGCCCAGGTTGGAGTGCAGTGGCTGTTCACAGCTGCAATCATAGCACACTACAGACTCCAACACCTGGGCTCAATGATCCTCCTACCTCAGCCTCCTGAGTAGCTGGGACTACAGGTGTGCCCCACTGTGCTCAGCTATGTGAATGTTGTTTGGTTTTCATTTTCTAATTTTTTTTTTCTTACCAGTTACATTAATGTATTGTGTAATGGATGAAATGACAGAGTTGTGAAGGGGCCCTTCGCCCTCTGGAGTCGGCTATAGAAGGCCATCCTAGTGGGGATCCAGAGACAGCCAGACGTAGGTACAGGGGCGGGCTCAGGGGTGGGACAAGCATGCAGAAGGTCCTGGCAGCTTGAGCGTCCACTCTGGCTCTGGCCCAGGGCCCTGACTGTGTCACTTGCCCCTGGCCTCCTCTGGGAAGCAGGGAGCCACACCTGCCGTACCCTCACGCTCAGTCTCTGAACCTCCCCTACTGAGTAGCTGCTCTGGCCTCAAAGTACTGTGGAGACTCAGAGTGAGCCTAACGCCCCTGGCTTCGGGCACTGACAGGTCTTCAGGAAGAGCTGGACGTGTGACACCAGTAAGGCCATAGAGAGGGAAAAGCAGTGCCCCGGCAGCTGAGCAAGAGCTCAGGGGAGCAGGCACATGGGCAGGCCTTGCAGAGTCATTCAGAGGCATCCCCCCACCCCGCTCGCTCCAGCCACGTTACCGAGCATGAGGAGCAGCTCTTCCGAGCAGAGTGCTGGGCAACCGCAGCCCCACTCAAGACAGATGTCCTGCCTCAGTGCCCCCAGGCACAACCTCACCTCCCCACCTGCTCTCCATTACAGGGAGCACCAGGTTGTGCTCTGTCTACTGGAGCCTCTTCTCGGCTTGGAAAGCCTGTCCTGACTCCTCCACCCACAGAAACCTGTCTCCCAAATCCTTGCCTGGCCTGGCCCTCAGACAAGCATCCACCTGCAATGCTGAGCGGGGTGGCCCCAGAGCAGCAGAGCCAAGAAGGAGCAGGGGAGGGAGTACTCACAGCAATGGAGACGGCGCTGATGACAGCTCCCAGGTATCCCTGGATGAACTTGGATGCAGGTGAAGGCTGGAAAACAGAGGCAGAATTTCAGGCCTGCTGGGTGCCCAAAGCTCCCATACTTCCCCTTGTAAGCTGTCCCAGCCAGCAAGAAGCATCCTGCCCACCAGCCTGGAAAGTGGGTAGAAGGAAGAGGCCCCTCAGGACTCAAAGGGATCAGGCCACCCTCAGCTCAGTTCCCAATGCAGAAATATAAATCACCAGTATCCAGGGAGATACTGAAGGGCCCACTTCACTCCTGCCCTGTTCTAGAAAGGTCACTGGCAGACAGTGCTGGGTGGAGGTGGAGAACAGCAAGGCTAACATGGACCATTGAAGGCTGGGGCAAGCAGTCTTCAGTTTAGAGGCTAAATGTTTCAAGGGGGCCATTTGGCATCTGGAGCGCTTTCTAGGTGGAAATGCCAGTGTCAAGGCTCTCACAGGCCTTGCCAGCCCATGGAACAGCTGGGCTCCCATGTCAACAGATGATAGCTGCCCAATATCTCTAGAGAATAATATACCCCAAGTTCCAACACAGACAATTAAGAAAAAGCTAAGGAACTTGCCCTGTGCTACAACTGCAGGTCTAGAAGTGTCTGGTTTAAGATAAAGGGAGTCATCCAAGCAGAGATGGCCATATGTGAAGCCTATGAGAGAGACTTGGGGTGGAGGTTTAGATGTCAGGGGGCAGCCACAGCATATCAGGCCTCTCAATTCCTATGGCCCAGGCCAGCTCCTATTCCCCTCCTCTCCCCCAAGGTGAGCAAATGTTAGGACTCTCCTCTACCCCAAACTGACAGGCCCCCAAAGGGGACTTAGATGCATCCTGCCTTCTTTGCCTTTGAATTGAAGTTGGGGAGAGGTGGCCTTGCCAGCAAAGCAGGGGCCCAGCAGCCCTTCCTGGACAACAGAAGGGTGACTGGGCCTCCACCACAAGCTCTCCAAGGAGTGCAGGGGCTCTGGGGGGGAGTTACCAGCCCTGGACCCTCCCCACTCAGGAGCAGCCCTTCAGCTTGTGGCCAGCAGTCGGGACCTGGGAGCGCTAAGGCAGCTTCCAGAAATTTTGGAGGAAGCTTTATGGGAATTTTGCCCCCAAGTAGCTGATACCATCATGATCCAAAACCCAAATGTAAGAGCTACCCAAGAAGAATCTGAAAGCCAGCCGAACTCATCCCTTGCACTGCTCCCATTTAATGGGCCTTCTTCACTTCATGTAAACAGCCCCTCCCCAGAGGGCTCCTGGCCCAGAAACTGCAGCTGACCTCAGCTGAGTCATGTCTGAGTCGGCCACCCACCTGAAGGGCTGGCATTTTAAATAAGATATCTAGAGGAGGGCCATGCTTAACCAAGAGGCAGCCACTGATGGTGGCATGTCACGCTGTAGGGAGGATGACTGGGCCTCCCTAGCCTGAACCCCACCACTGGGGAGAGGGCAGTGATGCTCACCTTGGTCGCATTGCGGTTTGCATAGTTGACACAGGCATTGTGGCTCTGGTTCAGCCACTGAAAGGCAATGATGAGAGAAGTCAGGGAAGGAGTGGTCACCTCCCTGGAAGCCAGGCCTGGACCCCAGGAGGCCACACATCCCCAGAAAGGCACAGCATGCGGTCTCCAGCTCACATGGTGCCGCCCATGCTGCCGGTCAGCATGACTGACCGTCCTGGTTTGCCCAGGGCTGTGCTGGTGTTAGCACTGGAAGCCCTGCCTCTCGGGAAGTCTCTCGGTTCCTGAATGGGGTCCTGCGCACCCCAGTAGTCCACCTGATCCTGAGACAGTCACCTCTCTTGGAATGATGGCATTCACTGCCCCTGCAGACCCCACTGCCTTTGTCACACCATCTTTATTATATTACCTGCTGGACAAAAGTTGGCCTAGAATGACTGACAGCCCTACAATTCTTTCAAAAATCTCCCAGTCCAGTATCCTGCACCTCCAGTTCCCAGACACAGAGGCCGGCAGGAGTTTAGTTCAGGGAAGACTGACATTTTCTCCTAGAAGACAGACAGGTTTTCCTTCCTGCCCGTCTTTCTCTGCACACACAAACACAGAGATATCCTCAGTTTTCATGGCATCACAACCCAGACTGTCTCCAAGAGCAGGGACCAGGGTCTGTGATGCACTTCACAACCTCAGGTTAGGGGTGGATTTAGCTTCCTCAGCAGATGTGGGGGAGGCTGATGTCAAAATGAGGCTATGGGCCTCAGGGTCACTGGCCTTGGGATGAGCAGCCAAGGGGCAGAGTGGGGGCCACCCCACTGACAAGCCAGCATGTTCCAGGCAGGGGCACGCAGCCCTCATGACCTCTGTCCAAAGGTTAGAGTGACACATGGTGGATTGAGACATGCTGGGCTGCTGGAGACCTGCTCAGCAGGGCCAAAGTCCTGGTTTTCCTTCAGTGGCTTCTGGGCTAGGGGTGGTGTTGGGGTGGACTGACCCTACACGGGGTCTGGACGGGGCAGGAGACACCACAGCAGGGAGTTCTTAACCAGCACCTGTGTGGGCCCTTCCTTCAGGAGCCCTGTTTGCTGCGAGACTGTTACCTGCCAGAAGACAGTGGATGCCAGTGTCTGGTTGGGCAAGAGAAGACCGACTACCTATGAGCAAGAGAGAAGAAATGCTGAAAAAGGCAGAAGAAACATCCTATGCTTTTGCAAAGAAAAAATACGCTACCACAAATGAGTGAGCTGGATCTGTACAAACTGATGTGGTATGCCGTGTACATACAAACTGAGGTTCATTGAGGGAGAGGCTGTGTGATGGGAAAAAACCAAGTTGCAGAATTATATTACAGCATAATCTTATTTATTTAAAGAAAAATCATTTTATATATAACGATATACACAAACACATGCATACACACATTATCTTCAAGCATGAAAAAACCTGTAGTGTGGATGTCTCTGGAGGTTGGGTTGCAGATTACTTTTGCACAATCTTAAATATTTCTGTATTCTTTTAAACAACAGACATGTATTATTTCCACAATTAGGGGGGCAATAAAAACAAGCAAACAAAAGGAATACCTTCGTTTCCACTCAGGTTACCTGACTGCTCACCCTAGCCTTCCCGTAGGATTTTTGCGAGGATTAAACAAAAATCATTTCAAAGGCCTTAAGTGCTTTGTAAATACAAGTTGGGGGAATTTGTATCTGTTATCTGTGAATTTCCATGAAGCAAAAACCTATACCAGGTTTAAGCAACTGAATGAAACATAGATTTCTAATATTTGTTGAATGAGTGAAGAAAGGAATGAATGAAGAAATGAACAAATATACACATATACACATATGGCTAGGTATGGGAACATGTAGATCCATTATTCCCAAAGCCCAAATATCACCTAAGACCTAGACTTGCTGACCGTGTTTTTGGTTTAAGTCAAGATGAATGGTCTGATTTTGACACTGGCCAAGCCTTGGACTTCAGGGATCCATGTGCATCTCTCCAGTTTACCTTCTGAGTGTTTGTGTGCAAAGTAACATCTACCAAGTCCCACTGCATATGGGAAAAATGTGCACAACCATCCACATATTGACTTATTTATTATTCCTGTAGATAAAATGGCTCTTTGGCAAGAATTTCTGTAAGGAACAAGTATAAACACTCAATAATATGCAGTAAATCAAATTCTAGACATCCCCAGCAGCATTAGTAAATCATGTTTTAAACATTAAAATGTTTTAAAACAGCTAACACACACACACACAATCTATATTTATTGGCTCATATCAGTTTGAATAAAATTATATAATATAAAGCTATTCCATAGCTCCAACGAGGAATTATGAGATTTTTCCCCCAGAATGAGATCCCAACTTGATTTTTTTTTTCTTTGCAGTGGCAGCTTAGGGAATTAGAGTGAGAATCAGGGGAACCTGGGTCTTAGATTCAGCTCCATCCCCATGTGATCTCTGGCAGAAAATGATCCCCTTTGGGGCACTAACTTTCTTAAACTATGAAAGTGAAGGGGCTGACCTCAGTTTAAAATTCTACTTCCAAATTCTGGGTAGTAGGTGTCAAGTCAACAGAGACGGTCTTTTCTGTAATGGGATCCCATCTGCTAAGGAGTATCCCAGGAAACTGAGGACCTCCTCGTAGTTGGGGCCCCCAGTTAGAAGCCAGACCAGAGGGAGGGAGCTGAGCCTAGCGGGGGTGGGGATGGGACAGGGGGGTGGGTGAAGAGTACATGTGCTCCTATGTGTACACGTATGCATGCCTGACTGCCTTCTACCACCGGAGGAAGTTAATAAGGCTGTTCACTGTTTGGAGCCCAGCACGTCATCCCCTGATCTGGAGTCTACTGAACACGGTGTCTTATGGACTACACTGTCTTCTCCTCTGAATCCCCACTTACCCCTCGAACTGTACTTGGACCACCAGGAACATCGTAAGATACAGCCCAATAGCACTCACTGCATTTACCAGACAACTGCTGTCCAGGACACTGCCCGTGACACCACAGGGTTCCCTTTATAATCCTCTTGGGGGAAATATTTTCCAGTCTCAGGGTCAGGAACTGTGCCTCTGAATAACTGGTGTGCATGTGCCTTGCAGACACTGAGCCATTCAACTGAGTCTCTTTGCACCGTCAGAAGCTCAGGCCAGCTCTCCACAGCCCCATCTGCCAAGTGTACAGACCCACACTGCATGGATTCTGTGCCCAAACCTCACTTCTGGCTTCATTTTATCTTCCCTTCCCTAACCTTCCCTTTGTCTCATTTTCATCTTCACTTGATTTATCTTTAGTGGCAAGCATTTTTAAAAGTGACATCAAGTCTTTTCCAGAACAAACCAAACTAGTATTTGGGCTATGTACCACACACATACACACTGCCCATGGCTCTGTGACCAGCAAGCTTTTTACTTTGTTAGACAATCCCCACTTTGCATCCCAACCTCCTACCCTAACATGGGTCTGGAGTCCATGCTGGCACCTCTGACTGCTATGAGTCTCCTCATTCTTTCTTAAAGAGATGGATTGACTGATTTGATTTTGCCACGCATTTCACTTATCATAATCCTCATACTAACCCTGGGGATCAAAGCAGAGATTACTTTTGATATTTTGCAAACGGGACAACTGAGGCTTAGAGAAATTCAGTAATCTGTCCATAGCTTCATAGCAAGCTAGAGAATCAGGTCTCCTGGTTCCTGGCTTGGGGGCCCGGACTCTGATTTTAGGGTACTCCTTCTCCAGCTCATCCCCTTGAGCGCAGAGAGAGGGGAGATCCAATCAGCACTCTGCATCCATTTATGAGGAGCTGCTTCTACGTACCAAGTTCCTTGCTGCTCCCAATGGAGAAAGCCAGAGGAGAGGAATGAGTGCGCGCGCACACACACACACACACACACACACACACACACACACTCCTTAACCACAATAAAAACAAAAACCAGACAAGAAAATGGAGGATGACATCCTTTATAACACCGAGGCTTGAAAATGACAAGATGGTTTAATGAGGTATTTGGTTATGTGTAAAGTTGATAAATTTTAACATCCAAACAGGAGTTTAGGAAGGGAGGGGTGAGTGTGTCCCGGCTATCTAACGAAGGCGGAGGTAGGAGTGAGCCGAGGGGGCGCCGACACAGGAGCAGGGACAGCCGAGACAGCAGAGAGACTGGTCTGACTGCAGAGGAGGTCTGGGAGACCAGAGGGAGTGTGGAGAGGGTGAGGTTAGAAGACAGGAACACCGAGCTGCATCGGCCAAATGGAGCCTTAGGGGGCCATGTGAGGCTGAGGCAGGGAAGCAGGGATCCTGCCCTCCAGGTCCTTACAGTCAGGCGGGGACCAAAAGCACGAGGATGCCAGCCCAATTCCCTATTAGGCAAAACGCAGCACCATCTGCACAATCCCAGGAGCAAGAGCAGATATTTTATAACTTCCTTTTTTCTTTTTAAGTCTAAATTAAAAATAAATGTTCCCTTCAGCTCTCAGATGTATATCTCTGGTGCAACCTGCCCACATTCCCTCCCGCTGCCCTTTCCAGAACATGGCAGGGGAAAGGAAGAAAGAGATGGATAGAGAGAGGGAGCCAGTCCACCCAGCTTCAATGCCAGTGGATTGCACCTCTTCCAAGAGGGAAACGATTCAGGCGTGGCCACGCAGACGGGTGGAGAGCGCCCAGAATGTGGCTGGTACCAAGGAAAGTGGAAGGAGAGGGAAACAGGAGCCAACAGCTATGATTTCTAGCCCAGCCTCCACCCTATCGCGCTGCAGGACCTTGGCCAAATCACACATCCTATCTCTGCTCCCATTTATAGTTCATAACATGGCTGAAGTCCCCTCTGCCGCTCCAGCCCCCTGGCAGCTGTGCTCTCTGCACATCCGTCTGTACCTTTGCTGCTCCCCTTCATTTTGGGTGTCCTACCATGGACCTAGTGATTAACGCTCAGGCTCTGGTTGTCAAATGCTGGTGCCAGCATTTACCAGCTATGTGACCACAGGCAAGTCACTGGAGCTCTTTGTGCCTCTGTTTCTTCACCTGTTAAGTGAAGGACAATCCCAGTACCTCTCAGGATGGTTATGAGAGGAAGTAAGGTGTGGAGGAAATTCGCCTCAGCATGCAGCCTGCAGCAAGCGCTCCCTGGATGCCGGTTGCCAGTGCCATTCTTCTCCTCCCATGTAGTTCTTTCCTGGCCTTTGCTGGTTTCTTTCTCTGAGCTCCATAGTCAGCATTACACCACTGAACATCGTCTCATCTCCATCTCGGGAACACAAGTCTTATCCCTCAGAGAACAGAGCTCTGGAAGGCAAAATTGGGGCTTTTCCCTCTTCTTCTGATGCCCCCGCCATGGCATTCAGCACAAAGCTGGGCCCACACCCCAGGGTGGAATAACACTCCTAATTATTAGATAATTATTGGCCAGGGAAAGATCTCTGCTGGACTGGGACAATGCACTCCTGACTCCTTTTATTAAGTCCTAATTGCAGGGGGTGGGGGTGGGAGATTGAGTCTTTGGTCCAGATTATTTCCCACTCCCTGCACCCATACCCTTGCCACGGCCTCATCACAGAAGGAATTTATTTCCTCACTTTTTGGCTCTGCTTGGTCATCTAACTTGCTCTGACTGACAGCACGTGGGAGGACGTGGCAGCGTGTCAGTTCTGAGCCCTGGCTCAGAGGCCTCATGCCTTCCTGCTTGCCCTGCTGAGCATCTGAGGTTGCCACGAGAAGACATCCCTGACAAATCCCTGGTCCAAGGAGGAGGACAGACAGGAGAGACAGGAGGGTACAGTCCATCCCAGGTCAGGTCACCCTCAGTTGACCATAGTGAGATGCAGAACTGCCTCAGTCAAGCTTTGTCTAGACCGGGCAAACCCCAGCCAACCGCAGATCCCTAAGAATGAATGCTTACAGGCACGGTGGCTCACGCCTGCAATCCCAGCACTTTGGGAAGCCAAGGCAGGCGGATCACCTGAGGTCAGGAGTTCGAGACCAGCCTGGCCAACGTGGCGAAACCCCATCTCTAGTAAAAATGCAAAAACTAGCTGAGGGTGGTGGCAGGTGACTATAATCCCAGCTACTTGGGAGGCTGAGGCACACGAACTGCTTAAACCCAGGAGAAGGAGGTTGCAGTGAGCCGAGATCACACCACTGCACTCCAGCCTGGGCGACAGAGCCCAAAGAGCGAGATTATCTCAAAAAAAAAAAAAATGCTCACGTATGCCACTGAAGTGTTGTGGATGTTTTCTACACAACACTATGGTAGCAATAGCTAGCTAATACACAGCTTACTACATATGCGGAGTGACTATGCTGTTCTTTCTAGTCCAAAATTCTGTACCATTATGAATATGCCTTGAATTAAGTCTTCACCAGGGATGCTGGCTCCTAAGCAGCCCTGCTTATCAAACCCACCCAATCCAGGGGCCATCAGCCCATCTCTAGGGCTGCCCTGACAGGCCCAGGAAGAGGGGCAGTTTGTGCTTGAGCCTAGTCTCAAGACAGAGTAAGGAATGGGGCCAATGGCACCCATATGGTAACTTGCTACAAGAAAAATCACATCTTCACTTTGGGCCTCCTCCTTCAGAGTATTCTAACTGCTGCAGAGAGATGAGGTCTCAATCTGGGAGAGAGGCACCCCCAAATATCTCAGTCTGCTTGGCCAGAAGTGGAACATGAACAGCTGAAGATAAAGGCAGGAGGGGTAAGGCCACTGCCACAGTTCTGTGTACGATGATATCAGGACTCAGAACTGAGCAAGCCCCCACCCCCTTGGCCACCTCCCATACAAAACTGACTCAAACTACAGGAGAAAGGTTTTTTTAAAAGCGTGGGAAACCTGGAGAGGAAATGGGGTATGCGTCAAAACAATTGGGTGGTAAAACTGAAGCCAGGGGAAGACTAGGGCGAACTGTCTTGTTCGCCAAGATAATGGAAATAATCATCCCTCTCACCCTTCACCCCATTTCTGCTTGGCTAATCCCTCCCTCCTCATCCTTCAGGTTTCAGTTTAGGCGTCACTTCCTCCAGGATGTCTCCTCTGACCCTCACAGTGAGGTTAGGTCTGTCACGCGCTCTCCGGCACCCTGCATGCCTTCTCTGTACCATTCACCTCATCAGCAAAAAGCTGTGGAAAGTTTATCTTCCTCGAGAGCTTCTATAAGCTTCAGAGAAATGAGGCCCCTCCACGCTGCCTCCCCACATACCCGGGAGCCTCCCAGGTAGAGCAAGTGTCTTTACATCTCATCCCCTTCCGCCACACTGACTCGCTCAACTCCAAAATGTTCCTCTTTGTCATCCACCATGGGCCGCAGTACCCCAACACACAACAATTGTCCTGTTTTTTCCTTCTACTGTGTCTCCATCTTCTGATTTATGTGGCTAATGATCTGAAAGTTACACTTCAGTGTATAAGGGGTGTTGCTACTTAAAGGATGTCAGCCAGTTAAAGAAAATCTCTGTCAAATGAATGTTTACCCCAGACCGGTCAATTCTAGCTTCACTGGAGCGACACCTCCTGTGTGGTGAGCTAGGTCAACATGGCTGGGGTCTGGTAATGCTGGAGGAAGGCCAGGGAGAACATTGGGATTGGGATTTAAATGTGCAAAAAAGCAGAGGAGGGATGAGGCGGCTTGGGAGATGTCAGGAGGGCCCTGGGAAACACCCCTGGAGATGAAGTGGCCGACACCAGCATCTTCTGATACTTAGAGTCTCTAAGCCCATGTGATCACCTGTGTGTTAAAATGAAGGAGTGCAAAGTACAGAGTCCAAGTTCTTAATGTCTCAAGACAGAAATCGGATTTAGACTTAACCTAAGGCCACCAGACCCAATAACTAGGTGTTCATGGTCTGCCCTCCTTAGCACCCTGGGCTGGAAATGAGGCATTTGGTCCCTAAGTTTTGAGAGTTCGACATGACATGGAGCGGGGAGAAGGAGAGGGGAGGGAAGCAGTGCTGTGGGGAGCTCAGGGCTGAGAGAGGCACAAATGCTCTCTGGGAGAGCCCCAGGCCCATGAGGGAAACCCAGGCCCTGGCATCCGAGGCATTCCGCAGCAGCCAAGGGAAGAGGGCGCAGGAGCAGAGGAGAAATGGAGAGGGCAGGCAGGACGAGGGCCGGACCACCAGGGCCAAGCCGGGCCCTGCCTCTCCCAGGCCACGTGCATGGAAGCGGCAGTGCTGTGCTTAGGGGAAACCTGGGAAGGGAGAGGCCGTGTATAAGAAGCAACCACGCTGGCGGGTTTTTTCTGGAAAGATACCTGAAGAAAGGGAGTGACGAACCGCAGAGCCTCAGGGACAGCCTCAGTGCACCGGCATAGCCGCGGTGCTTATGTATAAATTGGGATCTCTTTGCCACACACCGAAGGGGGAAAAAGTTCCCATCTTCAAATGTTAAGCTTAAAATAAGACACTACATGGTTGCCAGTGGATCTGTGAAATCTGCTGACTAAACTGGCACCAGCCTCTGGGAGAAAACCAGCTCGTTTCTCCTGAGCTCTGGGGGGCGAGCAGGGTAGGGCGAGGTGACTCCCGGGCAAAGTGGAAACAGCGTAGGGGTCAAGCTGGGGATGTGCACCTGGGCAGAAGGCAGCTTGACTGTGGTTTCCAGAAGCTTCTCAGTTGAGGCACCTGCCAGCCTTACTCGCCCCTTCCCTTCATCACTCAGGGACCCAGTTCCTAGCACATTCGCTGGCACCCTCGTTTCTATTTTGGTAAGCATTTTTAGTGGCTTCTGCATGCGTATATTTTCTTACCCACTCCATCAGACCAGGGGCTTTCCTAAGGTGTGGACTGGAACCTTCACTCCCCTTCAGACCAGGCATTTGCTTAAATGTTCAGTGCTACCAGGCGACAGCAGGGCCTTGGAGAAGCTGATGGGGCTGCAGGAAGCACTGGAGCAGCCAGCATGCTCTTTCCACACAAGACGAGGCAGTGGCCCAGGGGTGGGGAGGAGTGGTGACGGACCATGTTGCTTGTCCATGTGAAAGTGCCAAGGTGGGAGGCCCAGGTTCTTCAAATCCAGTGGTTCCTCTGGAGACTCAGCCTCTGGCTTGACTGTTCTGAACCTCAGGATACAGATATCTGGGGCTAGGAAGTGGGGATAGGTGAGCATTGTCATTTCAGTTCTGGCTGCCTCGTAGAGCTGCTGGGAGGTATCCCAGGCCATGCTCCCCATTTCGCCTCCATCAAGTATTCACACAGGATCTTGGGGGCCAGGGCATCCTCTTCTTACACCACATGCGTTTATTCACAGAAGGATGCTTGCTCCAGGCTGGGAAAGGATCGGTCCTGTTAGGACATTCACAGCATCTGCTTCAGCAATGAACCCCTGAATGGCAGGGGAGTGGATCAGCATCCAAGTCTCCCACCTGCCTACAGGGCCATAGTGACCCTGCAATGATGGGCTTGTCTAGGGTAGGGTAAGGAGAGAGTGGAAACGTATGGGGTGAGCCTCAGTAACTCCTTGTGAATGGAAGACAGTGCTGGCATCTGCTGGGTTGGCCAGTTCTTCCCACTTGATGGCAGCTGATAATTGTGTAAGGGTCCATTTGGCTTCTCAGGGAAAAATGAGCCCCACATTCAACTTTTGCCATTTCAAATACCCAGTTACCCAGTTTAACAAAGTGATGATACCACCAAATTGTATATCTTTTAAAGTGTTGATGGAATATTTATAAAAGTTATTATGGCATTCTTGTTTGCCTATCACCATTCTTCCCTTCTTTCTTACTAATAGAATCCTTATATAATTGGGGATCAACTATATACCCAGCTAAATTCTAAATGAAATGTATATACCCAGCTAAATTCTGAATGAAATATATGCAGAACATGGAATGTTGCATGGAAATTCCCAAAAGGCTCCTTAAAGAGAGGCTGTATCTTAAAGATAAATGTATTTCGGTTGGGAGATATAGCCTACTATTCTTCTTTTCTTTCTCCTCTCTGGAATGTGAATGTGATGGCTGGAACTCCAGCAGCCATCTCGGGCTATGGGGTGACTTTTTACAATAGAAGCCAGTACTGAAAATGGTGGTGTAGAAAAATGGAAGTCTGGGTTCCTGATGATATTGTGGGGGTCCTCCTTATCTCCAAACTTCTTTGACATAAGAGAGAAATAAACTATTTTGTTTAAGCCACTGTTATTTTGGACTTTGTTACATGCAGATGACCCTGATCCTAACTGACATATTCAGATACCATGCTACAAAGAAAACCACAATAAATCCCAAATGGCAAAATTTGGCAAAATTGTAGAGGTCACTTTCTCTGAAAATAAGATAAGCTAGAACATAACAAAAGAACACATTTTTTAAAACCCAACCACTTAGAATTTAAAATGTGTTCTTCTAATTGACTAAAGAGGATTTGAAATTATAATTCCAAGCTTATTTAGAAAATAACAACATAAGATCACTATATATGAAAACATATCAGATATAGCCATGTTTTAGATATATTCAGAGGCAAATTCACAGCACTAAACACTTTCATTAGAAGGAAAATAAATAAACTAAGCATTCAAGGCAAAAAGTAAGAAAACCAACCACAAACAAAGAAAGGAGGGAAAAAGGATATTATAAAAACAAAAGCATAAAAGAATAATTAGAATACAGAATTGATAAATACATCCAAGAGCTGATTCCACGACATAGCTTTCACAAATCAATCAATTGTGCAGTGGCACAATCAAAACTCACTGAAGCCTCAAACTCCTCAGCTCAAGTAATCCTCCCACCTCAGCCTCCTGAGTAACTGAGACCACAGGCGCACACCACCATGCCTGGCTAATTTTTAAACTTTTTTGTAGAGATGGGATCTCCCTATGTTGCCCAGACTGGTCTCAAACTCCTGGGCTCAAGCAATCCTCCCACCTTGGCCTCCCAAAGTACTGGGATTACACGTGTGAGCCACCACTCCTGGCCTCAGTTATTTTAATAAAGGAGATGGAGGTGTGGAGTGGAAAAAGACTCAAATCAATCAAAAGAGAGATCATTATATTTAAAGACATCAATATTTAAAACTTTTCTATAACAAAGACACCAGAGAATAAGGGAGAAACAGCTGGAGAAGAGACGTGCCATATATATAATCCAAAGGATTAATGTCCAAAATACATAAAGAGCTCTTACAAATCAACTAGAAAAATATGGCCCATGGAAGAATGGACAAAGAGTGTGAACAGGTAATTCAGAGAAGGGGGAATACAAATCACCAATAAATAGATTTAAAAAGCACCAACATCTTTTTGGTGTTTATGGAAACAAAAATTTAAAGTATAATGAGAATCTACCCCTTCTCCCATCAGATTGGCAAAAACGTTAAAAAGATGAATGAATACTAGTGTTACAAAAGCATGGAGAAATATAGTCTTTTTGAAGGGAAATTCAGCCATATCTGTTAAAGATGTAAATGTGTGTAGCTTTTTATGCAGCAAATTCACTTTCTGGAAGTGCCCTTGAGAAACCCTTATCCTTGTGCAAAAATGGCTTTACAAAGATTTTTCACAGCACAATCGTTTCTAATAGCAAATAATCGGACATAACCTCAACCCATCACACTGGAGGAGAGGGTGCCATTCAGCAGAGAAAACAAACAAATAAATAAATGAAGCCAATTGTTATGGAGGCAAACTGCTAAGTGTCATAAGCTAACCATAGATAAATAAGTATATTGTTATATTTTAATGGAAAACTCCACAAAACAAAAAAACACTTTAAATGACTTAAATGTATGCAGATATCTAGAAAAAGCCTAGAGGCACACACCAAACTTCTTACAGGGGTTACTCTGGGCAGAGATTCGGGGTTGAGGAGCATCACAAGGACCTCTACTTTTGGTTGTATTGTTTAAATTCTGAGCTGAGAGAACATTCATGTATTACTTGTATAACTTTTAAAATATTCTTTATAAAACATTCTTGGTGGTATTTTTGAATCCCAAAGAACATATTCATGTATTACTTGTATAATTTTATAAAATATACAGAGAAGATTTTTTTTTAAATCCTAGGAGATATTTCTGAACTCCAAAGATAAAGAGAAAAAATATCAAACGATTCCAGGGGAAGGGGGAAGTTTACCTAGAAAGGAAAAGAAAATCAGGCCAACTATTGTTCATGTATGAAAGAGAAAAAAAGATCTCCAGATATGCAAAGATTCAGAAAGGCATATTACCCCTATATTCTGAATATTGTTCTAAAGGGTATTCTAGCCAAACAACACACACACACACACACACACACACACACACACACACACACACACACACACACAGCCTAAATAATTGTTAAGTATAATACAGGTGTTAAGAAAGGCTTTATAAATCTGATGAAATTCCAGATGATTTCCAAAAACTTGGCAGGTGTGTGGAGGGAGGTAAAATGATCAAGTAGAGAGTAGAGTGAAATTACATGCTACAGGTCTCCTCCTATGTGGGTAGCGTTAGGTAAGTCATATTTATTATTTGACTCTTGATTATAAAGTATATATAATGCAACCTCTCTGTACTATAAAATATGACAGATGAATGGTAAGTAGAGAAAATTAGGATGCTCCCCTTCCAAACTAAAGAAACTAAAGGACTTATCCTCTAGTATAAATCAGGAGAAGAAGTGGAAACAATAACAAAGCTTAATAAAAAGCTAACAGCCACAAGAAAACCCATTTGACAGCTGGGATATGCAGTCATAACCATCAGTGGCAGAATAAATACGAATGGGTTCCATTTCTCATTAAAATTAAAGGCAGTGTTTCTCAAACTGAGTTAAATGTAAGTAGCCTTTTTATGCAGCAAAAGTAGAATTCAGCTATATTTTGTCCAAAAGAGATGTGTAATACAAAATGGCACAGAAATTAAATGACTCTGACATAAAGGTACAGGCAATGATATATAATGCAAGTCATTTAAGCAAAACAGGAATAAAAAAATTAAGAGAAAATTCAAGGCAAGAATAATCAATGAAACAGGGATATTTCGTGTGTGTGTGTGTGTGTGTGTGTGTGTGTGTGTGTGTTTGAGAGATAGAGATGATATCAAGAAGACAAAACTGTCTGAACACACCAAACACCATTGCATTGAAATCTATAAGACAACCGCAAGAAATGCAAAGAAATGAAACACACACTTGCACATACACACAATTATGGTGGGAAATTTATAAACCTTTCTCAGAATATTTCAGAACAATGTAGTAGTTTCAGGGCAACGACATAAAAATAGAGATGTGAATAATACCTCTCTCGATATATTTATATATTTTTAAATATATGTATAAAATGAAATATTTCAAGGATACAGAAAAGTCTAGAGGATAACGAGCATCCATATATGTCCAATCTTATTTCGTCAATTTTTTTGTGAAGATGTTTTTAAAAGATGAAACACTATAAATACAAATGAAGCACCCCCTGTTCTCCTGCTAAATTTCATTGCTTTCTCTCCCCAGAGGTAAACAGTATCACGAAGCCGGTGCTTATTGTTCCCATGGATGTTTTTAAGGATGCATTAAAAATGTACTCATAAACTATATATAATATTGCTTTGCATATTTTTTAACATTATATAAATGACAGAGAGCATTACTACTCTGCTACTATTTTTTCATTCAACATTGTTTTTGAGATTTATCCATATTCATAAATGTCGCCCTTGCTCATTGTTTTCTTTCCTGTGTTAAGTATTCCACTGCGTGACTAAGCCATGACTGATTCATTTTCTTGTTGATGGAATTTCAGCGGTTTCCAATTTTTTGCTATCATAAACATTGCTGCAAATATTTTCTTTTCATATTTAAATGTCCTTTTGCATATAAGGTGATGTAGAGATCTGACTTTCTTTCTTTTCCACATAGGTAGCCAGCTGTCCCAGCACCATATAATACTATTAGATGGTTTGTCCTTTTTCTCCACTGATTTGTAATGCCACCTTAGTCAAATCTTAAATTTCCATATGGGCATGTCTCCAGGTTCTCTGTTCTGTTCCACTGACATATTTGCTTATCACTGTACCAAAACCAAGTTGTCTTATAATATTTGGTAGGGTGAGTCCTCTCCCACCACCTTATTCTTGAAAATTGTCTTCACTATTCTTATCCCCTAGCTTGTATTCATGTAACTTTTCATAGCAACCTGTCAAGTTCCATAACAAATCCTGATGAGATTATGACTGAAATTACATTGAATATAGATTTTAATTTGAAGAAAACAAAATGATACAGCTCTCCACTTATTTAGATCTCCAATGTCCTTCAATAAAGTTGTATATGTTTCTCTATTAAGGTCTTGAATATTGTTTCTTGAATTTATTTTTATATCCCTTATTGTCTAAAATACTATTGTAAATGACATCTTTTATAAAAATCATATTCTAGATGTTTGTTTTAGGTTTATAGGCATACAAAATTTTTTTGTATACTTGTCTTACATCCAGAAATCTTTTAAAATAGTTCCAATAGTTTGTCTATTCTCATAAATGTTTTTCTTTCTTTCTTTCCAACTCTAATACCATTGTTTATTTTTTCATGTCTTACTGCACTTGCTAGTCTTCCAGGAAAATGTTAGATAGAAGCAACATTATCAGTCATTCTTACCCTGTCCAACACATTAAGAATTTACCTTTGTTTCATCTTTAAGACAGGTGCTTGCTATGGTTGGTTTAAATCATTTTTTATAGACACTATCAAGTTAAGAAAGTTCCTTCTAGACCTAATCTGTTGTTTTTATCATAATAATTACCGTAAATTGAGTTATGTTTTATTTTATCAAATACTTTTTCTGTATTTACTGGGGAAATCATGTTTCTCCTTCAGTTTCTCAGTGTGATCAACTAATATTAATACATTCTCTAATGTTATCATATTTGGTAAAAAGCATTTCGTTATGATGTACTTTGATGCATTGCTGGAATCAGATTGCTATTATTTTATTTCATAATTTTTACATGTAATTTCATAAGTGATATTGGCTTATACTTTTTCTTTCTTATACTTACTTTGGTATTGGTCTCAAAGTGCCTCATAAATGAACTGGGAAGATTTCCTTTTTTTCCTCTCTCTTTTTTGTTTTTTTTCAATAGAGACAAGGTCTTGCTATGTTGCCCAGGCTGGTCTCAAACTCCTGGGCTCAAGCGATTCCCCTGCCTTGGCCTCTCAAAGTGCTGGGATAAGAGGCATGAACCACTATGCCTGGCACTTTTTTTGCTTTTGAAAGCTTTATAAAATTAAGTTCAGCTCTTCCTTTGGGAACAGTCACCTGGAAGATCAGAGCCCAGTGATAATTTTGGGTTTGTTTGTTCTTTGGTGCAAATATTTTAAACTGCAAATTAAATTTCCTTTTATTTATAGGTCTATTCAGATTTTAAGGCCAGGTGTGATGGCTCATGCCTGTAATCCCAACACTTTGGGAGGCTGAGGCAGGAGGGATCACTTGATCCCAGGAATTTGAGGCTGCAGTGGGCCATGATCGCATCACTGCACTCCAGCCTGGGAGACAGAGTGATACCTTGTCTCCAAAAAAGAAAAAAAAAAAAAAGACTCTATATTTCGTCTTTCTAGGCAGTTTTGGTAAGCTGTATTTTCCCAGAAATGTATTCATTTCTTCTAAGTCTTTAAATGTATTGCCTTGAGTTGTTCAATGCATTCTGATCTTTTATTCTGCTACTGCATCTATAATTATTGTACTTCTTATTGCTAATGCTGTTTATTTGTATCTTCTCTCTTTTGTCTTGATCAATCTTTCTAGAAATGTCTATTTAATTAGTCCTTCTATAGAACCTAGGAATTTACCCTGAAGATATATTCCAACAATATCACAAGATTACCATTTTGGCATTATTCATGATGGCAAAGTATTACAAATAATCTAATGTAAGAAATTATCTAAATAAATCATGGTACTTCCACTTAGTAGAATACTATATAGCTGTAAAAAAGTAATAATGAGGAAGATCTCTATAAATCGATATACAGTGATTTTCAAGATATATCAAGTGGAAGAGCTGGGGCAGTGGCTCACACCTGTAATCCCAACACTTTGGGAGGCTGAGGCGAGTGGATCACTTGAGGCCAGGAGTTCAAGACTAGCCTGGCCAACATGGCGAAACCCCATCTCTACTAAAAACACAAAAATTAGCCAGGTGTGGAGGTGCATGCCTGTAATCCCAGCTATTCAGAAGGCTGAGGCAGGAGAATCGCTTGAACCTGGCATCCGAGGCTGCAGTGAGCAGAGATCATGCCACTGCGCTCCAGCCTGGGAGACAGAGTGAGACTCTGTCTAAAACAAACAAACAAACAAACAATGAAACCACAAAAAACAGATATACTGAGCGAAAAAAACATTGTGCAAAAGGGTGTACGGATGCTTCTCAACTTATGATGTGGTTACGCCTGATAAACCCATCATAAATTGAACATATCGTAAGTTGAAAATGGGCATTTTGTTGACATGATGGGATGCGGAACATAGAAGGCAATATTCAAAAAAACACTGGCAACAGAGTACATTGTAGTATGGGTTGTTTACCCCCGTGATCACATGGCTGACTGGGAGCTGCACTGCCCAGCATGGTGAAAGTATCATATCACATTTCTCTAGCCTAGGAAAGGATCAAAATTCAAAACTGCAAGTATTGTTTTCAGTGAATGTATACTGCTGTCACATATGATAAAGTCAAATAATTGTAAATTGAACCATCGTACGTCAGACACATCGGTATATAGTATACTACATTTTATATAAGAAAAAAGGGGGAAAGCAGATATTTGTATCTGTTTATTCTTACAAAAAAAATAAGAAGGAGAAGTTGTTTACCTCAGAGGATGGGTGAGAAGGAGGTAGCAGGGATAGGAAGCGGAGTGGAACTTTTATGAGTGTATCTTTTTAATAGCTTTGACTTTTAAACTATTCCCCTCTCCTAAATATCAAAAAAAGTAAATTAATAAGAATGGAGAAACAACTAAAATGGAATGCCAACAGAAATCAGTTAAACCTAACTGTGTATCAAGTAGATAACATAAACACATAAGAAAAAAATTAATTCAAGAAACTTTTGAACATGGTTCTCTGTGTACTCTCAATAGGATACTTTCTAAGGACAAAAAGAACTTCAAAGAAATCTTGGGCTTTAGTTACTACGTATTTTGAGAGTGGTATTGATGTAGCAATTCTGAAAACTCTTATTTGTATGTATAAGATTTAGCAAGTGAGTACATATACTGTTGGAGTCTCATTCAGGGAGAAGGGACATTCAAATATGAAACGGGAGAACAAATGAACATCGAGATGTTTGATGGGAATTACAGGTATCAGTATAAACTCATGAATTTTTACAAGTTGTATCTCCTAGCTCTGTCCCCCAAGAGTACCTAGAAGCAATGCCACTCCAGTAACCATGAGTACACCCAGCATCAAGATCTTGGTTTCTAAGTATCATTTCCCTCTAAAAGGAAATAGGGCTCCTTGGAGAAATCAATTATTCTAGGATGGGGGTGAAGAGAGTACTGTACAGACAAATCTACTGTAATCTCAGCACTTTAGGAGGCTGAGGTGGGAAGACTGCTTTCAGTTAGGAGTTCAAGACAAGCCTGGGCAACATAATGAGACTCTATCTCTATAAAAAAATTTTTGAGAAGTTAGCTGGGCATTGTGGCACATGTCTGTAGCCCTAGCTACTCGGGAGGCTGAGGCAAGAGGATCACTTGAGCCCAGGAGTTTGAGGCTCCAGTGAGCCATGATCCTGCCACTGCACTCCAGCCTGGGTGACAGTGAGACAAAATAAAAGAAAAAAGAAAGAAAAAGGAAGGAAGGAAGGAAAACAGAAAAGGAAGAAAAGGAAAGGAGAAAGGAAAAGAAAAAAAAAAGAGAAAGAGAAAAGATGAACCTAGAATATCCTGTTGTGTCAGAGAGTACTGAAGCTCTCAAAGACTAGCGGGGCATGTCAAATAGAGAAACTGCTTTAAGGTTGGGTCAAAAGTGGCCCCATTTGCATATCAAAATAAATAATGACAAGAGTACATTTTTACCCACTGAATAAAAAAAACCACAAAGACTGTATTAACAGTATCTAAATACTGATAGTTTTAAGAAAACATTAAAGAAAGAGGCAGAAGGGAAACTCGAGAGGATGCCAACTAATTAACATAGAAGGAATAGTATCTATGATATCCATAGGAAAATTTGAGACTATGCAAATATTCTGTTCTCAATTAGTTTTTTACCCAATAGTTTTAACATCTGTTGGTCATTCTTGTCTGCTTCCAGTTTTAGACTAATGTGAAAAATGCTACTATAAACATTCACATACAGATCTTTGTGTAAACAAACATATTCATTTATCTTGGATAAATACCTAAAATAGTGTTATGTGGTCATATAGTAAGTGCATCTTCAGCTTTATAAGAAACTGCAATACAGTTTACACACCACCTGCTGCAACCCAGGATCCATTCTCAGATCACACATTGCATTTATTATAGTTGTTACCTGTTTTAATTTAGCTTCCTAGGTCTATATCCAAGAGGAATGAGGGCATATATCCACTAAAAGACTTGTACAAGTATGTTCAAAACAGCACTATTTGTTGTAAACCCAAAACTAGAAAAACCCAAATGTTCACCAACAGTAGTATGAATAAAGAAATTCTGATAATTTATGACAATGGAATATTATACAGCAAACAGAAAAGAACAAACGAATGTTACAGATAACAATATGAACAAATCTCACAATGTGGAGTAAAAGAAGCCAGACACAAAAGAGCACATGTTGATGATTACATTTATATCAAGTTCAATAACAAGCAAAACTAAAATATAAAAGTCAGAAAAGTGATTTTCTGTCGGGGTGGTGATTGGGAAGGACACATGTGAGGTTTCTGAGATGCTAATGATGCTCTGAATCTTTATCTAAGTGAGCTGGCCGAAGTAGCTCAGTTGGGAGGGTGTTATACTGATTCCTTACCTAAGTGATGTTTACTGGATATGCTTGCTTTTCTTTTTTTTTTTTCTTTTTTTTTTTTTTTGAGACCGAGTCTCGCTCTGTTGCCCAGCCTGGAGTGCACTGGCGCGATCTCGGCTCACTGAAAGCTCCGCCTCCCGGGTTCATGTCATTCTCCTGCCTCAGCCTTCCGAGTAGCTGGGACTACAGGTGCCCGCCACCACTCTCAGCTAATTTTTTGTATTTTTAGTAGAGACGGGGTTTCACTGTGTTGGCCAGGATGGTCTCGATCTTCTGACCTCATGATCTGCCTGCCTTGGCCTCCCAAAGTGCTGGGATTACAGGCGTGAGCCACCGCGCCCAGCCCTGGATATGCTTGCTTTTTGAAAATTTACCAAGCTGTACATTTATGATGAATGCACCTTTCTGTATGTTTTATTCCAATAAAAATAAGGAGTAAACATAATCCTGATTCTAAAACTGAACAAAAAGAATGCTGAAAATTCTTTCTGAATTAATTTTAAACTTTGATTTTTCAGAAGGCATGCTTCTACTCCTACTTCCCAAGTTCTTTGAGAAAACTTCCCTATGACTAGCAGGTGCTAATGACAACAGTGGGGACAGAAAACGTGCAGGGAAGAAGGCAATTTTCAACTCAACGCTGGATTTAAGTCATCAGGCTTTTTATGAAAAGAGGTTTGCCAATCAGCATCAAGAGATGTGGTAAGAAATACATATCATTTTATTTGGTAATTTCCCTCCAGGAATTGACTTATCCTAAATCAACAATTCAGTCAAATACCCGTGAGCAATAACATAAAGTTAGACATTTAAAATAATTTTTTAGAAAAGGAAATCCTTTGAAGGTAACACTTACAATTGGCGTCCCAAAAGGAATATAACCTGTGAACGAGAAGAAAAGAGTCAGGCCTTATAATCCACTCACATCTCACCTGAGATACCCAGGAGCCTCCGGGTTAGGTCTTAGGCTATCAGTGGCCCTGATGAAGGGGCTCAGGTCAGTTAGGCGGGAGGCATCTCCTATCTCATAGACCCTTTCCCAGTTCAGCCCTCACCGGGGCTGTGTCCCCAGCCTCCTCTTCTCTGCTCCCCTTTGGCCAGGCAGCTTTCACTCTCCCCTGGAACCCAGAGGCCTGTTCCTGCAGGCAGGGCTGCCTGCGACCTGGGGCACCACCACTCCACACTTGGTGATCCTCCTACGATTTCCTGCGAGGCACGACACACCCTGCCCACGCTCACTACATGAGGCTGAACATCCTCCAAGGACCCCAGAATGTCTTCCTTCTTGCCTCAGCTTGTCTTTCTAACACAGGCCCTTACTTCCCCGGCATCATGGCCATTTCTGGAAAGAAAATTCCCTCCCAAACTGAGCCATGCACCTCTAAGTGCCAGAGCTTCTTAAATCCGTGGCATCCCCAGTGGCGCAGTAGGGAGCTGGGGTGAAGCGCAGCCAGGCTGTGAGTACAGCCTCCTCGCTGCTCTCAGCCCCCAGGCGAGGCTCTCTCCACAGCCCCAACTGCTGTCAGTGGACAGCCTCCTGTCCCCAACCTCTAACCGTGGCAGCCAGTGAGCAGTGGCTGGACAGCGGGATCGGGCTTATCTGACTTGCATCTAAAGTAAAGCTTTGCTCCTGAGTGCACATAATCACACACACACGTGAGCCATGGTTCTCATACCCACTTCTCTCTGGGGAGAGAACCAGAGTTTGATCAGGGCCTCAGAGGAATGCATGACTCAAAAAGGTCAAGAATTACAAGAGAAGCCAGGCTCAGGGTGAGAGCCTGCTGTGCCGGGTGCAGGGACTGGGAAGCATCTACAACCACAACTGTAAGATGCTCAGAGCCCTTCCCAGCACTTTGGGAGGCCAAAGCAGGCGGATCACTTGAGGTCAGGAGTTCTAGACCAGCCTGGCCAACATGATGAAACCCCATCTCTACTAAAAAATACAAAAATTAGCCAGGTGTGGTAGTGTGTGCCTGCAGTCCCAGCTACTCGGGAGGCTGAGGCAGGAGAATCGCTTGAATCTGGGAGGTGGAGGTTGCAATGAGCAGAGATCATGCTACTGCACTCCAGCCTGGGCAAAAGAGGGAGACTCTGTCTCAAATAAAAAGAAAGAAAAATGCTCAGAGCCTTAAAGTTCTTCACGGCAAAGCCAGGGGGTCACAGGGCACTCACTGCCCCAGTTTACACAATGACATCACATGTCCATCAACTTCCTGGTTGTTTATTTTCTTGCCCTCAGTGAGGCCAGGCTCTCTGGGGGTGGCGACCCTGAGGGACCCATTTGACTGAGACCGCCTTTCTCCAGCCACCCGAGGCCTTCCCAAGGCAGCAGCAGCAGTGCCCTCCCATTCCACCCTCATAATTCAAGGTGGCTGTGCCCCATTGCACTGAGAAATGGCAAGAAGGAGGCGTCAGCACACCCATGAGTGTGACTCTGCAGAGTCTCTCACAACTGCTGGGGGGATAAGCATGCCAGCCTAGCTCGTGTACATGCCAGTGCTTTCTAAGCCCTAAAGCCCACATAGGCACAGCTGCCCCTTCAGTGACCAGTGGGATTTCCTGGGGCAGGGATCTTGTATCACCCTCTGCCTCCTGGTCTCCACAGAACAGGAATCCCACCTTCTGTATGTGCACAGCAGTGCAACAACAGTGCATCCATTCTGAAGGGAGGGCTAATGGCAGGATCAGAGAACAGAGAATTAGGCTGGAGACTGACTGCCTAAAAGGGGCAGGGCAGGGAGCAGGACTTGGAAGGAAACAGCAGGTCACACACCGGTGAGAGGGGGAATGACTTGCAGAAGCCAGGGCTTGCTTACAGCAGGCATCACTGAGGCTGTCCTAGTGTGCGCTGAGTGATGTGGAGTGGGTGGTGGTGGGGGCTACCAGATTCACCTGTGGAAGCCCTGGTTCCACCCCAACTGCTCAGGCAGAAAAGGCAGGTAAGCTCCATAGAGTATTCTGAGGCCTGGCCAGCGCCTTGTACAGTTGAGCTGAGGTGAATGTAGAGGTGCAAATATGGCCATGATTGTAACAGGCTCTGTCCCCTCCTTAGGCCAGCACATCTGGATGCTCCTGGAACTGTGACTGGAGTAAGCACCCCAGGCTGACCAGAACCAGAAGGGCCCCAGGAGCTTACCTGACATTCTAAATGGCATGAAGATCTTCTCATTGGTGTCCGGATGTAGAATAGCCTGGCAAAAGCAGGAACAGAGAATGGGGTGGGGACGGGGGTGTAGGGAGGGGGAAGGGGGAAGGGGGAGGGAGGAGGGAGAAAAGCAGAGGCATTAGGGGAGGAAGAAGGGAAGAAGACAACTTCTCTGGGAAGATTCAGATACCAGTGGCTGTATGTTGCCTTGTGGCCAGTTAGGCCTTTCCACCACTCAAGGCAAAAGAATACCAAACCATGGGCCATAAACAGATAGCACCACTCCTCCTGACTTACCCTAAAAGCTGAATGCAGTGGAGAGCAAAAGTCCATGGGGAACGGGATCGTGTCTACCTTGCAGGCCCTCTACCCCCATTCCTGGCACATGGTAGGTACATAATAAGGATTTTGTGGACAGAGCCCTGTCTCTTCTGGGAGCTCAGAGAACCCAGGGAAAGGCCAGCCTGGCCTGAGCTCCAGACTTCAGAGACTCTGGCCCTTGAGTGTCGGGGCAGAAGGAAGGGGTGAGGGGGCCAAGGGCAAATGTGAGAGCCCGAAGAGCCACCGGAGGGGGGCTTCCACTAGATCCCTGGGACAGGGCAGGGTGGAGTCCAGGACAACACGGAGAAGGAAATAGAGAATCCAAAACTGGATTACCTGCTTGATTTTCTGTGCACTCCAGAGCTGGAAGAGAGATAAAGGAAAAGAAAATAAAGAACAAAAATTAAAAGCATATATCGGTTTAAGGCTTCCAACCCATGTTTTCTAACCAAGGGATCCAGCTCCGAAAGCCCGAAAGAAGCTCGGGCTATCCTTGCCAGCCCAGGCTGGGCAGCTGTCCTATCCTGGGGGGGGTGACATCAGAGAGTAAGGGCCAGAGAGGTCCCAGAATGGCAGAGCTAGGGGACCTTGCGCATCAATTAAGCCAGGAATTCTCAACTATGTCTGCACTTTAGAATTCCTTGGAGAATTTTTTCAGCATTTTCCTAAAGCTCCCTAGTTGACTCTAAGTCATAAGCAGGTAGAAACCTCTAATTTAAATGAAGATACTTCAATTGTCTCCCAGAATCACTAGTGACAGCATAATATAATTTTTTCAGAGATAGCCTGGATTCCCTGCTGTGCCACTTCTACCTCTGAGCCTCAGTTTCCTCATCTGTGGAATGGGCATGATAGCCATGCCTCTGACACAGAGTCGTTTAAGGGGTGAATGGGAAGCTCTCAGAGCAATGTCAGCACAATAGCATGTGCTTATAAGTGCTTACTGTTGCTGACATTATGCCTGTTGTTATCATAAGAAGGCTGTAGGGAGAAAAAGTTCCTTTCAAATGCTGATGAGGCTGTCTCTTTCCAGCACAGAGACAGGCTGGAGAAACGGAGTAACTTGTCAATCCCTTCAAATGACCTAAATACTGTATTGCATTGAATCTAAGACACCACTGATCCTAAGATATACTATCATGTGCCGCATACGAAAGAAAACTATGACTGTAATACCAAGACCCCCATCAATTAAAAGACTCATTTCATTTTACAGATGTGATAAAGTAGGCCTTTTTTTTTTTTCACTGCAACCTCTGTCTCCCGGGTTCAAGCGATTCTCCCGCCTCAGCCTCCTGAGTAGCTGGGATTACAGGCGCGCACCACCATGCCCAGCTAATTTTTGTATTTTTAGTAGAGACGGGGTTTCACCATGTTGGTAAGGCTGGTCTTGAACTCCTGACCTCGTGATCTGCCCACCTCGGCCTCCCAAGGTGCTGAGATTACAGGTGTGAGCCACCATGCCCAGCCCAGGCCTTTTCAAATCAAGGAAACATGGCAAATAAAAATTTACACTGTCGGGGGGCCAGGCACAGTGGCTCACACCTGTAGTCCCAACACTTTAGGAGGCCAAAGCAGGAGGATTGCTGAGCCCAGGATCAGTCCACCCTGGGCAACAAAGGGAGACCCCATCTCTACAAAAAATCTTAAAAATTAGCAGGGCGTGGTGGAATGTGCCTGCAGACCCAGCTATTCAGTGGGCTGAGGTGGGAGGAACACTTGTGCCCAGGAGGTAGAGGCTGCAGTGAACCATGATTGTGCCACAGCACGCCAGCTTGGATGACAGCGTGAGAACCTGTCTCCAAAAAAGAAAAAAAAAGGACACCATGGGCAAACCAAAGGCCAGTATATTTTTTTAATGGAGAAAGAAGGCTATGCGGCTAGAAGGAAGATACAGCCAGCAGCTGATGTTAAAGTTTTATAATAGAATGGTTGTTATGCTTCATGTATATGGCAATGTTGGTCATCTGGAACATAAATTAAGCTGCAGAAGTTAAGAAGGCTACTGGGTAGTAAAAATAGAAGTTATAAAATTGATACATTAAAGTTTATGCATTTTTCTCACAGCTGAGTCCCTCAAACCTTACTTCACAGCCTAATTAACTCTTATTTTAGACACATTTCCAACACACTTGATTGTCTGCTATTCCAGACCCAGGCAGATTAGAAGCAGTCGATGTTTAAAAAATAATAATTGGGGAACAGAGGGGACTGATGAGTGAAAAGCCAAAAGCAGAATCACTGCTAGCACAAAGGTTAAGTGAGGGCCTAACAGCAAAGAGGTTATTTAAAAACAACAACAACAACAAAAAAAAACATAAAAGGCTGATCGTCCCCTCTTTGCTCAGTAAGCACCTTCCTGAAGTGCACCCTCAAGTCTGGGCTCTGTCCCTGGTGCGACCCCAGGCCCTGTACACAGACTCCTGACACCCCACACCCTCCACCCCAGTCGTAACCTTCTGCATCCTCCCACCTCTGGATTCACAGTCAGGCCACTCACAGGCAGGAACTGGCTTTTCAGCACTATCTCCTAGCACATTCCATCCCCCCAGGGCCTGGAACACAGTAGGTGCTCAATACGTGCTTAATGAAGGAATATCATCTTCTAAAACAGAAGTATACCTAGACTTAAGTTGACTTCTGGTAAGGCACGGTGAAGCCAATGCACAGTGTCATCTCCTTTTCTTCCCAAATCCTCGAGAAAAGAACAGCAAAGGAATAAACCAGCTGAAAACCCTCTCGGGGAGGAAGGGGACGTGACAGCAGGCAGAAGATGTCACACATCTTTGAAAGGTGGTGAGCTGATGAAGAGATGAGCGGTTGGCAATGCTGCAGAGGGTGGAAGGACACCCCACATGCTCAGTGGGAGTGAGTGGGCTCAGCCCAACTAGAGCTCCAGACACCAGGAAGGTGCAGGCGGCATGGCCAGAGATCAGGGAGAGACGTTGAAAATGTCCCTGTGCACAAAGTAGGGAGGCCCAAAGTCCCCATCCAGGTGATGGAGGTTTATTCTCCAGAGAAGCTAAATCACAACAGCCCAGACATGGTCACAGGCACAGGGGGACCAGGCAAGGGTCTGAGTGCTGAGGCTCTAAAGGAGCCCGTCTGCATCCAGCTCTGAGGACACCACAGGCAGGAGGATGGAGACACCTTCTCCAGGAAAACAGAAAGGCTCCCAGAGAAATGACCCACAAGAGGGCTGGATTCGTGGACAGGCCATCAGCGCAATGCTGAGAAGGAGGTCCCATTCCAGTGGTCTAATGCTGTGTGGCTGCTTTTTTTTTTTCTTTTTTTGAGACAGAGTCTTGCTCTGTCGCCCAGGCTGGAGTGCAGTGGTGTGATCTTGGCCCACTGCAAACTCCACCTCCCAGGTTCAAGTGATTCTTGTGCCTCAGCCTCCCCAGTAGCTGGGATTACAGGCGTGCGCCACCATGCCTGGCTAATTTTTTTTTTTTTTTTAGTAGAGGCGGGGTTTCACCATGTTGGCCAGGCTGGTCTTGAACTCCTGGCCTCAAGTGATCCACTTGCCTCGGCCTCCCAAACTGCTGGGATTACACCTCGCCCAACATGGTTGCTGCCTTGACTTTAATACAGGCATTGCCACCTAAGGACATTTTGGTCAATGACAAACCACATATACAATAGTGGTTCCATAAGATTACAAGAGAGGTGAAAAATTCCTATGGCCTAGTGACCTTGTGGCTGTCCTAAAGTAATAGTACAATGCATTACTCACATTTGTGGTAATACTGGTGTAAACCAACCTACTGCATTGCCATTCATATAAAAGCCTAGCACAACACCTGACAATAATAAACGTTACTCATTTATATGTTTAGTATGCCATACTTCTTATTATTTTATTTTATTTATTTATTTATTATTATTATTTTTGAGATGGAGTTTCACTCTTGTTGCCCAGGCTGGAGTGCAATGGCACGGTCTTGGCTCACTGCAACCTCCACCTCCCAGGTTCAAGCGATTCTCCTGCCTCAGCCTCCCGAGTAGCTGGGATTACAGGCACCCACCACCATGTCCAGCTAATTTTTGTATTTTTAGTAGAGATGGAGTTCACCATGTTGGCCAGCTGGTCTCAAACTCCTGATCTCAGGTGATCCGCCTGCCTCAGCCTCCCAAAATGCTGGGATTACAGGCGTGAGCCACCGTGCCCAGCCACTTCTTATTATTTTAGAGTGTATACCTTCTATTTATATTTAAAAAAAAAAAGTTAACTGTTAAACAGCCTCAGGCAGGCCCTTCAGGGGGTATTCCAGAAAGAGGCATACTTATCATAGGAGATGACAGTCCCGGCGTGTTACTGTCCCTGAAGACTTTCCAGTGGGAAAAGATGTAAAAGACAGTGATATTGATGATCCTGACTCCATGTAGGCCTAGAATGATATGGGTGTTTGTGTCTTACTTTTTAACAAAAACGTTTAGAAAGTTTTTTAAAAAAGTAAAAATGTTTAAAAATAGGAAAGAGCTTATAGACAAGAATTTTTTTGTACAGTTGTACAGTGTTTGTGTTTTAAGCTAAGTGTTATTACAAAATAGTCAAAAAGTTTTTAAAATGTACAAGTTTATGAAGTAGAGCTACAGTAAGCTAAGGTTAATTTATTTTGAAGAGAGAGCATTTTTTAAATAAATTTAGTGCAGCCTAAGGATATGTGTTTATAAAGCCTACAGTAGTGCACAGTCATGTCCTGGGCCTTCACATTCACTGACCACTCACTCACTCACTCAGAGCAACTTCCAGTCCTGCAAGCTCCATTGATGGTAAGTGTTCTATGAAGGTGTATCATTTTTTATCTTTTTTTTTTCTTTTTTTAGACAGGGCTTGCTCTGTCGCCCAGGCTGGAGTGCAGTGGTATCATCACAGCTCACTACAGCCTCCACCTCTCCGGCTCAAGCAATCCTCCCACCTCAGCCTCCTGAGTAGCTGGGACTACAGGCGTGTGCCACCACACTTGGCTAACTTTTTGTGTGCTTTTGTAGAAACGTGGTCTCCCTATGTTGCCCAGGCTGGTCTCCAACTCCTGGGCTCAAGCAATCCTCCCACTTCCACCTCCCAAAGTGTCAGGGTTACAAGCATGAGCCACCGTGCCTGGCCCCATCTTTTTAATCTTTTATGCCATATTTTTACTGTACCTTGTCTATGTTTAGATACACAAATACCATGTGTTCCAATTGCCTACAGTATTCAGTAGAGTACCATGCTGTACAGGTTTGTAGCCTAGGAGCAATAGGCTATACCATACAGCCTAGGTGTGGAGTAGACTCTACCATCTAGGTTTGTGTAAGTGCACTCTATGATGTTCCCGTAATGACAAAATCACCTAATGTCGTATTTCTCGGACATATCCCTGATGTTAAGTGAGGCATGACTGTATCTTTATCTTTGAATTTGAGTTTTATAAGTTAAGCCCAATGGGAGAATGGAGCACATGCTGGCGGCCCGGACCCTCAGCTCACATGTGGTCCTGCCTCCCACTGCCTCAGCCACCGCCATGAAATGAGTTCTTGGCCACCCAGTGACTGCTGCAACCCTCCACTCCTGTCAGAGGCCTGGGCGCAGGGAGGGCCATGCAGTCCCCATGCATCAAGTTGTGAGGCAGGACTCCGGGTGCCTGTGAGGGTCTGCACTTGTCCCATGAGTGTCCCCTGTGGCTAAGGAAGAGAAACATTAAATAGCAAATAAAAAACATTTTTCCAGGACGAGAGAAGAATGAGGGGAGAGAGAAAACTCAGAAAGGAAGGAAAAGCTTCTTTCTGTTTTTTGAACAAGGGTCTTGCATTTCTATTTTGTATTGAGTCTCACAAATGATACGGTCAGCTCTGCCTAGAAATACTGATATTTGGAGGACCCCAGTGAAACAGATCATTGCTCAGTGAGCCTACACATGCATACATAGGAAAGAAATTCTGAGGAAAGGAGACAATGCAGGAACTAAAGAACATTTTAAAAACACTCTAGCATCTTCAGAGCAGAAAGACATGAAAGAGGAACAGGATACAATGAAAAAGAGGGAGGGGACAAACCCTGGCTCTGTCGCTTACTCCATGTGTGGCCCCGGGGAAATCACTTTGCCTCTGTGCCTGGTTCTCCATCAGTAACATGAGTCGTTGTAAGGGAGGGTTCCCTGGCAGTCTGCATTTATGGGCACACAGCTAAGCCTATGATTCCCAGCCTCCCCCGCAGTCAAGTGGCCTCCTGGGACCGGGTGCTGGCTAATGGATTGTGGGTGGAAATGACGTTCGCCAGTTCCAGGCCTGTCCCCGAGCCTCCCACGGAGAATCCAGTGGAGGATAGTGAGGCCCTAAAGACATGAGTGAAAGGAGGCATCCTGGCATCATCTTTGGCCTCTGCCAAGTCCCTGAGTTGCAACGGAGTCAGATATGAATGAGAAACACACCTGACTGTGTTCAGCCTCCGAAACCTGGGCGTTACTTGTACTAACATTTGGCTCAATCTGACTAACACCAAGCGTTAAATGACATATGCATATATAAAATATTTGACTCATAGAACGTGCTCAATAGTTTTGCCTAAAATAGAGGGAAGCAATTCAAATGAGCAGTTTTTTTTTTAAAGGATTTAATCATCTTTCAAAGTAACTTCATCTCTATTGTTTTATCCCCCAAATGCCTGGGAGGTAGACAGATGCTCTTTAGACTAGGTAAGGCATCTCAGAGAGACTAAGTGACTAAGCCAGGGCCCCAGGGGCTGGTGGCAAGATGGAGACAGGCACCCAGGCCTCCTCACCTAGGTCTCCCCGGCACTGGAGCATGTCAGTGTCTGAGGTTGGCCAGAATGACTTATTCACTTATTTAATTCCCTCAACAGCCCTAGGAGGTTGGGATTAATATATCTCCCATTTTTACAAATGTGGAAACTGAGGCTCAGAGAGATTAAGTGACTTGCCCAAAGTCCCACAGCAGGCTGGGTGTGGTGGCTCAGACCTGTGATCTCAGCACTCTGGGAGGCTGAGGCAGGCAAACTGCTTGAGCTCAGGAGTTTGAGAACAGCCTGGGCAACATGGCGAAATCCCATCTCTAGAAAAAATACAAAAATTAGCCAGGCGCAGTGGTGCACACCTGTAGTCCCAGCTACTTGGGAGGCTGAGGAAGGAGAATCGCCTGAGCCCAGGAAGCAGAGGCTGCAGTGAGCTGAGATCACACCATTGCCCTCCATCCTAGGCGACAGGAGTGAAACCCTGTTCAAAATAAAACAAAACAAACAAAAAAACCCTAAAATCAAACAAACGAACAAAAAAAAACAAAAACAAAAACAAAAAAGTCTCACAGCACCGGGATGTGAACCCAAGCAGTCTGGCTCCAGAGTCCCTATCCTTAACTACCACTTGCATCCATCTCTAAAGTCTAGCTCATCACTGCACTGTTCTGCCCCTTAGGCTTGTCATATATTTTGGAGATCTTTCCATATCAGTGCACAGAAAGCAGTCTTATTCTTCCGACCAAAACCCTTGAATGAATGAAAAATATATATGTATATATATACACATATATTTGTTGTTGTTGTTGTAGAAACGGGATCTCGCTATGTTGACCAGGCTGGTCATGAACTCCTGGCCTCAAGCAATCCTCCTACCCAAAGGGCTGGGATTACAGGCATGAGCCACCGTGCCCAGCCTGAATATTTTATAAAATGTCTCCTATTGATAGACATTTGGCATTAAGTACATTCAAATCGTGGGCAGCCATCGCCATCATCCATCTCCAAAACACTGCCAGCTTCCCAACCTGAAACTCTCTACCCATTAAATGTGACCTCCCCATTCCTCCCTTCTCCAGCTCCTGGAAACCGCGTCTGCTTTCTGTCTCCACGACATTCACTACACTAGGTATCTCATACAAGTGGAATCACATAGTATTTATTCTTTTGTGACTGTCTTATCTTTCTGCTATTACAAATCATGTTCTGGTGAATTTCACTGGAGTTACTATATTGTGAGAATTTAAAGAAAAAGGATAAATTATACAGATATATCTGGCATAATACAGAGGAACCAACAATTAGGGAGGGAAAGTGGGCAACTGGGGGAGAGAAAAAGGGAGAGTTTTTTAAAAATTCCTATTCTTTTTATACCTTTAGAATTCTGTATCTTGTTCATATATTACCTCCTCAAAAATATTTGTTTAAAAATTAAAGGTAACCACTAGAAAAAGATAATAGAAGATGCACAAATTCCAAGCCCTTTATTGACCCTTATGGCACAGACCACAAACTGTCCAATAAAATCCATGTCCTATTGTGTTGTCCATAGTCATAGAACAGAAGCTGGCAGGTGGCTGGCCTGCTACACATTTCCCAGCCTCCTCTGCAATGAGGCTTGTCCATGTAGCTGAGACCCACAGTGGCATCTGAGGGGAAGTGATGTGCCTTTTCCAGGCCAGTGGCTCCCCCTCCATGCTTTCTGTCCCCTTGCTGTGAGCCAGTGCAAGGATGTGGCTGCAGCCCAGCCTCAGCCATGAAGATAGCACGACGCCCAAAGAGATGGTAGAGAAACATGATGGAAGGAGCCTGGGTCCCTGAATAATCCTGTGGGGCAGAGCTAGCTGCCCACCTGGAACTTGAGCTGTTATACAGGACAGAAATAAACTGTCTCATTTAAGCTAGTACATTTGGGGATCGTTTTGTTACAGCAGCTAGTACCACTTTAACTAATATAACCCATTTGGGGTTATTGGAAACTGCTTCCAGTGATATCAGGGAAAGATTTCCAGGGAAGAAAGGAAGGAATGGAAGCTAAAGTGGTGCTTGAAGCTCTTCTTGAGGCATCTGACAACACACCAGACTCAGAGGTTTTGGGGTGAGTTGGGAGGAACATCTCCATTTTCAACAAAAATTCCTAGTCATGATCTGATCTTGTTTGGGCTGATCCCATCACCAGGCTGCAGTGACAACAGTCAGGATCATGGACTTTGGCCCTCTCTCAGTCACTAACTTACATAGCCTGCCTGTGCAAGTTACCTCACAGCTTGGACTTGTATTATTTTTAAAATTAGGCAGAAGCAGGGACAGGAGGTAGAAGCAAGTCTCTCCAGGGCCCCTTCCTGTCCTACGGTGTATGAGGCCACGCCCAGCTTAGAGGGAGAACAGGACAAGGACTCAGGTCTGACTCCTTGGGTCTAGGCTTTTCCCTAGGACCTGCTGGATTAAATGTTGACTTTAAGGGGTTAAATGTCAGATGCAAAAATGGCAGCAGGTAATGTACCACCCACAAGCCAAGAGCTGGTTGCTAGTTTGAAGTTTCACAAGCCAGTCCTGCAAACAGGTGATGGGGGAGGATCATCCTAGGGTGTCAAGAGTTCGACGGGACATCCTAGGATATCAAGAGTTCAACGTCTTCTCACTAGACCACTGAAGCATCTCCACTTTAAACTACAATTCCTGCTTAAGACCTCATCTTGTGTGGGCTCAGCCCATCTCCTCTGTGCCTCTGCTGAGCATAAAAATATGCAGCTTTGATCCCTTGGGACTTACTGGCTCCAACAACAAATCAGTGTGGATATGAGACTTTGAACCTTGCTTGATTTCTCAACTTGGTAAATAAGAACATGGAGCAGGTGTGGAGAAGCAATCCGGGTGAGAGGTGGCTGGAAGATCCCAGAAGTTGGCTAATTTCAAAAACAGCCAGCATCTCAGCTGAAGTGCCATCTGAACCTACCTGAAGTTCGGTGTAGAGTCCAAGGGAGGGGCAGAGGACACTCACCAACTGGCCTTCTCGGGCAGAGCGGGGCACACCCCCAACACCCAGAGGGAGGAGGAACAGCCCAGCCCCACCCCCAATCTGGCTCGCTCCCCTTCCCCTCTGCCTCCTTCCAAGCTGCTTCTCCAAACCTCCCAAGGCAGCAAAGACAGAGCCTATTTAAAACAACCTCCAGAAGGTAATTAAACAGAGCCTGAAGGGGATCCTTCTGTAAGGCAAAGAATGCCTCCATAAAACAAACAAAAAAAACTTCCTAATTTATCAGTTGGGCCAATCGCATTATACCTCACCATTAATTTTGTTGCCATGGTTACTCCCAGGTAATATGTACCTATTGCAAGTCTATGTCAGGTGAGGGTACCCCCAATTCTACAGACTCACGAAAGAAGAGGGACTCTTCGCCTAGTTCTGCAGCATAGCACACAGCAGCAGTTGCAACTTCCCTATACACGCAGTTTGTTTCTATCCAGACCTGGGTTTAAATTCTAGATCTCCCGCTTGCTGGCTATGTGATTTAGGGCAATACGCTTAATCTTTCTGAGCCTCCTCTTCCTCATTTGTAATATGAGGATGTGAATATTTTCAAGGTTATTGTGAAAATTAATAATTAATTTAACAAATTTACTTATTTAACAAATATTTATTGAGCATCTACTATGTGCTGAACACTGCTCTAGGTGCTAAGGACACATCAGTGACAAAAACAGGCCAAAATCTCTGCTTTTGTTGAGTTTAGAGGGTTGCACAGACAGACAAACGATAAGCAACACAAACAATAAATAAGCACATTTTCTGATATGTTAGAAGGAAAAGTGCTTCAGGAAACTAGGGAAAATAGACCAGGACAAGAGGATAGCAAGTGTGAGCAGGTGGCAGAGATGGAGATTACAGACATAAGTAAGATAGTCAGGGTGGGTCTCACTGAGGTGATATTGGAGGAAACACTTGAAGGAGAGAATGAGTCATGCAGCTATCTAGTGGGAGATTGCTCTGGTAGACAGAACAGCCAGTGCAAAGGCCCTGAGGCAGAAGTGGGCCTGTCTGGTATGTTTGAGAGACAGCAAGGAGACCAGTGTGACTGCAGTGGACCAAATAGGGGAGAGCAGTAGGAGACAAGATCAGAGAGGACTGGGGGCTTTGCAGGCCAGGTTAAGGACTATGGCTTTTACTCTAAGTGCAAAAGAGGAACACTATAGTTTCTATTAGAGCAGTGGTTCTCAACTAGGAGGTGGATTTTGCACCCAGGGGACATTTGGCAACATCAGAAAACATTTTTGATTGTCATGACTGGGGAGGGGAAGCTAATGGCATCTACTGGGTCACAGCCAGGCAGGTTGCTAAACACCCTCAGTACACTGGACAGCCCTCGCAAAAAAGAATAATCTGGCTCCAAATGCCAATCGTGCCAAGTCTGAGAAACCCTGGAGCAGAGGAACAAACAATGTCCTGTATAATTTCACAGGTCACTCTGTGTGCTGTATCAGCAATGGACAGAGGAGCCCAGGTAGTATAGGCAGATCATCCAGGAGGCCACTGCAGGGACCCAGCCCACAAATGCATCTACAGCACTCAGTACGACACCTAGCACATCATACAAATGACTCACCTCCTACTGATCACTTGCCTGTTCTGTGCTACCAGTTAGGGCCATGCTGGGCCTGGCCCAGAGGGGCAGGGTGCTGACCAGGATCCCCAGAGCTTGATGCTAGGAGTCAGGGTAAGACTAGTGGGTCAGCCAAGCCTTCCCTTCGGCATCTGACAAACCTGCTGACGCCCACAGAAGACTTGGGGCACAAGTATTTTTAAGCCTGCCTCTGGTATTTGCTCTGTTATTTTCAGCAAAGCCCAAACACAGCTGACCCCATTGCCTTCCTGCCAGAGAAGACTTGCAGGATCTCTTGCATCCCAGCAGCTCTTTCTCCTAGGCAGGTCGCAGACAGAAATCCATCCTGCATGGGGGCTCTGAGCAATCCATACATTCATTACCCTGGGTGCAGGGTAGGCACTTAGGAAAGGTTGGCTGGTTCCCAACCTCTGGGGAATGTTGAATGATGGACAAGCCCAGCCACTCAGGAGCTACAGTGGTTCCCAGTAACCTGCTCCCCACACTCCCCATCACTCCAGTTGCTTCCGAGCTGATTTCCGTAATAGCACTTATTCCTCCCCAGTGCACTCTGGCACTGCCACTGACTGATCCTACCACAATACCACTGTCGTGCTACTCCCTTGCTCAATAGCTTTCAGTAGCTTCCTCTTACCCCACACAATGCATCCAGCATCTCTGCCTGGTTTTCAAAGACTTTCTCAATCTGGCCTGTAACCTCCAACTTCCTTCCCAGCTTTCTCTTTCTTGTCTCTTCTCTCTGTCTCTGTCACTTACAGAAGATGTCTCTCCCATTAGATCTAAGAGGCCCAGTGTCAGATCCCTGCCCCACCACATACTAGCTATGTGACCTTAGGAAAATAATGCAACCTCTCTGAGTCTCACTGGAAAATTGGGTTGATACAGGTACCTACTGACAAGTTTATGTGAAGATTAGCTGAGATAATATGTGGAAAGCGCTAGTACTTATGGTGCAATACCTGCCACTTCGTAAGCATGCAGCGAGCGGTGGCTCACCATGGGGAGGGGTCTTCCATATTTAGCCCCACCCACCTCCTCCATCCACACCAAATCATTCTGGCAAAGCCCCAGCATATACAAGTGTACAGATCAGAGTCAACATTCAGAAACTTAATGGCTGTGTCTATGCTTACATTTTTGTATACCATGGTTTTGTTTTTTTAACTGATAGCTACAGTCCTTATTACGGTTACTAGCTCTTCAAATTTTCACCTGCTAAACCCAAAAGTTAAATTATACTCATTTTTATTTTGTCCTCAGAACCAGTGATTCATTGGTATCGCAATCTTTTTTTTTTTTTTTTTTTTTTTTGAGACCGAGTCTCACTCTGTCACCCAGGCTGGAGTGCAGTGCTGTGATCTCGGCTCACTGCAACCTCCACCTCCTGGGTTCAAGCGATTCTCCTGTCTCAGCCTCCTGAGTAGCTGGGACTACAGGTGCATGCCACCATGCCTGGCTAATTTTTGTATTTTTGGTAGAGATGGGGTTTCACCATATTGGTCAGGCTGGTCTCGAACTCCTGACTTTAGGTGATCCACCTGTCTTGGCCTCCCAAAGTGCTGGGATTACAGGTGTGAGACACCACGCTTGGCTGGTATAGCAACCTTTAAACAAGGTAACGGTCCCTGGAGGAGAGAGCAGCCACCCACAACAGAAGACCAAACCAAGGCCATCAGGAGCAAACAAACAATCAATACATTTGCGCATACCCACTGGTGAGGTGTTGTACCTGGAGGTCAGGTTAGATGACAAACTGGGTAAAAAAAGAGAGTGTCACAAGTTAACCAGCACTGCCCACAACACCAGGACAGGCCTGCAGGCCTCAGGACCCAGTTGCAGGCTTCTGGCCCACACACCTGCAAAGGCATGAGAGCAGGCGCAGAGCCCAGGTGCAGGTGAGGCCACTGTCCAGACTGAGAACAAGAACCACCCGGGCCGCTTCAGATGAGCAGGGCCAGCCTGGGCCAGGAACAGTGACTGTTAACTATGGATTGCCAAGCCCCCCAAGCCCTGAGCTGCCATGTCACCACTTATCCCCTCTGCTCCTGTGTCTGCAGAGGCCAGAGGAAGGTGTAGATTGGCTGACTGAAGCCCAGGGAGGGAAGCATTTGTGAGAGCTGGTGCTGGGGGAGCCAGGAGGCTGGGGGAAGGGAGGGAGAGGGAGGATCTGCCTCTAGGGGGCCATAGTGGCAGGCTCACACCTAGAGCACTGTGCTACCCAGCCACCAGATGGACACTGCAGGCATCACCAACATGAGCCAGAATCGGGAAGCACAGTTAGTGCCAAGCTGCCCCTCCACCCAGTTCCCCTCCTCCTCAGCTCCCTTGAGGCACATGGGGGCTTTCAGGACAGAAAACAAAGGAGGCCTGGGAAACAGGACAGGCAGCTTCAAGCTACTGAAGGGAGCAAAGAGGAGGAAATGTGGCTTCATTCCCCAAACTCTGGGAGCTGGAAGGGGTCCCAAGAGGCCAACCTCAGCAAGAAAAGGGCAGAGCGGAGCCTGGGCCAGGAGGAAACACATGGTCAGGAGGCCATAGAGGCAGGACCCAACTCTCACAGGTCTCAGAAGAACACGAAAAGGGCTGGGGACTGCTTCGGCCTGAGTAGGGTGGGGTACCAGGTCACACCATCCAGGCTCTTAGGTGCTCATGGCCAGAGAGAAGTCCCATTGCTCAGGGAAGAGGAGATCGCAGCCTGCCCTCCCGGCTGACGGCTGCCCATGACTCAGCACGCAGTGCACACGCCTTCAGATGGGCCCCATGTAAGCAGGCACTGCGGGTCTGTCACTCTCCCAGGGCCCTGCACAGGGGCATCTGGCCAAGGTGCTGCTTCCGCTCATGCATTTGCCCTCTATTCCCATCACCATGCTCCAGTCTAGCACATTCGCCCATTCCCTCCTTCTGTAGGGTCTTGCTCCCTCGATCTCCAGCACAGTGTGCACCTCCTTGCCTGGACCACCCCCACCTGCTCTTCACCAGCCCTGTCAGCCCTCATATCTCAGGGGAGAAATCTCTTCCAGATGCCCTCAGTCTGGGAGGGTCACCCCTTCCACGGCTCTCCCATGGTATCATGTGCTTTCACTGTCACTGCCTGGTTTCTGGTGGTGTAGACAGGAACTTCATCCAGCTTCCTACCTGCTCTATCCCCCAGGCCCTACCCTCGCTTCTGGCCCATAGAGATGGATAGAAGAGAAAAAAGGTGAGAAAACCTACGTGTCAGCCTATGATGGCTAATATTTGACTAACAGAAGTTCCAGAATGAGAAAAAGTGATGAAAGCAATTAAAAATTTTGCCAGAGCTGAAGACAGGAGTCTTCAGATTGAAAGGGGTAATGAAGAATCCAAAATGATAAATTTTAAAAGAAACAGCATTGTGGAATTTCAGAAACAAATTTCACAGATAAAGAGAAGATCCTAAATATTTCCAAAGAAAGAAAACAGACCGCAAAGAATCAGGAATGAAACGGCATCAGGTTTTTCAACAGCTATATTGGAACCCAGAAGAAAATAGCGCAATGGTCTTCAAAAATCTGAAGGAAAATGATTGTCAACCTAGAATTTTCTCCTCAGCCAAACTGTCAATTAAGGCTGAGTGCAGAATTATAATTTTTCAGACATAAAAAGACTCAAAACTTTCTTCTCATTTACCCTTTTTCAGGAAGCTACGAGAAGAGGTGTTCCACCAAAATGATGAAATATACCAAGAAAAAGGAAGACCTGGAACTCGGAGGTAGGCCCCAGAAAGGAAAATTTCAGGAAAACAAAAAGAAACTCAAAGACAGAAATCTTCAGATTGCAAGGAGCACTGAAAATACAGTCATGCGTCACTTAACAACAGGGATATGTTCTGAGAAATGCATCATTAGGTGATTTCATCATTGTGCAAACAGCATAGAGCATCCTTACACAAACCTAGATGGGCAAGCCTGCAACACACCTAGGCTACCTCGTAGGTAGAGCCTACTGCTCCCTGGTTACAAGCCTGGGTAGTATGTTACTGTACTGAATATATAGGCAACTATAACACAATGGTAGATATTTGTGTATGTAAACGGTTTGTGTATATTTGTGCACAGAAACAGTTCAGTAAAAATATGGCATAAAAGATAAACAATGGTCACCTGCATAGGGCACTTACCATGAATGGAGCTTGCAGGACTGGCAGTTGCTGTGGTGAGTCACTGAGTGTGTAGTGGGTGAATGTGAAGGCCTAGGTCATTACCGTACAGTACTATAGACTTTATAAACACCATACATTTAAGCACGCTAAATTTATTTTAAAAAAAAATTAGCCAGGTGTGGTGGTGTGTTACTCAGGAGGCTGAGGTGGGAGGAACACTTAAGCCTGAGAGTTTGAGGTTATAGTGAGCTACATCGCCCCACTGCACTCCAGGCCTGGGTGACAGAGCAAGACCTTGCCTCTTAAAAAAATTTCTTCAATAAAATGAACCTTAGCTTACTGTATATTTTTTACTTTATAAAATTTTAAATTTCAGATTTTTGACTCTTTTGTAATACTTAGCTTGAAACACAAACACATTGTACAAAATATTTTTCTTTATATCCTTATTCTGTAAGTTTTCTATTTTAAAACTTTCAACTTTTTTTTAACTATTTAAACTCTTAAAACTAACTAAAAACTAAGACACAAACAAACAGACTAGGCCTGCACAGGGTCAGGATCATCAAGACATCTCCAGGCAACAGGAATTTTTCAGTTCCATTATCATCTATTTTTGAGACACAGTCTCACTCTGTCGCCCAGGCTGGAGTGCAGTGGCGTGATCTCGACTCACTGCAACCTCCACCTCCTAGGTTCAAGTGATTCCCCCCTCCTCAGCCTCCCAAGTAGCTGGGATTACAAACATGTACCACTATGCCCGGCTAATTTTTGTATTTTTAGTGGAGACAGGGTTTCTTCAGGTTGGCCAGGATGGTCTCGAACTCCTGACCTCAAGTGATCCGCCCGCCTTGGCCTCCCAAAGTGCTGGGATTACAGGCATGAGCCACCACGCCTGGCCCCCATTATCATCTTATGGAACCACTGTCATATATGTGATCCCTTATTGACCAAAATGTCTTTATGTGGTGTATGACTGTATTGAAAGGCCGCGGGAGGGTACAGTGAGAGTGAGAGATGGTACAAAGGAAAGTATGCCAATGAAAAATCTGAGGTGGTTATTAACTCCAGATAAAACAAATTTGAAAAAGAGACATAATCATGATACAACCAGTCTGACTATGCAGTAAATGTTATTTCTATAATTGTAACGACATGAAGACTGAATATGTATAGGCCCCAAAACCATGATAACTATTTCAAGAGTGAGTATGGATGGCGGAAAGAAGTGTGTTTAGAGGGGTGGATGATAAGAGAGCTGAATCCTCAACTACCATAATAGATAACCCAAAAGAACTAATTGAGAAATAGCAGTGTAGATAAGCATATTTGTCTGAAAGATAGAATATAAATTTCTATCTGCAGAACAGCAAAAAGTAGTTGCTCCTGCGGAACAGGCATGGGAACTGGGGAGGGATAGGGAACATATACTATTTTTCCTTACAAGCACTATTTTATTTTATTTTATTTTATTTTATTTTATTTTATTTCTATTAATTTTTGAGACAGAGTTTCGCTTTGTTGCCCAGGCTGGAGTGCAGTGGCGCAGTCTCGGCTCACTGCAACCTCCATTTCCCAGGTTCAAGCGATTCTCCTGCCTCAACCTCATGAGTAGCTGGGATTACAGGCGTCCACCACCATGCCCGGCTGATTTTTTGTCTTTCAGTAAAGACACGGTTTCACCACGTTGCCCAGGCTGGTCTTGAACTCCTGAGCTCAGGCAATCTGCCTGCCTCGGCCTCCCAAAGTGCTAGGATTACAGGTGTGAGCCACCGTGCCCAGCCCCTTACAAGCACTTTAGTACTATTTGACTTCTTGAATTATGCACACATGACTTTGAAAATGTTTAAATTAATGTTTGAAAAAGTTTTTGAAATAAAGTTTATGAACAAAAAGACAGACTTTGGCACATGAACCATCAGTCTCTGTAATCATTAACTACTACCTTCCCTTACCCCTCCCCAAAACAAAACACCACCTTCAACATTTCAGGTATCTCTAATTTGAGTTCCTACACGATATTAAAAAAGAATAAAACAACAGTATCCTAATCCTAATCCTCAACATCCTCCCCCATCCTTCCCACCCTTAACCTGAATTTTTGAACAGTGGTATGCTGGTAAACGTTTAATAACCTGTTCTCTGGAGAAAAAGTCCTGATTTGTAGCATTTGCCAACTTCTATGGTATAAATACTCCCATCATGGCTGATTTCCCACTGTGTCATCCCTGATCGTGGAATTGGGAAGAGATGCCCACAATCAGCTCTCGCAAGCCAGTGCGGGCCAGCTTCAGCAAGCCTTTGGCCTTTGGGCCACCCTAGCCTTATCAGCCTCCATGCTTCCCACTGGACCTAGAGCACAGGAGAGATCTGAGCATCTCCAAAGAGCTTTTAGTCCACAGGGGTATGTACCAGCAGAAGTATATGCTGGACGAAAGAAGTGGTTCTGGCTGCAGCGAAGGGTTTGTGAATTTCTCACTTTCCTTCCCTTCCCCACTGGCCATGCTCCCACCTCCCACAGAGTTACCTGTTCATTGGTGACCCCCGGGCGCAGGGTCCCATGCTTATAGTCCTCCAGCAGCTGCACAGCCTCTCTGAGACGTCTCTGCAGAAGAAAGAAAAGAGACATTGAGGGGCACAGATCCAGGGCTCCCGCAAATTTTTCTTTTGTGGGATTACATCAGTATCAAATACTGCCAGTGCAAGGCTTTGGGCCTGCCCTCAGTTCATGGGACACACACAAAATCATATAGAAATACCACCTAAATGTTCTTACTCGGCAGTTTAAAAAATGAAGTAGAGCTACATGTGCTTCCATGGTCATCTCCCCAAGATATTTTGTTGAGTGAAAAAGCAAATGGCCAAGCAATATGATGCTGTTTGTTGTACCAAATAAACAACACACACATATCAAATAATATTTCCTATGTGAATATTTGTATATGTCAAAGTATCAGAAAAGCCCTAGAAGGAGAACAACCAAACTGGTGGCTGGGGTTACCTCAGGATAGGAGGAAAGGGCCAAGACTTGGCAAGGGGTGTCACAAGGAACTTTAATCTTAATGTAATGTTGAAAGCTTTTAGGCCAGGCGCGGTGGCTCACACCTGTAATCCCAGCACTTTTGGAGGCTGAGGCGGGAAGATCATGAGGTCAGGAGTTCGAGACCAGCCTGACCAACATGGTGAAACCCTGTCTCTACTAAAAATACAAACATTAGCTGGGCATGGTGGTGCATGCCTGTAATCCCAGCTACTCAGGAGGCTGAGGCAGGAAAATCACCTGAACCCAGGAGGCAGGGGTTGCAGTGAGCCTGGGGGACAGTGCAAGACTCCATCTAAAAAAGAAAAAAATAGAAAGCCTTTATAAGGAGGATTTTTCCTTTCTCTTTTTCCTGAGACAACGTCTTATTTTGTCACCCAGGCTGGAGTGCAGTGGCACGATCTCAACACACTGCAGCCTCAACATCCCAGGCTCAAGTGATCCTCCCACCTCAGCTTCCCAAGTAGCTGGGATTATACACACACGCCACTGCATCTGGCTAATTTATTTTTTGTAGAGATGGGGTTTTGCATTGTTGCTCAGGCTGGTCTCAAACTCCTGGGCTCAAGCGAGATCTGCCTGCCTCAGCTTCCCAAAGTGCTGAGACTACAGGTGTGAGCCACGGTGCCCGGCCAGGAGAACATATTTAAGTAGCACTTATATATTTTCAACATTTTAAAAACACTGGCAGAGATTAACCTACTAAAGTACATATGGCCAGAGTAACTGATGGGGAGAAAGAGAAAAAAAGGATAAAACCGTATGATTTTTTAAGTCTAAAAGCTAAAGAGACAGCAACAGTAACAGAAGGTAGCCTTTGTCCCCACCAAAAGACTTGTATAAGAATGTTCATAGCAGCAGCATTTATATAGCCCCAAACTGCAAATAATTCATTGTAGAATGGATAAGTAAACAGCAATATATGCACACTATAACTATTATATAGTAATTAAAAAGTAAACTATGGGCTGGACATGATGGCTCATGCCTGTAATCCCAGCACTTTGGGAGGCCGAGATTGGTGGATCCCGCGGTCAGGAGTTCAAGACCAGCCTGACCAACATGATGAAACCCCGTCTCTACTAAAAATACAAAAATTAGCAGGGCATGGTGGTGCGCACCTGTAATCCCAGCTACTCAGGAGGCTGAGGCAGGAAAATCGCTTGAACCTGGGAGGTAGAGGTTGCAGTGAGCTGAGATCACGCCACTGCACTCCAGCCTGCAAGACAGAGCAAGACTCCATCTTAAAAAATAAAAAAATAAAAAATAAAAAAAATTAGCCAGGCATGGTGCCGAGTGCCTGTAGTCCCAGCTACTAAGGAGGCTGAGATGGGAGGATTGATTGAGCCTGGGAGGTTGAGGCTACAGTGAGCCGTGTTTGCACCACCACACTCCAGCATGGGTGACAGAATGAGACCCTATCTCAAAAAACAACAGGCCAGGTGCAGTGGCCCACACCTGTAATCCCAGGACTTTGGGAGGCCAAGCAGGTGGATCACTTGAAGCCAGGAGTTTGAGACAAAACCCCATCTCTATTAAAAATACAAAAAAATTAGCCAGGTGTGGTGGTGGGTGCCTGTAGTCCCAGCTACTCAGGAAGCTAAGACACGAGGGTCATTTGAACCTGGGGGGCAAAGGTTGCAGTGAGCTGAGATCGCACCACTGCACTCCAGCCTGGGCGACAGAGTGAGCCTGTCTCCAATAAATAAATAAATAAACAAATAAACAAACAGCAGCAAAAAACAATAAACAGACAACAGTGATAGAAGGAAGCTCGTGTCAAGGTCCAGATGAGGGACCCAGACACCAAGGAAGCCCAGCATGGGGGAAGAAACCCAGCGAAGCTGCTGTGTTCCCCTTTTGATGGAGAGATGAGACTGGCTAGGCATGAGAGTGCAGAGACCTCAACATAAGCCCCTTAGTCTAAAAGAAGGATGTAGCCTCAGGAAGGGCCCTCAGTAGGGAACACAGGGTTTTCTGAGCTGGCTGCCAGAGTGGGAAATGAACAGCCACCTCCTGTACTATGGCAGCAGGAATAACTGCCAACACAGGCAAACCAGAGAGGCCACCCTCGACCCCTCAGGCCTGCATGTGAAGCACTGGCATGTGAAACACCGTGGTGGCCAGCACTGGTGTAAGCCAGGCCTGGCCCGAGACAGAACCATAGGCAGTCAGGGGGCCAGGAACACTTTTCTTACTTGGAATGGCCTGAAGGCTGAAAAGTACTGTCCCTCCCCTTCCAAATATGGAAGGGCCTAGCAGCTCCTAGATTCCAAAGAGCCCCTTCCCGGATACGTTCATTTCCAAAGTGGAGATAGCTTTGTGGTTGTTTTTATTTTTTCCCCATTGTACAAGTTAATTCATGCTGTTTAAAGAAAATATCAGAACAAAAAATGGAAAAGTACAAAAAGTAATCTTAAATCTGTAAACATACCCCTAAGATAACAACTCCAAAAGTGAGGATGATTTTCCTTCTAGACATAATACGCTTATCTACAAAATTGGATTGTGTTGTTTCAACTTGCTTAAGGTCACACAAATAAGTGGGTGATTTAGTATTTGAACCAAGTTTAGTCAGACCCTCACTCTGCACAACCCACCACACACCCCCTCAATGCCACCAAAGCCTCCTAGTGATGCAGCGAGGCCCCCACCCTTAAGCCTGCCCCTCCGGACCTGGACAATGAATGCTCTACTTTCCAACGCTGAATGGTGAATGGCCCCATGTTCTCATTATTTTTCCCACTCCAGGGATTCTCCTGAGTTCCTATAACAACCTGGCCAGATTCCATCTCACTTGACACAGTCATCAAAGGGAGCCCTCCTACCAAAAGAATAAATTCCAAAGAGCCCTCATCTTGGCAAAGGGCATGGGTTGCGGGAGAACAAGATCCAAGGTTCCTGCAGACAAATCTGAGGGCCCAGGACTGAAGGAAGCTGGAACCTGCTTTTCTGCCTCTGAGAGCTACAGGCTGGCCTTGGACCTTACGAAACCTCTGTCAAAGGCCGAGGGGCTGAGGCTCCAGGCCTGTAGGACAGGCAAGGCCCCAGGACAGCTGTCTGGACAGGGCCCTGAGGCCTGGCTGTTCTAGTGGCTGGTGTCCCCACTTCAGAGAAAGGGCCTATATCACAGATACCTGGGAAATGGGAGGAGAGTCTCCCTGTTTAAACTCTTCACACGCCCCTGGACCGTGAGGCTCAGCAGAAGGGCCCGGGTACTTGAGAGGTGGTGAAAGCTGGGAGGTTGGTGGCAGGGTGAACTCCGCAGGAAGTCTTTTCAACCAGAAACAAACAGGCACCAGCCCCTGAACACAAAGGCTGTGAGGGGCCCGGCTGTGGTTAGTGGGAGGACACAGCCCAGGCTGCTGCTTACCAAACACTACTCCATCGCCAGCCTGCCAGCAAGTGTCACCATGAGAGTCCCTCCATGTATTTGAGAGGGGTATGGTCTCCAGAAGATCCCTCTGGAGGGGCCTGCACCCAGGAGGTCTGCTCCAGCAGCACAGAATTTGAACAGAGGAGAATCCTGGCCCCACTGGTCCTGCCTCAAGGCCCCACCTGAGGGGAAAGGGTGGGAAGAGGGCAGGATACCCCGATGGAGGGGAATGGGGACAGAGGGACAAGGAAGAAAAAGAGGCACAAAAAGGAAAGCTGAGGAAGAGTCATCGGAAGCAAAACTCATCTCTTCTTGGAGAGACCAGGCCCTGTTCACAGGAGATATGGATAAGATTACCCCTCTGCATGTACACATGCTAGAAACATGGGGGCCATCCCCTCTCTGAGAAAACTGGGGCCAAGAGGGAAAGGTACTTCCTTGCCCAAGGTCACAGAGTTGGTGAGTGACACCTAGAAATCCCAGGAAACCTCAACTCTAGTTCCAAGCCATTTCCTTGAGACATCCACACAGAAGAACCTGCTGTACTCACGCCAGCAACCATCTCCCAAAGAAACCTCAGCAATGCCCAAAGCCCCCCCAGAACTGATGGCCTCTGAGGCAGTGCACCCCAAGTAAAAAAATAAACAGCCTCTTTTACTCTCAAAGCTGAGTCCAGCGTAACACAGAAAAAACGAACACACTTAGAGGAAGTAGGTACAGCTGAAACATGGGCCATTTCAGGCAAAGTAGAGAGTTTGGGAGCCCCAGTGGTTATAGAACTAAAAGACTGTGGCGGGGGGTGGGGGTGAGGGGATGAACTGGCAGTGGGGCGTGCAGGATGGCAGGGAGGTTATGTTCCACCATGTCTTGATGGTTCAGTAGCTGACTGTTCTCACTGGGCCAATCTTGCACCACTGAGGGCAGGGCCGTGCATCCTTACCACAGCTTGACCATTACTAGAGTCGCCTCCAAGCAGTGGGTCTCGGAGGCCCAAGGTAATGGTTATGTGCAGGCAAAGTCCCAAGCCTTTCTCTTGTCTTCCCTCAGCCATCCCCAACTCCATGTTCCCACCCAGCAGTCCTGGAACCCCCAGGGTTCTACCTGTCTGTGCTGCGATGGGTCCTTGGCTCCCATCAGCCAGAAGCCCACCCTATGAGATGCCCAAAGAAGGGGAACCAGGGACACGTCGCTTTCCCTGCCCTGACCTCTAGTTGCCTTAGGAGGCCAAGTGAGGTAAACTGATGCAGTTCCAGCAGCATGACAGGCAGCCTATCCCTTCAGAAAAGAAACCGATCCACTTATCCCAAGAACTTTAAGCCTGGCTACCCTCCTCTTGGAATTTACTCTAAAAAGTAAACTTAGCAAAAACTAAAAGCGATATGTTGGCCGGGTGCAGCAGCTCACGCCTGTAATCCCAGCACTTTGGGAAGTTGAGGCAGGCAGATTACTTGAGGTCAGGAGTTCGAGACCACCCTGGCCAACATGGTGAAACCCCATCTCTACTGAAAATACAAAACTTAGCCGGGCATGGTGGCACACACCTGTAGTCCCAGCTACTCGGGAGGCTCAGGCAGGAGAGTCGCTTGAACCCGGAAAGTGAAGGCCACAGTGAACCGAGATCACGCCACTGCACTCCAGCCTGGGCAATAGAGTGAGACTCCATCTCAAAAAAAAAAAAAAAAGTAATATGTCTAAGGCTATTTTGTCCAGGAAAGCAAAAGATAGGAAACAACCTATCTGTTAGACCAAAAAGTCTAATGGGATGGTTATTTATGCCACAAAACTTGATTTTTAAAAATAATAAAGACTTGGTGTAGTCCCAGCTACTTGTGAGGGTGAGGTGGGAGGATCTCGAGCCTGGGAGGCTAAGGCTGCAGTGAACCATGATCACTGCCACTGCACCCCAAAAACTATTTTTAAAGTTATAAAGACTTGGAAATGAATAGAATAAAAAAAGTGTATGTTCAGTGTCATAATTGCCAAAATGTATGCAGATGGACAAGAACTTGAAGTATCTAAGGGTACTGACAATGGGGATGTTTTAAATTTAAAAATTCCATCAAAGATTTTGAAGTTACACTATCCAGTGCTGTCTAAAATACATTTTTTTCTTTTTGGTTATTTTTTCCTTTTTTTTTTCCTACAATACATTTAAATGGACATCTCACTTGCTGCTATTGGGAGTATAAATATAAAATCTTGGGCCGGGTGCGGTGGCTCACACCTGTAATCCCAGCACTTTGGGAGGCCAAGGCAGGTGGATCATGAGGTCAGGAGTTCAAGACCAGCCTGGACAACATGGTGAAACTCCATCTCTACTTAAAATACAAAAATTAGCTGGACGTGGTGGCAGGCACCTGTAATCCCAGCTACTCAGGAGGCTGAGGCAGAGAATTGCTTGAACCTGGGAGGCTGCAGTAAGCCAAGATCGCACCACTGCACTCCAGCCTGGGTGACAGAGTGAGACTCCATCTCGTAAAAAAAAAAAAAAAAAAAAAAAAAAATATATATATATATATATATATATATATATACACACATATATATATATATATAAAATATATATGTGTGTGTATGTATATATATGTGTATATATATGTACATATATATGTGTATATATGTATATATATGTATATATACATGTATATGTGTGTGTGTGTATATACATATAAAATCTTGGTACAGGTTGGTATAATTTGCAGGACAATGATATGGTTTGGCTGTGTCTCTACCAAAATCTCACCCTAAATTATAATAATCCCCCCATGTCAAGGGCGGGGCCAGGTGGAGATAATTGAATCATGGGGCAATTTCCCCCATACTGTTCTCATAGTAGTGAATAAGTCTCATTAGATCTGATGGTTTTATAAATCAGAGTTCCCCTGCACTAGCTCTCTTGCCTGCCGCCATGTAAGATGTGACTTTGCTCCTCATTCACCTTCTACCATGACTGTGAGGCCTCCACAGCCATGTGGAACTATGAGTCCATTAAACCTCTTTCCTTTATAATTACCCAGTCTTGAGTATGTCCTTATTAGCAGCATGAGAACAGACTAATACAGTAAATGTGAAATATTTATCTAAAGTCTTTCATCTGGATATTCCTCTTCTAGAAATTTATCCAACGGAATTAAAGGAAAAACAGTGAGATTTCTGTAAGAGGATATTTATTGCAATATTATTTATGAAAAAGAAACCACCCAAATGGTCAAGAGTAAATAATTAATAGAATAACCATGTGATGAATTATTATGCAGTTAAACACATTTTAAAACATTTCATGACATGAAAAACTGCTCATATACTCATAGGTAAAAGTATATACTTCAGGTATCATGCATACCATGGATATCCATTGCTATATAACCATGTATGACATCTATGTATCATGTATATACACGTATCATGCATATGTGCATATGATTCCTTATATATATTTATATAGAGATATAGATACGTACATATTGTATCAGTCATCCCAGTTTTTGTTTGTTTTTGAGACAGAGTCTCTGTCACCCAGGCTGGAGTGCAGTGATGTGATCTCGGCTCACTGCAACCTCCACCTCCCGAGTTCAAAATTCTTGTGCCTCAGCCTCCCGAGTAGCTGGGATTACAGGCATGTGCCACCACACCCAGCTAATTTTTGTATTTTTAGTAGAGACGAGGTTTCACCATGTTGCCCAAGCTGATCTCAAACTCCTGACCTCAGGTGATCCACCTGCCTCAGCCTTCCAAAGTATTGGGATTATAGGCATGAGCCACTGTGCCCGGCCAGTCATCCCAATATTGCACACATACATGGACCAAAATGTTAATGGTGATTATTTCTAGCAGGTTGGATGATGAGCAGTTTTTATTTTCTTTAGACTTTTATATGTCTTCCAGTATTTAGGAACTACTACCAGTATCACATCACATCAGGAAGCACACAACGTCAGTTTCTTTTCAATTGTTAGGGATGCTAAGTTTGGTCATCTGGCTAAAAGGTGTCCACTATTATAAGTAACATTGCAATTAATATCCTTGTATATAAATCTCACTGTACTTCTCTTAATTCCTTTGGATAAATTTCTGGAAGTGAGATTTCTGAATGAAAGACATTTTAAGGTTCTCCATTATAAAGGTACCCTTTCTTCTCCTTTGTAATTGCTAAGTAATCTGCAGGGTGATACTTTGAGAGCGAATGAGTATTCAGTTTCCCAAAAACGTTTTACTCTTTGGAAATAGTATTTATTAATGATCCTGGACAGAATCAGTTACTTCACTGAGTTACCAAAGGTAAAAAGAAGAGCTTCCCCATTCACATTTTTAGTATTACTATGTTATCTTACACTAACTGTGCTGCTATAACAGAATGCCACAGACTAGATAATTTATAAAGAACAGAAATTTATTTCTCACAGTTCTGGAAGCTGGAAGTCCAAGATCAAGAACCAGCATTTGGTATCTGGTGAGGGCATCTTTCTGAGGGAAGGAAGGCTGTGTACTCAACAGAACAGAACGGCAAGAGGGCCAAACCCTGTGTGAAACCTCTTTTATTTTTTGAGATAGTGTCTTGCTCTGTCACCCAGACTGGAGTGCAGTGGCGTGATCACAGTTCACTGCAACCTCGACCTCCCAGGCTCAACCGATTCGAGTAGCTGGGACTATAGGTGCATGCCACGACACCCAGCTAATTTTTGAAAAATTTTTTTAAGAGTTGGGGTCTGGCCATGTTGCCCAGGCTGGTCTCAAACTCCTGGGCTCAAGTGATTCTTGAGCCTTAGCCTCCCAAAGTGCTGGGATTACAGCCGTGAGCCACCATACCCGGCCAGGCCTCTTTTACAAGGGCCTTAATTCCATTCATGAGGGAGGGACCCTCATGGCCTAATTGCCTCTTAAAGATCCCACCTCTTAATACTATCACATTTGCCATTAAGTTTCAACACCTGAATTTTGTATGGGACACATTTCAGCCATAGCATCTCACCCTGGCCCCCCAAAATTTATGTCCTTCTCACAAATATTCATTCCATCTCAGTAGCCCCAAAAGTCAGTCATTCCAGCAGCAACTCAAAAGTCTGAAGTCAGAGTCTCATCCAGAATCCTCTAAATTAGGTATGGATGAGACCCAAAGGTGTGATTCATCCTGAGGCAAATTTTCCTCCAGCTGTGAGCCTGTAAAATCAAACAAGGTACAATGGTGGGACAGGCACAAGACGAATATTTATCTTCCAAAAGGGAGAAATACGAAAAAAAAAAAAAAAGGAGTACCAGGTCCTCAGTAAATCTAAAATCCAACAGGGCAAACAACATTCGATCTTGAGAATCATCTTTGATTCCATGTCCTGCCTTCCAGACACACTGGGGCAGGAGTTAGGCCCCCAAGGCCTTGGACAGCCCCACCCCCATGGCTTTGCCAGACAGCCATGCTTCAGCTCTCACACATTGAGGTTGCATTCCTGCGGCTTTCCCAGGCTGGTGCTGCATGCTGGTGGCTCTATTGTTCTGGGGTTGCAGAGACAGCCCTATCCCCACAATGCCACTAAGCATTCCCCTGGTGGAAACTGCAGTGGTTCCACACCTGCAGCAACTCTCTTCCTGGGCCCCAAGGCTGTCTGCAACATTCTTTGAAATCTTGGTGGAGGTAGCGCCGCAGCCACAGCGCACGCACACACACACACACACACACACACACACCCCTGCAGAGTTAGCACCACATGGATGCTGCCAAGGCTTACGCTTGTGCCCTCTGGAGCAGTGGCCCAAGCTGCACCTGGGTCTGCCTGAGCCACAGCTGGGGTGGCTGAGAAGCAATGTGCCAGAATACAGTGGGCAGAGACAAGGGGCAGTGAGCCCTGAAGTCCCACAGACACTCTACACGCCACCCTTAGAAACTTCTGCCCCTAAGGCCTTGGCACTCTGGGTCTGTGATGGATGTGGCAACCTCAAAGATCTGAAATGCCTTCAGGGGTCATTCTCGCATTGTCTTAATGAATAGCACCTGGCTTCCTTCTAGCCATACTAATCTCCTTATCAAATGGTCACTTGGCCACACTGCTGGTTTCTCCTAAACATGATTTTTTATTCTTTACATGGCCAGGCTAAGAATTTTCCAAATATGTATGCTCTGCTTCCCTTTTCATTATAAATTCTATTTTTGAATTGTTTCGCTCTTCTTACGTTTTACTATAAGCAGTTAAGAGAAGCCATGAAGCATCCTGAATGCTTTGCTGCTTAGAGATTTCTGCCACATACCCTAGTTCATTGCTCTCAAGCCCTGCCTTCCACGAAGTCCTAGGACACAGGCATAATTTGGCCAAGTTCTTTGTCACTGTAATAAGAATGGCCTTTCCCCCATTTCCAATACCTTGTTCCTCATTTCTGTTTCATACCTTATCAGAAGGGTCTTCACTGTCACTATCCCATAAGTTACTTCTAAAAGGAAGGAGGCTTTCCCACAGCTCTTCTCTTCTGAGCCCTCATCTGAATTGCCTTTATTGCTCTGTTCATGGCAATGAGACTTTTTCCAGCACTTTTTTTTTTTTTTTTTTTGAGACGGAGTCTTACTCTGTCACCCAGGCTGGAGTGCAGTGGTGCAATCTCAGCTCACTGCAACCTCTGCTTCCCGGGTTCAAGCAATTCTCTGCCTCAGCCTCCCGAGTAGCTGGGATTAAAGGTGCCCATCAGCATGCCTGGCTAATTTTTGTATTTTTAGTAGAGACAGGGTTTCACCATCTTGGCCAGGCTGGTCTTGAACTCCTGACCTTGTGATCCACCTGCCTCGGCCTCCCAAAGTGCTGGGATTACAGGCGTGAGCCACCGCCCCCAGCCTTCCAGCACTCATTTCAAAACCATTCCAGCCTCTACCCTTTACCAAGCTCCAGAGCTGCTTCCACATTTTTAGGTATTTGTTATAGCAACACCCCACTTCTGTAGTATCAATTTCTGTTGTAGTCCGTCTGTGCTGCTATAACAGAATACCACAGGCGGGTAATTTACAAAGAACAGAAATTTATTTCTCACAGTTCTGGAGGCTGGAAGTCCAAGATCAAGGAACCAGCATTCAGTGTCTGGTGAGGTCTGCATCCTTCAGAGGGGAGAAATATTGTTGTCTCACAGGGAAGAAGGCAGAAAGGCAAGAGACCCTAGCAGCTGTGGGAAGCCTTTTTTATAAAGGTTTTAATCCCAGTCACAGCCTAACCATCTCGTAAAGGCCCCACCTCTTAATACTATCACATTCACCATTATGTATGGCGTGGACACATTCAAACCATAGCTTATGAACTCACGGATTTTTTTTTTAATTTAATGTGTTACAATCCATTGCTGTTTTTCTTAATGCTCAAATTGTCCCAATGCAGCCAGTGGATTTCCTTTCAAGCCAGTTCCTTTGTCTCCATCATTCTTTGAGCACTTCCTCGCTTTCTGTAGCAACACTTGCAGCCTCAGACCTGGAATCCACCATTTATCCAGGAAGCCCTCGTTCCTTTTTGTGGGTAGCAGTATTTAGAAACCAAGATCTGGGTGCTACATGTGTTCATAGTTACTGTGGTGTCAAAAGTTCTAGGCCCTTTCAGAAAACAGAGCCAGAAAATTAGAAAATGTAAGAGAGAGAGTGTGTGTGTGTGTGTATGCGTGTGTGTGTGTGTGTGTGTGTGTGTGTGTGTGATGAGTGCATATTGGTACCTCCAATTCAAATACAACATCACATAGTTCTTTGTCTTTTCCCCTACTCTGTATTTGTATCTCTCATCTCCCACAGTGAAAATGCTGGTTCTCCCCATCAGTATAATTATTTATTCTATCCTATAATATACCCCAAATAGTTTCAGATTGTGACACGAGTTCTAGTATTGAATTGTTATTAATACTATTTCAGTTAGTTTTCTATGCCCTTCATGATGATAATCTGTCAGCCATTCATTTCCTTAAGTAATTACTGAATTCAGGATAGCAAATGCCTTCCATCTTCGGTCCATAATTAAGAGTAATTCAGATGTTGTACAGCCTTGTCTTTAGAGATCTAGATCTAATTCCCTGGCCTACAGAGAAGGCCAAAGATTTCTCCCTTTTGCTTCTGCAAGCTCCTGGTAGTTTCCTTCATTGAAAATAATTCTGCACACACTGCACCCTGGCAAGGAGACTCATAGCCCTTCAAGATTCCCCCACATGGCCAGACACAGTGGCTCATGCCTGTAATCCCAGCACTCTGGGAGGCCAAGGCGGGCAGATCACTTGAGGTCAGGAGTTCAAGACCAGCCTGGCCAACATGGCAAAACCCCGTCTCTACAAAAATACAAAAATTATCCGAGCATGGTGGCATGCACTTGTAGTCCCAGCTACTCAGGAGGCTGAAGCACGAGAATTGCTTGAGCCCAGGAGGCAGAGGCTGCAGTGAGCCAAGATGCCACCGCACTCCAGCCTGGGCAACAGAGTAAGACTCTGCCTCGAAAAAAAAAAAAAGGAAAAAAAAATCCCCCAAATCATCTCTTGCAGAGATTTCACAAACCAGGCATATTTTGCTGACAACTTCCCAGGAATTATGGTAGAAGGAATAACAGCGCAAATTCACAGCTCTCACAAAAACAGTCAGCAACACTGATCTCAAAAGAGCCCCCAGCCACACCTCATTGTGGCATTTCTTTATTGGTCTTTCAGCTCATCTCAGTATCATGCTCTCCTTCCCGCTGTTTTTTTCCTCCTCTTCCTTCCCTCTCCTTTCTCCATTTAGGATCAAAATGCACCATTCTTCTCCTCTGTCAAGCAGGGCAACCTCCTCCTCTGAAGCTTTGTTCAAGGCATTCTTAGAACAAAGACAGCCTTCTTCCTAAGAAAAATTACAGTGAATAAAATTTCCTCTGCCTTATTACACATACAAGGGTTGGGATCTTTTTAAAGTGAGGTCATTTATAAACTACAAAGAAGTACCTGCAAAATTCCCTCAAGAGGAGTTTCTCCATTGATTCAGCTAATGTCCCTCAGAACCAGGTCACCAGATGGCTCAAGCTGCCTAGGATCTTTCTACTTCTGGACCCCCCAGCTTCCAGAGCCACCTCCTCAAGTCCTCACGACCTCTACTGTTCTCTCTTCATCACAGACAAATGAGCTCATCCAAATTTCCTCCAGCTAAGCAGCAACCACCCCGTGCTCCCTCCCAGGACACCAGCCAAGGGCCCTGGGAGGAAAACAGTATTTATGAGCCATGGTCTGTGGACTGACTCCAGCATTGAGGGGGAGCCTGGCCCTCCCAGTGCCCCACAGCTCATCGGGAGGGACTCAGAGGCCTCTAATTTCCCATTGCATTGATGGAGATGACCTTGCTAAATAACCTGCCTAGACGAGAGCCAATGAGGAGTATGGCCGCTATCTTGCTTGCCCAGAGGTCCCATTCATGGCCCTTCCAGAGTTTGTGGAGCCTAGAAGATCTTCTGTTGGCAGAAGCTTTCAAAAAGGCCAGCAGGTAGTCCTGGAAACAATCCCCAACTGGGGTACAGTGGGGAGGAGAAGTGCAGATCTTTCTACAAAGTCTATCTGAATCTCTGATGACAGAAAGGAACATTGAAATTTGAAAAATACTCTAAAATTGGAGTTGCCTTCATTATTTTCTAGTCAGTAAATATTTAAGTTGCCTTGATATTTAAATTAATAGTTTTTTTTAAGTATGAAATTTAGACAATTTACTCATAGGAGAAATGGGCCAAAAATGTACAAGAATGTTGGGGTCTTTCAAAATGCAAGAGTTGAAGAATAAAATTGTGGTACAAGGAGGAGAGTAGTGAAATGAAATGATCCGAGAATGGGAGGAGGAGGGACTGGGAAAAGGGAGCGGGGACCCTCCTGGCACAGGCAGCATGCTACCCTGTAGCTGCTCATCCATCACCAAAGCCCCTGCCTGTTCATGGTAATCTGGCAAGCAATGAAATACCTCCCTGCTTCCCACGTCTCCCTCTACCATGTCTCAATATGTCTTGAAGTCCACCATTAGCACCTCTATCCTTTAAGTCTCAGCTGACTCCTCCATCAAATAGGTGGCATTTATGTTGGGATTTTAGGACTGCAAATGTGTCTAGTTTTGCAGTTCTGGAACTTTCTAGAATCACACATTAGGTGGGCTAGATAAGTAGTTTCTCTAGTTTTGTGCTCTTGCAACTTTTTATGTAATTGCATTGATTATTCCTTGATTACTTCTTAGGAGAATCCAGACAGAGCCCAGGTAAGCAACTAAAATACCTATGCCCTTTGTCCTTCTGAGATGCAGTAGGAAACCACCTGTCAGGGTAATTCCCACATTTCATGTTACTGGGCTGCTCCCCTGGACATGAGGGGGGATGGTTCTAGGCCCAGGTGCCCAGCAAGCCTTGTGCTCCTTTCTATCATGGCTTTTCTCTCCCAGAGCTGGTCAACTCCAGGGCTTAAAGCAAGTAAGCCAATGTCAGCACAGAGAAGATGTGCAGTGAAGTGCTGCCCACGTGACGGCCAGGGCCAAAGCTCAGGCCTTCTGCCGTGTAATCTCGGGCAAGTTCCCTAAACTCAAGTTATTTGAACAGGAATGCAAATGGGGTGAGAATAAGGGTCTGGAGACAAGGGTCCCCGGGTTCATACCCTGGCTCCATCACTTGCCAGAACCATATGCATGAGGCTTAACTTCCAGTCTGTCCTTTTCTTTGTCTGTAAAATGGAACTTATAATAGCATCCACATCTTAGGGCTGCTTTGAGTTAATCTGATAAGTTAATGCATGTAAAATGCTTACAAATTGCCTTGTTCATAGTACTTAATAAATATTTGACATTTTAGGCCGGGCACGGTGACTCCCGCCTATAATCCCAGCAATCTGGTAGGCTGAGAGGGGTGGATTTCTTTTTTTTCTTTTTCTTTTTTTTTTTTTTTTTGAGACAGAGTCTCACTCTGTTGCCCAGGCTGGAGCACAGTGGCACGATCTCAGCACAATGGCACGATCTCGCCTCACTGCAAGCTCCGCCTCCCAAGTTCACGCCATTCTCCTGCCTCAGCTTCCTGAGTAGCTGGGACTACAGACACCCACTACCACGCCTGGCTAATTTTTTTGTATTTTCAGTAGAGACCGGGTTTCACCATGTTAGCCAGGATGGTCTCAATCTCCTGACCTCGTTATCTGCCCGCCTTGGCCTCCCAAAGTGCCGGGATTACAGGCGTCGGCCACCGGGCCAGTGAATGTCTTGAGGCCAGGAGTTTGAGACAAGCTGGCCAACATGGTGAAATCCAGTCTCTGCTAAAATACAAAAATTAGCCACGCGTGATGGTGCATGCCTGTAATCCCAGCTACTCGGGAGGCTGAGTCACGAGAATCACTTGAACCCGGGAAGTGGAGGCTGCAATGAGCTGAGAACATGCCACTGCACTCCAGCCTGGGCAACAGAGCAAGACCTTATCTCAAAAAATAAATAAATAAAAATAAATAATATTTGACATTTTATATGTACATATATTCCTACATACATTTGTAAATACATATAAAAAGTCCGTCAAATTAGCCTGTTGTGGTGGCAGGTGCCTGTAATCCCAGCTAATTTGGAGGCTGAGGCAGAAGAATCACTTGAACCTGGGAGGCGGAGGTTGCAGTGAGCTGAGATCGTGCCATTACACTCCAGCCTGGGGGACAAGAGCGAGACTCTGTCTCAAAAAAAAAAAAGTATGTCAAGGCCAGGCGCAGTGGCTTACGCCTGTAACCCCAGCATTTTGGGAGGCTGAGGTGGGTGGATCACCTGAGGTTGAGAGTTCAAGACCAGCCTGACCAACATGGAGAAACCCCATCTCTACTAAAAATACAAAATTAGCCGGGCATGGTGGCGCACACCTGTAATCCCAGCTACTTCGAAGGCTGAGGCAGGAGAATCGCTTGAACCTGGGAGGCAGAGGTTGCGGTGAGCTGGGATCACACCATTGCACTCCTATCTGGGCAACAAGAGCAAAACTCCGTCTCAAAAAAAAAAAAAAACACAAAAAACAAAAAGTCTGTCAAGACATACTTCTTAGAATGGCTGAAATAAAACAAGATTTTTAAATTTGACAATAGCAAGTGTTGGTGAGGAAGTGGAGCAACTGGAACTCTCATACACTGCTGATGGAAATGTAAAATGTACAACGCTTTGAACAACAGTTTGGCAGTTTCTGATAAAGTTAAACATATATTTATCACACTTATCATAGGATCCAGCAATCCCATTCTTATTCCTTCAAGAGAAATGAAAGCATACATCCACACAAAGAATGTTCATATAGTTTTATTCATAATAGCCAAAAAACTGGAAAGAATCCAGGTGTTTATCAACAAGTGAATGGATAAACAAATTCTGGAACATCCTTTCAATGGGACACTACTCAGCAGTAAGAAGGGATTAACTACTAATACATGCAATGACACAAATGAATCCCAAAAGCATTTTTTTTTTAAAAGATAGGGTCTCACTCTGTTACTCAGGCTGGAGTGCAGTGGTACAATCATGGTTCACTGCAGCCTCAACTTCTCAGGCTCAAGCAATCCTCCCACCTGAGCCTCTCGAGTAGCTGGGACTACAAGCATGCACCACCACACTCGGATAATTTTTTAAAATTTTGTAGAGACAAGTCTCACTGTGTTGCCCAGGCAGGTCTCACTATGTTGCCCAGGAGGATAACTCCTGCCTCAGCCTCCCAAAGTGATGAGATTACAGGTGTGAGCCATTGCACCCAGCCTCAAAAGCATTGTGTTAAGGTAAAGAAGCCAGATACAGAAGCCTGCATACTGTAGGATTCCATTTATATGACATTCTGGAAACAGCAAAACAACAGAAACAGAAAGCAGATGATTGGTTGACAGGGGGTGAAGACAGGGAGGAATTGATTATAAAGAGGTATGAGAGAACATGTAGGGTTATGAAAATGCTTCACATCTTGATTGCCCATATGGTTTGCTTCTGTGTCCCCACCCAAACCTCATCTCAAATTGTAAACCCCATAATCCCCACATGTTGAGAGAGGACATGGTGGGAGGTGATTGAATGATGGGGATGGTTCCCCCATGCTGTTCTCGTGATAGTGAGTTCCCATGAGATCTGATGGTTTGTAAGTGCTCAGAAGCTCCTCCTCCATTCCTCTCTCTCCTGCCACCTTGTGAAGAAGGTGCCTGCTTCCCCTTCCACCATATCATTTCCTAAGGCCTCCCCAGCCATGAGGAACTGTGAGACAATTAAACCACTTTTTTTATTAATTACCCAGTCTCGGGAATTTCTTTATAGCAGTATGAGACCGGACTAATACAACTGTGATGGTGGACACACGACTGAATATGGCTGTCAAAACTTAAAGAACTGCACACATAAGAAAGGTAAATTATACCTTAATAACCTGATGTTAAAAGCCATTAACAGCTGTTACCTATAAGAGGAGGGAACTAAGTAGGGAGGACGATTAAAGGATACTTTTTTCTACTTAAACATATTTGTACTGTTTGAACTTTTCTAATGAGCAAATAACTTATGTACTTGATAATAATTTCTTGAAAGTTTTAAAGAATAACAATAATATCTATCTTAAAGGGTTGTTGTGAGATCCAAATGATATAATGTAAAAAGCATACAGCACAATGTATCAACTCAGATACAGACAGACACACAGATACATAAACAGACAGCTACAGGTAGAGAGAATTTGTTACCTTCCTCTCACCTCTCACCTCCCCTATTCTCTTCACTCCCCCATCCTCACCCTCCCTTAATGACCCACATATTCTGAAATGACAAGGTACAAAGGCCCAAGGGCCACTGAGGTGACAGCCATGACTTACCTCAGTGACAAAGAGTGTGCGAGGGTCGATGATATCCAAGAAGTGCCTGAAGCGGCCATAGAAGGACGTCTGAAGAAGAGGATGAGAGAGAAGAGTGAATGGATCAGCTGCTGCACACCCTTCTCCAGACACTGGAGAGCCCCACCCTTTATGATTGGGGTCCCCCGGTCCCCAGGACTCCTCGTGTGGGTGATAAATGCCAATGAGGCCTCAGAAATCTAAGGACAGCTTTCCTGGGGCTGAGAGTTTTCCAAAGTCAACTCAGAGAGACCACTGAGATACTCAAGGACAGGCCCATCTGCTCTTCCAGGTGACTTCCATTTTCCCCTCTCTCTCCCAGTGCCCTGAGATCTATTCTGAGCCTATTAAAAGCTCCCAAGCATCCCTGGACATGTAGGCTGAAGGTGAGGCCTGGTCCCCAGCCCTCTCCCAGCCTCCCTGCCTTGCTCAGGACCTTGAGTGACAAAGCATCCTGCCTACCCGCCACAGGGTCCCTCCCCAAGGTCCAGCTCTGCCTCCAGGGGGGATCCCCAAGGGCAGCTCAAGCCTAAAAGCACTGAGCTCACAATCCTCAGGCCCTCCTTCACCCACAGCCCTGTAGCTGCTGAAGTGCAGGACAAGGGGCAGCTCCCCCAACCTTGCCCCAGAGCAGGGGCCGTGGAAAAGGAGGGCTTTATGCTAAGCGCAGCCACAGGCATTGGAGCACAATGAAAGGAAACCAAGCAACCCGGCTGCTGGGCCTTCTGCCCTGGGGACTAAGCCAGCTGGGCAAAGCTGAGCTCAAGGGGAAGACAGAGGGTGCCAAGCTCGGGGATGAAGGGGAAGCTGCAATCGCTGGGGTTCATGCCTCACTACACTCCGGGCTCTGCCCCAAATTCCTCCCTGGAGCCCCACAACTCTCCAAGCACCATCCTTTGCACAGTGGAGGAAACAGAAGCCTCCACATTCCCTCCCCTTATTTAGTAGGACACCAGACCCTGCAGCCAATTCCTGTTCCTTTCCCTTCCCAATAAGGACCCTGCAATAGGCTCCAGGTCACCTCAAAGTCCCCCCACACACCAGTTCTCATCCCACCTCCATTTCTCTCCCACCATGGCACCCCTGCATGAAGCAACCTCTAACCCCTAATGCCACCCCTACCCAGGTGCTGTCTCTCACAAACCAGATCAAGCTTTGGTCCATTCCTAACAGAAACAGCTGCCTCTCTAACCTCTTATAATCCACACAGCCCAGACCATTTTCCCATTAAAGACATACATAAGGGAGGCTCACAATGCTGTCCTGGCAAAATTTCACCTCTGAGAATGTAGTCTAAGGAAACAATCCAAGATGTTCAAAGATCTGGTCAGGTGTACATACCAAGGATATTCACTGCTGCATTCTTTACAAAGGTGGATGGTTAAATAAATGATGGTCCATTCATATGACTGAATACTATGCAGCCTTTAAAACTATGTTTTCAAACATTTATGACATGGAATAATGCTTAAAATTTTATGAAATGCATATAAGCAGTGTGATTCCAACTCAATAAACAAGGGGATAAACAGAGCTAGACAGATACTAAGTGAAAAGCAAAAAGACCAAATGACATCCAGATCCTGGTCCACTAACAGAGACCAGGGTTCCTTAGGAAAGGAGCGGATTCAAAGGCTGGGGTAGGGAGGGTACAAGATGAAACTGGTACATTTTGTTGCACCAGGAAGTAATGAAGTCTTACCCCCAAAAAATGATGGGGATATGTTAAAAGGATCAACGAAGGGCAGGTGGGACACTGTGTTCTTCCAAATGTGATACCCCGAGAAGTCCACAGCATCACTCACATAATATTCCAAAGGGACTAAATAAATCTAATCACAAGAAAACAACACAAACCCACACTGACAGACATTCCATAAATTAATTGGTTTTGTTCATCAAATATGTCAATGTCATAAAGACAAAGAAAGAGTGGGAATGAGACTGTTCCACATTAAAGAAACTAAAGAGACAACTAGATGCACTGTGTAACTCGGGATTGGATCCTGGCGTAGAGGGGGGAATGCTCTCAAGAGCATTACTGAGACAAGTGACAAAAGTGGAATATGGACCATAGGTTAATAAAAGTGTTGTATCCATGTTAAGTCTCCTGAATATAATTACTACACTGCGGTTATATAAGAGAATGTCCTTGTTCTTTTTTTTTTTTTTTTAAGACAGGGTCTAACTCTGTTGCCCAGGCTGGAGTGCAGTGGCACGATCTCAGCTCACTGCAACCTCTGCCTCCCGAGTTAGCAATTCTCCTGCCTCAGCCTCCCGAGTAGCTGTGACTACAGGCCAGTGACACCACGCCCGGCTTATTTTTTTTGTATTTTTAGTTGAGACAGGGTTTCACCATGTTAGCCAGGATGGTCTCGATCTCCTGACCTCATGATCTGCCCACCTCGGCCTCCCGAAGTGCTGGGATTACAGGCGTGAGCCACCGCGCCTGGCCAAGAATGTCCTTGTTCTTAAAAGATATATGCTGGACCGGGCGTGGTGGCTCATGCCTGTAATCCCAGCACTCTGGGAGACCAAGGCAGGCAGATCACCTGAGGTCAGGGGTTCAAGACCAGCCTGGCCAACATGGTGAAACCCCGTCCATACTAAAAATATAAAAATTAGCCAGGTGTGGTAGTGCAATCCCAGCTACTTGGGAGGCTGAAGCAGGAGAATCGCTTGAACCTAGGAGGTGGAGGTTGCAGCGAGCAGAGATCGCGCCACTGCACTGCAGCCTAGGCGACAGAGCAAGACTCTGTCTCAAAAAAAAAAAAAAAAAAAGTCACATACTCTGATGTATTAGGAGATGAATGAATACAACCTATTTGTAAATAGTTGAAGAAAAATAACATGTGTAAAAATACAGGGCAGCCATAAAACCTGGAAATGTAGATACTATAATTGAATGCAGATTGAAGATGTCCTAATGATACCATGTATATTTGCTATCTTTTCAGACTTTATGATTACCTGTAGACAAAGAGAATAATAAAGGAAATGTGATGTTAAAAATTGGTAGATCTAGGCAAATAGCGAAGTTTTCCTTATTCTTGCAACCTTTCTGTAAGACTAAAAGTGTTTCAAAATAAAAAGGTAAAAATTATATTTTCAAAAAAGCTAGATGAAAATATACTAAAATGCTAATAGAGATTGCCTCTGGGTAATAGGCTTATGTATGATTTATATTTCCAGATCTTTAAATTGCTTTTGAAATTAAAAAAATCAATATTATACCTAATATACAGAAATGATATTACATTTAAAAATACATATTTAGAGTAAAATGCAAGCCAGTCACAGTGGCTTGCTCCTATAATCCCAGCTACTTGGGAGGCTGAAGTGATAGGATCACTTGAGCCCAGGAGTTTGAGATCAGCCTGGGCAACACAGTGAAACCCCATCTCTACAAAAAATTTTAAAAATTAGCCAGGCATGGTGGTATACACCTGTAGTCCCAGCTACTTAGGAGGCTGAGGTAGGAGGACCACTTCAGCCCAGGAGTTCGAGGCTGCAGTGAGCTATGATCATGCCACTGCACTCCAGCCTGGGTGACAGAGTGAGAGCCTGTCTCCAAAAATAAAATAAAGTAAAACATGAACTGATATTTTAAGTATTATACTTGATTAAGAGCTCCTGAAGGACATGGGCTATTGAATGTTCCTTCCTTATCCTCCCTGGCTCGAAGTCTCCTTACATATCTGGAAGGAAGGGTCTTCTGCCACAGGAATCCATGAGTGGGCTGATGAGCAGCCAATGGCCTCAAGGCTTCTGGGTGGGGTAGAGCTGGGCTGGGCTTTGAAGGGAGGGCAGGATTAGGAAAGGGTAACAGTATGGCAGCTAGTGGTCCAAGGAGGAAAGAGGATGAGCAGGGGAAGAGGAGAGAACCTGGAAGTAGAATGGCCTGAGTGAAGCAACTTCTTGAAGATGGTCCAGCAGAAACTTCAGCCTTTGACTTGTCCTATGGTCTGGCACGGTCTTCATCCTGTCCCAGCCCTGCCAGCCTTCTTGTGTCACTTTCGACCATAGCTACTGGGGGAGACTCCCAGATAAGGCATTTTGCTCCACAGACACCTACAAACTCCTAATGAGCTAGGCTCAGGGGACAGACACCAAATGAACAAGCCCTCAAAGAGCTCACAGCCCATCAAAACAGACTAATAACTATAAACAAGTAACTACAAAACACTGATCAGAGTTTAAATGAAGCATCGCGAAGTATACTGGGGACACACAGAGTTCTTCCTATGTCTTCCTAGTTTAAGTCAAGGAGGTGTCCCAGAGGAGCTGGGACCAAGGGATGGATGAGTTTACCTAGCAGAGGAGGGTATATGCAAGAGGATGAAAGCATAAAGCTTAGGATCAGAAGCTGCACCAGACTCCTGTGGTCTCTTCATTCATTCATCATTCAACCCACTACCGAGGATCTACTGTGTGCCCAGCACTGTGCTAGGTCCTGGAGGTAGCAAGGCTGACCGACTGTGGGGAAATGAGGAAGAGCAGCCACAGATGATGCCTCACTTTCTAGTGAGACATGAATGTTTGTTAACCAGAATAGGGACAGGAAGAAGCATACTGATTAAGTGGAAAGAAGATAAAAACTCTGTATTGGTCATATCAGTCTGAGATATTTAAAGGGACTTCCAGATATAATTTTTCAGCAAACATTTGGACTGAGATTCAAGAAAGAGACTCTGAATTGGAAATGTCAGGTACAGATTGCCCTAAGACCCCCACCCCACCCACTATAGAGACAAACCTATAGTCTGACCAAGTCAGATTTACTGACTCACTCAACAAAGAAAAGCACCACAGCAGAGGAATTATGGGGTGCCTTGCCAAACAAAGAAAAATATTTGGTATATAATTTAAGGAAGATAGAGTAAAATGTAAATGAAGCAGTGCTTCAATAGGCTCCAAGCAAAGCAAGACTGTGTGAAAAGGAGTCATCATAGGTCTGGACCAACCACTCAGGGTCTTGTTTCCTTAAAAACTATAAAGTTAAGATTAATGAGAAACGTTGTGACCAGAAACCCCTTATTTGCAGCTATGGGTTGATTCTCCGAGGCAAAGTGACTTAGACCTGCCAATCAAGAGGTAGATGGTTCATTCCTAATGATATGACTTAAACAGCAAAGTTCCTGGCAGTCTAGGACCTTATAGAGTGAGACATGAGTATGAAAGAGGTGGTTACTGGAAGAAGGTTGTTCGATACTTTATAGATCCTGTGGGTCCTCGTGAGAAACATTCTTTCTTTGCAGCTGGCTCTGTGTCTGTCCTCCCTGTCTGATGAATGGCAAGGAAGGTTATACTTTCTCAGTCTCAGTTCATTTTTATTTTCTCAATAGTTCAAAATGTATAGCCTCCCTCCCAAATTCAGCTCCCATCTTTACCCAATCGCACAATCGGTGGATGTTTTTCCTCCCCTTTTTCTTTACTGGAAGAATGAGTCAGCCAAGTGATTCCTTCTCTTTCCCTTCATAAGAAAGGTGAGTCAGCTAATTCTCAGCAGGAGCCAGGGCCTACAGCAGCAGCTGCCTTCCCACCTCCACCAGCCAGCTCTCTCCCATCTGCAAGCCCCCCAGGGAAGAGCAGGCCTTGGGAGCAGCAGCAGAGGGCAAAGATCCCAGAAGAAGCTGACACCGCCCCGCAACTACACACACCAGACCTCCAAATTACTGCTCTTCGATTAGGAATAATATACTCGCTGAACCTACAGCCCAAAGCAGAAAGGCTGGGCCAGCCCAGTAGTCCTGAATCAGCTGCACCCTGAACCACCTGGGTACTTCAAAAACCAGGCCATACACCCAGGGATTCTGATTCTATTGCTCTGGGTGTGGCCTCCAGGCATCAGTGTCTATTTTAAAACCTGCCCAGTGTGACTCTTGGAAATTATGACCCCTCTCCACTGCACAAACCAGCCCAGGAGCAGCACTAGAAAAAACTCACTGTCTCGCCTATAGGAAGTAAATGATTAAAATATATAACCACCTGCAAGGTACTGTGATTTTAGAACTTTATTTCAAGCAAACTATGAGACATATCCCCCCTGCCTCCCAACTCTCAGCCCACACAAATCTCCCAACCTTGAAGTGAAGAAAGCATTTGTCTGCCCAGCAAGCTCTCCATACCCCAGAGGGAGCCCTGTGCAACCAGCCTGCTCTGCCCCACTAGGCCTTGGTCCCCAGCACACTCATACCCCCAGTCATCTCAGCAGATAAGTGAGACTTCCAAAGGAGCAAGGAATTTTTGTTTTATTTTTGAGACACAGTCTCACTTTGTCACCCAGGCTGGAGTGCAGTGGCACGATCATAGCTCACTACAACCTCCACTTCCTGGACTCGGGTGATTCTCCCACCTCACCCTCTAGAGTGGCTGGGACTACAAGCATGTGTCACCACACCTGGATAATTTTTATATTTTTTGTAGAGACGGGGTTTCGCCATGTTGCCTGGACTGGTCTCAAACTTCTGGGATCAAGCAATCTGCCCACCTTGGCCTCTCAAAGTGCTGGCATTACAAGCATGAGCCACCACACCTCGCCAGAAGTTGTTAAAAAACTTCTTCCCTTCTTTCTGAGACAGGGTCTCACTCTGTTGCCCAGCTGGAGTGCAGTTGTGTGATCATAGCTCACTGCAGCCTCAGACTTCTGGACTCAAGGGATCCTCCTGCCCCAGCCTCCCAAGTAGCTGGGACTACAGGTGCATGCTACCACGCCGAGCTAGTTTTTCAATTTTTTGTAGACATGGGGTCTCACTATGTTGTCCAGGCTGGTCTCAAGCTCCTGGCCTCAAGCAATCCTCCTGCCTTGGCCTCTCGAAGTGCTGGGATTACAGGCATGAGCCAACTGCACCTGGACAACAATTTTTTTTTTTGAGATAGAGTTTCGCTCTTGTTGCCCAGGCTGGAGTGCAATGGTGCAATCTCGGCTCACTGCAACCTCTGCCTCCCGGGTTCAAGCAATTCTCCTGCTTCAGTCCTGAGTAGCTGGGATTATAGGCGCCTGCCACCATGCTCACATAATTTTTGTATTTTGTAGAGACAGGGTTTTGCCATGTTGGCCAGGCTGGTCTTGAACTCCTGACCTCAAGTGATCTGCCCGCCTTGGCCTCCCAGAGTGCTGGGATTACAGGCATGAGTCACTGTGCCTGGCCATGTGGGGGAATCTTGAAGGGCTATTTTTTGTATTTTTTAGTAGAGACAGGTTTCACCATGTTGGCCAGGCTGATCTCGAACTCCTGTCATCAAGTGATCTGCCCGCCTTAGCCTCCCAAAGTGCTGGGATTACAAGCATGAGCCACCGCGCCTGGTCCTGGACAACAATTTATTTACAGATGGACTGAAACACAAATGGGAGAAAGTATGTGTGTTTGTTTCCTGTCCTGGGGCCCCAACATGGCAAACATGGTGTCTGGGCCGGAAGGAAAAACAGTGAGTTCAGGAGAGGAAATGACCAGAAAAGGAAGAGGAAAGGAAGCAAAGCAGGTCTCAGAGGTTCCCTGGGTGCTGTGCTGTCATCTCCTCCCTTTCACTAGGCAGCTGGAGTAGTGGTTAAATGCATAGACTTTAAGTTTACAGGAGAAACAAGGGATAAAGGAACATGCTAACCACTACCACAGAGATGCCATCAGCAACATTGAGAAGGTGGGGAATTCTACAGGGACGAACAACTGCTTCTTCAATAGGAAGGGAAAAAAGGAAGACAGAACTAACAGATTAAAAGATACAAAAGAGGCCGGGTGTGGTAGCTCACGCCTGTAACCCCAGCACTTTGGGAGGCCGAGGCGGGTGGATCACCTGAGGTCAGGAGTTTGAGACCAGCCTGGCCAACATGGTGAAACCCCATCTCTACTAAAAATACAAAAATTAGCAAGGCATGGTGGCATGCGCCCGTAATCCCAGCTACTCAGGAGGCTAAGGCAGGAGAATCACTTGAACCCGGGAGGCGGAGGTTGCAGTGAGCTGACATCATGCCACTGCACTCCAGCCTGGGCGACAGAGAGAGACTCTGTCTCCAAAAAAAAAAAATAAAAGATACAAAAGAGAAATACCCAAAGGTAATAATATGTGGGACTTATGGGATCCTGATTCAAACAAATCAACTACAAATAAATTAAGTGATGGTCAGGGAAATATGAATAGCGACTGGTTACTTGATGATATTAAGAATTAATGGGCCAGGCATGGTGGCTCATGCCTGTAAATCCCAGCACTTTGGGAGGGCCAGGCAGAACAATCATTAGAGGCCAGGGGTTTGATACCAGCCTCAGCAAAATAGCAAGACACCTGTCTCTACAAAAAAAAAGAAAAGAAAAGAAAAAACAGAAAGAAAACAAACAAACAAAAAATACATATAGCCACGCATGGTGGCACACCCCTGTAGTTCCAGCTACTCTGGAGGTAGAGGCCAGAGGATTGCTTGAGCCCAGGCGCTCAAGGCTGCAGTGAGCCATTAATTACTGTTCCACTGTACTCTATTGTGGGTGACAGACAGAAACCCTGTCTCTAAAAAAAAAGAAAAAACAAATAATGATTTTAGGTGTGTTAAGGACATGGTTATGTTAAACAAATCAAAAAACCCTCCAATATCATGTGATAAAGAGAGCATTTCACCTCTGTGATATTCTTACCTCAAAACCCAAAAGAAAGACATTAGGCAACCCAAGTTGAGGGACACTCTATAAAATATCTTCCAAAATTGTCAAGGTCATCAAAAACAAGCAAAGTCTGAGAAACTATCCCAGGTACTATGACTGCCGCAGACCAGAGGAGGCTAAAGAGACATGATGACTAAATGTAACATGTTCCTGGATGGGATCCTGGGACAGAAAGGAGACATTAGTGTAAAAAAAAGTAGTAAAATTCAATGAAGTCTGGAGTGTAGTTAACGATAATGTACCAATGTTAGTTTCTTAGTTTTGAAAAATGTACTGTGGCAATGCAAGATGATAACAGAGGACAATGGGTGAGGGCTAGGCAGGAATTGTTTGTTGTCTTTTGACTTCTCTAAAATTATTCCAAAATAAAAAAATTTTTAAAAAGCTAACCAAAGAGTCCTTATTTTTTAGAGATACCTACTAGTGGGTTCAATGAAATGATGGGATGTTTGGCCTTTGCTTCAGAGTAATTCATTGATTGGGTTGTGGGGGGTGGGTGCATAGATGAAACAAGGCCGGCTTTAAGTTGGCAACTGTTGAAGCTGGATGATGGGTGCATAGGGGTTTACTGACAACTGTCTCCAGATTAGTATGTTTGTAAACTTCCATAATAAAAAGTTGACAACAAACCAACAAACAAACATGAACTCTGGAGACAGACTGCCTGGGAATTTACTTAATCTGTTTGTGTGCTGTAGTTTTCTTACCCATAAATTGGAGATCATTGCACCTGCTTCACAGGGTTGTTGTGAAAATTCAGTAAGTCAATACACAAAAAGGCTGGAATGATGCTTGGCTATCGTCACCATCTTATGGGGAGAAAGATGGTCACAGACCACCAACACTCATCACCCTTTCTTCACACTCTGACCCTCCACACCCTCCACCCTCTTTCTGCCCGTCCTCTTGCACAGGGAGACACTTGAGGGAATAAAGAGGAGTTCTAGAGCGACTCCAGGGAATAAGGAAAGACCTTGGTAACAAATCCTGCAGAAAGCGGTGAGATTAATTGGGGAATAAGGGTCATGTCCCTGGCATGGGTGCTGGGAATGAACCCTGGATTATCAACCACCTTGAAGCAGGCTTCTGTCAGGCCAGCACAAGGTACTATGAGCATATATATTACACAACTATTACATGCCAGGGCAGGACACAGAGATGTGGGCTGGGCCCTAAAGGAGCTCATCAACCCAGTACATATGTAGCCAACCTTTGTGTCTTTAGACTCACCTCCTTAGAGACACCCCAACTCTGGGATGTCTCAGCACTGATGAACCTTACACTGTCAAACATGACACCACTTGCAATTTTGTAAGATCCCTAAGGGACAATTTGGAGAAAAGTTGGTCCACCTCCCCAGTCACAACCTTACAAGTCAATTTAATTCAAGTCCGCAAAGCCCTACTGAATTGTCTCCAGGATATTCATGTATATAACAAATCTTCATTAAGCACCTCTTAACTGCCAGGCACTGTGCTGAGCCTTGGAGAGTCAACAGGGAGTAAAGACAGGCACAGCCCCCACTTCTGCAAAGTCCATAGTCAACAGAGAGACACAGATGGCAAAGAAATACTCATCACAAATCAATGTATACACCGAGAAAGGTACTTTGCAGTAAGCGAACACTCAAAAATCCAACCTGGGAGTGCAGGAGGCTTCTCCAAGAAAGTGATGCTTCATGGATACACCAGGGATGAGGAAGAATGGGAACAAGAGTTGGGGGTAGAGGAAGAGGTGATGTTCCAAGCAGATGGCCCAGTGGTGGGAGGGAACGTGGTGGGTTCAGAGGCTGAAAAGCAGCCAGTGTGATGTGAAGGAGGGTGCGAAGTGTGGGTGGGTGGGTGGTGGGATTCAAGGAAGAAGTAGTCAGTGGGGTGGGCCATGCATACTTTGGGGGCCCCTTCAGAAGTGAGGTCTTTATCTCAGAAGCAGGGGAAGCCATTGGAGGGTATTTAAATCTACAAGGGCGTAGGGAGTCCCTTGATCAGATCTGCACTGTTGGGACTCTGACTTGCAGAAAGAGGAAGGACTGGAAGAGGGCCAGAGTGGAAGCAGGGAGACCTGTTGTGAGGCTACTGCAGTGACCCAGGAAATAGACGATGGGGGCTTGGTCTAGGATTCTGGCAGTAGAGATGGGTGGACTTGAGAGCTGTGTAAGAGGTAAGATCACTGGGCCTCTGGTTGCATTTAAAGGGTGAGGGAGAAGAAGGAAAGAACACAGGCGGCTCCCAGGTTTCTGGCTGCATTGATTGGGTGGCAAGTTGGGCTGTTTGCAGAGCCAGGGAGCCATGCGGGAGGAGCAGATATGGAGGAAAGAGAAGATCCTTAACATGGATGAATCACATGCAACGTGCTTTATGCAGGCCACTATGCTGGAGGAGGGGAGCTTCAAAAGTGCATACAACAAACACTTTTACTGCCTTCAAGAGCAGTGCCAAAAAGAAGTACCGCTATGGCTGCAGGAACAGGGTAGCCTAAAATGTTTATCTATGGCTCTAGAGCAGTGCTCACAGCACAGGGCTCAGTCATATAAGCCACTAAGACGTATTTGATAAATGTCTGTTAGGTCACTGAATGTCCCTAGTGCCACATACAGATAACAGACACCAGGACAAAAAGAAAAAGAAAAAAAAAAAGGAAACACAAATCTTTTACTCGGCACATTACTATATGCCTAACCTGTCTCCATCAGGGTAAGACAGAGGCAGAGAAGGGCAAGATCAGCCCCTTCTTGCAAAAGGCCTACAGGGGGTTTGAGGAAACCAAGTCGTCACACAGCAAACATTTAGAAGACCACAGGGCAGACTGTATGGAGAGCTATGAGGATCTGACTCAGGTGGCCAAAGAGATGTGCAGGAGGAAGCCTGCGATCTGATGGGACCAGAGAAGAAGGGAGCAAGTGTTTGCCAGAGAGGCAGGCCCGACTGAGCCTTTAAGAACGAGCAGAATGGGGGTGGGAGCGGGGACAGGCAATGTAATAAGGTCACTCAAGTCCAGGCAGGGACACCCCGACACTCTCGCCCTAGATGGCCTCCTACACTGGAAGGAAGATGCCAGTCTCGCCTCGGATACCTACATGCTGAGATGGCCTACTTTTAAAAGGAATTAAAGTCCTGTTAAGAAACACTGGGGACATTTTTTTCAGACGGCTCAGGAGCCAAGTTCCCTAATTATCAGCAAAGCTCGGGGCACCCCCTTGCTGGAACCAGTCCCCTTCCACCACAACAACAAAAAAAGAAAAAAAAAGCCACCGCACCGACCTTAGCACAATTTCCTTTCTTCCTTCAAAGTTCTTTTCTGGCCGCCTCGGCTGCCGCCCACCCCTGGCAAGCCCCGGTTCACTTCAGCGGTCTCTCTGCCTGTTTCCTAATAAATTCCGTCTCATTGGTGCGGGAGGCGCGGGAGCCCGAGGGTCTGCGGCGCGGGAGCGGCCCCTCCCCGGCTCCGGTCTCCGGGCCCAACCAGGCGCCCGGGCTCCGCGTTCCACCCCCGCCTCCGCAGTCTAGGGCCGAGTCGGCGACGCCCCAGAGGAGGTCCCGGAGGGAAAGGACCCCTGTCGCCGTGCCCCGAAGAGCCTGAGCGGGTGTGCCCAGAGCCAGTCCCCGGCGGCGCGGGGGCCCGGGCGCGGGAGACCCTCCGCGGAGAACACAGCGAGGAAGAGGCTGGGGGGGGGTTCCCAGGCGGCAGCCCCTCGGAGGGACGACGGCCCCAGGGGATGACACAGCGTTTCCCCCGCACGCCCTGGCTGCGTCCCCTCAGGGCATCGGCCGGCTTGCTGCGTCAGCGAATCCTCAGCCCGAGATGGAGAGCAGGGACGGGGGACGCCGGACCGCCGCTCGCCTCGGCACTCGCCCCCTCAACCTGCTGCGCGCGCCGAGCCCGGCTTGGGGGCCAGGGCTGGGGAGTGACCGCGGGGCGCGACGCTGCCCGGCGGCACCGCCAGCAGCTCGAAAGGAACGTCAGTCCCCACCGGGGGAAAAAGTTAGAAGGCATCCCGGCCACGCCAACTTCCCATCCAGGGCCAGACTAGAACTTTGCGTCCCGGGCGGGCAGCTGCACAACCCGGAGCGACCCTGAGCAGCCGCTCGAAGCCGGGCGCTCGGGACCTTGACCGCAGCCGCCGGTGGCCAATCACAGGGCGCCGCGGGCGGGAAAGGCTAGAGGGCGCGGGCAGTCGGGGAGTGACGGCGCCAAGGGCCAATAGGAAGCCAAGATGGGAGTCCGCGCCCGCCCCGTTGACCAATGGGAAAAGGGTGACTGTGACCGAGGTTCCCCCCCTGGCGCTAGCTGCAGGCTCCGCTGGCCGCGGGTGGGAGACCCTTGGGCGGAAGGGGACTTTGGAGGGGAGTTTGCTCGTCCTCTCTTTGCCACCCGCCGGCCCGCAGACCACAGCCCGGTCCTCACCTGCTGGAAGCGGGGTTTGCCCAGTTGGAAAGGAGGTGCATCGCTCGAGGCGCTAGCGGCACTAGCCGCCGCCGCCGATGCTGTAGTCGCTGTATCCGCCATGGCCACTGACGCCCGCAATCTCCGGCCCTTTTAAAATGTCCCTCCTCGGCCCCCGCCACAGCTGCCTCTCCCGATTGGCCCTAATCAACCGCAGCGAGCGGGAGGCGCAAGGCGTTGTGGGGAGTGTAGTTTTTCGCGTCGCGGCGCTTACAACCGTAGACTGCGGAGAGTTGCGGCCGTCCGGAGAGGTCTCGGTGCCCGCTGTCCGCGTTGCAAGGTGCAAGGTCGGCAGTCCAGGAAAGGTGTTCCTGTACGACGACCACGGGCCACCCCTCGCTGCTTAGTTGCCCCCAGAAGTTAGAGTTGCTGCCGTGGGCGTCGCTCCTGGGGCCAGGCAGCGCAGAAGGGTCCCATTCAAGGGGGAACCTGGGACCAGATGGGCAAAGACTCCAGGCGGAGTAGGGTTAACCTCGGAAGGCTTTCTCCAAGGAGTTGCACTGCGGACCTTCTCGTACTTTCCTCCGTCGCCACCCTGCCCACTCGTCCTGTGCTCTCCGGCTGCCCTGACACTCAGTTCCTGGAGCATGCTGGGGCCTGCCCGCCTCCCGACCCCTGAACATTCTGTACCCGGAAGACTAAATCTTCGCCTGATGCTGGCTTTCTGGCTTTAGCCTAAACATTGCATTTCCCAGTCCATCACTCTGCTTGCACAAAATCCCACAGAGGCTCCGTGGCACCCAGCACTTCTCTTTTGCACTCACAACTACTTACTGTTCTGGACAGTCTTTCTTACTGTAAAGTTCACAGGGCAGGGGCTATGACTTTTTGATTCACTTCAGTTTTCAGAGCCAGACATAAAAGGGCTCACAGTAGAGACTCAAATAAGTGTTGGCTGTGAGTTCATCAGTGGGGGATTAAGAGCCCTGGCAGCTTTCACCTTGTCTGGCCAACCAAGGAAGATCCCTCCTGGGCCTAATTCCTGGGCAGGAGGAGAACTTGGGACTAGGGTGGGTGGGGAGGGTGTTAGGTAAGGGGGAGTATTACAGATTGTGGAGTAAGGATCAGTATGGATAATAAACACATACAGTTGTAGAATGGATTAGCTGAAGATTCCCAGCTGAATTACCTGGTCAGTGAGCCAGACTTCGGGAGCTGCCTGTTTTGCCCAAGATGACAGTAGAAATATTTGGTCTTCTAGGGAACTCCACTTTGGGTCTCATTAGTCTCGTGGTGGAGTGCAGGGTTGGCTCATGTCTGCCAGTGTTTCTGGACACTACATGAGCTGTAGCAGTCAAAGTTTTTCATCCTCTAGTAGTTGAACCACAAGAAACACTTTTCATAAAGCTAGGGGGAGATTCTAGCTAGCCACGAAGAACAATTTGTATCTTGGATTTGTATCTTATCTTAGAGATTCTATCTAGCCATGAAGAACTATTTGTATCTTGGATTTGTATCTTATCTTCCCCTGCTAGACCATGCAACTTGAGAATAGGAATCCATTTCTTACCCTCTGTATTACCAATAAATGGGCCCATCTTAGGTGCGCAATAAATGTGGGTACCCTGGGAGTCAGAAAAGACTAAGTTCAGGCTGCTGGGCAACACTGTGCTGCTGCCCCCTTATAAGGGGCAGGGACAGTGTCATCCAAGAATCCCATCACCTTGATTTAAGGTGCTTTCTCCCACAGCAGCCTCCTGTAACTGTTCATTCCAAAACAGGAACACAACAGAGCCACCTGCAGTACATGAATGTTTTATTCTTCATAAAGTGCTTAAAACATGAAGAACAAGCTCTTTATAAAGAGCCTTAACTAGGAAGACAAACAGCAAAGCAGAACCATGCCTGCTCCCTGCCCAACCCACCTGCAACTTTCCTCCAAGTGTGGCTAGGAGAAGAAACATCAACAAGGACCCTGGGCTTCGATTCAAAAACTCCTCTGAAGCCATCCATGCCCTGGGCATTAGGGAGGCCCACAAAGGTCAGGGCCAGGGCTGGGAGTGAATAAAGCCCAGAGGAATCCCCAGTAGGGGGGGTGACTCCCCCTCTCTCAGAAAAGATACTTACTTCTCTAATACCCAATGACCCCCAAAAGCATGACTGAAACCCTGGGGACCAGTGGATACTTTTCTCAGATTTGATGAGTGGAGTTTAAGGTAGGTAACGTTACAGGGGCTTTCCTCCATGTGTGGCGCTCCTCTGCTCCATCCTGGCAGCAGACAGACATCACCCAGAGGGCACGTGTCTGCCTGAGGCCTTCCAAAAGCAAGCCCACAGGCCCTCTCCTGAAGAAGTGGTGGTCCCAGAGGAGCTCTTGCCTCCTCACTAAGCTGTTAAGTATCCTTCTTCAGCACCTCATCACCCCCCATTTTTGCTAATTCAGGGTGCCCCAAGCTGCCAAAGTTCCCTGCAGATGCCTTGGGGAAGCCTACCATGTTTTCTACAAGCAAACCAGGGGCTGGGCCAAAGGACAGATACTTCATTTCAAAGTGCACTGCAGCCAAGCCAGGCAAGCCCCTGGGGCAGAAGGGACAGGCTGAGATAGCAGCTTAATGGATGGATGGGAGGACAACAAAGGCTTTTTCCTAAGTATAGGTGTCTCCCAAAGGCATAGTGGGACCTCCCTCTTCCAGGCAAGCTGACTGGTCTAGTATGGCTAAGTCCTGAGGCCAGACAATGAGAGTGAGCAGGGCAGCCCCAGGCCTGCCTGCCCGCCTGCCCAGCAGTGTTTATCCTGGGATCCTCCTATTGGGGTTGAGGGAGGGGAAGACAGCAGGAAGGTTGAGGGAGCAGCAACTTGGCCAGACCAAGAGATTAACTTTAGGGGAGGGGAACAGCCCACAGCAGTGCTGTCCATTCCCATTCCCAGGGCCCTGAGAGAGCCATCCCTATGTATTCAACAGGTGGGAGGGGGACGCCACACAGCGGGAGAGGTCGACATCCAGGGGCTCTTGACCCCGCCCACCAAAGGCACATTTTAATTGGTTTCCAAAAGTTCAAACCCTGCAGCAACACAGAGTTTTGGCATCTGGACAGGCAACAAGAATAGACATGGAGGCTTGATCCCCAAATCATAAGCAGTCCCAAGCCCCAGCCTGGAGGGACCTACACATTGGAGGTGGTCAAGAGCTCGAAAAGCAAAAAGGTGCTCTCTCCGCACCCGCCCCTGCGCCCCACACATTCCCATGTGACACTCGTGGAAAGGTCAGAGGGGTCAGGGAGCAGCCTGAAGCACACACATCATCCACCACTGTCCACATGGCACTCGCCCCACAAACAGCTCCAGACTGAAGCAGACTCAGGACATGGCAGAGACTGGCCCAGACCACACAGGCTTCTTGCTCTCAGGGGAATGGGTGTGAGGCTGAAGAGGCTGGTTGCCCGTAACTCACAGACAAACAGGCAGCGTGGTCATTGTCCCAGTAATACTAGAAGCCCCTCCAGGGACTGGAGGGAAATGAAGGGGATGGGGCTTTGGCTGTGGGAAGAAATGGCTGACCATCCTTGGGGGATAATAAAGTATGTGCTAGCAACCAGTCTTGTCCCAGATTACTGCATCAAGCTACAGTTCACCCCTGCTCTGTCTTGGGGGAAGAGTTCCAATTCCCTGGGGCCCCCAAAGCTGAGGGATATGAAAACAGGCAGGTGGGAAAGACCCAGGGCTCCCAAAGACACACAAGTTGTGCACAGAACCTGATGCCTCCAAAGGGAATCCAGAGGGCCCCCTTCCAGCAGCCCCAGTTGAGGCAGGAGGGAGAGGAGCAAGGAGTGACAAGGCAAGACAGACGATGCCCCACTGCAGATGAGAGAGTTCAGGAGGAGAGAGGGCAGGCAGCAATAGGTCCATGCCAACCCTCCTGGGGGTAGGGTGAGGAAGGCTATTTGGGGGGGCCCGGGGGGATCTGCAGCAGCGTGGGTGAGGTCTCCATGATCCGCACCAGCAGCCGGTCGATGTAGCTCTCCAGCTCCTGCACATGCTCGTCCCGCTGGCTCAGCTCCCGCTCCCGCTGCAGGAGCAGGCTGATGAGCTCATCGTGGGTCAGGTGGTAGTACTTGGCCGACTGGTCCAGCACAGCTGAGTCCTGAGGCCGGACCGAAGACAGTGAGCAGGGCAGCCCTAGGCCTGCCTGCCTGCCTGCCCGCTTGCCCGCCCGCCCGCCTGCCCACCAACACCTAAGTTTCACCACCACAGGGCCCCAGGCTGCCTGTCTCCAAAGTCAGAGCCTAACTGGCTTCAGGACTCTGATATGGGGGACCTGGCCTGCTCCCTGCCCCACCCTCACCAGGACCAAGCCCTGAGACTCCACCACACATTCTGTCAGATGGCCCCCACACCCTGCTGGGCCTTACCTTCAGCCTTTTGGTGTCCACCATCTGGCCAGCCTGGGGGGCCTGGGTCACAGGCTGAATGCTCCCAGATGTGACTGTTTTGAGCTTCTCCAGCCCACTGCTCAGGGCTATGCTCAGACTGGAGCGGGACTGCTTCCTGTCGGGGCTGCCCTCCACAGGGGCGGCACTGAGGGGCTTCACGGGGTGGGGACTGCAAAGACATACAAGAGATGGGTTACACAGAGAGAAGGGTGGCACGGGTCAAAGGTGGGGCTGCCTTCCCTGTGGAGCCTCCAGGTCTGCTGGACAGAAAGCCCAGCACTGGGTGGTAGCTGCCCCTACAGAGTCAAGGTTTCAGGGCAGCGGTGTCCAGTACTCCTCAGCAACCCCCTGGGCTGGCCTCAATTCCCACCCCACCACCTGCTCCCTCCCCATTTCACTCCCTCATTCACCGGGTGAACTGACCCTTTCACAGGGACAGCAAAGGCCATGCTACAGACTCCTGTGCACCTGCACCCACCCTCTGTCAGGGACACCCTCCCCCAGCCATCTTCCCTCCTTTCTCTTCTATACTGTAACCTTTCTCTAGTGCGGTGACCAACCCTCCCAAGTTCCCAGTTTTCCCAGGACTGTGAGGATTCCCAGGACATGAGACTTTGAGTGCTAAAACCTGGGCAAACTGGGACACTTGGTCAACCAGCTCTCTCTAGGGGTTGCTTCCCATCAGCATTTACATAGCCCTGAAAAACCCTCCCTTGACCTTATATTTGCTCCAGCTATCATTCCTAGTCACCTTCCCCTTTCTTCTCACCCAAGCCTCTCCGCAGCAGCATGGAGACTACATTTGTATAATTTCTTACCTTTCATTGACTCCTTAACCCATTAGAACAGGACGTCGGTCTCTACCGGCCCACCACAAGTGGACTTGTTGAGGTCACCAAGCCCTGCTGGTTCTCACCTCACTGACCTCTGTGGAGCCGACACTTGAAGCACTCCTTCCTTTGGGCTGCTTGCCTCCCTTTCCCTTCAAGACCTCCATTTCGTCTTCTGACCCCACAGCCCCTTCTCAGTCTTAACAACTGCTAGTCTGCCCTTGGGTTCTCTCCTCTCCTCCTCCCTGCATCCTACCACTCTCCTAATCTCCATCTCTAACCCAGAGCTCACTGCCTGGACTCTAGACCTGCAGAGTCAGGTGCAGACTGGCTTGCTGCTCCCTGGGTTACCCCTCAGGTGCATCCCACTCCCCGCCACACCTCCTCTGTGCTGCCCTAGCAGTGAGGAGCACCTCTGGCCCCCACTGGCTCAGGTCAGAAAGTCAGAAGCCTAGGAGGTCCTCTGGCTCATCCTCTTCAGCCTCGGCCTTAACAATCAAGCACTGCCACCTTCCTACCTTCTCAAGCCACCCCACTCCTCTCCAGGCCAATGCTTAAACCTTCCTTCTAGTCACAGCCACTAAATCAGCTCCTCCATCTCAGTCTTGCCCACCTCCAACCATGCTGCTGCAGGATAATGATCTCAGCATTCTCAAAGCTTGAGAATCCTTTAATGGCTTCTATCAAGGTAAGAAAATACAATCTCTAACACAATCTGGTCCCTGCCCTTTCTTCATGGTCCACTACTCCCAAAGCCACATTCTTACCAAGATCTTACAAAAGCTATTCTTCTGTCTGGAACAACATTGCCCCTTCCTCCCGTTGGCTCACTAATTCCTACTCATGTTTCACAGTTGTGCAAAGCCACCTTCTCCAGGAAGCCTTCCTGATTCCTCCAGGCTAAGATGACCCTTCTCTGGGATCCTCCAGCACCCTGTGACAGGTACATAAACTATAACATAAACTGCATCAGGCTCCCACATTAACTATCCTGCCCAGGGGGACCTCTTACAAATCTATGCTTACTTCACAGAGGATTTAGACCATTCAGGAGTAGAAAGCAAAATGGCTTAGTCCAAGGCCCTGAACTCCACTGAAGGAAGGGTCACCCAGACCCAGAGACTCTCAGGCTAGATCCATGCATTCATTCTCACAAATCGGGAAGAGTGGCAGAGCACCCATGCTCTGGGCAGACAGTATGGAGAAAGAATGCATCTCAGTCCTTTCCTGACACCTAGGAGCCTGTGCTAGGGATGGGGTATAAAAGCAGCTCTAATGCCACCTGCGGGCTGTGCCAGGGAAGGGGAGGATGACCAGTGTAGTATAAAAGTGCCTTGAATGAGGGGCCAGGAGGCCTTGGCTTGTTTGCCCCCTTACATCAGAGGGATCTGGGATCCTAAACCCTGCGCCTCTCATGGGCTCTATTTCTTCCTTTGAGGAATGAGACAGCTCTATTTGGCCCGTCCACTTCATAACAGAAGGAACAAGCCCAGTACAGACATGAAGCCAACTCTGGGACGAATAAAACTTATAAAAAGTGGCAAGTATTATTAGAGGTCATGCTGGCAGACAGCAGGGCCAGCCGAGGACACTGCAACCACCAGCTCCCCCACATCCTCTCCCTCACCTCAAGGGAGGAGAGTCACCACCACCACCAGGGAGGGACACTGGGGGCAGCCTGGACTCCCTCCCACCCACTTCCCATATGTAGTTCTGGCCCCTTGGGGTTTCTTCCCTTCTTGGGTCCACTTTATCTTCCCCAGTGGATTGGACATTCCTTGGGAACAGAGTGGAGACAGTGTCTTTCATCTGTTCAGCATCTGACACATAGTAGGTGCTCAGTGAATGTGGATGACCAAACATGAATGCCTGGTCGGGAGGCCAGTGCTGGAGCCTGCCCTGCTCTCCCCTCCCTTCACTCGGTCCTCCTAGAGCGCTATCGTCCCAGAGGGACTTGCTGCCTTCTAAGTCACACCCCATCACCTCCCAGTGCCCTGAGTCTCCAGGCCTCTGCCCACATCACCCCTGACCAGCCACCTGGTGAGGTCACAGCTTCATAATTCTTCCAAACCTCCCAATGCCACAGTGAGCACAGTCACACAGGCATCCGCTGTCCACTCAGCGGTCCTAAGTGCATCAGAACCACCCCTTAAAAGGCACCAAACGCAAACCAATGAAGCAACTGCTGCGCGTGGGGAACCTTTCTTCTGAGAGTTACATATGTGGGAAGTGTTTGAGTTTTCCTTTTTCTTCTGAAGGTGTCTGCAGCTTTCTCTCTGACCTAAGTGCTGGTCCCTCCTCTGGCTCTCTGCCTTCCCCAGCCTGCACCCTCACTCTAGCAGAATAGGAAACTGCTCAAGGCTCCACTGCCAGCCTGCTCTGCCACGGTCTGCCCCAAGAACTACCCCCTGATTGACAAGTTCCACCGCCCCCCACCCACAGCTCCCCTGCGGCTGAGTGCACACACTCCAGAAGGGCCTACAGCACTGCTCTCCTTCCCTGCCAGCCCACATCGGCTCTCCCCACTTCATTCCTTATACCCTGCACCTCATCAGTGCTGTTCTCCAAACCCCTGGCTTGTGGGGGGCTGCCTTGATTATCCCAAGTCCCAAGACAGCAGCTTCAGAGGTGGTACCATAGAAAGCTCCTGTCTTCAAAGCCTGTACCGTCTTGCCTCTGGGGTAAAAGAGACCCTCACCTGCCCCACAAAGGATGAGACTGGAGTGTGAACCCCTCAGTCCCTTGGGCTGTTCTGCCCCCTGTCCACCCCCTTCCTCCTGGACAGTGTTCTGGGGGTGGATGCTCACCTGGCACTGGGCTGTGGCTCCTCAGCTGGTCGTGTCTCCAAGGGCAGAAGCACAAGCGGGGAGGCTGGGGTGGCTGCAGCGAGGTCCTCCCTAAGTAGGGCAGGGGAGCCCCCAGGTGGGGAGGGCTCATGGGGGCCAGGGAGTAAGGCTGGCTCCCCTGGTGGTGCAGAGGAGGTAGTCAGGGGCCAGGCTTCAGACAGGGGAGAGCATGGAGGGCTGGGCCCCCCACGGTGGTGGCTGGCCCAAGGCGGGAGAGGGGGCGGTGGAAAGTCAGGCTCTGGGGGAGTGGGCAGCTCTTCTGGACCAGAATGAATAGAAGATTCCCTCGACCCTGGCGGGGATGCAGATGAGAGGCTGGGAGGATCTCGGCTCCCCTGAAACAAGAAGGGGTTCAAGGCATCTTCCTTGGAGACCCACACATCAGCCTGCTGGGAGGTGGCTGACAAGGACCCAAGCCCCTCTCCTACTGGATCCTGGCCCTGGGCCTCAGGAGCCTCAGGGCCTTCTCCAACCTCTGGAGTCCCCCAGATGTGCTGACTCTGAAGAGCCAAGCTCTTTGAGTGACAGGGTATGGGGGCAGGACCCTCAGGGCAGCTGGCGGGTGCAGACAGGCAGGGCCCAGACACAGGGGGGCTGGCATCCTCCACTAGCTCTTCCAGGCCAGGCTGGCCCAGCAGGGTTGCAGAGGAGCAGCTGTCAGACTCCTCCGACTCACGCTTCTCTCCCTCCTCCTTGGTCTCCGGGGGACCGACAACCAGTGCACTTGGGGAGGCATCTTCTCCCTCTGTCTCCGGCCCCCTGTTACTCAGCCCCACTGCGGCCTTCTCCTCCTCCTCCTCCTGGGATCTTGAGGGTGTGAAGAGGCGCGGTGGCTTGGGAGGTGGGGTGCTGGGCTGCAGCCCCTTGTCAGACACCCACTCGGGTTTAGGCTCGGGCTCCGGTGGGGGAAGCCCCTCGCTCCCCTTGGGGCTCACAGTTTCTGGTGATTCAGGCTGCACCTGGGGAGCAGGCTCATCAGACTCTCCCCGAAAGACTAGTGAGGCTGTCTCAGCTGCAGGAGAAATGGTGACCACATCCCAAGGCCAGGCATCATCAGCTGTCTCGACGTCAGGGCAAAGCTGATTTTCGCCTCGGGAGGACTCATCGTCCTGGCCCTCAGCAGCGCTCTCTGGGCCCGGCAGCCTCTCCCACACACTGATCACTTCTGGGGAGCTAAATAGAGATGTCCCACTGTCTGCCGGACTCTGCCCTGCTTCCACTTCCGGGGCTGGCAGTTCCCTGTCTGGTTCTGAGCCTGAGGCTCTCAGCTGTAGCTGGGCTGACGAGGAGGGCAGGCCAGCCCCTACCGACCCGAGGAGCCCTGGGTCAGCCGCGCTCGCGCTCTGGTGGTTCGGTCCCAAGTCCAGAGGAACCCTGGGCTCCAGCCACACGCTGCTCCCACCTCTTCCTCCTCCTCCTCCTCCTCCTCCTCCTCCTCCCCCAGGCTCTCCCTGGGGCTCAGCTGCCTTCGCAGTCATGGCCCCAGGGCCTGGGTCTTGCAGCCCTGCCGCCTCCAGCCCCACTCCTGCAGGGGCCAGGATCTCGCTCCTGGCCTCTGGACGCAGCCTGCTGGCAGCAAAGACGTTGAAGGTGTTGTCCCACTCAGGCAGGGCTTTCCCAGGGGAGGCCAGGGGGGTGGGGCTGGCCCTCGAGGCACTGGGGAGAGAGGGAGCAGGTGAAGGAGAGTTTAGTGCTATGTCGGCTATGAGCTCCTCGAAGAAGGGGTTGCTCTGCAAAGAGGTGAGGAACGGGTTGGTAAGACCCAATAATCCAGGTGGGGTGGCTTCAGGGGCGGCGGTGGTGGCGGCAGCGGCAGCAGTGGCAGCAGCGGGGGAGGCGGCTGCAAAAAGGTTAGTGCTTAGCATGGGAGCAGCAGTGGGAGCAGGAGTGGGAGGGGCCGGAGCCCAGGGGGAGCAGGGGAGGTGGTGAGGAAGAGCAGCTGGGTCAGATTCTACCTGAGGAGACACGTCCAGGCTGTGGAGGGAGACAAAACCGTGAGCCTCCTGGTTAATGCCAAGACTGGAAAGGCCCCTGAGTCCCACGCCCCACCCCCTGCTTCGGGACCAGGGGCCATAACACACACATAGGCTGGATTTACCTACTTGGGCCAGGGTACAGAGGGAAGACCCCAACATGTAACATTATCAAGTGCCTCCCAAGGAGAAATATGCCAGGCAAAGCTATTTTAATGCTCACTCCAACCCCAGAGAGAAATCATCTCATCTGATAGGCAGGATCCGATCCAAACCTAACCAAGTGTTCTTTCCTCTATCCCATGCTGAAGCTTCTAAGGTTCTACTCAACAAGGAATTTACATCTGGGAAAACTAATCTGAAAGCGCCTTACATCCCTTTTTTTTTTTTTTTTTTTGAGATAGAGTCTCTTGCCCAGGCTGGAGTGCAGTGGCGCGATCTTGGCTCACTGCAACTTCTGCCTCCCAGGCTCAAGCCATTCTTGTGCCTCAGTGTGTGCCACCACACCTGAATAATTTTTGTATTTTTAGGAGAGATGAGGTTTCACCATGTTGGCCAGGCTGGTCTCGAACTCCTGGCCTCGTGATCTGCCCACCTGGCCTCCCAAAGTTCTGGGATTACAAACATGAGCCACTAAGCCTGGCCCCTTTTAGGACTAAAAGCAAAGAAAACACCAGCTGGCATGGGGGGATAAAGAGACCAGAGAAAGGCCAGGCCTAGGTATCTGGCTGGACAAAACCAGAACTTATAGGACCTAGCAGGGCACCTAGAATTCTGACACTTGAAACAGCCTGGGTTCTATTGATCCCTTGCAGAAGCAGAAGTAATGACGGGCTGTCATTGGGTGTGACAAGGTGTCTTGTTTCTTTGAGGGGCAGCCTAACTGGCTAAGGAATATAAGCCACCTGTGGAGAACGTCAACCAAAAGGTGCCCTGATGGTCCAGCCTTTGTCTGCCAAGGCTGGCAGTGTGACAGCAGCAGCAACTCTGGATGTCACCAGGGGCTTCTCAGGGACTCTGGGGACGGGGACAGGGCAGGTGCTCTTAGGACACTGGAGAACAGGTTCTGGCCTTCATCTGTCCAGGACAGGGTCCTTTCTGGGGGAAACGCCCCCTGCACTGGTGCTTATCCACAGAGTGAGGCCGACTCCAGAGATGCGGGCAGGGGCGTGCTCTCAAACTAGAGCTTCTCACTTCCCTAGGACCCAGACAGAAGGCCAGAAAAAATGGCTGCCTTGCCACTGAGCCACCGTCAGAGGCAGACCTCGGTGGCCTCACCCTCTGCCTTCTAAGCAGTCTCCCTCCTCATGGCTGGTCTCCCAGGCCTGGCTCTAAGCTTCCAGGACCCCTGTTCCTTGGCTCCTGCCTGTCCAGGTGGAAATATCCTGGGGAAACCCCTACACATCCGACTTTTCAAGCCAACCAGCTTCTTGCACAGGAAATGTAGACAGTGAGTCCTGAAGGGGCAGAAGCCGGGCTTTGGCCAGCCAGCCCATAAGGAGTGTGGCTTGGGGTAGGAAGGGCACCTGTGGAAAGAGCATGAGCTGTCTGGAGCTTGCCCGGATTCTCCCAGGAACCCAGGGCCCAAAGAGGGCAGACCCACACAGAGGTGGACTGAGGCAGGTCAGCTCGGCAGCTACCACCAGGGGCGGACCACAGGAAGGAGTCCAACTAAACAGAGGCACAGGTAGCTCCAAAGATGGTTCTGGGAGAAGGGAGGTCAGCCTCACAGGTCCCAAACCCAGGGATTTCTCGTAAGAATCAGTTTCCCGAGAGTCTCCTGACCCTATTTTTCCCCTTACAATAACTCCCCATCCAAAGGTAAATTCTCAGTCTCATCCCCTCCACCTAAAGATGGAGGGAGAGGGAGGTAAAAATTCCCACCTGTTCCCACCCCACCTGGGCTTCCACTACTACCCTGCTTCTATGGACATGGTGAAGATACCAAAAGAGGAAGAATCGTGGGCCCAGAGCCTCAACCCCAGCAGATGCCCTTTCTCCCTTCATTCCAGACAAGCCCCAGGCCAAGGCACACATGCCTGCTGTGGGGACCAAGGGGAGTGAGAAGCAACATACACCACCACCAGGTCAAGAGCCTGACCTCAGCCCACTTGCCATTAGTGCATCCATACCACACCCAGCCCAACCCTGTCTACAGGACCCGGGCCCCCAGGAACAGGGCTAGAGCACTCTGAGCTGCTTCTCTCCCCAGCCCCCTTTATGACAATAGGCCACAGTGGTCTGAAGGAAGAGAGTCCCATCAACATTAAAAGCACTACGCTTAACTCTGCCCCCTCAGCCCTAACCTGGCCTGCACTCACCCTTGCAGTCTTTCAGCAACCTGGCTGGCAGTCAGAACTGCAGGGACAAGAGCGGCAGGGGAGTAGACTGGGAGCCTCAGGTTAGGCTCGGCAACCTCCCTCTCCCGGCCAGCTCCCCAGAGGTACACACAAACCTGTTTGTATAGAATCAGCAAAGGGCTCTCCCTGGAGGAAGGGACTCCAAGCACCAGGCCTGGCAGGCTTTACAGAGCCAGCAGTACTTCTGAGGGCATCTGTCCATCCTCCTATCTGGTAACACATCCCTCCTTCATGCCTTCCTCTTCCTTGCTCCACACCAAGTGCACATTCTGAAGGTTCTCACTTCAAAACATCTCCCTCCCACTCCACCTGGCCCAGGTCAGGAACATATTCCCACGTATGCTTGTCTTTGCAGGTCATGCTCTGAGAACAAATAAACACCTCTGCATCCTAGAACCTACTGTGCCGGCCTGGCACACTCTCCCCACCCCCAAGCGGTGGGGGCAGCAATATATGCTGATTTGTCTTCTCTTTTAGGATCAAATGCTGGGAAGGAAGTCAGAAGTCCAGATGTCTCTGCCCCTTCAACCTGAGGGAATAAAACTTTACTGCCTGCAGGAAGCTCTGAACAATTGGTTGAACCTGCCACTCAACACAGGAACCACCTGTTCACCCTGACAGCCCCTCTTCTTAAACACTACACCACAGGGCTACCTCTGTAGCTGAAGGCCAGGTGTCACTAGCAGACAACTCTTCCTTGGGCTGAAAAGAGCTCTGTGTCCTTGTTATTTCCACACACTGGTCCCAGAGATGGCAAGTGAATCTGCACAAGCTCTCTACCAGGCAATCCCCCAAAGGCCGAAGCCAGCCTTGGAGGCACGTTCATCTCTAGCAACACTGCCCTTCAGCCTTCCATCCTGAGGCACGACCTCCTGACCCTCCTGAGATGGGCCCAACGTGCAGGAAACATGTCCAAGAGACGGGTACATCCTCTCCCATCACCTGGGCACAATGAGGTGACAGGGGCCTTGTAAGCTGTAAGTAGGGAGAACGTATCATTTATCTTCCAAACCAGAACACTGTTAATACAGTAACCATGACAAGAGCATGGTTGTGAGGAGCACATGAGGAGAGCAGGACGTGAGGCTGCACTAACTCCAAGCCACTGGGAGCACATTATAGTTACTCATTTACACCACCAAGAATGCAGCCAAGCTCCTTCCGCTGCCACAGCACATTCCAGGCCCACAGGGAGGGACCTTGTTGCCTACCACACCTGGTGCAGGGAGGCACTGCAGAGACTGCCAGAGGCCACCATCATGATACACTCATCTCTATGTTGTACCACACTTATTCCCAACTTTAAAAGTTTTTGTAATCAACATTTGATCCCCTTCTGTGCATAGAGTCCTATGGTTAGTGTGGGGGGCGGGGAACAAGGGAACACAAGGATGACCCGGGATAGACACAAAGACAATCCACTTTGGCCCTGGCGGGTTTAAAATGCGTGGTCTTGCCTGTCCTCAAACACACGTGAAGTAGCCTGTGCTGCAGCTCAGTGTGAATGGCTCATAACAGGGCAGGGGAATGAGGCTAAGTCCTGTGGCCAAGACAAGCTTGGTCTCAACTACCTACTCCCTGCTCCAGCACACACTGGTAGGGGCCCAGTGTGACTGCCATGGCCCCCAGCAGACAAAGGCCACATCAGAGGAACAGCAGGACCCTCTTCTCAGCCCTGTATAGCCTCATTTGTTCCTTCCCCACGGCAGCAGCCTTTCTCTGGATACCATACTCAACACGTTCAGCCCCGGGCCTCTCTGTGGGGCATCAGTGCCACATGGGAGCACTAGAGGGCGCCGCTGTTCTTCCTAGTGAGGAACATCCCACAATCTGCAATGGTAGCCCCAAGGCAGAGGCCCCCATTCTCTGGACCTGGGGACAGGCTCCCCAGGCCCCAGCTGGAGATCCTGCAGCTACATTCAGTCACTCCAGTTCTGGGTCTAACCCACAGCTTCCTGCCATGAGGCAGCCCACCTCTCCTTCTCTCCTCAGAGGCCCTAAGCAAGCCCTCTGGGGAAGCGCCAACAGTCCTTTCTTCCAGGCCAGCCTTCCCCTCCCTGCAAGGCACACAAGGCCAGGATGCTGCTGATTGAGCTCAAAGGCCAGGTGTCACATCTGTCCAGGCCAGGCCATCTTACCCAAAGCACAGCCCCTCCCACCCCATCTGCATGCACGGCCACAGAGCCTGGCCCTGCAGCCGCCACCTGCAAATAGGCCCCATCTTGGGAGGGATGCTGAGTGCCCTCCATCCTGCTAAAGACAAGGCTCAGAATTCAAGTGACAGCAGGACAGAAACCTCAGCTTCCTTATGGCCATCAGTGACCCAAATCCTCCAGATTCCAAGAGGCCATTAGGAGATATGGGGAAGCAGGAGAAAGAGGATGGAGACTGTAAGTGCCCCAGGCCAGTGACAACCCCACAGACTCACAGCCTGTGGGAGTCCAAGCCCAAAGCCTGGGCAGGACTCACCTACAAATGGCCCCAGCATTCACCTTGCCCCAGAAAAGGCCCAGAGACACCGTACGCACAACCACACTGAGCCTGTGCTCTGTGCCCCTTTCAATCCAGGCCCTCAGCTCCTCCCAGCAAATGCCCTGTCCAGATCTCCTGCTACCTCCCTCTACCCTACCACCTCCAAATACCTCTGGCTGGCTGTCACAGGGACACCAGGCTCAGCCTGGCATCTGGGAAAGGCCTGTCCCCTTCTTCCCAATCTTCCCCTAGGCCGCAGATGGCCAGCAGCTCACCTGAGCTCTGGTGAGTAGGGGCGGGGCAGTAGGGACAGGAGCTGCCATACCAAGCAAGGGAGGCAAGGGGTGGCATGCCCCTGAAACTGATCCACCCCCCCATACCCCTATCTATGAGGGTCTAACAGGGATTGTCAGCTGACCATGGCCCAAACCTAGAAAGGCCTGCATGTCTCTCTCCACTCCTCTCAACAGACTCAGAGTGCCACAGGGAAACAAAAAGCCAGGACTACAAGATTCCTCTCCCCTCTGGGCAACAGGTTTAGGGTCCTTCCTCTGCCCTATCTTTTGCCCCCTTGTTACTGTGCTTGTCCTCTAAACCTGTCCAAGCAGCCATGGAGCGGGAAGGGCAGGCTTGTTGAGAGAAACAGTGCTCTCACCACACTGGCCAGGGCTGCCACAGATGCTGCCTATGAGGGCTGGCCCCAGGCCCTTGGGAAGGTGCGACACACACTTCTGTGACCTGTACCTGGAGCCCCTCTCTGGACCCTGCTATACAATTCTGCAGCCTCTCCTGGCTCAGAATTAGGAGGAAGCAAATGGTAGGCATCAGGGTCTCTGCCCAGGGCCTGAAATGGGGGACTCAGTATATTCAAAACAAAACAGCTGCCACCAGCACTTCCCACGGTGCCATACCTCAAGACCAAGAGACATCAGAGAGGGCCAGAGCTCCCAGGGTCTCCAAGGACAGAGATGGGTTACAGATTTCATGGGAGCTGCCCACAGCCTCTTGCCTGGGGAAGCAACTGGCAGGTGAATGGACGGGGGAAGGAGTGGTGGCTTCAGTTATTTGACTCCCGTCTCCCAGAGGGAAGTGATCACAGAGACAGCTGGGGAGAAGTCCTCTAGCTCCAGAGAGGGGAAGGGAAGTCTGAGAGTGCGGTCTCCAGTCCTCATCTCTCTACCAAGGCTTCCTTACCTTGAGGCCAGAGGGCAAGAGGTGGAGGTCAGGAAGCAAAGAATTCACACAAATGGACTTTCCTGCTTCCCTCCAGCTCAGGGGGTGGGCATGCCAACTCATGCAGCAAGGCCTAGGGCTGAGAAGTCGGACCCCTCAATCCATAGGACTCTCAGAGCACTATGCCCTCGTAACTCACCTGTGTCCGTGAGCACAGAACGAACCTTGGCTTAGGGAGACACCCCACTAAACCATGCAAAGCCAGAGCCCCAGCAGCCTGCCTGAGGTCCATATCTACTCCTTCCTCCCTGCCCCAGGGTCCAGGCAGCACACACCCCAGCATCCTCCCCAAGGAGCAAAGTTGGTCTTGCCAACGACTTACCTGGGTTTCTGAGTCGGGTCCTTGGCTTCTCTCAAGCCAAACCAGCTACTCTTGGCCTTTTCCTCCCCACTGGATGAGTGATGTGGGGAGGCCCCCAGGATGGGACCCCCCTTTTCCCCCAGAGAGCTTCGGCGACCCAACTCGCTCCGACTTAGGCCTTGGTGGTGGTGGTGGAAGAGACCCATCCGGGGCTTGCGTTCCTCCTTCCGGGCTCCCTCCTTCTCTGCCACAGCCTCAGAGGAGGCCACTATGGGTGTGGCAACCTGGACTGGCTTGCCCTCTGGTAGCCGGGCCCCCTCCTCCTCTCCAGGGTGGCTGGCCCCAGGGGCCAGGACTTTAGCCTGAGCACTCAGCTCCTCCTGTCCAAGCACTGCCTCTGAGCTGCTGTTGCTACGACTGCCTCTGGGCCAGGTGTCATCTGTGGAACGAGGCCCCTCCTCGGAGAACCGGGAAGAGACAGCTTGCAAGGAGCCAGAGGATGGAAGCGAGCCCGAGATGGAGCTGCGGTGCCGCACAGGGCCCTGGGGCTCCTCATTGTAAATGTGGCTCCCATTGACACAGAGCGAAGAGCGGGAGGCAGCATCCAGGTGGCCCTGAAGGTCCAGAAGGGCCCGAGGAGGAGCCACTCGCATCTGGTTGGCCTCATCGCTGTAGGTCCTCTTATGGGTGAACAGCTTGGGGGACTGTGCAGAGTCCCTGCCTGCAGGGGAAACACACAGAGTTAGCTCGCAGGAAGAGAGGCCCCATTTCCTGGCCCCAGGCCTTCATCACCACCCAAGGGGAGAGCCAGTGCCCCCCTCCCCAGGGCGGCGGCCCTGTGCTTGCTCACCCCCTTCAGTGGACAGCCAGCTGCTACGGCTTGGTGAGCGGGTGAGGAGTTCGGCGCCAGGTCCCTGGTAGGCCAAGCTCCCGCTGGCTGAGGACAGGGTGCTGTCCGAGCCCAGCGAGGTGTTGGACTGGGTCAGGGACGACTTGCGCAGCTTGTTGCGGAGGAAGAAGCCTTTGGCTTTGCCCATCTTGCCCAGGCTGCCCAGGTCAGGATCCTCTATGGCGCTGCTTGGGAGGATGGCAGAGGCAGATTCCAGATCATACTTCTTCTTGCCCTTCATCTTGTCCCTGATCTTGCTGAAGGGAGACCTTGGCTTGTCCTTCATGGACAGGTCAAACATACTGGCGCTCAGGTTGTTGCGCGTGAACTGGATGGTGACTTCAATCTCGCCGCGTTCCTTCTCCTTCTTGCCTGGCTTGGAGTGCAGCTTGTACCACCTGTGAGAAGAGGGGAGCAGGCAGAACTCAGTCACGGGCCCAGGGAGCCTGGCTCCCGCCCGGTACCAGGCACTGCCCAGACCCCTCCTTGCTCTGAGAGCCACTGATAGCCTCTCCCCAAAGGCTCCTGCTCTGACCCATCGGCCTGGGCTTCCAGGCTTCAGATGCAGCTGAGAAACTATCCAAAACATTTCCATGATGGAGAAAACCACATCCTGAGTGGGGAAGCTCCTCGGGTGCCACCAGGTAGGGCGGCGGTTACCACACCATGCCTCCTCCCACCCCAGGACCTTCTCCTGGTGCTCAGAGACCTCTCCTCTGCCCCATCTCCCCTACATCTGAAACTCTGAGGCCCAGAGGGGTGAGGCTGGGCCTGGGAGAGCCCTCCCATCTCCAGGCCCCAGCACAGACAGACCTACCCACATTTCTCCCTGTTGACATCATCTCCTCTGGCCAGTCCCAGCCAAAGCTCTGCTCCCAGCCACCGTGAGCCCAGGAAAGAACAGCTCACCCAGAGGCCCAGGGCCAGGAACACAGGAATGCTAGTGCATACACTCATGTATGTATACACACACACACACACACACACACACACACACACCTCACTCACACACTGACTCACCCCAAGCCCTGTCAGGAATACCTCTACAAGATGCAGGAACAGACAAGAATGGCAGAAAGAGACCCAGGAAAGACGAAGAGCGCTCATATCTGTTGAGCATCTATGGTGCATTACGACCAGCATGAGGGTTCTTACCTCACTCCCGCACATACCTCCCAAAAAGCATATGAGGTAAGAGGTACTACCCCATTGTACAGATCAGGAGGGTGAGGCTCAGTGGTAAAGGAACCCATCCGTGGAGACTCAGAGCCAGGTGTCCAGCCCTCCAAAGCTTAAGTTCTTCCCGGTGCACACCCACTGTGCCCAGAGAGACACAGAGACAGCCCCCAACACACATGGCCACCACACAGGGTGGCTGGGGCCCGCCCTACTGGGGAGAGATGTTCTTATGCAGGGGTTGGCAGTTTCTTAGAGAACTAAGCAAACTCCGATCACACAAGGAGCAATCACACTTCTTGGTACTTTGCCTACTGAGGTAAAGACTTATGTCCAAAGAAACACCCTGCACACAAATGTTTATAGCAGCTCTGTTCATGATTGCCAAAACTTGGAAGCTGCCAAGGTGTCCTCCAGTAGGTGAAAAGATAAGCAAACTGTGGTACATCCAGACAATGGAATACTACTTAATGATAAAAATAAATAGGCTATCAAGCCATGAACAGACACGGATGGATCTTACATACATAAGTGAAAGAAGACAATCTGAAAAGGCTTCATGCTTGCACGACAAAACTATTTGACATTCTGCAAAAGGCAAAACTATGGAGACAGTGAAAAGATCAGTGGTTGCTGGGGGATTGAAGAGAGGACAGAGCGATGAATAGGCAGAGCACAGGGACTTCTCAGGAGAGAAAAACTATCCTGCATGCTACCGTAATGGTGGACATGCATTGTTATACACCCACAGAATGCACAAAACAGCAAGTGAACCCTAACATAATGTATAGACTCTAGTTAACAATGACGTGTTGATATTGGCTCTCAAATACAACAAACATGCCACACTAATGCAAGATGTTAACAGAAGAAATGGCGGTGGGGGCGTGGGTGGAGTAGATGGGAACTCTCTATACTTTTCACTCGTTTTTCTGTAAACTTAAAACTGCTCTGAAAAATAGACTTTATTAACTAAAAAAAAGAGAGCAGGGAACACAAAAAGGAAGAAACTATGAAGGAAATCATACAAGAATGTTTTTCTGAACTGAAGAACATGAATGCTAGAACAGTCCTACAAGTATGCAGCGCAATGAACTAAGACAGACACATGCCAACAGATATGACTATGAGGCTTAGAACACCAGGCATGAAAGGATTCGAACAGCACTGGAGTCTTCCTTAGCAACACTGGGCACCACATGAAGGAATGTCTTCACATTTCTGAGGGAAAAGCCTTCCACTAGCCTGGAATTCCAGACCCAGCCAATCGAGCATGAAGGTGGAATAAAGCCCGGTGGTAGTGGTCAGGCTGGTCACTAAAGGGCTCAAAGTCCCTTGGTGACTGCACAGCACACACACACATACACACACACACACACGCACACAGAGCTACCCAAGCCGCAGTCAGTGATGCAGGATCCACCTCCCGCCTGAGCTCTGCCCCCAACAATGCCAGCTCCCTGAGCTTCTGGTGGACACAGAGTGGGGTGTGGGGAGCCTTTGTATGAAAAGTCCCTATACATCCAAAGATCCAGAATTAAGTCACAGCAAAAGCTTGGTGGTAGTGGTGGTAGTATTTTGATTATTTTTTAATGTTGAAGTTTTTTTAAAAAGGCTTCCTGGGGCACCTCTGACTCTTCTACATCCCTATAGAAGAGCCCATCATGACGAAATCCTGGTGGGCTATGGCCCGTCCCCTCCGTGGAGACCTACTCCGCAGCCTGAGCGGCCTGAGCCTAGACTTTGGTTTTCCCTCCCAAACCTGAGAGACAATCCCCTGAGAAGGCCGGGTAGGAACAGATGGTGCCACAGGCAGGGCGGACAGAGAAAATGCCCGAGCGGGTGCCTCTCTCATAAGGCACGGGCAGAAGTGAGGGGAGGAGAGGCTAATTGAGACAGACAGACTGGAGGATGTATGTGAGGGTGTCTGTGGGGCAGGAGAGGAAGTTTGACAGAAAGACCAGCCAGCAGCATCAACAGCCTCACACCTCTACGTTCTCAGCCCAGTGACCACCGTGGGCCTGACCCTTTACCTATTTAGAGGCCAAGCCCTAGTCACTTTCCCTAAATCTGGGCTAGGCCCTATCTAGCACAGGAAAGTCCTGGGAGGTAGGGCAAAAGAGAAGGGTATGGACTCCAGCCCCAAACCGCCCAAGCCCTGAGTAACTAGGATCAGCAAGCACAGCCAGCCTTTGCTGGGGCAGACAGGTCAGGGGCCCTCAGCCCCAGCTACTCACACTGCACACACCACAGCGGTAATGCAATTACCTGAGGGGACCGGGGCCCTGTGGTGAGATTGCAGGGAACTAGCACTTCCTACATTGTCTATTTTTGTCCTATTTGAATGTTTTATAAGGAGCATATATTACTGTGGTAATAGGAAAAAGAGACAAGGGAAAGCTCTTGCTCCTATCTCATCTCAGCTTCCTGAGCCACAAAATGGGCCGTGCTCCTCTGCCTCCCAGCCCTCAGAGGAAGGCGGGAGGCCGAGTTTCAGGTCCTTTGCCACAAGGACCTTTTGGGCCTCTCTCCCCTATAAGGTCACTTCCCCTTCTCCTGTTCTGCCCAGCCCTCCCCCACAGGGAATTTGGGTTTCTCCCTGGACTTGTTTTTCAAGGAAGCACGGAAGGAAAAAGAAAAAGCTTCCCTGAATATTTTTTAGGCTCTCCCATCCAGAGCACAGTGAAATGGAGAATGGCCAGGACCTACCTCTGGACCCCAGCTGCCATCACTCGTCCACCTCCCTTCCAGCCCCACCTCCCTCTGCAACCCAGTCAAGGGCAGGACTGAATGGGATACTGCCTGGCACCTTGGCCACCCTGGGCACCCCAGGGACTCAACCAGAGCAGACCTTCTCCCAGAAGTATGGCCTACATGAGCTGAGATGGCCACATCCTCCCCCTCCCTAGAGGTGCTACTTCCCTGTGCCTGGACCAGACAGCCCCACAGACCTGTCGGGCACCATGGAGGTCCACTGGAGAATGGAAAACTATGAACACTGTCGAGGGGGGCTGAGGAATCCGCAATGAAAACAAATGGAGGCTTTCTTTTCACAGAGCCCCACACGCAGCAGAGCAAATGGGCTCTGAGCACCTCATCCCTAGAGACTGAAGCCCCCACGGGGAATATGACAGCAGGGTCCTATGACCTAGTTCAAGTCCCACTCCTCTGGGAAGCTCCCTCAGCTGCCACCATCCTGCTGGCCTGGCCCAGTCCCTCCTCTTTCTGACCAGGCATACACACTCTGAACCAAACTCACTCTACAGCCAGATCTGGCAGCACCGTGCCCCAGGACCCCCTGGTGTTGTCATGTCCTGGGCACCCAAGGTCTCCCTTGCTGGACTGTGTTTCTTGTGGATATTGACTGAGTATCCCCTGGGGCACACAGCTCCAAAGTAAAGAAATCATGCATGCACAGTCTGGAGCTGTTACAACCCTGCAGGGCCCTCTCTCAGCTCTCATCTGGATGCGCCTGACAGCAGGGCATGGTGGTGAGTGCTGGGTCCCCCACTGACCAGGTCACCTCCCTCAGCCTCCGCTTCCTTGGCCCTCAGGTGGGGACAACCATCCTCTTGGCTGTTGGGAGGCTAAGGCACGCCAAGCCTGGTTGGCAAAACCAGCTTATCCTCTCACTCTCTCCCACGACCGTGAGCTCTTAGGACTCCTGCTCTTGAATCCCTGACGCCGATCGCTCTGCCTAGCCTTCAAGGGAACGTGCCAGATCCTTTAATAAATATTCAACCTCGGACGCGCATGGTGGCTCATGCCTGCAATCCCAGCACTTTGGGAGGCCAAGGCGGGCAGATCACTTGAGGCCAGGAGTTTGAGACCTGCCTGGCCAACATGGCGAAACCCCGTGTCTACTAAAAATACAATAATTAGCTGGGTGTGGTGGCACACGTTTGTAATCTGAGCTGCTCGGGAAGCTGAGGCATGAGAATCACTTGAACCTGGGAAGCGGAAGTTGCAGTGAGCCAAGATTATATCACTGCACTCCAGCCTGGGCAACAGAGTGAGACTTTGTCTCAAAAAAAAAAAAAAAAAAAAAAAAATCCAACCTCAACTTCCCAAGTCTGGCTGTGCAAGAGATAGGCCCTGGTCTCCAGTTTTGGAGATTCTGCTACTGTTCCTTCCTCCCTACCTGATCAAGGTTTTTTCTCCCTCTCTGTGCCCTTCACCAGGCCTAGCTGACTGGGGCACTGGGCTTAGGAACTCCAAAGCCCAAGCTGAGGCCTGACCTGTCACTTTCATCCAGGGCAGAGACATGGCCAAAATCAATCAGGGTGTGACCAAGGCCCCAACATTCATCTAGACAATGGCTCACAAGACAGCTCTCATTTTCACAGCTCCACAGCTGTAGCACCCAAACCTGCTATGCATCGGTGCAGGATTTATATACAGATATAAATCCACCCAAGACGCCACCCAGACTTACTGAACTAGAAGGTCCCGGCCTGGTTATCTATATTTCTCAGTGGGTTTGGGGGTGGGGCCCCACAGGTGAGTGAATTCACCCAGACCCCATGTGGGAACCACAAGGATGGTCCCTAACGCTTTACATCACTTTAAGGTCAGCGGCCACCTGGGCTCTCCACCTGGGCTTGTCCTTAAGGACACTCAATCGGTACCCAGGAGAAACCTGTGTCTTTCTCCTGCCCAGTAAGGCTTGCCTTCCCAAGTCCCGAGGACACGCTGCTTCTGAGAGGACTGACCCTAGAAATACTCATCCCTCCCCCAGGAGGGGGTAAGTTACCAAAGGAACACACTGGGGAGGAGCAGGCAGCATTAAGCACTTTCTAGAAATTAAGAGTGTTAAGATGAATTAGGCCTCCTAGATCAGAAACCACTGGAGAAACAACACTCTCACCAAACCAGGAGGAAGGACAGTGATTCTGCCCCCATACAATTCCCCTGACACCCACCTGGTGCTCAGAGTCCGGGCTGCCTGCAGCACATATATCACTAACTGGCACATCCTTCACTGCAGGAACTAAGCTGCTCCACCTGCAAAGCACCCACCTTGACTTCATCTCTCTGTCAGGGGCACCATCTGGGGCACTTGAACTCTCCAAGGCCCAGCCAGCACATGCTCAGGACACAAGGGTTTTGATGAAGATGGTGATTATCTGGGACTTGTCCCAGGTGCCTCTGCAGCCAGGACATGATGGACACAGTAAGAAAAGGCACAGTAAGAGAAAATTCCTTGCACCTGAAGAGGCACACGCAGCTACTGATGCTGCTCTTCAGAAGACACACATCAGTGCTTCTCAAACTGCAAAGTGCAAAAAAAAATCACTGGATCTTGTTAAAATGTGTATTCTGATACCCAAAGTGTAGGTGGACCTGAGAGAGCTCCCAGCTACCCATGCTGCTGCTGGCCCAGAGGCCACACCTGAGCAGAGGGCTGCACATGAGGGGGCTAGAGAATGGCCAGAGCTGACCCTGCTGAGGGCTCACTGTGTGCCTGGCTCTGCAGCTCTTTTATTATCCATGCAACCAGCCCAGGAGATGGGAGGCCCATTTTACAGATGAGGAAACTAAGTTGTGGAGATGGTTTGTAAGTTGCCCAGGGCCACACAGCTAGTAAGTAATGGAGCTGGAACTTGAACATGAAAATGCCAGCCTCCAAGCCCATGTCCTTAACCTTTAAGGTTTAGCAACTTTCAGAAAAGCAGAATGCATATACTCCTGCCCTGAGTACCCTGAGAAGACAGAGGCCAGTAAAGGCCTGGCTACACATCACAGACCCTGAAGACCAGACCCCCTTTCAAAAGGTTGGCACAATCCCAGAGCACAGAGCCCTGAGATGCCACTGAGGGGACCTCAGGGTTTTGTCCTGTCCTTAGCCCCTCAAAACCTTGTCCGAGAGCAGCCCAGCCTCCCTCAGAAGCCATCAGGGTCCAGAATTCCTGAGAGGCTGGGACCACAAGGAAGCTCTTACAGGGCCCCCTGCTAAGCTAGAACACCTCTCCCAAGCTCTCTCTGCCTGACAAAGTTCACCAGGCCCCGTGTGGACTTGGGTCTCGGCCCTCAGCCTCCCCCCACCCACCACCAAAGCAGAGGACAAAGTGGATGGAAGGGGTGGAGAGGAGCAAGTCTGCTCACCTGTCACCAAGATTACAGCCCTAGTTACTCCTGCTGGTGGGGTCCCCAGGCCCTCATAACCAGCTCTCCACCTAGTTCTCAGAAAATGAAGCTGGGCTAACCAATGCCATCCAGCATAACTGGGGAGGTCCTGCACTCAGGGGAGAGCTGACCTGGGGCAGCTGTCACACATACCCATGCAAGTGCCAGGGAACTCCAGTCAGAGACAGACAGGGGTGTGGGGGCTATGGGTAGCTGCAGCAGCAGGCCTGGACACATCTAACTCACCCCCAATTCTTATCAGTCTAAAATTCAGACCCAAATAACAATGCCCCTTTCTGAGCCCCCACTCATCATTTATTCCAGACTCCAAACAACCTAGAAACCAGATTTGTCTCTTCTTTTCCCTCACTCCCTACATCTAAACTTCAAACTCTGTGAACTCTACCTGCAATTATCTCCAGAACTCACTCTCTCACCACTGTCACCCCATAGTCCCATCCACCACCACCTCCCTGATGGACATTAGATTTCCCTGTTTACCTGACGTCCACATTCCACCCAGCAAAGACGTGAAGTGGGAGCTCAGCACGCCCCGCTCTCCCTCACTCAGCACCTTTTGGGGCTTGGCTCCTCTGCATCTCTCATTCCACTTGGGCCACAGTGATTCTCCTGGTGTCCCTGAACCCATCAGGTGTGTTCCCACCTCAAGGCCACTATACGTGCTGCTCTCTCTGCCTGAGACACAGGCCAGACCTTCTGGCCATGGTTCACTCACTCATTCGAGTTAGGGCTCTGTTCATCCAAGCCTCCTCAGTCTTCCCTGAGTACCCCAACTGCAACCACCCCTCACCCTCTTTATGTTTTTATTTTATTTTGAGATGGGGTTTCACTCTTGTTGCCCAGGCTGGAGCGCAATGGCTCGATCTCAGCTCACTGCAACCTCCACCCCCAGGTCCAAGCGATTCTCCTGCCTCAGCCACCTGAGTAGCTGGGATTACAGGCATGTGCCACCCCGCCTGGCTAATTTTGTATTTTTAGTAGAGACGGGGTTTTTCCATGTTGGTCACACTGGTCTCGAATTCCCGACCTCAGGTGATCCACCCGCCTCGGCCTCCCAAAGTGCTGAGATTACAGGCGTGAGCCACCACGCCCGGCCCCCCTCACCCTCTTTCATCATCATACTGATCACAAGCTGGCACTGGTGTGTGCACACGCATGTGTCCCCATGTGCACATCAACATGACAAAATGCTGCACATGTTCAAGGCTTGTTAGCATCTGTCTTCCCTTGCTCAACAGTCAAGTGCATTATTCTGTTCATCTCTGTACCCCCAACACTTAACAGTGGACACTCAAATATTTGCTCAATGAGCCAACAAATTATTCTGTGACTAACGTGGGCCCCCTTCACAACTGCTCTATGGTTTTCTACTGCTACAAACCCATGGGTCTTACTTGTGAGAGCTGGAGCTCCCAAAGAGCAAAGAGGATCCCCACCCCACCTGCCAAACAGGAGCCTTTGGAGGGCAGGAGCCAGAGATGTCAGGCTTAAAGGGAGGTTTCCAGAATGAGACCTTCTTTAATTGTGAGACACTTCCTCAGCCCCCAACTGAACTAAGAATCTCACTAACTTCCCTGGGAGAGAAGATGCCCAACCAGATGTGGGACGCATCCAGCTTTGTGAACAGAGGAGTCACTGTTGACCCAACTCCAGCCCATCTCTTGGCCCAAAAAGGCCACTGATCTTATCCCCATTACCAACTACAATCACTCAGTTAGCACCTACTGTGTGCTGGCACAATACTAAGCACTGAACACATGGAATTACATCTTACTCAATCCTCTTAACAACCCTGTGAGGTTGATATGGGAGGCAGACTCTGGAAGTGGCTAAGAGCATGGACTTCGGTGCCAGGCTGCCTGGTTAAGCCCCAGCCCACCACGTGCTGGCTGTGTGACCTCATATCTATGCCTGTTTCCTCACCTATCTATAAAATGATGGTAGCAGCCTACCCTCTCCTCACAAGACAACAGGCTGAGTTACCCAACCCAAAAATCTGAAATCTGAAATGCTCCAAAACTTTCTGAGCACCAATATGATGCTCAAAAGAAATGGTCACTGGAGCATTTTGGATTTTTATATCAGGGATGCTCAACTGGCCAGATAATACAAATATTCCAAAATCCAAACTCCAAAACACTTCCGTCCCAAGCATTTGGAATACGGGATCTTCAACTTGCATGAGGATTCAATGGCCTATGCGTGGAGCGCTCAGAACAGGGCCCGGCACACGGGAAACGCACACGAGCATCGGCTCTCACATTCAGCAGGTGTGAGCACTGAGGTAAGGAGACGTGCACTGGGTCCAGTCACACAGTAAGCAGGAGAGCCAGAACTGGAACTCAGGCTCCCTGCCTCCAGAGCCCCCGACCTTGACCACTATACTATGCTGCCTCCCTCTGCAAGTACAACACACACTCACCCCCGCATCCAGGAACCCCCATGTCTCTGCCCAACCAAGGAATCCAGAATAAAGTCACCCCCCTATTTCTCTAGAGCAGGGGGTATGTGTTAGATGGGAGGAAAAATCACATCTTTATTTCCCCTAATCTCTAACAAAATTTAGCATGTCTTCCCACTATGAATTTTTGCAACAGTAGTACAGAAGTAGTACCTATACGCTTGTCACCAAGAGAAATCGGATTATTTTCCTATCACATTTTAGCTGTTACGGATGTCACAAATATTTATACTCATCACCACTTTGAATTGTAAAGTCATTAGACCTCCTGTAGATCTCATTATTTAATACAGTAATAAAGCACTTATGTTTCTTTAGTAAATGCTTTTTTGTTTTTTTTTTCTTTTTTCTTTTTTTTTTTTTTTGAGACAGAGTTTTGCTCTTGTTGTCCAGGCTGGAGTGCAATGGCACAGTCTCGGCTCACTGAAACCTCTGCCTCCTGAGTTCAAGCAATTCTCCTGTCTCAGCCTCCCAAGTAGCTGGGCTTACAGGCCCCTGCCGCCATGCCCAGCAATTTTTTGTATTTTTAGTAGAGACGTGGTTTCACCATGTTGGTCAGGCTGGTTTCAAACTCCTGACCTCAGGTGATCTGCCCACCTCGGCCTCCCAAAGTGCTGGCTTTTATATTGAGAACTATACTTCAACACCATTGGTGTACTTTGCAATGCTGTATATTTAAAGACATTCTGAGGAGTCCATGGCACCAAAAGGGCTGAGAAAACCTGCTTTAGAGTGGGGAGGGAGCAAACTCAGCAGAAGGCCAGGTCCTCCCCTCCCTGCCCGCTGCATGGCATCCAGGCTGAGAGCTCCAAGCAGAGGATGGGTGCTGCTCCCATTTCCCACCCAGCTAAGGGAACAGGGGGCCTGGTGAAGGGCAAGAAGCTGGCCGAAGGCCCTCAGATTCCCCAGCGTCACGCCACAGTGCTCAGGCTGACCCTCAAATCCTTGCATGCTGATGAAAGGTGACTCCAGAGAAACAAAAACAGCCACATGCACCTGCTAGCTGGGAGCAAGCTACTCTGGAGCTTGTTTTGATCATGCCCCCAACATCACAGTCCCCAGTTTCCCTGGGCTGGTCCCCACCTGAGCCTCACCTGCTATGGTTGCAACCCAGCAGGTCTGCAGCTTCTTCCTTCTGGCTGCAGCCACTGCCCCAACCTCTTCCAAAGACAGGCCTTACCTCAGCTGGTGAACAGCTACTACCACCCTGGGGACAAGGAGCCTGCAAAGCTGACTGTTGTAGGAATCAAGCCCCATCCCCAAGGCAAATGAAGTCAAGATTAACTTAGTCAAGACAATTGAGCTGCCCCAAAATACTGGGTGGGAGAGTCTTCTAAAAGCGAAAGCAGGGCACCAATGTGAAGAGGAAGAAATACTGATCCAGGCCTCCTTTCCCAGCCTCACTCCCCTCACCTAGCTTCCCTTAGAGCTAGTACAAACGGGAGACTCTGGGGCTCCAGAGGAATCCTCTAGACAGGCATGCTACTCAAAAATCAGGTGATAGGGAGGAAAACAAAACACTGATCATAATACTCCCTGCCCCGGATTTCTACCGCGGGACAGTGATATGCCGTTTCAAGTGACACTGTATAGATGAAATCATGTGCCCACAAAAGGCCTGCAGCCTTCAATGACTGGTATCATGGACAGCACCATGGGCAGGGCATATATTTAATGTGAAAGTCATCACCAAACTGAAAAATAACGGGTTTTTTTGGTTGTGGTTTTTTTTTTTTTTTTTTGAGATGGAGTCTCGCTCTGTCATCTAGGCTGGAGTGCAGTGGTACAATCTCAGCTCACTGCAATCTCCGCCTTCCAGGTTCAAGCAATTCTTATGCCTCAGCCTCCTGAGTAGCTGGGATTAAAGGCATGTGCTACCACACCCAGCTAATTTTTGTATTTCCAGTAGAGATGGGGTTTCACCATGTTGGCCAGGCTGGTCTTGAACTCCTGACCTCAAGTGATCCATCTGCCTCGGCTTCCCAAAGTGCTGGGATTACAGGTCTGAGCCACCATGCCCGGCCCCAGACTGAAAAATAATGGCCAAGAATTGTCACTCCTGCCATTCCCAACAGGTTTTTTTTGGTTGTGTTTTTTTGTTTTTTTGTTTTTTTTTGTTTTGAGACGGAGTCTCGTTCTGTTGCCCAGGCTGGAGTGCAGTGGCACAATCTCAGCTCACTGCAACCTACGCCAGCCTGCAATTCCTGCCCCAGTGACCAAACAGTGAGAGAGAAAGCTCGTCCTTATGCTGGGCTTCCTGCTGGTATAGAAGAAATTCAGACCTGGAGAGATAATCATCAATGGATATTAAAACCTCTGGGAGAAAGGTTGGTGGTGGGGTGGGGGGGATTTGGAATGCTGGGGGGCTAACCACCCATCAGGGCTTCGCTGAGGGTGGACTGCAGGCAGGTGGGCCTCCCCAGGTGAGGCAAGGCTTGGCCAGCCCCTGGGAAGGACTCTTGCCAGGGAACCTAGTGTCCAGGGGTGGAGAATCAGGGTGCAGGCCATCACGAGGAACCAACTGGCCAGGGCTACAATGTGTGACAGTCTTGAGGACAAATGGCCTGGTTCCTCACCAGGTGATAGCATGAAACGGAGGGGCGGGAACTTCCAAAGGGGAGACATGTCATGAGGAGACATAACAGCCAGGTGCCTATTTGGATCCTAACTCAACAAATCACCTACGAAGAGGCATTTTAGATATCAAGACAACTTGAATGTGGGCTGGATATTAGATGATTATTAAGGAATTGTTGATTTTGTGTGAGGATGGCATTAAGGTTATGTTTTTTCTAAAGGCACCCAAATCTGTTGGAGTGGGCTGGAGAGGCATACTGAAGCATTTAGGGTGTACTGACACTCCTGCTCCCACCTGGGACTGATGGTGGATTGACATTAGACTCCTGCGGAGGTCAGAGCGTGTCTTGGGCCAGGACACAGGCTTTCCCTCCTTGTCCTAAGACTGAGCCCCACCCCTGCTCTCCTCCCTCAGCCCCTGTGCTTACCAACACCCCTGTGAACACCTGTGAACTCATCAGCCCACCCGCTCACCACCGCACAGGGGCTGACAGCCCCGCATGGGATCCTGACATCCTGACAACCAGCCTGACACCCACCACCCCTTAAAGGCACAGGGCATGAGTCGGCGAGATCCCACCCAACCAGAGGAGGCCTCAGCCAGGCCTCTGCTCCAATGTTCCCCAAGTATTTGCCAGGAACAAGAACGGAGGTGTCTTTGAAGAGCTTATGCCTTGGTGGAGAAGACAGCCACATAGCTAACGGAAGATGGTGACTGACACCACAAAAATGCACAAATGAAGCACACGGGAAGGCTCAAGGGGAGGGGTTTGATTTCAGGATGAGGGTGCGGGATGTGGCATTTATATTGGGCTCTGAACAATGGGTGGGAAAGAGGCGAGGAGGGGGTAGGGAGACATTCCAGTTGCGAGGGACAGGATATGCAGACTGCAGAAGTGCAGGCAGGAGAAGGAGACTACCCCTAATGTCACACTAAGGAGCCATAATTGTATTCTGGGCCCTGAAATGCACGACAGGGTACAACACAAGGACAGGACTGACACTATGCTGCAGGAAGAGGGAGGGACAGCAGAGAGGTGAGGCAGGAGACCAGCAAGGGGCAGTCACAGCCCAGGGTAGTTCCCATGGCCAGGCTGACCTGAGCAACTCCTAATGCCTTAGCAGTTATTTCTCACCATTAATTAATAAACTGGCACTCTGGTTTATAAAAAGGCAGCAGCAGCTAAGGTAACAGCCCAGAGCAGAGGTTAAAAAAATTTTTTTTTAAGCCTGAACTAGGACAGGAACAATGGGGAAGGTAGGAGAGCCAGGGGGGCCCCTGGGAGCACCCCTTTTTCGCCCCCTGCGGCAGCACTATGGCAGAGCCACTCCACTCTGATCTCTCACTACTGTTGGCAGCAGGGACAGTTATTGACCTCTTATCCCTCACCACCTGAGAAGGGACCCGAGATGCAGAACATCTTCTAACACCTGCCAGGTAAATGACATGGAACTGGCAGGGCTCAGCTTTTGTCTCAGAAACAAGTTGGAAAAACAATGATTTTAAGGGCCTTGTGTGAGAACCCCAGTGGACTGGAAGATGGGAGACCTAGGTTCTAGTCCTGGCTCTGCCTTACTAAGTGGCTTGAAGCAGCCATTTCACCTCTGTAAAATGAGGGTGATAAAATCATGCAGTTAAAGACAAGGTAAAGTGAAACTAGAACTATTATATTCAGAGTATGGTGACACAGTTGGAAAACCCTTTTCCCTAGAGCCTCCTCCACCCTGATGCCTCCTCTCCTCTCCAAGTGCCCACCACAGCAGCCTGCCTCACACACTGGCACACAGGAGCTGTGTGGGCCTCAAGCCAACCCCTGCTGTCTCCCCGCATCCACCGCCTACCCCATCTTTTGATTTGGTATCTACAGTAAAACTGCAAGCCAGACATAATTGCAGGACAGGATACAGCCTCTTATCAGGCCAGAAGATGATTCTTATCACCTCCTCTGGCACCATGCCTGGCACCAGCAACCTTTGGAGGGAGCCCAGGTCCTCATTCATGAGTTCCCCCTGCCTCTGTGGGGACAGCTCACTCATCCCTCCTCAGACCCCAGCCAGGTCCAGCCTCCCTCCCTCCTGGGCACAAGCACTTTTAATCCTCATCCTAATGCTGTAGGCTCCAAAGGTCTGTCACTGTCAGCTCACCCAGCACAAGGAAAAGCTGCAAAAATGGCTGGAGACAAGTCAAACCACAGAGAGCAACAGAAAAGATGTAGGGTTGATAGCACAGTGTAGGGAGAAAAGCATCAGGCTTAGACATCAGAAATCTGGCTGCCACTAAAGAGTTGTGTGACCTTGGACAGGTCATTCCACCTCCTGAGACCCCAGTCTCCATATTCGCAAAAATGGTGATCCCCCTGTCTGCCCTCAGGGAAGAATGAAATGAGGTGATACTGGGAAGGCACCCTTAAAAGTAGGCCAAACCACACAGAAAGATGTGGGTTTATTGTCTATCAAAGGCCTTTTACAGGCCATCATCAGCCCCATATAAGTGAGGTGGCCCAGGACCAAAAAGCAACAACCCTGCCCAGGAGGAAGGAGAGAACCCGCAAGATGACCTCTCTCAGGGGATCTCTGGCAGGTGGAAAAATAAAGAAATTCCACTTAACCCATCCCCCTCCCCAGTGTGCTCCTAACCCCATATTCACCCTGACCAGGAGACTCAGGTTGAGGAAGACAAAACCAAGTGGCGATGGTCCCCTCTGCCAAGGTCTCAGTTCAGACCCCACAACAGGGGGAAACAAACAATAACTTCCCTGCCAGGCTCATGGGAAGTACAGAACTGTGTGGTGAGAACGTTGCATTTGGGAACAAGGAGGGAGGGAAGAAAAAACACAACGCATTTGCCTTTAAATGCAGAAAACACCTTTGGAAGGTTACACAAGAACTGGTAATGTTGGATGTCTCTGAAGAGAGGAGCTAGGTGACTTAAGGTGGGTCAAGGGAAATTTTTTTCATTATGTGCCCTTCTGTACCTTTAGAATTTGGACCAGGTGAACTACTCAAAAGTAAATAGGGGCCAGGTGTGGTGGCTCACACCTGTAATCCCAGCACTTTGGGAGGCTGAGGCAGGCAGATCACTTGAGGTCAGGAGTTCGAGACCAGCCTGGCCAACATGGTCTCTACTAAAAATACAAAAATTAGCTGGGCGTGGTGGCACGCACCTGTAGTCCCAGCTGCTCGGTAGGCTGAGGCAGGAGAATCACTTGAACCTGGGAGGCGGAGGCTGTAGTGAGCCAAGATCACACCATTGCACTCCAGCCTGGGCAACACAGCAAGACTCTGTCTCAAAAAACAAAACAAAACAAAACAAAACTAAATAGGAAGTAAAGAAAGTCCTGCTGTTTTGCTGAGAGTGGCACACAGGGAACTAAGCTTGGCTCCCCTCACTCCCTCTCCTGGCCCAGTCCCACCACACTCACAGTTTCCCTGCCTCCAACTCACCCTGCCTCTAATCAGGTCTCACCTGTTATTCAAGGCCTCACCTCTCCCAAGAAGCCCACCCTGATCACTCCAACTGGTGAGCTCCCTCTTCTCCTGACCCCCTCATTCTCTCACGCTTTTTATATGCTGCTTTGTAGAGGAATTGTCCTTGCTGCGTTAGGCTTATCTCAAACATATTTTAGCCCTTCTGGAGAAAGGGCTATCCACTTTATTTCCCTGGTTTCCCCCACAGCACTGACCTAGGCACAGTGGTTACAATGGTTGTCCAGTAATTGCTTCCTGGATGTTGTGAAACAGAAGGGAAAAAATAGCAAATGACTGTATTGCTGCAGGAGGAAGAACAGGATGGCTTGGAGTGTTCTGTCACAGTAAAACCAGCATGTGACGTCTTGGGAAGGATTACGGAGTCTGGTATGTGCTGATGCCCCCAAGCCCTGCTTGAAAGGAGCAAATCTCCCCAGGGTGGAAAGTGCCCTGGTGGAAAGTGAGGCTGACCTTCTCAGGCCTCACTCCACTCCTTTTTTTATTTTTATTTTTTGAGACAGGATCTTGCTCTGTCACCCAGGCTGGAGTGCAGTGGGGCAATCATTGCTAATCGCAGCCTTGAACTCCCGGGCTCAAGTGATCCTCCCACCTCAGCCTCCTGAGTAGCTGGGACTACTGGTGTGCACCACCATGCCCAGCTAATTTTTTGTATTTTTGTAGAAATGGAGTCTTGCTATGTTGCCTAGGTTGCTCTTGAACTCTTGGCCTCCAGTGATCCTCCTGACGCGGCCTCCCAAAGTGCTGGGATTACAGGCATGAGCCACCACACCCAGCCCTCACTCCACTCCCGAGAGGTATCTGGTGGCAGTGACTCCCTCCCAAAGTATGAGACAACATCCCCCAGCCTCTGGGACAGACATAAGGCTAGAGCTGCAGACCAAATGTGCTTATCCCAATAAACCAAGGACTCACCCAGGAGAAGCAGGTCATGCCTACAGAGCACCAGATTAACCCCCGAGATCCATGTCAAGGAGAAGAGAGGAAGCCTTGGCAGGCAGCAGCTGAGCACCTGGCCCTGTGCAGAGCAGGGTCATGGAAGACATGGGGGAAGACTGAGGTGGGCAGTGTGGTGTGGTGGCCAAGAGCATAGACTGGGAAGCCAGACTGCCTGGGTTCACATCCTGACTTTGTGCCATGTGCTGTGGTCAAGTCCAGTGACTCATGCCTATAATCTCAGCACTTTGGGAAGCTGAGGCAAGAGGATCACTTGAGAGTTCATGGCTGCAGTGAGCTATGATGGCACCACTGCATGCCAGCCTCAGTGATGGAGCCAGACCCTGACCCCACCCCCTCAAAAAAAAGAAAGAAAAAGCAAAGTCACTTTACCTCTCCGTGCCAAGGTTTCCTCAGCTGTTAAACAGCACCTACACCTCAAGGGCTTGCTGTGGACAAATGGAAGTCCAGACCTTAAGACAGTGCCAGCACCCAGATAGGCCTTCATCAGCAATGCACTAGACCAACGAGGCAATGAAAATAATGCACCAAAACAGGTGCCACATGCTCCAGATGTGGGGATTCAGAGAAGGCTGGGGAGGCAGATGGGTTCCATGATGGCCGACAGGTCTCTGGTGTATGTCCCCTCCTCACAGAGGAGGAGACCACAGCCAGCGCCAGTGGCTCTGTCTGCTCCGAACATCTCCAGGGCTCCCTGTCTAGGCCCCAAAACACAGCACTTGGCTATAGGGCTTCCTCCAAATGTAGGGAGATATCCAGGCTTCCCCCCCTTTGGAATCTCTCCCCCACCAGTGGCCCACTCTTGGCCTTTCAGGCCTCTAGAACTGCCTTTGGATTGGACTACCCTTCCAGGTCAGCAGAGAAGCCCAATGTCCCCATCTCACTAAAACCTGGCAGGCACTTCCACAGAAACTCCGGGGTGCACACAGGGCTCCAAATGCCACCTCTTCTTTACCCCAAATCCTACAGCTCTGTGGGCTGCCCGGGTCTAATGGAAACCACACAGAGCACACCCTCCACTAAGTGCTGGGTAGTGAGAGTGTGCAGCTCTCCCTCTGCAAACCCCAGTTTCCTTGTCTGAGCTCTCTTCCAGCTCCCATGCTGGAGTCCCATGAGTAAGGGCTGTGCTCCCTTCTCCACTACCAGGTGAACCAAAGGTCACAGTGGCCTGTGATACCCCCTCCCCACCCTGCAGCTTCTCGGAGGTGCTGGCTGCCCCTGGGAGCCCCGTTTTGGGAGGCCCCACTTACTGCTCCTGAGAGGCCGGGGCCCAGCTCCATACAGAGGCCTCATGTGGCCAGCCAAGTCCCTCTCCTCTCTGGCCACCATTGTTCCCAAGGTAGAAATAACCTCAGGCCAGCTCAGTAAGGGCACTGTGATCAGACTCTTCCCTGAAGGGACTGCCAGGTGCACAGCAGACTCACATGTGGACTCATTTTTATTACTTGGCTGTGGGGAAGAACAAAACTGCTTCATGGCTACACTATTTTGCAAAGGAAAGAAAAAGAGGACTGCTTCCCCTGGAGCAGAGCCACAACAGCTTCTGTTCTTGTATTCATCATCTGTCCCTGCGTAGGGTGAGAAGGGCAGGAGAACATCTGGACAAGGCCAGGCCAGTGGTTTAGACAAGAGCGTCACAGCACTGAGGTGGCAGCAGTGACAAGTGGGGCGGGCAGCTCCCAGCAGAGAAGGACAGCCCTCAAGGTCACCGGGATGTGGCTCTGCTGAGCTGTGCCTTGCAGCCAGCTGCCTACAAGGAGAGACAGGTGGGGCAGAGATGGGGCTGACCACAGGCCCCTTGAAACTCCCTGGTCCCAGCCAGGGCTCAGGGCCAGGGGCAGATGGGGAGGGCAGGGGAAGCTGCCAGGCCAGAGAGGAGGAGCTGCCCAGCCTGACTGAGGAGTCACACTTCCTACCCCGCCCCACACCCCAAGACGCTGCTGCTCAAGCAACCCCAAATAAAAACCACCCCATAACTAAGGGCCGTGGAGCCTCGGCATACCAACGACTGGCTTCTGAGTGCAGCCACACCCTTCCTCTGCAGCCAGAGTAGACCTCCCCAGCAGTGCCACAGGCCTCCCATGCCAGCTCTGGGGCCGAGCAGGAGCCAAGGCCAGGGGCTCAAGTGACCACAGCTGTTTCCCGAGGGGCAGAGTCACACCCAGAAGCCAACAGAGAGAAGGCTGTGGGGTCACGCACCATCTGCCCACCAACTGTCTGCCCAGGCTGTCTGTGGGCTACGGGATAGATGGAAGCCCTCAAAGACCATCCCAGCCTTAGGCTAATGGGATGCATGTCCCCTCAGGTGCCTCCCAGTGCCCCCAAACCCACCCACCTAAGGAGGTCTCAGAACACCATGACCAGCCAGGCAGAAGGCTCTCATCTCAGACCTACATCTTTCACAGCCTCAGCTCTCCGAGCTCCCTTGCCAAGTGGCACAGTCTAAGCAGGGGCTGAACGGAGCCTCTTGCAGGCCACAATTCATGGTCACAACAGTTTTAGTCTTTGTGATGAAAAAAGACAAACTGATCCCAACCCAAGCTGAACCCACAGCCTTTGCTTTCCCAAGAGGCCAGCTTCTAACCATTGATCCAACAGGCCCAGGATGACGATCCTGTCTGCCACACTCCAGGCCTTACCGCAGGGACCATTTCACCCTTATCAGGATGAGGGAGAAGGTGGACAGGGGCTCCATATAACACAGTTGTGCTCTCTCCTCCTCTCCTAAAACACACAAAGACCAGCATTCCAGGGGGCAAAGACCAGGTCTCCCCAACCAAAATGGCCTTGTGGCAGATGCCCTGTCTTCTTACTCCAAAACCTTTGCTGCTGCTTCCTTCCTTCCCTCTTCTGATATATCCAGGTCCATTCCCTGGGGGTGTGATCCACACCAATCGCATAAAGACCAAAAAGGTCCAAATGACCCATCTGACCCCACAGGGAACAAGGAAAACTAACTAACCACCACATCCCATCCCTGTCTTGGGAGTTAGGGAGGCAAACACAGGACACCCACTGGGGAGTGCTAAGAAGGACGTTGGGCCAGGCGTGGTGGCTCATGCCTGTAATCCCAGCACTTTGGGAGGCCAAGACAGGTGGATCACCTGAGGTCAGGAGTTTGAGAACAGCCTGGCCAACATGGCAAAACCCAGTCTCTACTAAAAATACAAAAATTAGCTGGGTGTGGTGGCACATGCCTGTAATCCCAGCTACTCAGGGGACTGAGGCAGGAGAATCGCTTGAACCTGGGAGGGAGAGATTGCAAGTGAGCCCAGATTCTGCCACTGCACTCCAACTTGGGCAACAGAGTGAGACACTGTCTCAAAAAAGAAAAAAAAAAGGATGTTGAAGATAAAAACCAGAAAATAAATCGCAGAGAAGCATCCAGGATTTCCAGACCAACAGGAACATGACGATCCATGGACAGTTCTACTGAGGGTGGGGAGATCATTAGTTTCCTTGTGTACTACCATTACATTTTGTTTTGAGAATATCCTCTTCAATTATTTGGAAGCCTCTGGTGAAATTCCTCATTTCAAAGACTGCCCCACTCACACAAGACCTTCGGAGGCTGCTGAAGCACCTACAACCCCAGCCACCACCATCACACAAAATGGGGCCCCAGAGTCACCACCACGCTAATATTTTGAGAGCTTCTATGTATCCAGAACTACATTAAGGCTTTTACAGATGGTGTCTTATCTAATCTGTACAACTCTATGATTATTATCATGACCTTTTTCAAAGTGAGGAAGTGGGATAAGTAACCTGTCTGCTGGTAAGTCACAGAACGGGGAGTGAAATCCCAGTCTCCAGGTTTTTAAGCCCTGGGCCATCCTTCCTTCCCAACAGGGCAGGGGCAGCTCCAGGCAGGGCTGCCAGGGAGGAGAGCTGCAGAGCTGCGGGCTTATCTGAGCCTGGTTTCAGGACTGCAGAGGCCTCTCAAGCCCAGCCCTATTTCTTGGGCCTCTTGCAGCAAATAGAATACAGAGAGCTGCAAAGGGCCAGCTCATTTTGTTGGGAACTCTCGTACTCTTCTGTGTACTCCGTCACCCATGGTCCTAAGGCTTTCCTAGGCTCTAAGTTCTAGACTGTCTCCCCCATCCCATAAGAAGCTCTTCCAGACATTGTTACTAAAATCTCCCTTCACCATCACTGCTCTGCACTGACCACCTACCATGTACAGGGACTGTACTAGGTGCTTAAGCTGCATTTTCATTTCATCCCTCACATCAACCATATGAAGGTATAAATTATCTCCATTTTACAGACGTGAAAACTGAGGCACCAAGAGTTTATATGACTTGCCACAGGTGGCAGTTTTGGGACTGGGATCTGTCCAGTGCCACTCTGTAGCCCCTTCCTAACCATAAGGGTACCTTCCCCAGTCAGGTCCTCTCTTGGCAAAGGGCCACCACCTGCCCTACCTGAGACCACCACAGCCAACTCCTGGAGTTAAAGAATGGATACTTTTCATTTCCACCATTATCCAAAGCTGAGGAGGGTACACCCTGGTCTTCTCTGCCTTGCCCTCTCCCTACCAGGCAGCGTTCAGACTCAGTCTTGGTAGCCCACACCAGGGTGCTCCAGGAAATACCACCAGGAATGACCACTACAGCCAGAGGTGGGGACCACAGCGGGGGTGACAGCCCTCCCCCTCTGTCAGTGGGCATGCTGTTAGGTCCAGTAAACTAGAGCACCAGGCCAACTTCACAGACTTTCCTCTGCCCATCCTAAGTGACCCTCCCCACTCCTGTTCCCCCCCCGGTTCTATAAATAAACCAGGTTGTTGCATCAGAGAAAACAGCCAGGTGGGTGTGGAAAGATCCTGGTGGAAAAGATGATTTCTATAAAATAAATTAAGGTTCCCATTCAGATCAAGGGGTGGTAAGTCAAATTCTCCAAGACAGGCTGTTCTTGGCTGAAAATGGGTCCACCTGGACCTACAAGCTTGGCCAGCTCAGCTAAGGAAGATCCAGAGGCCAAGAGGAAAGCAAGGGCAGGAACTGGAAAAAACAATCAAAGAAGCTGCTCCCTGCAGGCCTGGAGCCTTTTTTTGGTCTGCCTCCTCCTGTTCCCCCAGCACCCCCTGAACAGATGTGTCATCTAACAGTCTGGTCAGAGTAGCTGATTGGTGGAGGGTGAAGGACTGGGGGAAGGGGTGGAATGATTTGGGGGATAGGCACCTCTTCTGAAAAAGAATGGGCTAAGAGATCCAGGAGAGAGCTTTTCGCCCCATATACCCACCCCCTTGGGCTCCAGGAACCAGGAAGGAGGGAGAGGACAGAAAGGAGGAAAAAAACAAGGTCCAAGCTATATACCACATGATCCCACACCCTGCCACCAAACAGCAAGTCATGAAGGAAGGCGGGGAGCAGGCCAGGGGATGGGGAAATGGAGTCAGGTCACAGCCATGCCTGGAACCTGCACTAACGCCCTCCCCATCCCAGACCACAGAGAGCCAGCCAGGAAAGTCATTCCACACCCATGTTTCAGAAAACATTCAAGGTCAGATCCTTTTTACCTAAATCCTGCTTTCATTTGGGTTTGCACCAGGCTCATCCCCCTCCTCCAGCAAGCCTTCCTGGATTTATTCACTCAGTGGATGCCATTCCACTGGGGCAAACCTTTCCGGCACCTCTCCTGACCTAAGGCACAGTCCTGCCCCAATCCCCTTACCCTCCTACCCAGATCACTCCCAAGTTAACCACTTGAGTGATCCACAGCAGGCTGTCAGCCCCGGGGACTGGCTTCCAGCTCCTGCCCAAGCCCAAAACAGGAAATGGGGCTCCAAGGCTGAAGCCTTGATCTTAACACAGGCAAGGTTAAATGCTGCCAAAATAAATGATTTAAAAAAACCCTGGCCCACTGAGGTGGAAGTGACCGGGAGATAATCTCCTGCTGTTCATTAACCATGCCGCTGCCTCTACCTCAGGCAGGGCAGGGCAGGCAGGCAGGCCACTGGAAGGCTGACTCAAGTGTTTCCTTCCTTAACTTAGAAGCTCCTCCTATCCTCAGACCAGGGACACAGGACACAGAGGGACAGGATGGGGGTGGGGGGGTGACATCTCTAGATAGTGGAGGGCATCTTGAGAGCAAGAGGCAGATGCCCCCTGCAGCCAGCTTCTACGTTTAGCGGGGTAATCAACATTCAACCTCGCCCTGGAGGAAGACACCTGGCTTTCCTTCCCCCGTAGGGCAAGGCTGCGCCTCTCCACTCCCCTGCCGGACAGGCGCCCGCAGTTCCCCTCCCCTTTGAGGAAAGGGAGGCAGGCCCGGAGGTTCTAAGAACGGCCCCAAGATTTCCCTTCTTGAGGTTTCCATAGCCCCAAAGCCTCTGAATCTCATTCCTAACTTTACTTGACAATCTACTCCTAACGTTCGCCACCACTTAAACCTCCCCCAGGCCTCCCAGGGACCACCAGTGGCTGAGCCCCACACAGCGCACGTTTGGGAAGCTTGAAGACGACCCCGAAATGCGAAGAACCAACGTTTCTGTCGGTTTACGCCCTTAAGCACGAGGCAAGGGCTCACTGGCCCGGCTGAAGTTCGGGGTCCTGATCCCCCACCAGCCCCGCCCTGTTAGGCCTTTAGCCGTTTCTGTGCCCCCGCGCCCCCTACTCACTGCGTGTGCTGGGCGCGGCCTGCGCCGAAGACCTCGTCCAGCGCCACCGTGGCCTGGCCCAGGAACTTGTCGACGCCGATGAGCGAGCGGTGCATGGTGGTGAGCACCAGCTCGCAGGCGGCGGCGGAGCTCGCGGCCCAGGGCGCCGGGCCCGCGTCGGCCTCCTGCGCCCGCAGCAGGCCATCCAGGGCCCCCGGCGGCAGCTCGAAGGAGCACTCCTCACGCCACTCGGGGCAGCCGTGCGTCTTCTCCACCACCGACGTACTGTACTTCTCGCGGCCCACCTGGATCACCGTGTACGCGTCGCTGGTGCTGCCCGCTCCCGAGCTCTTGCCCCGCAGCCCGCGGGCCCGCAGCACCGTCACCTGGACGTGCGTGGGCAGCCAGCGGGAAGGCCCCGCCGCCGGCTCCGCGCCCCGCACCAGGGCCATGGCGGAGAAGCGGGGGGCGAGGTCTGGCCGAGCCGGTGCAGACCCCAGGACCTGGTGACAAACCCGGCCGCGGCAGAAGGCGGTCAGGAACCAACTCTGAGCGCCGCCGCAGCTGCGGGCTGGGCTGGGCCGGGCCGACCGGCCGCCGCCTCCCCGCCTCACCGGGCCGCTGGCCGCGGGCCGCGCCGCGACGTCAGCGCCCCGCCCCCTGCCCCGCCCCGCGCCCGCCGCCCCAACCGGCGAGGCGGTGCGACAGGGATGCGGGCACGCAGCTCGCGCCCCGGCAGCCGCAGACCAGCCCGGAGCGGGAAGGGGCGGTGCGCGGCCTCTGCAGAGGGTGGGCGGAGTTCCCGCGGTGGCCCCGCCCCTGGCTGGGGGCGCCCGAAGCAACCCGGCCTCGCTTGTGGGGAGCCCTACACCCGCGGCCAGGTACGAAAAACCCGCTCTGCGCCTCCAGGCCAATCCCACGTCTTCCTTCTAAAAGTCCCTGCTCCGGAAAGCCCTCTCCGTAAAAGGGTCCCGGCCCGCAGTTCCTGGGATGGCCAGCCTCTTGGCGCGGACTTGGGGTGATGGGGACCCCCGCCGCTCCCCTGACCCCGGGCCGCGCTCTCCCCTCCTCCAGTCCGCCCCTGCGGGGGAAAATGCCGGAGTGAAACTGGAGCGATTGCCGCCCCGCCACGTGACGGTCCCGCATCGGCGACCTGGAAGCGGGTGAGCTGCCGCCGCCTCCAATCTCTCCCGGCGCAGGGGGCCGGGATGCGGCCATGCGGCGGCGCGGGAGGCCCGAGAGCGGGGCTCACCCTCCTCAGACTCTGCGGCGGAGAGCCGAGTGATGAATAAATGAGTAACCACATCAATATTTAAGTGTTCACTCGGAGCCTTGGGGCCAGTGTGTCACGGGTTGGGGGAAATTACAGGCCCTGGTGGGGGGTTAAATAACTACTTCCACCCATTATTAAGTGCCTACTGTGTGCCAGGGCCTAAGTATTAACGTATACTTGGTTTATTATTGATAATAACGATGTTTAGTAATTATAGATGCTGAATTTCAGCCAACTCTGGTCAGTGCGCTTTTATATGCATTACCTCATTTTATCCTCAGAGCAACTCTGTGGGGTGAGTATGGCTTTTATCCCTATTTTCCAGAAGATAAAATGTCAGCTCAGATGGGGGAGGGTTGTGAATCCACTAGATGCCCCCAGAGCGTTTTTTTTTTTTTTAACTTTCAGAGCCTGTACTTTTAAAATAATAATTTAAAAATAATACACACAGCTTTTTTAAAAAAATCAAATAGGACAGAATGGCTTGCAATGAAAAGCAAGAACTCCCTCTCCATCCTTCAATCCAGGGATGCTGCTTAAAGCCACTGGTGTTTTCAGGTCTGATGGTTACCTCCACATCACTACATTAAGATGCTCACATAGCTACATCTGCATTTATCAGGACTGGCCACTGTCTGTTGCCTTCCTCCTATGATAGATAATGATTTAGCTGGCTCACACCCACTTCCATCCCTCAATCTTGTGTAGTTATGCTATTATTTTTAGTTCCTCTATAGCAGGGGTCCCCAACCCTTGGGCCACAGACTGGTAACCCTCCATGTCCTGTTAGGAACTGGGCTGCACAGTAGGAGGTGAGTGGTGGTAGGGGCTAGCTGGTGAAACTTCATCTGTATTTACAGCCGCTTCCTATCGCATTACCGCCTGAGCTCCACCTCCTGTCAGATCAGCTGTGGCATTAAATTCTCCTAGGAGCACAAACCCTATTGTGAACTGTGCATGCGAGGGATCTAGGTTGCATACTCCTTATGAGAATCTAATGCCTGATGATCTGTCACTGTCTCCCATCCCCAGATGGGACCATCTGGTTGCAGGAAAACAAGGTCAGGGCTCCCACTGATTCTACATTATGGTGAGTCATATAATTGCTTCATTATATATTACAATGTAATGATAAGAGAAATAAAGTGCACAGTAAATGTAATGCACTTGAATCATCCTGAAACCATCCCTGCCACCCTCAGTCTGTGGAAACTTACATTTTGGTCCCTGGTGTCAAAAAGGTGGGGAACCAGTGCTCTATAGGATACCCAACAGGAGAAACATGTATTTCTTCTTAGGGAGACTCCACAGTACCCCTCAACTGTCCACCTTCCAGGCCATGTCCTCTACTGGGAATATGAACCTAGGAAACCAGTAGAGTAGGCAGAGGAGACCCATGATAGCACACCCAGCACAGGCCCAGTCCTCACAGCCTCCCACCTTAACTCTTCCATCAGAAGACTGGAGTGGGGAAGTCCTAGGCACCAGCCCCATGGTCCAGCAACCCTGACGATAGCACCTAGCTTTAGAGACAGCCAGATCTGCCTACAGATATTGGCCATCTGCCTCTTAGTAGCTATGAAACCTGAAGTTTAAGCCAACTCTCTAACCTCTCTTGGCCTTATTTCTCCATTTGGATAATGGGATAATGATTCTTACCTCAAGCCAGGCGGAGTGGCTCACACCTGTAATCCCAGCACTTTAGGAGGCCCAGGCTGGTGGATCACTTGAAGCCAGGAGTTCAAGACCAGCCTGGGCAACATGGTGAAACCCCACCTCTACTACAAAGACAAAAAATTCCCCTGGCGTGGTGGTGGGCACCTGTAGTCCCAGCTACTTGGGAGGCTGAGGCACAAGGATCACTTGAACCTGGGAGGCAGAGGTTGCAGTGAGCCAAGATTGTGCTGCTACACTCCAGCCTGGGCGACAGAATGAGACTTTGTCTCAAAAAAATAAAAAATGGGGCCAGGCCTGGTGGCTCATGCCTGTAATCCCAGCACTTTGGGAGGCCGAGGCGGATGGATCACTTGAGGTCAGGAGTTCCAGACCTGCCTGACCAACATAGTGAAACCCCGTCTCTTCTGAAACTATGAAAATTAGCAGGGCATGGTGGGGCACACCTGTAATCCCAGCTACTCAGGAGGCTGAGGCACAAGAATCACTTGAACCTGGGAGACAGAGGTTGCAGTTAGCCAACATCGCACCACTGCACTCCAGCCTGTGCAACAGAGTGAGACTCTCTCTCAAAAAAAGAAAAAATGGAAATAAATCATAACGCAACCATCCATAAATAAACACTGTTAATAATTTGTTGTGTTTCTTTCTAGTCTTTATACTGTATGTGTTTGTTTTATATACATTATGGTTTTTGAGACATCTAAAGTATAATTATTAAATCTGTGGGCTTTGGAGTCCTGGTTCTACCATTACTTTATATATATTATCACTCTTGGCTATAAGTCTGTATACTAAAGAAAAAGTATATACATATAATACTTACACACACACACACACACACACACATAGTCATGTTTAACCCTGAAGATAACCATTTAAAGCAAGTGCTACCCTTGGTTTCACTGATGAGGAAACAGAAGCAGGAAGAGCTTGGGTGATTTTCCCCAAGTCTCCAACCGGAAAATTGTAGAGACTGAGTGGCTCTACTGGCTGTGGTACTCTGCTCTCACACCAGCTTGTTGGTCAGCCAAGCACTAGATCCATTTAAAGTCAATAAAGAAGGAAGTGTTCTCATACCCATTTTACAGACGAAGATTGAGGCAACCAAGGTTACAAGAGTCAGGATGAACCTCCCACTTTAAGAGTGAATTCTTCAAGGACTTTGCAAGTGACGATATCATCACTAAACTTCAACTAACATAAATGTGTCACTCCTTCAGCGGGTCTGTTTCATCTGTTTGCCTGTTCTCCAACGTTACTGCTCCTACCTCCTCCCTCCCTCCTCCTCCGCCAAGGAGGAGCAAAGCACCAGGAAAGGGGAAAAGGTGGAGAGCACTCAGATGGCTCCTCTGCCTCACCTGCCCTCTGGCTCTCTTTCCTCCTGCCTTGGCCCTCACAGATTGGCAAGCTCAAGCTTCCTGCTGGCTCTGGACTGTGGCTGGCTATAGGAGGGGAACGAAACCAGCCAGGGCTCCCACCCCACGTTGCCTGGCCCTAGAAGGAAAAGCCAGGTCTGCTAGCTGTCTGTGGTTGAGAAAAGAGCAGAAACACCAGATACTGAGGTCTTGGCCATCTAAAGGTGTGTTTCCTCCTCTATAAGATGAGATCCCCCCCACTCCCTGCAGCAGCCTGCATAAGAGTTAGACAAGAAGACCCCAAAAGCATCAGTTTCCTCTGCCTCCCCAGGGCTGGGTGTCCTCACTGCCTTCCTGGGCCTCTCTAGTCCATTGGAGACAGTTCTTGCTTGAAAAGCATCCACCTATGTGTAGCTTCCACTCATTGCCCCCTCTTCAGTACCACTAAGCCCATTTGCTTTTCCATGTAGACACTTCACATGTATTTGTCCTGCTCTTCCAGCTACATTTCCCTCTGTTCTTCACCTCACCTTCCTGCAGCTATTTTCCAGGCCCTCTTTATAGCAGAACCACATGCCCAGGTCTAAGCCCTGGTGCCACCACTTACTAACTGTATAAGCATGGGCAAATTACTGAACCCTACTGAGTCTGTTTCCACCTCTGTAAAATGGGCCTGCTAATAAGAAATTACCTCATAGGGTTAGTATGAGAGCTATCTCAATACACCCTAAGCAGTAATGAGCATGAATTATCATCTTAGAACTCTTTGCTGAAGGCAAAAGCTTCTGCCTCCTTGTTGTTTCATTTGCATTTCTTTGATTGCCAGAGAGATTGAACTTCTTTTCAGTTATTAGTCATTTGTATTTCCTTCTTTAATGAATTGTCTATTTTCTGAATTGCCTATTTTCTATGCTTGTTTTTCTTTGAAGCCTTAATTTCTTATTATTTATACAAATGCTTTATATGTTAAGAATAGTAACATGGCCAGGCACAGTGACTCATGCCTGTAATCCCAGCACTTTAAGGGGCTGAGGAGGCAGGATTGCTTGAGTCCAGGAGTTTGAGATCAGCCTGGCCAACATGGTGAAACCCTATCTCTAAAAAAAAAAATACAAAAATTAGCTGGGTGTGGTGGCACATGCCTACTGAGGTGGGAGGATCACCTGAGCTTGGGAAGTCGAGGTTGCAACAAACTGTGATCATGTCACTGCACCTCAGCCTGGGCATCAGAATGAGGCCCTGTCTCAAAAGAAAAAGAAAAAGAAGGCCGGGCACGGTGGCTTATGCCTGTAATCCCAGCACATTGGGAGGCCGTAGGTGGGCGGATCACAAGGTCAGGAGATCGAGACCATCCTGGCTAATACGGTGAAACCCTGTCTCTACTAAAAATACGAAAAAATTAGCCGGGCGCGGTGGCGGGCGCCTGTAGTCCCAGCTACTCAGGAGGCTGAGGCAGGAGAATGGTGTGAACCCGGAAGGCGGAGCTTGCAGTGAGCCAAGATCGTGCCACTGCACTCCAGCCTGGGAGACAGCGAGACTCCATCTCAAAAAAAAAAAAAAAAAGAAAAAGAATAGTAACACTTTGTTGTTCATATTTACTGCAGGTTTTCTTTTTTTAATTTAATTTAATTTTTTTTTTGAGACAGAGCCTTGCTCTGACACCCAGACTGGAGTGCAGTGGCACAATCTCAGCTCACTGCAACCTTCACCTCTCGGGTTCAAGCGATTCTCCTGCCTCAACCTCCCCAGTAGCTAGGACTATAGTGTGCACCACCACATCCGGCTGATTTTTGTATTTTTAGTAGAAACAGGGTTTTGCCATGTTGGTTAGGCTGGTCTCAAACTCCTGACCTCAGGTGATCCACCCCCCTCAGACTACCAAAGTGTTGGGATTACAGGTTTTAGCCACTGCTCCCAGCCTGGATATGTTTTCGATATAAGACATTAGGTAGGCTGAGTGCAATGGCTTATGCCTGTAACCCTAGCACTTTGGGAGGCCGAGGCAAGAAGATTACTTGTGAGCCCAGGAGTTCTAGACCAGCCTGGACAACGTAGCAAGACCCTGTCTCTTTTTAAAAATTATTTTTAAATTAGCTAGGTGTGCTAATGCACGCCTGTAGTCCTGACCACTGAGGGGGTTGGAGTAGGTCTGAGGCAGGAGGATTGCTTGAGCCCGGGACGTCCTGGCTTCAGTGAGCCATTATCACACCACTACACTCCAGCCTGAGTGACAGAGCTCAGGCCCTGTCTAAATAAATAAATAAAATTAGATAATCAAATCTTTGAATTCTTTCCATTGTTTTAAGCTTGAGTTCTTCCAAACTTACAGGTCCAACAATATTCATTTGGATTTTTTCAAGTTTTTAAGTTGTTTGGATTTTTGTTTGTTCTTTTATTCTCTTTAAATCCTGCTAGCAACCATTTTGATGAATGATTTCAGGTAAATATCTAACCTGCTTTCCCCCAACAGCTATCCAAGTTTCCCAATATTTATTGCAAAGCCCTATCCCTTAGCCATTGGGTTTATCATATAAGTTTATATATATATTTGTAGTGAAGGGGTGGCCTGCCCCTCCACACCTGTGGGTATATCTCATCAGGTGGGACGAGAGACTGAGAAAAGAAATAAGACACAAAGTATAGAGAAAGAAAAGCGGGCCCAGGGGACTGGCGCTCAGCATACCAAGGACCTGCACCGGCACCAGTCTCTGAGTTCCCTCCGTATTTATTGATTATTATTTTCATTATCTCAGCAAGAGGAATGTGGTAGGAGAACAGGGTGATAATAGAGAGAAGGTCAGAAAAAAAACATGTGAGCTAAAGAATCTATGTCATAATTAAGTTCAAGGGGAGGTACTATGCCTGGATGTGCACGTAGGCCAGATTTATGTTTCTCTCCGCCCAAACATCTCAGTGGAGTAAAGAATAACAAAGCAGCATTGCTGCCAACATGTCTCGCCTCCCGCCATAGGGTGGTTTTTCTCCTATCTCAGAACTGAACAAATGTACAATCGGGCTTTACACCGAGACATTCAGTTCCCAGGGGCAGGCAGGAGACAGTGGCCTTCCTCTATCTCAACTGCAAGAGGCTTTCCTCTTTTACTAATCCACCTCAGCAGAGACCCTTTACGGGTGTCGGGCTGGGGGACGGTCAGGTCTTTCTCACCCACGAGGCCATATTTCAGACTATCACATGGAGAGAAACCTTAGACAATACCCAGCTTTCCAGGGCAGAGGTCCCTGCGGCTTTCCGCAATGCATTGTGCCCGTGGTTTATCGAGACTAGAGAATGGCGATGAATTTTACCAAGCATACTGCTTGTAAACATTTTGTTAACAAGGCACATCCTGCAGAGCCCTAAATCCCTTAAACCTGGATTCCATACAACACATGTTTTTGTGAGCTCAAGGTTGGGGCAAAGTGGCTGGGGCAAAGTTACAGATTAACAGCATCTCAGAGCAAAACAATTGTTCAGGGTACAAGTCAAAATGGGATTTCTTATATCTTTGCTAGGGCAATTTGGCAAAAAGAATAAATAAAATCATCTAGATTGGAAAGGAAAAGTAAAGCAATCTCTATTTGTAGACTACATGATCTTGTAAATAGAAAATCCTAAGGAGTCCACTAAAATCTGTTAGGGTGAATAAACGAGTTCAGCAAGGTTATTAGGGTACAAGATCAACACATTCAAATCAATTGTATTTCTATACACTAGCAATGAACAATTGAAAATAAAATTAAGGAAACAATTCCATTTATTTATTTATTTATTTATTTATTTATTTTTATTTATTTTTTGAGACAGAGTCTTGCACTGTCATCCAGGCTGGAGTGCAGTGGCGCTATCTCAGCTCACTGCAAGCTCCACCTCCCAGGTTCATGCCATTCTCCTGCCTCGGCCTCCCGAGTAGCTGGGACTACAGGTGCCCGCCACCACGCCTGGCTAATTTTTTGTATTTTTAGTAGAGGCGGGGTTTCACCATGTTAGCCAGGATGGTCTTGATCTCCTGACCTCGTGATCCGCCCGCCTCAGCCTCCCAATAAGTGCTGGGATTATAGGCGTGAGCCACTGCGCCTGGCCGAAACAATTCCATTTATAATAACTTCAAAAAATAAAATACTTAGAAATGAATTCAACAAAAGAAGTCTAGGCCAGGTGCAGTGGTTCCTGCCTGTAATCCTAGCACTTTGGGAGGCTGAGGCAGGCAGATCACCTGAGGTCAGGAGTTCGAGACCAGTCTGGCCAACATGGCAAAACCCTGTCTCTACAAAAAATACAAAAATAAGCTGGGCGTGGCAGTGTACACTTATAGTCCCAGCTACTTGGGAGGCTGAGGCACGAGAATAGCTTGAACGTGGGAGGTGGAGGTTGATCGTGCCACTGCACTCCAGCCTGGGCAACAGAGTGAGACTCTGTCCTCCGTCTCAGGAAAAAAAAAAAAGAAAGAAATCTAAGGAAACTACAAAACATTGTTGAAAGAAATTAGTAACCTAAATACATAGAAAGGTATTTCATGTTCATGGAACTGAAGACTTATTGTTAAGATGGCAATACTCGCCAGATTCAACATATCCCCTCTCAAAAGTCCAACTGCTGTTTTTGCAAAAATTGGAAAGCTGATCCTGAAAAGCACATGGAAACGCTTGAGACCCAAAATAGCCAAATCAATCTTGAAAAAGAACAACAAAGGGCACTCACACTTTTTGATTTCAAAACTTACTACAAATAAAGACAGTGTGGTACTGGTATAAAGATAGACATATAGACCAGTGGAATAAAATAGAGTCCAGAGATAAATCCTTACATTTATGACCAATTGATTTTCAACAGAGGTACCTAGACCATTTAATGGGGAAGGTATTGTTTTTTCAACAAATGGCCTGGGACAGCTGATATTCACATGCAAAAGAATTAAGCAGGACCCCTTTCTTACACTGCACACAAAAATTAACTCAAAATACATTATAGACCCAAATGTAAGAGTTAAAACTATAAAGCTCCTAGAAGAAAACATAGGAATAAATCTTCATGACCTTGTATGAGGCAAAACCTTCTTAGATACACCAAAGTACAAGCAACTGAAAAAAAATAATAAAGGCTGGGTGCAGTGGCTCACACCTGTAATCCCAGCACTTTGGGAGGCTGAGGTGGGTGGATCACCTGAGGTCAGGAGTTCAAGACCAGCCTGGCCAACATGGTGAAACCCCATCTATACTAAAAATACAAAAATTAGCTGAGTGTGGTGGTGTGCGCCTCTAGTCCCAGCTACTCGGGAGGCAGAGGCAGGAGAATTGCTTGAACCTGGGAGGCAACAGTTATAGTGAGCCAAGATCATGCCATTGCACTCCAGCGTGAGCAACAGAGTGAGACTCCTTAAAATAAATGAAATAAAATAAAATAAAATGGATTCCGTCTAAATTTAAAAATTTTAGGCTTCAGAGAACACCATCGAAAAAAGTGAAAAGACACTCCACAGGCTGAAAGTATTTACAAATCATATATCTCATAAGGAACTAGTATCTAGATGTATAAAGAACTTATAATTCAACAATAAAAAGACAGGCTGGGCACAGTGGCTCACACCTGTAGTCCCAATGCTTTGGGAGGCCAAGGCAAGAGGATTGCTTGAGTCCAGGAATTTGAGACTAGCCTGGGCATAACAACACCTCATCTCTACAAAAAAATTTTTTTTCTTAACTAGCCAGGCATGGTGGCACTCACCTGTAGTCCTAGCTACTTGGGAGACTGAGGCAGGAGGATCCCTTGAGCCCTAGGAATTTGAGGCTGCAGTAGGCTATGAACTTGCCACTGCACTCCAGCCTGGCCAACAGAGTGAGGCCTTTTCTCTACCAAAACAAAAGAAAAACAATAAAAAAACAACCCAGTTTAAAAATGGGTGCGTGATTTGAATACATAATTCTCTACAAAGATATACAAATGGCCAACATGCATGTGAAAAGACACCAAAACCACTAGCCATTAGAGAAATGTAAATCAAAATCACAATAAGATATCACTTCACACCAACTAGAATGGATATAATAAAAAGACAGATGACAAGTGTTTTCCAGATGTGGAGACACTAGAAACTAATACACTGCTGGTAGGAATGTAAAACAGTGCAGCCACTTTGGAAAACAGTTTGACAGATCCTCAATTGTTAAACATGGAGTAACCATATGACCCAGCAATTTCACACTCCTAGATATGCATCCAAGAGAAATGAAAACGTGTGTCCATACAAAAAGTTGAACATGAATATTCATCCCCAGTTTCCTACCCAAAATCTACAATCTCCAACTGCATTTTTTGCATCTCAGAGGAAGAGTTGTTCCTGAGTGCTTAACTTTCCTTCCTCTGCTTTGAGGCAGACCAGGGTTCTATCCTCCCCTTCATTTCTGTACCTCTCATCCACTGTTTCCTCCTCTCATCACATAAATATGCTCATGTCCTTCCCGATAAAGCCAGAAAACCACAACACCCTTTCAATATTGCCGGTACCACGTCCTTCTTTCTGAGACGTTTCCTAAATTTGATTGACTTCTTCTGCCTTTACCCGCTCACTGCCCCATTCATACCCAATTCCACAGCATCCTGGCTCTCTATCCTTCTACCCTGTTGTTCTTGCATTCGTAATTGCAAAATCCCAGGCCCTCCTTCAGTCCTTATCTTAACCTCCCCTTTGCATGTGGTAGTTAACCATTTCCTTCCCCCAAACTCCCTCAAACCTATTCTCTGCCTCTGGGACCCCACTCTTTCATGCCTTTGCTCTGCCTCTCCCTTATACCTTCTGGGTCTCCTTCAGGGGGTTTCTCTTCCTTTCCCAAATTTTTTTCCCCCAAAGCAGGGGGTTACCCAGGTTGGAGTGCAGTGGCGCGATTATGGCTCACTGCAGTCTCAACCTCCAGGGCCCAAGCGATCCTGAGCCTCAGCCTCCTGAGTATCTGGGACCACAGGCGCGTGCCACCACACCTGGGTAATTTTCATATCTTTTGTAGAGATGGGATTTTACCATGTTACCCAGGCTGGTCTTGAACTCCTCAGCTCAAGCTATCTGCCCACCTTGATCTCCCAAAGTGCTGGGATTATACGCATGAGCCACCATGCCAAGCCTCCAAATTCTTAATGTTGGTTTATTTCTCGGCCCTCTTCTCTTTTCACTCCTTAGACTTTCCCTAAAGATTCCCTTTTACACATGTGGTTTTATTCATTCTGTAAATGTTCTCACCTCCCATATGTCTACTTCCAGCCCAGTCCTCTTTCCTGAACCTCAGATGAACACTTACAAATGCCATGAAATATCCCATACATACTTTTTTTCAAATTTATTTATTTTTAAGTTGACATATGAAATTGCATGTATTTATTGTATACTCACACATACTTTCAAATTCAACAAATTTTATTACTTTGCTAGGGCTGCCATAACAAAATATCACAGACTGGGTGACTAAACAACAGAAATGTATTTTTTCACAGTTCTGGAGGCTGGAAGTTCAAGATCAAGGTGTTGGCAGGTTTAGTTTCTTCTGAGGCCTCTCTCCTTGGCTTGCAGATGGCCACCTTCTTATGTGATCTCATATGGTTGTTTCTCAGTCTGTGTATTGATTATGTCCTACCTCCTGTTATCTTTTTAAAATTTATATATTTATTTTCAGAGGCAGGGTTTTGCTCTGTAGCCCAGGCTACAGTGCAGTGGCACAATCATAGCTCACTGCAGCCTTGAATTTCTGGGCTTAAGTGATCTTCGCTCCTCAGCCTTTCGAGTAGCTGGTACTACAGGTATGCACCACCACACCTGTCTAATTTTTTACCTTGGTAGAGACTGAAGTCTCACTATGCTGACTGGGTTGGTCTTGTACACGTGGCTTCAAGTAATCCTCCAGCCTCAGCCTCCCAAAGTGCTGGGATTACCTCTCAGTCACCACTCTCAGCTCTAACCTCCTTTTCTTACAAAGACACCAGTCATATTGAATTAGGCCCCATTAATGTGACCTTATTTTACCCTAATCACCTCTTTAAAGACTATATGTTCAGGCCAGGCACGGTGGCTCACACCTGTAATCCCAGCACTTTGGGAGGTCGAGGCGGGTGGACCACTTGAGGTCAGGAGTTTGAGACCAGGGTGGCCAACATGGTGAAAACCCATCTCTACTGAAAATACAAAAATTAGCCAGGTGTAATGGTGCGTGCCTGTAATCCCAGCTACTCAGGAGGCTGAGGCAGGATAATCACTTGAACCCACGAGGTGGAGGTTGCAGTGAGCCGAGATCACGCCATTGCACTCCAGCCTGGGGAACAGAGTGAGACTCTGTCTCGAAAAAAGAAAATAAAAAAGACTCTATGTTCATTGCTTGAGCCCAAAAGTTCGAGGTTGCAGTGAGCCAAGATTGCGCCACTGTATTCCAGCCTGGAAGACTAAAACTCTGTCTCAAAAAAAAAAAAGAGACCTTATCTCCAAGTACAGTCACATTCTGGGACACTGGGGTTAGGATTTCAATATATGAATTTTGAGGGCACACAATTCAGCCCATAACAAAATTATAAGTTGAGGCCAGGCACGGTGGCTCAAGCCTCTAATCCAGCACTTTGGGAGGCCAAGGCAGGCTGATCATGAGGTCAGGAGATCAAGACCATCCTAGCTAACACGGTGAAACCCCGTTTCTACTAAAAAAAAAATACAAAAAATTAGCCGGGCATGGTGGCAGGTGCCTATGGTCCCAGCTACTCCGGAGGCTGAGGCAGGAGAATGGCGTGAACCCAGGAGGCGGAGCTTGCAGTGAGCTGAGATTGTGCCACTGCACTCCAGCCTGGGCAACAGAGCAAGACTCCGTCCTCACCCCCCACAAAAAAAAAAAATGGAAGTTGAACTCATCATCTTCCCTATCACCACCTGCTCCTTCTCCTTTATTCCCTCTCTTGGTGAATCTCTGAAGGCCCTAACCAGAAACTTAGTGGGGTTTTTTTTTGTTTTTTGTTTTTTTTCAAGGGAAAGAAGCACTGCCACCTACAAGCTGCAGAGAGCATTGCTTCTTTCCTGCTTCCCAGATGCCATATTGAAGGAAAGCCACTAAAGACCACCAGGATTGCATCAAAAGGATTCCAGAGCCAACTCAAGATGCTTCTACTGGACAAAGGCACAACAAATTGAGCACCAATGAGAATAACAAGACAAAGATTTGAAATATAGAAGTGTTCCAGAAAATGAATGAAGAAGGAATGATTGAGTTGGAATAGCACCATTTCATAGCCCATAATGAACTAATGGATCTAAGCAGTGATTGTCAATGGCTGTTAACTAAAAGAGATAACTAGGAACTGTGTGCCTCCTGATGGAAGAATACACCACCATCTATGAGGTAGTCTTGCCCCACCCCCTAGTTTAACCAGAATCTGATCAAGCCTCTATATCCAACTATATATAAGTTTACAGGAAATATATGGGACAGAGAAAAACATTAAACCAATAATGTAGGGATGCAATCAGCAAAATTCAGACTGTAGGAAACTATAGGACAAACAATCCAGGTTTTTTCAACAAATTGCAAAAAAAAAAAAAGGAAGAAGAAGAAGAAGAGCTAGAAGATAGAAGAGGAACCTTAAAACTTGAAAAACACATTTTTTTAAATAGGTAAATACCCCAGCAGCAATGAGCACATCTAGCACTCAGATCATGGTTTCTAAATACCGTCCTCCAATACAAAGAACAAGGCTCCTTAGAGAAATGTCTGATTCTAGGACTAGGGCAGAGAAAACACAAGATTAGCCTGGATCATTTTGTAATGCCAAAAAATAAGGAAGTCATCAGGGAAGAAAAGGGGGTGAGGAAGGTGCACTATGTCAGCAGAATACAGGAGCCAACCAGAAACAAGCTGGAACAATTTGAGCCACAAAATAAATTACAATAGTATTGGATTATAACCCAAGAAATAAAATAAATATGTATCTATAGTGATATCAATAAATGATTGAATAAATAAGGTAAATGAGAGAAAAGAGAAAAATCTGCCTTACAGAATTCTAAGTACTATATGTAGATACTGCCCCCGCCCCCGTCCCCACCGGCCAGGAGGTGGAGTTTAATTCCCTTCTCCTTGAGTATGGGCTGGACTCAGAGACTCACCTTCAAAAAAGAGTATGAAAACCAGCAATTTTACAATTTTACAATGGCAAAGCTTGGCAGGCCCCACCTTCATCAGGTGGTCCAGATTAACAGCACCAGTGATAAGTCCCATGGACAGAATGTACCCCTGATATGCAGCCATGAGAAAGGTATGTCAGGCGCAGTGGCTCACGCCTGTAATCCCAACACTTGGGAGTCCTAGGCGGGTGGATCACTTGAGATCAACACCAGCCTGGCCAACATGGCAAAACCCCATCTCTACTAAAAATACAAAAAAATTAGTTGGCCATGGTGGTGGGCGCCTTTAATCCCAGCTACTCAGGAGGCTGAGATAGGAGAATCGCTTGAACCCAAGAGGCGGAGGTTGCAGGGAGTCAAGATCGCGACACTGCACTCCAGCCTGGGCGACACAGTGAGACTGTCTCAAAACACACACACACACACACACACACACACACACACACACACACACATCACCTCTGTGCCTTACCAAAAACCCATAGCTGTTTTCTTTTTTTTGTTTGTTTGTTTTTTTTTGTGTGTGTGTTTTTTTTTTTATTATTATACTCTAAGTTTTAGGGTACATGTGCACATTGTGCAGGTTAGTTATATATGTATACATGTGCCATGCTGGTGCGCTGCACCCACTAATGTGTCATCTAGCATTAGGTATATCTCCCAATGCTATCCCTCCCCCCTCCCCCGACCCCACCACAGTCCCCAGAGTGTGATATTCCCCTTCCTGTGTCCATGTGATCTCATTGTTCAATTCCCACCTATGAGTGAGAATATGCGGTGTTTGGTTTTTTGTTCTTGCGATAGTTTACTGAGAATGATGGTTTCCAATTTCATCCATGTCCCTACAAAGGATATGAACTCAACATTTTTTATGGCTGCATAGTATTCCATGGTGTATATGTGCCACATTTTCTTAATCCAGTCTATCATTGTTGGACATTTGGGGTGGTTCCAAGCTGTTTTCTAATCAAGAGAAAAACATCAGACAAATCCAAATTGAAGGACATCCTTCAAGATACCCAATCAGTACCCTTCAAAAGTGTCAAGATCATGAGACACAAGGAAAGACCAAGAAACCATCACGAACAAGAGGAAACTAAGAGGATATATCTGCCCTTGCGGGGACCTGGGCTGTGCATGTCGCTGTCTAACACATCTCCCAAGTGCAAGCCCTAAACACTATCTTTTGGTTTTATCTGTATTAAAAAAAAAGACTAAATTACTTTTTATTCTAACTTTACAAAATATTACAAAATCATTGTTATATAAGACATGATCAAGGCGGGCGCAGTGGCTCACACCTGTAATCCCAGCACTTTGGGAGGCTGAGGCGGGTGGATCACCTGAGGTCAGGAGTTCAAGGCCAGCCTGGCCAACATGGCGAAACCCTGTCTCTACTAAAAATACAAAGATTAGCCAGTGTGGTGGTGGGCACCTGTAATCCCAGCTACTTAGGAGGCTGAGGCAAAAGTGAGCCGAGATTGCGCCACTGCATTCCAGCCTGGGCGACAAGAGCAAAACTCCATCTCAAAAAAAAAAAAAGACGTGATTGAATGAAACCCAAAAAAGTAGGAAAAAAGTACTGCAGAAGTAGGTAAGGCAGTTAATTTTTTAAATTACATTATTTTCTCGATTTGGGTATGTTTTTGGTATTTGTCAGCTTAAATTTTTTTTATTTTGGAATAATTTTAGATTTACAGAAAGTTACAAAGATAGTACAGAAAGTTCCCATATACCCTTCACTCAGCTTCCCTTCATGTTAACATTTTACTAGTATATAATACTTTTTCCCTACTTTTTTTTTTGGTCCAAACTAAGAAACCAACATTTGGTACAATACAATTAACTAGACGACAGACTTTATTCAGATCTAACCAGTTTTCCCATTAATTTTTTTTCTGTTCCAAGATCCAATCCAGGATCCCACACTGCATTTAGTCATCGTGTCTCCTTAGTTTCCTCCCATCTGTGATGTTTACTTTATAGTAATTCATTAAATGGTACATTTGCTTGATATGATTTTCTAAATTCATGTTATATTTAACAACACAAATAAAAACAAAAACAAAAACAAAATAATCGTAATGGTTTTTCACAGCTCTTAGAATCAGGGCAGCTGTCCCCAGCCTGATCTGCCAGGCCATGCGTGGCCTGGTGCTGGCCCACCTCTGCAGCCTCTCCCAGCCTCACAATGACCCAGGCAGACTGCTTCCTTTCAGTCCTTCACATTTGACTTGCTCCTTTCCACCACAAGGGCTTTGCACCTGCTGTTGCCTCCTCCCAGCACACTCTTCCCTCCTCTTTGCCAAGGTAACTCCTGCCCCACCACTGACATCACCCCAGCATCCCTCTAGCAGTCCAGCCTTCTCTGGGCTCCCTGGCCAGACAGTGACAAAGATTCCTTGCTTGACTAAACTTTAGTCAGCCTCCTGAACCTTCTCCTAGGCCCACCTGTGCACTTCCTTGTAAAATCTAGTTTTAGCAAGGAGTCTTGCTAAGTCGGTTGAGCAAGAACACCTCCCTTGGACAGCTGATCACAATCACCCTTGATATCTGATTGGGTTTCTCATCCTCCGCTATCCCCCAGGTGATAGCTAATCACCTGGACTGACTTTAGCAAGAATCCTGTAAGGTTGGTTTAGCCAGAATGATCCCTTATCCTCAATGTTCGTTCTCAGTCATTTACCATCCACTGATCCTACCCTGCTTCTTAGCGATAAATTCCCACTTGCCCAAGCTGTATTCAGAATTGAGCCCAGTCTCTTTCCCCCATTGCAGAATCCCACTGTAGTGGTCCCTATGCCTATTGTGATGGTCTTGAATAAAGTCTGCCTTGCCATGCTTTAACAACTATCATTGAATAACTGTCTTTAATAGTAAAATCTCCTTACCACAGGCTCTCATCACTATCCACAGGGGCAATGTTACACTCGTTTGTGTGATAATTTGTGTTTGTGTCTCTCCCCCTGCTAGACTGTAAGCTCCATGAGAGCAGGAACCACACCTGCCTGGCTGACCTCCACATCTTCAGCTTCCACCACTGTGCCCGGCACACAGCAGGTGCTCAAGAAATATTTGTTGACTTAAGAAAGGAACAAAAACAACAAAACATGCCCGAAAGGTGGAGCAGGGAAGAGAAAGAGGAGGTGGGAATTACCACAGTGTTTTTAGCTGATTTATTTCCTTTTCATGGAAGTGGGAAAGGAAGGTCAATAGATATTGCTTACTAGTGTGTAAGTTGCCATTAAAATCTTCTTAGGGCTGGGCATGGTGGCTCATGCCTATAATCCCAGCAGTTTGGAAGGTTGAGGCAGGCAGATCACTTGAGGTCAGGAGTTCGTGACCAGCCTGGCCAGCATGGCAAAACCCCATCTCTACTAAAAATACAAAAAAATTAGCCCGGTGGCGGATGCCTGTAATCCCATCTACTTGGGAGGCAGAGGCAGGAGAATCGCTTGAACCCAGGAGGCAGAGGTTGCAGTGAGCGAAGATTGTGCCACTGCTCTGCAGCCTGGATGACAGAGCAAGACTCCGTCTCAAAACAATAAATAAATAAAAATAAAAATAAATAAAATCTGCTTAGGAAGGCAGATCCTGGTAAATCAGAAGATGACCCTTTTGTTTCTTCTGGGCACATGGATGGGTTCTCAATGAGGACAGTTGTTTTGGGAGCTGAGTTTGAGAGGAAATGCTGGAGAACTGAATTGCTGTGTAGAGTAAAAATTTCCAGTTTCCCAGAGCCATCCAGCAATCCAGGAGGGAGGAGCAGGTAAGAGAGATCAGGAGGGATAGCAGAGCCAGCAAATTATAAGAGTCATGTGCTTTTCAACCTTATTATTCACTTCTAATTTTAGTCTACATGTTATTGATTCTGTGACATTTATTACAGTTCCTTTTAGGCCAATTTAGTGCTCTAGTGCTTAAAAAGCATGTGAATTCTCTGTTGGATGTGGAGTTCAATTATATCTAATAGAGCAAATTTATTAATTGTATTGTTTAGATCTTCAACATCCCTATTTATTTTCTCTCTGATTGCTCTCTTGGTCTCTAAAAGTAGTGACTTTTGGAATTGCACAGGCGTAAGCATATTTATTTAAAAGTTAAAAAATAGGCCAGCTACTGAGGAAACTCATGTTGCTTGAGCCCAGGAGTTCCAGGCAACAGTGAGCTGTGATTGAGCCACTCCACTCCAGCCCGGGTGATTGACAGAGATCTTGTCTCTAGGGGCGGGGGGGCGGAGGGGAAGAAAAAAGAAAAGAAACAAAACCAAAAAAAAGTAAAATAATAGTTTTGAAAAAGTATATATTTTTTTCTTTCCAACTTTATTTTATGTTCAGTGGGTACATGTGCAGGTTTGATACATGGGTAAATTGTGTATTGCACACGATTACATTTTTCAAATTGTTAGGAGTGGGGAAAAGCAACAAAGAAACCACAGGCCAGAAAGCAAATGACAGAAAACAAGAAAAACAATAAGGGAGTACTTAAAAAGCAATCTGAAATAACAAAAGATGACCAGACTAAATCTATCTGTAAAGCAATAATTGATTGATGGACACTCACCAATTAAGTACTTTCAAATGAGATTTAAAAACACTAAATGCGAACATATGCTATCAACAAAAGATATGCTTAAAATACAATTGCAGCCTGGTGTGGTGGCACGTGCCTATAATCCCACCTACTTGGGAGGTGGAGGCAGGAGGATTACTTGAGCCCAGGAGTTTGAAACCAGCCTGGACGACACAGCAAGACCCCATCTGTGTGTGGTTTGTGGGTCAATTTAAAAAAAAATTTGTGGCCGAGTGCAGTGGTCACGCCTGTAATCCCAGCACTTTGGGAGGCCAAGGTGGGTGGATCACGAGGTCAGGAGATCAAGACCATCCTGGCTAACACAGTGAAACCCCGTCTCTACTATAAATACAAAAAATTAGCCGGGCGTGGTGGCGGGCGCCTGTAGTCCCAGCTACTCGGGAGGCTGAGGCAGGAGAATGGCGTGAATCTGGGAGGCGGGGCTTGCAGTGAGCCGAGATTGCACCACTGCACTCCAGCCTGGGCAACAGAGCAAGACTCGATCTCAAAAAAAAAAAAAAATTGTATAAAGAACTCGAAAGCAAAAGAATTTAAAATCTCAATGGGTTTTTTAATAACTTGACAAATGGATTTCAAAGCATATTCAAAAGAGTAGATTCAGAGGGTAACAAATATTTGTTGAGTGCGTAATAGGTACCAGGCATGTATTATTGAGCTGTAATAATTAAAACAATGTGAGGTGGAGCCAGAAATCTACAAATAGAGTCAGCAGAAACAGAATAGAAAGTCTGGAAATAGTCTTACATGTGCATAAGATTTGATCTGTTATAAAGATGGTATTTCAAATATGTAGGAAAAAGACAATTTTGTTTTTATTTGTAAAAAATAATAGTAATAAATATTAAACATAAAGGTAAGTCCCAGCTCATAAAAAAGATGTCAGATAGAATAAAGATCTAAACATGAAACCCCACTAAAGTAATAGAATAAACTATAGGAGTTTATTTTTTATATTTGGGATTCTATCTCAGCTGCTCAAAGAATTTGAATAAATAGTTCACAGGTGAAATACAAAAGGCAATTAAACACATGAAAAAATGCTTAACCTCACTACTGGTTTAAAATTGCAATTAATACAGCAGTGATGGGGAAGGATACCCTTGATGTGAACACAAACTGGCACAACCTTTTTGGAAATAAATTCAGTAATTACTATCAACAATTTTAAATGGTTGGTTCCTGTAATCTGGCAACTCCATTCCTAAGACTTTACCCTATGGAAATCCTCACACAAGTGTTCAAAGAACATTGTATTAATATAAGTATGTAGATTTCTGCATGACTTAAAATAGCAATGCTGGGCATGATGGCTCATCCCTGTAATCCCAACACTTTAGGAGGCCAAGGTAGGTGGATCTCAGGAGCCCAGGAGTTCCAGACCAGCCTAGGCAATAAGTGAGACCTTATCGCTACAGAAAAAAAAAAAAAAAAAAAAAAAAAAAAAAAAAAGCTGCTAGTGGGGGCACACACCCATAGTTCCAGTTACTCAGGAGGCAGAGGCAGGAGGATTGCTTGAGCCCAGGAGTTTGAGGCTGCAGTGAGCTATGATCATGCCATTGCACCCCAGCCTGGGTGGCAGAGCAAGGCCCTGTATCAAAAAAGAAAGAAAGAAAGAAAGAGAGAAAGAAAGAAAAAGAGAGACAGAGAAAGAAAGAGGAAGAAGAAGAAGGAGAAGGAGGAGAAGAACAACAACAAGAAGAACAAGAAGAAAAAGAGGGGCCAGTGCGGTGGCTCATACATGTAATCCCAGCACTTTGGGAGGCCAAGGTGGGCGGATCACCTGAGGTCAGGAGTTCAAGACCAGCCAGACCAACACGGAGAAACCCTGTCTCTACTAAAAATACAAAATTAGCCACGCGTGGTGGCACATGCCTGTAATCCCAGCTACTCAGGAGGCTAAGGCAGGAGAATTGCTTGAACCCAGGAGGTGGAGGTTGCAGTAAGATGAGATATAGCACCATTGCACTCCAGCCTGGGCAACAAGAGCGAAACTCCCTCTCAATTAAAAAAAAAAAAAAAAAAAAAAGGGAAGGGAGAGGGGGAGGGAGGGAAGGAGAGATGGTGGAGGGAGGGAAGAAGGGAAGGAGGGAAGGAAGGAAGGGAGGGAGGGAGGGAGGGAGGAAGTAAGTAAGGAAAGAGGCTGGTGTGGCCTGAGCAGGAGGAAAGGCAGGCACAACGCTTCAGGGCCTCGTGGGCCACTTTAAGGATTTGGGATTTCCTCCTTAGGGCAATGCAAAACCATTTAAGGATTAGTAAAATGCTTCTTTTTAAAAAATATAATTCAGACGAGGCAGTCTCTGTAGCTGTGTTTTGGGCAAGGGTGTGGGTATATCCTGGTCAAGGCCATTACCCAGAGGAAAATGGGAGGAGAGCCAGGAAGGCAGCCAGAAAGACTCCAGGGGAACTCCTCTTCAGCATGAAGACTCCAGAGGGGCCTCGCTGGCAGTGCCAAAGCCCAGGCTGCTGATCCAGATTGCAGACTGGAGGATCGTGGTATTCTTGGGTGGGGATGGGGGTGCAGCCAGTGGGTCAGTTTTGGTAAGGCTGTCAGTCTTTTGGAAAGGGCCAGGTCAGAGTGTGGAAAGACCAGCCTCAGAATCCTGACCTGAGACAAAAGCTGCAAGAGACCAGGACTCATGGTGGAGGAAGTTGCTATGCGTATCATTTCCTGAGGGATAGGGAAGAGGGAGTGCCCAGGAGGGAACTTCAGTGGAGAAGCTTGGCCTCTGAGTGCTGGAGCATTCTAATGTATACTTTTAAGATTTCTTTTTGTGCATTGTAATTCACACCAAGATTTCAGATAAGTCTGTTAACCTTCCACCTGTGCTGAAGCAAATAATTAAACAGGTCTGTGTCACTGTCCCAGACAGAGAACAGCATTCCCAGTGCCCCCCTTCTGCACTGGTGAGGGTGCCAAGATGCTCTCATCTTTCAAGAGAGTGTGGTGGTCCTGGAGCTCCAGGAGGTAAGCATGAGTACTTGGCAAAGCGGAAAATACAAGCGAGGTATGGACAGGAGAGAGTCCGTCACTCCCCAAATATTCTAGAAAGGTCAGAAGCTTGACAGAAAGAAAAAGTCCCTGCAATAACATGGGCAGAGGATTTTCAGCCAGAAGATGTGTAGGTGACACAGGCTGAAATAATCAGGTAGCTTGAGAAGTAGCCCCTCTTGTCCGCCTTTTGAACCTTTCAAAAAGCAGATAATTATAATTCATGCTAGTAAAAAAAAAAAGAAGTCACATTCATTCAAAGTGACTGAGTCACACCCTCAGATCCAAATGTGGCTGCAGGAAGCTCTGGTATTCATTCTAAAGTGGAAGTCACACATTCGTATGCCTGCAGGAGCCGGGCAGGCATCACAGGGAGGCAAGCAGGGCCCAGGGTCCTGGGGCATCATTGCTCAGCTCCAGGCAGTTAGTACTGCCATGCTGCTGGGGAAGATCTATGCTGTCTAATTTTCTAGTTAAACACAACAACGGAACTATAAATCCAGATTTTAATGTAAAAGTTTAGAATTTTTCTATATTTACAACTAATTCAAAAATTATAAAATAGAAATCAAATATGTTTGAGGTTGGATATTATATTAATATTAGCTTCCTGTTGCCACTATAACAATTACCATGAACTTGGTAACTTAAAACAGCACAGATTTGGCCGGGCACGGTGACTTACACCTGTAATCCCAGCACTTTGGGAGGCTGAGGTGGGTGGATCACTTGAGGTCAGGAGTTTGAGATCAGCCTTGCCAATATGTTGAAACCCCGTCTCTACTAAAAATACGAAAATTAGCCAGGCTTGGTGGCACACATTTGTAATCCCAGCTGCTCGGGAGGCTGAGGCATGAGAATCTCTTGAACTCAGGAGGTGGAGGTTGCAGTGAGCCAAGATTGTGCCACTGCACTCCAGCCTGGGCGACAGAGACTCTGTCAAAAAGGAAGGAAGGAAGGAAGGAAGGAGGGAAGGAAGGAAGGAGGGAGGAAGGGAGGGAAGGGAGGGAGGGAGGGAAAAAGAGAGAGAAAGAAAGAAAAAGAAGGAAGGAAGGAGGGAGGGAGGGAAAGAGAAAGAAAGGGAAGGAAGGAAGAAAGGAAGAAAGGAAAGAAAGAAGAGAAAGAAGGAAAGAAAGAAGAGAAAGAAAGAAAGAAAAGAAAGAAAGAAAGAGAAAGAAGTGCTGTAGGGTGTCTACAGGGCTGCGTTCCTTCTGGAGGCTCTGGGGAGAATTGTTTCCTTGCCTTTCCTAGCTTCTGGACTCTGCCTGCATTCCTTGGCTCGTGACCCCTTACTTCAGCCTCTTGCTTCTATCTTCATATGTCTTACTTTTGTTGTCAAATCTTCTGCTGCCTCTCTCTTATAAAAGCACTTGTGATTATATTTAGGGCCCACCCACCTGGATAATGCAGAATAAACTCCCCATCTCCAAATCCTTAATTTAGTCACAACTGTAAAGTCCCTTTTGCCATAGGAGGATACACTCACAGTTTTCAGGGATTCAGATCTGAATATCTTTGGGGGCCATCATTCAGCCTACCACAAGTACAGAGTAGGATGCAGCCCTCAGATTTGAAACTATGTAATGATCCTAGGTGATGATGTGATGACCGGGATCTGCATGGACTCCCTGATACAGGCACAGATAGTCAAAACATCCATGAAAACATCATCTTTGCTACTAGGACCCTGTTAGAGGCAGAAACTAGCATGACAGATTTTCCCCCAAGTGGAATAGTAAAATATACCCAAAATATCCTAATACTCTGGGCCATGATCCTATGATTTTTTTTTTTCCAACGGCTTGATTGAAGTTTAATGTATACACCATAAAACTCATCCATTGTGAGTACACAATTCGATTATTTTTAGTAAGTTTATAGTTATGCAATTATTACAACAATCCAGATTTAGAATATTTTCATCACCCCAAAAAGTTCCCTCATGGTTATCTGCAGTTGGTTCCTACTACCAGATCCAGCCCAGGCAGCCACTGGTCTACTTTCTCTGTATAGATTTGTCTTTTCTGTACCCTTTATATAAATGGATCATACAATATGGCCGGGCGTGGTGGCTCACGACTATAATCCCAGCACTTTGGGAGGCTGAGGTGGGCGGATCACTTGAGGTCAGGAGTTTGAGACCAGCCTGGCCAACATGGCGAAGCCCCATCTCTACAAAAAATACAAAAATTAGCTGGGTGTGGTGGCGCATGCCTGTAATCCCAGCTACTCGGGAGGTTGAGGCAGGAGAATAGCTTGAATGTGGAATGCAGAGGTTGCACTGAGCCGAGATCACGCCACTGCACTCCAGCCGGGGCAACAGAGTGAGACTCTGTCTCAAAAAAGTAAAATAAAATAAACAAAATAAACAAACAAAACATATATATAAGTAAATGGGATCAACAATATGTAGTCTTTATGTCTGGCTTTCACTTAGTATAATATGTTTTTGAGGTTCTTCTGTGTCACAGTGTATATTAGTAGTTCCTTCTTTTTCATCTTTTTTAAATTATTATTATTGTAGAGATAGGGTCTCTCTATGTTGCCCAGGTTGGTCTTGAACTCCTGGGTTCAAGGGATCTTCCCACCCCAGCATCCCAAAGTGCCGGGATTATACGCATGAGCTTCCACGCCTGACCTTTTTACTAAAAAGTAGTTCCTTTTTGGCCGAGCGCGGTGGCTCACGCCTGTAATCCCAGCACTTTGGGAGGCCGAGGCACGCAGATCACGAGGTCAGGAGATCGAGACCATCCTGGCTAACACGGTGAAACCCCGTCTCTACTAAAAATACAAAAAATTAGCCCGGCGTGGCGGCGGGCGCCTGTAGTCCCAGCTACTCGGGAGGCTGAGGCAGGAGAATGACGTGAACCCGGGAGGCGGAGCTTGCAGTGAGCCGAGGTCGCGCCACTACACTCCAGCCTGGGTGACAGCGAGACTCTGTCTCAAAAAAAAAAAAAAAATTAGCCGGGCGTGGTGGCGGGCGCCTGTAATCCCAGCCACTCAGGAGGCTGAGGCAGTAGAATTGCTTGAATCCGGGAGGCAGAGGTTGCAGTGAGCCAAGATCGCGCCACTGCACTCCAGCCTGGCGACAGAGCAAGACTCCATCTCAAAAAAAAAAAAAAAAAGCAGTTCCTTTTCATTGCTGTGTTCTGTCGTGTGAATATACCACATTACCACATTTTGTTGATCCATTAACCTGTTTATGGATATTTGGACTGTTTCCTGTTTGGGGTTATTATGAATAGTGCTGCTCTGAATATTCATGTACAAGTCTTTGTGGACATATGTTTTCATTTCTTTTGGGTAGATACCTAGGAATGGTAAGTTTTTCGTTTTAACTTTTTAAGAAACTGCCAAACTGTTCTTCGAAGTGGCTGTAACATTTTACATTCTCTTTTTCTTTTCCTTTTTTCTTTTTTTTTTTTTTTTTTTTTTTTTGAGACAGGGTCTCCCTCTGTCGCCCAGGCTGAAGTGCAGTGACACAATTTCAGCTCACTGCAACCTCTGCCACCTGGGCTCAACTGATTCTCCTGCCTCAACCTCCCGAATATCTGAGACTATCATGCGCCCCCACACCCGGCTAATTTTTTTGTATTTTTAGTAGAGACATGGTTTCACCATGTGGGCCAGGCTGGTCTCAAACTCCTGACCTCAAGTGATCCACCCACCTCAGCCTCCCAAAGTGCTGGGATTACAAGCATAAGCCACTGTGCCTAGCCCATTTTACATTCTCATCAGAAATGTATGAGGTATCTGGTTTCTCCACATCCTTACCAACACTGTATTAAATATCTTTTCCCACTGAATTGCCTTGGCCAAAAATAAGTAGACCTTACATGTGAGGTCTGAGCTCTAAATTCTAGTCCATTGGCCTGTATGTCTATCCTTATGCCAATACCACATTGTTTTGATTACTGTAGCTTTGTAGTAAGTTTTGAAATCAGAAAGTGTGAGTCCTCCAGTTTTGTTATTTTCCAAGATCATTTTCACTATTCCAGATCCTTTGCATTTCCATATTAATTTTAGAATAAGCTTGTCAATTTCAGCAAAAATGGCAACCAAGATTTTGATAGGTATTGAAAGGGGAAAACAAACAGGTTTTCTATACTCAAAAACACTTCCGAAACCAAATGTCTGGGATTTTTTTCCCCGCACATCAAGCAATTCTTCAGTTCTCTGCAAACATCAACTGGGTGTCCAATGACTCAATTCAACTCTGACAGTAGCTACCTGGAGTTAGTGTGAGACCCCAAAGCTTAAGGGCTCAGTCCCACAATACTGCCCCTGACTTCAAATGCCAATCTCAAGTAATGGGTCCCCAGGTTACCCACACTTCTGTGTGACTTAGCTACAAGTGAGGGTTTCCTACAACCACCTATTCAGATTCAATAATCTGCTGTAATGGCTCGCAGAACTCAGGGAAGCACTTACATGTACGGTTTATTATAAAGGATACAACTCAGGAACAGCCAAATGGAAGAGACAGGGTATGAGGAGGGAGGGGCACAGAGCTTCCATAGCCTTTCAGGCCTCGCACCCTCCCAGCACCTTAATGTGTTCACCAACCTGGAAGATCTCCAAACCCTGTCATTTAGGGTTTTTATGGAAGTCCCATTATGTAGGCATGATTTATTAAATCATTGACCTTCTGTGACTGACATTAATCTTCAGCCCTTCTCCCCTCCCCAGAGGTCAAAGAGATGGGGCTGAAAATTCCAACCCTCTAATTACAAGGTTGGTTCCTCTGTCAACCAGCCCCCATCCTCCAAGAGTCACCTCATTAGCATAAACCCAGGTATGGTTGAAAGGGGCTTATTATGAATAACCAAAGGTGTTCCTCTCACCCCTATCACTCAGGGGAATCACAAGACTTTTAGCAGCTCTGTGCTAGGAACCCGGGGAAGAGACCAAATATATATTTCTTGTTATGTCACAGGATTGCATTAAATTTGCAGATCCATTTGGGCAATATTACAATATTGCTATCTTAACAATAATAGTTTATCTGTTTTGTTTTGTTTTTAGAGATGGGTCTTGCTATGTTGCCCAGGCTGGCTCAAGCAATCCTCCTGCCTTGGCCTCTCTAAGTGCTGAGATTACAGGCGACAACAGTAGTTTGTTGTTGTTTCTATATACAGGATCACGTCATCTGTGGGAAAAAAAGACAGTTTTACTTCTTTTCCAATGTTGATGCCTTTATTCTTATTTTTTGGCCTTATCACACTGACTTGAATCTCCAGGACAATGTTGATTGAAAGTGGCAAGAGCTGACATTCTTGCCTTGTTCCTGATCTCAAGGAGAAACATTCAGTCTTGCATCATTATATGTAATGTTGATGGTAGGTTTCAGTTAGATATGCTTTATCAAGTTAAGAGAGCTCCCTTTTATTCCAAGTTCAAGGGTTTTTTTTTAACCATCAATGGATGTTGGATTTTGTCAAATGTTTTTTCTGCATCTGTTGAGATCATATGATTTTGTCCTTTATTTTATTAATACAGTGATTCATCTTAATTGGTTTTCAGATGTTAACTCAACCTTGCTTTCCTGGGATAAAGCCCACTTGGTCATGGTATACGCTTCTATGTATGTGTTGCTGGGTTTTATTTGCTAATTTTGTGCTAAGGATTTTTACATCTGTGTTCAAAAAGGATGTTGGTCTGTAGCTTTCTTTTCATATGATATCTTTGTCTTGAATCAGGGTAATACTGGCCTCACAGAATGAGTTCGGAAGTGTACTTTCTTCCCCTATTTTCTGAAATAATTTGTGAAAGATTGGTATTATGTGTTTTTAAATTATTTGATAGAATTCACTAGTAAAGTGTTCTGTGACTGGGTTTTTCTTTGTGGGGAGATTTTAAGTACTAATCCCATTATTTACTTGCTATAGGCCTATTCAGACTTTATTTCTTCTTGAGTCAGTTTTAATAATCTGTATCTTTCTGGGAATTTGTCCATTTCATCCAAATTGTTCAATTTGTAATATTTCCTTGTAATTATTTTTGTTTCTGTGTGGTCAGTAGTGATTTTGTAATTTATGTTTTCTCTTTCTCTTGGTCAGTCTAGCTAAAAATTTCTCAATTTTGTTAACCTTTTCAAAAAACAGACCTTTTGTTTTATTGATTTTTCTCTATCATTTTTCTGTTTTCTATTTTTTTTTTTTTTTTTTTTTTGAGACAGAGTTTCACTCCTCTTGCCCAGGCTGGAGTGCAATGGTTCAATGGTGCGATCTCAGCTCACTGCAACCTCTGCCTCCCAGGTTCAAGTGATTCTCCTGCCTCAGCCTCCTGAGTGGCTGGGATTACAGGCATGCGCCACTACATCTGGATAATTTTGTATTTTTAGTAGAGACTGGGTTTCTCCATGTTGGTCAGGCTGGTCTCGAACTCCCGACCTCAGGTGATCCACCCGCCTCGGCCCTCCAAAGTGCTGGGATTACAGGTGTGAGCCACTGCGCCCGGACTTCTGTTTTCTATTTCTTATTTCCACTCTAATCTTTATTTTCTTTCTGCTGTTTGCTTCAGATTTAATTGTTCCTTCTTTTTCCAGTTGCTTAAAGTAGAAGCTTAGATTGTTGATATGAGACCATTCTTCTTTTCTAATCTAGGTATTTATAGCTATACAGTTCCCTTAAATGCTGCATTTGCCGCATCCCATACATTTTGATACGTTGCATTTTCTTTTTCATTTAGTTCAAAAGATATTTAATAATTTTCCTTGTGATTTCTTCTTTGATCCATGGATAATGTAAAAATATGCTAATTTCCAAATATTTGGGGATTTCCCAAATTTCTAGATACTCACAACCCACTATCAATGTAATATTGTCCAGAATTTTAATTTGGGATTCTTATGGGTTTGCTTTCCCTTTGTCTTTGGTCTTAAGTCTGCTGCTGTTCCTGCTGTTGTTGTTTAGACAACAGAATATGTTACCAATGTATTTAATCACCTTTATTTAAATATTTCTTGCAAAGTCTCCTAGGTTTTTCTTCTTGAGTATTTCCTCCAAAATGTTTTTAACTTTTTTTAATTGTAAAATGTTTCTAGAAAAGCAGAAAAGATAGTACAATGAACATCAATACATCCCTCCACCTAGATATAACAATTGTCAACATCTTTAAAACAATTTGTTTTATATATTAGGTTAAACCATTTGAAATTACTCCATTGACCTTTGAATGCGGCCTTGTTTTCTGGCACTCCAGGGATGGTTTTCAATGTGGTTCTTTGTAAGGCAAGCATTTTAAGGCCTCGTTGCCTGCAAATATTTATTTATTTATTTATTTATTTATTTATTTGAGATGAGATCTCACTCTGTCACCCAAGTTGGAGTGCAGTGGCACAATCACGGCTCACTGCAACCTCCACCTCCCAGGCTCAAGTGATCCTCCTACCTCACCCTCTCGAGTAGCTGGGACTACAGGTGCACACCACCACACCCTGCTAATTTTTGTATTTTCTGTAGAGATGAGGTTTTGCCATGTTGCCCAGGCTGGTCTTGAACTCCTGAGCTCAAGAAATCTACCTGCCTTGGTCTCCCAAAGTGCTGAGATTACAGGCATTAGCCACTGTGCACCCCCTGCCTGAAAATATTTTTATTTTTACCTTTTCACACTTGAATGACAACTTGGCTGGATGTAAAATTGTAGGTTCAAACTTATTTTTCTTTTTTACTTAAGAAATATTACTCCATTATCTTCTTACACCCAAATGTTGTTGTTGAAAGGTCTGACGTCAGTCTAATTCTCTTAGAATTTCCTGTTTGGTATTCTTAAATTTCACCATACTATATCTTATGCGGGTTTTCCCTTCTCTCTCTTATTTTCTATGCAGTAGGCCCTTTCAATCTGAAGTCATTCATTCTTTCTAAATATGAAAAATGTATGTCTATTGTTTCTTCAAATGTATTTTTCCATTCATTTTTATTGTTTTCTTCTGGATTCCCATTATATGAATGTGGGTATTCTGCTTCTAGTCTCCTTATTTCTTAGCTTTTTCTTCCTCCTCATTCTTCAGTGAGTTCTTCTTGCAGTTTCTCAATATGATATTCTAATTTACTTTTCAACTATTACTTACTAATTTATTTGTTCTTTCTTTCCATTATCTTTTTCATACCTAATATTTTCATTTGATTCTTTTAATTTTTTTCTTGTTCTTGTTTTACACTGCTCATACCTTACTTCTCATATCTCTCGTGTATTTATAGAGCTGATTTGTTTTTGTTGTTGTTGCTGTTGTTGTTTTTGAGACGGAGTCTCACTCTATCGCCCAGGCTGGAGTGTGGCGGCATGATCTCAGCTCACTGGAACCTCCACCTTCCAGGTTCAAGTGATTCTCTTGCCTCAGCCTCCCGAGTAGGTGGGATTACAGGTGCCTGCCATCACGCCTGGCTAATTTTTGTATTTTTAGTGGAGATGGGGTTTCACCATGTTGGTCAGGCTGGTCTCGAACTCCTGAACTCAAGTGATCTGCCTGCCTTGGTTTCCCAAAGTGCTGGGATTATAGGCATGAGCCACTGTGCCTGGCCTATAGAGCTGATTTGAAATTGTTGGTCAATTGATACTAATACTCCTGCCCAGTCCTGCTGCTTCTGGTGTCATATGTTGTGCATTCCTTTTTTCTTCTGGTTTAGTTTTGCCCTTCAAGTGTCTCATTATTGCCCTGTAATGCCCTTTGGGGAAGGCAGAAGGCCACTCCTTAGTATCTACCAGTCTGTTAAGTTCAAGGAGAGGATGAGGACTCGGATCTTGAGTGGAGCACCCCAGGCTCTGCACAACCACAGGTTTGTTCTCATCCTGCCCAGGGGCCTTGGTTTCACTTTCCACCCTGTGGCTAGAAGGAAGCTGTCTCCACTGATGGGATGGGCCAGGCTGGTGATTTGGAGGGGAAAGAGTGGAGGGATTGCTCAAAAATGGTTGTTCCCTAATTCAACTCCTCACCCTGGCAGGGATCTACGCTGCCCTGAGTTCATCCCCATGGACATCCTGACCAGCGAGTGGTCTGAGCCTCTGCAGTTCTGCCGTGAGGGCAAGTGATGACTGGCCAATGCAAAGGTGCAGGAGAGGCAAGAGTAGAGAGTCAATCACTATTCTCTTCCTTCATCCTTACCATCATAGCCACCTCCCTCAGGCTGCAACCACCCCCCACTCCCACATGCAGGCACACACTCCCCAGTTCTAAACAGCCTGTCAGCTCCACAGGAGTTTCTTCTCTGTTGTTATTTCCTGGCTTTCATGTTTCCCTCTATAATTTCTCTTGTGTTTAACCTGGGTAGGGAGCCAACAGCCCAAGCAAAATCCCATCTTAGCAAAAACTGGAGCAGCCAAGAGAGGCCTATTAGTCAACTTGAAAAAGAGATAGATAAATAAATAAAGAGAGAGGCTGAGGCTAGAGATACCTATATGAGAGTCATCAGGGCACAGGAGATCTTAAAGCCCTGAGCCTAGAGGAGATCTTTTGAAGGAGAAGTATGGATACAGGGAGCACCTTTTGAACAATATACTCCTTACTGTGAATAAAAATTTAGGTCTGGTTTGCACGTGAATCCCTTATCAAGCTGGCCAGTGTGAATCAGTCCTGGTGAGACTATTCACTTTGGAGACCCCACAAAATTCAAGTGTCTTGTTCAGCAAATCGAATGCACAGACCACAATCCATAGGGTCTCCTTGGTCAGGTGCCATCCCCCGCCCCCACCACCAGACTCCCTCTGCTTATATTTCCTGTGTCATTTTAACTCCTTGGAATAATGCAAGAGGTAAATATGGTGCTTATGGAAAAGTTTTGGAAAGTTGACAGGCTCTGAACAACGATAAAATACCTAATCTTTCTATTCTAATGGTCCCTTTCTCTCTGAATGAGTAAATAGATACTCACATCCTCATAGGATGCTCAGAGCCTTACAGACAAAGCCCTGCATTGGCTGAAGATCTATAAGTCAGGTGAAAGCAAATCCTGAGGCAGAAGGGAGCACTCAGGCAGGGTGTTGTAATTGTTTGAGGCATACCTAGGAGCTTGGCCAGGCTTCAACTCATCTAGGAAGTTAACTAAAGGGCCAGTAAAGGCATGGGCAGAGGAGTACATATAATCAAAGACAAATGAATAGGGAGGCCAGAAATTGAACACTAGAAAAGCTGAGACAACCTGGAGTTGGGCACCCCCATTTTTAAGTTCTCCAGCACTCTAAAATCTCCACTGTCCTGTGATTGCCTCAAAGACCTTATCCTTCACCACACTCCATCAAGCCACAGCTGAACCAAAACCATCCCACCCCACTGTTGAAATCTTAACTTCTCGATATTCTGCTTTTCTTTTCTTTTCTTTTTTTTGAGACAAAGTCTCACTCTGTCACCCAGGCTGGAGTGGCTGGAGTGCAGTGGCGCAATCTCGGCTCGCTGCAACCTCCACCTCCTGGGTTCAAGCGATTCTCCTGCCTCAGCCTCCTGAGTAGCTAGGACTACAGGCATGTGCCACCATGCCTGGCTAATTTTTGTATTTTTAGTAGACATGGGGTTTCACCATTTGGCCAGGCTGGTCTTTGGAACTTCTGACCTCAGGTGATCAGCCTGCCTCGGCTTCCCAAAGTGATGGGATTACAGGTATGAGCCACCGTGCCTGGCCAGCCTATTACACTATTAGTCTCACAACACTTGCCTTGGCAACAGTCAGCAAGTATGTATCAAGCACCTACTATGTGCCAGGTATAATATTAGATGCTTTCCTTCCCAACTCCCTTTCTTATTCAACTGGACTCATAGGGACATCCTTAAAGCCATCTCCCATAGGACTCTCAACTTAGCCCCTCAAGCTTCTCCTGCACCTGCCCCAAACAAGGGTCCCCTACCCAACTTCAACAATCCTGCTCTGCAGGTCTCCTTTAATCTGGCACCAACACCCCTAGGCCCCACACCAGACATCACACACAAGCACACACACTCAGAAAAATGAGCCACTAATGTCCTTGAATAATGTTCACAGCCTTTTTCCTGAACAAATCATCCTGACCCATCTGTGCTTCCCAACCTGTTCCTGATCCTTAGACTTCCAACTTCTGGTTTCTTGTTCCTCTGTTTAGAACCATATCTTGCCCCTCAAACACGGCTCAGGCTGCTCCCTGTGTTCTCAAACGCCATCCAATTGAAACTTCTACTTACCCTGCTTTATACTCCTATCTAGTGTCTTCCACCCTTCTCCCTCCTTTCACAGGCTACCTTCCCACTTCCATGCCCCTCTGGCTCTCTCCTCACCCCTACAGTCTGGTGTCCACCCCAGTGGCAGCTCTTCCTGAAGTCACCAATATCCTCCAAGTTGCCAAAGTCAGTGGACTCTTGCAGTCCTTTCTTGGCCTCACTGAGGCAAGTGACATTGTAAACAACCTCCTTTTTAAAAGGATTTACAAAATTAATATGTAAGTACATTCTGGTGATACCAAAAGAAAAAAGAAATCAAACCATACCAATATATATAAAGAGTAAAACTCAGCCTTAGCTGAGTGGCTAGAAGGAAGCCACCACCCCCTACTTCCACATCCTCCTGCCCCAGAGAGAACTATTATTAACAGATTGCTGTGGACTCTTCAAAGCCTTTTTCTGTTTATTTACCTCCATATATATTGACTTGGTTTTGCCAATAATAAGTTGGGTCATGCCACATAGAGTCCTAGCTTGCTTTTTCACTTGACAACATGTATGATATAGTTTGGATGTCTGTCCTCTCCAAATCTCATGTTGAGATGTCATCCCCAGTGTTGAAGGTGGGGCCTGGTGGGAGATGTTTGAGTAACAGGGCTAGATCCCTCATGGCTTGGTGCTGTTCTCTAAATAGTGAGTCAGTTCTCATGAGATCTGATTGGTTAAAGTGTGTGGCGCCTCCCCTCACTCTCTCTCTCTTGCTCCTGCTCTCGCCATGTGATGTGCCTGCTCCCGCTTCACCTTCCACCATGAGTAAAAGCTCCCTGAATCCTCCCTGGAGGCCAAACAGATGCTGCTGTCATGCTTGTACAGCTTGCAGAACTGTGAGCCAATTAAGCCCCTTTTCTTTACAAATTATCCAGCCTCAGGGATCTATAGCAATGCAAGAATGGCCTAACCCAATGTATTAGAGATTTTCCATGTCATACACATATATCCATCTCTTCTTGATTTGAATTATTCCAGAGTGTTCCATTGTACTGATGCTCTATAATTCATGAAACTCTAGCCCTACTGATTGACCTTTAAGTTGTTTCCATATTTTAATTCTGTAAATTTTGCTGTAGGCTCCCATTCCCAGAAGTATGGCCTATTAGGTACTCATCCCAGCACTTTGGGAGGCCAAGGCAGGAGGATCACCTGAGCCCAAGAGTTCGAGACCAGCCTAGACATTATGTGTTAAGCATAACATTTTTACTGGACTTACTGGAAACAAGAAAAATACTAAAAGAGAAAAGAAAAAAAATGCAAACAAGCAAAAACCTTGAGCTGAAACCAGAACAGTATATGATGGAAACTTACTAGTCAAGGCTGCCCTGAAGCAAATGCCAAGAGCCCTTCAATCAATATGTGAGACCCAGCCCAGGTGGGGACCTGAACCTAAGACTCTTGCAGCAAGGTGGGGACTCTAGAAGGGAACAAAAGTGGTTCCAAGTCCTTAGTCCCACAGTTTTCCCTGGAAACAAAAGCTGGCCCTCTCTGGAGAGTGTCCCTATTCACCTAAACTCATGCTCTCAAAGAGAACCAAACAAACTCCATCAGGTGAGCGCCAGCAGAAACCCTACACAACAGATGTAGATTCCTGAGAGGGGAATCATCAGCTACATAATAAGCACTCTTACATCTGAAATGTCTACAGAAATACAACATGGAATCACAGAAGTAAGCAACAAAGAAGAGCCTATCTGAAAGGACAAAATAGAATTACAGAAGATTAGAATGTCTAGCAAAGAAAAAATAGAATTCCTAAAGTAAGTAAACTTAGTGGACTGAATATTAGGTAGGTATGATGGCATGTACCTGTAGTCCCAGCTACTGGGGAGGTTGAGGTGGGAGGATTGCTTGAACCCAGGAGGTCGAGGCTGCAGTGAGCCATGATTGTGCTACTGCACTCAAGCCTGGGTGACAGAGCAAGATCCTGTCTCAAAAAACAAACAAACAAACAAAACAACTTAGTGGACATGGAAAAAGTGGACACCATGTGTGTCTTGATGTGATGCAGTATAAACTACACAGCCCAGTGTATAAAGTGGGGTTGCCCAATAAGAACCCACATCTAAATGAGCCTTCACAGCTGAGTTCTGGTTTACAGCAACACAGGAGAGAGAAAAATGGGTTAAAGACACCATGAAGAAGGTGAGAGACAAAACCAGAAATTGGGACATTCCACAGAACAACTGATCCAGTTTCTTCAACAAGTCACTGCCACAAAGAAAAAAAAAAAAGGTAGGGATCGCTCTAGATTAAGAGAAATTTAAGAGACATAATTACTAAATGCAATATGGGCCCCTAATGCAGACCAACTATAAAAAGACATCTTTGAGATAGTTTAGGAAATTTGAATATGGCCTAGCATTATACTATAAAGAGCACCAAGGAATTCCAATCATTTGATATTGTAAGAATACCAAACAATTTAACAGAATTGTTCATTGTTAATCCGACAACAGCAAATACAACACACACATATAAGAGGAAAAGACGAAGCAAGTTTGACAACATTTTGGTGATTGTTGAGTCTCGGCAATAGGTATATGGGAATTCATTCAACTGTTCTTCCCACGTTTAGAGCATGCTTGATGTCTTCTATAATAAATTATTTTTAAATCTCTAGAGAAGGATATTATACTCTATCTTGTTAACATTTACAAAATCTCCCAAGCCTTACCCTTAGAGAATGCTATATAAATTTGGACTGAACAATTTTATATGTAGTTTTTCCTATTCATTTCTCATAGTCATAATTAATACTTGTAGAATATTAAGATTCTTAGTGTGATTACTTTGAGATCCTTGCAATAGCCTTGTGAAGTAGATATTACTACCATCTTGCAAAAAATGCATATTGTTGCCTTCTTATACATTAAGACTAGGGAAACATTTCACCTAATTTTTTTGTTGTTTTAACATTCCAATACAATGCTCAATCTTTTTGCTGTCAACTTTCCAACCTAGCTAGATTTTTTCCTGACTATAAAAATAATACATGCTCACTGTACAAAATTCTTTATGACATAAAACTATGGAAGAGGAAAAAAATTACACTGAATCAACATGTCCAGACGTAACAACAAATGTCACATATACATATTACATATGAATATGTATCACATATGTGTATCACATCACATATTACATATAGATATGTAATATATTTCCTTCTACCCTTTTAAACATAGGATCTTATGAAATACTGAATAAATACAAAAGAATATTCATTACATATGTGTAAAATATAAGGAACAAAAATAAAGCAAACATCAGTGGATCCACCATTCAGTAAACCAGAACTTTTGAAATCCCTGCCATCCTGCCCAGATCTCAGCCCCCTTCATCCCAATGACATTAAAGTGTTTTTTTGTTTGAGACAGAGTCTTGCTCTGTCACCCGGGTTGCAGTGCAGTGGCGCGATCTCCACTCACTGCAACCTCCACCTCCCGAGTTCAAGAAATTCTCCTGCCTCAGACTCCCGAGTAGCTGGGACTACATGTGTGCGCCACTACACTCAGCTAATTTTTGTATTTTTAGTAGAGACGGGGTTTCACCATGTTGGCCAGGCTCTTCTCAAACTCCTGGCCTCAAGTGATCCCCCTACCTCAGCCTTCCGAAGTGCTGGGATTACAGGCGTGAGCCACCGCGCCTGGCCTAAAGTGTTTTGAATTTTGTCTTTTCACTTCTTTACTTTTCTTTATAGTTTTACCACATATGTAATAGGCAGTTTCATATGATTCAAGTTGGTACTCATTCCTAAACAATACATTGTTTTGTTCAGTCTTTTTTTTTTTTTTTTTTTTTTTTGAGACGGAGTCTCCCTCTGTCGCCCAGGCTGGAGTGCAGTGGAGCGATCTCGGCTCACTGCAAGCTCCGCCTCCCGGGTTCAAGCGATTCTTCCACCTCAGCCTCCCGAGTAGCTGGCATTATGGGCACCCGCCATCATGCCTGGCTAATTTTTTTTTTTTTCTTGTATTTTTGTAGAGACGAGGTTTCACTATGTTGGCCAGGCTGGTCTTGAACTCCTGACCTCAGGTGATCCGCCCGCCTAGGCCTCCCACGCCTGCCTGGGCCTTCCAAAGTGCTGGGATTACAGGTGTGAGCCATCGCACCAGGCCCAGTTTTTTTCAGATCTTTTTTTCGAGAGAGTATTACTCTATCGCTCCGGCTGGAGTGCAGTGGTGCAATCATGGCTCACTGCAGCCTCGACCTCCCAGGATTCAAACAATCCTCCCACCTCAGCCTCCTGAGTAGCTGGAACCACAGGCACACACCACTACGCCCAGAGAATTTTTGTATCGTTTGTAGAGATGGGGTCTGTAGACCATCTTGGCTAACACGGTGAAACCCCGACTCTACTGAAAGTACACAAAAAATTAGCCGGGCGTGGTGGCGGTGCCTGTAGTCCTAGCTACTCGGGAGGCTGAGGCAGGAGAATGGCGTGAATGTGGGAGGCGGAGCTTGCAGTGAGCCAAGATTGTGCCACTGCACTCCAACCTGGGCGACAGAGCGAGAGACAATGTCTCAAAACAAACAAACAAACAAAAAAAAACAGATGGGGTCTGTAGAGATGGGGTCTCGCTATGTTGCCCAGGCTGGTCTCAAATCCTGGACTCAAGTGATCCTCCTGTCTGGCCTCCCAAAGTGCTGAGATTACAGGTTTGAGCTACCACATCCAGCCTTTAATTTTTTTAAAAAAATTATTCTACCAGAGTCTTCTCAGCATATTTTGTTTAGTCTTGACTTTTCTTTAAATCCTACTGCATACTGTATTTTTCTGCAGTTTGCTTTTTCATAGTCATGAGAGTCATTCACTTTGATTTGTGCAGCCATATGGCATTTATTTTTCACTGCTCCATTGTGTCATGTGGACCACGGTCTTATCTATTTTTTTTTTATCTATTCACTTTCAATGTATCACACTTTTATTTTTGTGTATAATTTATATATAATTGAGATAAAAGTATATATAATTGATATCTTAATTTTTTCCACCTAAAATTATTTTAGGTGATTTGTACATTTTATTTACTTATTTATTTTTTAACACAGGGTCTCACTCTGTTGCCCAGGCTGGAGTGCAATGGCACAATCACAGCTCACTGCACCCTCGACCTCCCTGGCTCAAGCAATCCTTCCACTTAGCCTCCCAAGTAGCTTGAACCACAGACACATGCCACGACGCCTGGGTAATTTTTTAAATTTTTGCCCAGGCTGGTCTTGAATTCCTGGGCTCAAGTGATCCTCCTGCCTTGGCCTCCTAAAGTGCTGGGATTACATGAGCCACCCCACACCCAGCCAATTTTGTACATTTTTAAAACTTTGTGAAACACCATGAAAATGACTTCATATTATTCATCTATGGACATATAATAATTGTTTAAGCATTCACCTCATGATAGAATTTAATTTTCCTCTAGTTTTATATCAACAAACAATACCATAATGCAAAAGCATTTTATTTTGTACATTGGACCACAGATTAGACACAGCTAAAAAGAGAAATAGTGAAGAAATTACTTAAAATGCAGCAAAGACAGACAGGGAGATGGAAAATGTGAAAGAAGATGTAATAGCTATGGGGTATAGAATGAAACGGCCTGTCATTTGTCTAACTGAAATACTAGAAAGACATTATGGAAAGAATGTCAGAAAATCAATAATATATAGAGAGATTAAGGAAGAGTATTCCAGAATTGATAAAATATATGAATCCAGACATACAGGATGCACAATATAATATCAAAAAGGATAAATAAAAAGAATTCCACTCATGGGATTCTTGTAAGGATATTGAAGAATACTAAAGACAAAGTTGTAAAAGCAGCCAGAGATTGAAAATAAAAGAAGTTCAAGGCCGGGCGCAGTGGCTCAAGCCTGTAATCCCAGCACTTTGGGAGGCCGAGGTGGGCGGATCACGAAGTCAAGAGATCGAGACCATCCTGGCCAACATTGTGAAACCCTGTCTCTACTAAAAATACAAAAATTAGCTGGGCGTGGTGGTGGGCACCTGTAGTCCCAGCTACTCAGGAGGCTGAGGCAGGAGAATGGGGTGAACCCGGGAGGCGGAGCTTGCAGTGAGCCGAGATCGCGCCACTGCACTCCAGCCTAGGGGACAGAGCGAGACTCCGTCTCAAAAAAAAAAAAAAAAAGTTCAGTTAAAGATCTTATCATCTGGCTGGGCACAGTGGCTCACGCCTGTAATTCCAGCACTTTGGGAGGCCGAGGCGGGCAGATCAGCTGAGGTCAGTAGTTTGAGACCAGCCTGGCCAACATGGAGAAACTCTGTCTCTACTAAAAATACAAAAATTAGCTAGGCGTGGTGGCAGACACCTGTAATCCTAGCTACTCGGGAGGCTGAGGCAGGAGAATTGCTTGAACCCAGGAGATGGGGGTCGCAGTGAGCCAAGATTGCATCATTGCCCTCCAGCTTGAGTGACAGAGTGAGACTCTCTCTCAAAAAAAAAAAGAAAAGAAAATCTTATCATCTTACAACTGAATTACAAATATCAATATGGACCCATGCCTTACTTTTAATATGTATTTTCCAGCTCTGTCCTCTGAAGAAATGACAACCCAGTAGCAATAAGCACACTTAGTGGCCAATTTTGCTCACTAAAAGGAACAAGTGCTCCCTGGAGAAATGGCTGGTGCCAGTTCTAGGGCAAGAAATGGACAAGAGAAACCTGGGAGATCTCATTGAGCCATAAAGGAAGGAAGTTGTCAGCAATGACTAAGGTTGAGGACACAGGAGGTGGGGCGCAGTGGCTCACATATGTAATCCAAGCACTTTGGGAGACCGAGGTGGGTGGATCACTTGAGGTCAGGAGTTTGAGACCAGCCTGGCCAACATGGCAAAACCCCATCTCTACTAAAAATACACACACAAAAAAAATTAGCCAGGCGTGGTGGCACACAACTGCAGTCCCAGCCACTCGAGAGGCTGAGGCAGGGGAATCACTTGAACCTGGGAGGCAGAGATTGTAGTGAGTTGACATCGCGCCACTGCACTCCAGCCTGGGCAACAGAGTGAGACTCCATCTCAAAGTAATTAATTAATTAATTAAATAAAAGGACACAGGAACCAACTTGAAGGGACATTTGCTAAAGACAAGATAATAATAGCATCATTATAATAAATAATAACTGCATTTTACAGAAAATTTTCATAATTACACATACATACACGCTGCCACACCTCATCAATCAAGGGATGTTAGTTACGTCTTGGTCAAGTTGTTAATAAAGGGAAGTTTCCAATGGGTGAATTCCAGTTAATAATTAGAGAAGAAATGATAGAATTCGAGGGAAACCACCGTTTAGAAACCCCTAATCAAGTAACAGATGAATTTAACATCAAAGCACAACAACCACGCAAAATGTACCTCCTAGACTGACATAATAGAAAGCACACAGTGACACCTATGACATGTTTTTGCCAAAAAAAAAAAACAAAACAAAACCCAAAAAACTACATTAAGGCTCTAGATATAGATATTTATGGGAAATACAGGGGCTGGAGGAACAAGTGAGATGACACCATGAGGAAGCAATCAGCTAAATTCTGATTACGGGAAATTCTGCAGGACAAATGGCCTGTTTTAAATCAACAAATAAATAGCTTTAAAAAGGGCTGGAGTGGGACTGTTATAGATGAAAGGAGACTTAAAAGACAAAATGCACAGTGTAGACTTTGGATGCTGAGTCAAACAAACCAACTGTAAAAAGGGCTTTTTGGAACAATCAGGCTGGCAATGGGGATACTCATCCACTTTTAAACATGCATAAGGAATTAGATAATATTAAGAAATTAACAGAAAAATAAGGCGAAAGGTCCTTATCTCTAAGAAATACAACTTGATCCATGAATATATCTGAAATTCGCTTTAAATGCTCCAGTAAAACAAAGAATGCCTGTGAGGAGGGGAGGCAGAATGTAGAAACACTATTGGCAAAATGTTGTTAAACTGTTGAAGTTGGATGTTGGGAATGTAGAAGTTCATTATGCTGTTCTGTCTACTTTGAGGTAAATTTATAAAATTTTCCATAAGATTTTTTTTTAAAAAAAGGTAATCAGGAAGAAAAATTATATCACCTGGCCAGGCGTGGTGGCTCACTCCTGCAATCCCAGCACTTTGGGAGGCTGAGGTGGGTGGATCATGAGGTCAGGAGATAAGACCATCCCGGCTAACATGGTGAAACCCCGTCTCTACTAAAAATACAAAAAATTAGCCAGGCGTGGTGGCAGGCGCCTGTAGTCACAGCTACTTGGGAGGTTGAGGCAGGAGAATGGCATGAACCCGGGAGGTGGAGCTTGCAGTGAGCTGAGATCGCGCCACTGCACTCCAGCCTGGGCGATAGAGCAAGACTCCATCTCAAAAAAAAAAAAAAAAAAAGAAAAGTTGTATCGTCTATAAAGATACAACTATTGAACTGACTTTCTCAACAGCAAGCGCAGAAAACAGAAGATAATAGAATAGGCCAGGCATGGTGGCTCACGTCTGTAATCCCAGAACTTTGGGAGGCTGAGGCAGGCAAATCACCTGAGGTTGGGAGCTTGAGACTAACCTGGCCAACATGGTGAAACACTGTCTCTACTAAAAATACAAAAATTAACCCAGTGTGGTGGTGCATACCTGTAATCCCAGCCAAGATCCCACCATTGTACTCCAGCCTGGGCAAGAGAGTGAGACTCTGTCTCAGGAGCAAAACAAAAACAAAACAAAAAACAAAAACAGAACACAACAGAATAATACAGGACTAAGAGAAAGGGCTAAGTCAAAGGACTAAGAGAAAATAACTGTCACACTAGAATCATATATTCAGCAAAACCAACTTTGAAGAATAAGGTGAATTAAGGACATATCCAGATAAACAGAAACTGATTTAGCACCAATAAACCTGTCCTAAAGAACTGCCAAGGAATATTCTTCAGGAAGAAGGAAAATGATCTTCCTTCAGGAAGAAGGAAAATGAAGGAATGTCAGAGATTCAAGAAGGAATGGTGAGCAAATCAACTGGTAACATGTAGGTAAACAAATGTTGCCTGTATTGAGTAATTATGGTATTTTTGATCTTTTGAACTTTTGATGTTTTTTAATCACTTGTTACTGGTAAGTAGGAGAACTGTTGATTTTTATATGTTAATCTTGTATGTGGTCACTTAATTATCTTGTTAGTTATAATAGTTTTTCTGTTAACTCTCTTTTCTAGGTACATAGTACAGTAACAGCATCTGCAAATAATGATATTTTTAGTTGTGTTTTGGTCAAGTAGTTAATAAAGGAAAGTTTCCAGTGGGTGAATTCCAGTTAATAATTCCAAATGTATACTTTTTTTTTTTTTTTTTTTGAGATGGAGTCTCGCTCTGTCATCCAGACTGGAGTGCAGTGGTGCGATCTCGGCTCACTGCAACCTCTGCCTCCTGGGTTCAAGCAATTCTCCTGACTCAGCCTCCCAAGTAGCTGGGATTACAGGTGCCCACCACCATGCCCAGCTATTTTTTGTATTTTTAGTAGAGATGGGTTTTCGCCATGTTACCCAGGCTGGTTTTGAACTCCTGACCTCAGGTGATCCCCTGCTTTGGCCTCCCAAAGTGCTGGGGGATTACAGGCATGAGCCACCGCGCCTGGCCCAGAAGGTATACTTTCTTTTGTCTTGTTGTCTTAGTAGACCCTTCAGTATAATGTTGAATAATAGCAATGACAGTGGACATTTATGTGTCGGTCTTAGATTTTGTGAGAATGCTTTCACTATTTCACCATTAAGTATGCAATTGATTTCTGATTGTTTCCCTTTGTCATGTTAAGGTTTTTTTCTAATCCTAGCTTGCTAAAGTTTAATGAATTCTACTGAAAGCTGAGGTCCTATGTGGTTCAACATAGATACAGAGTCCTATTCAAATATGTGTTATTTGGCTTCCAAACAGAAATCAAAAAGAAATTCAACTTATACTCCACTAGAACACACTTTTCAAGACCCATTTGATTTCCCTCTCCCAGTTCTCTTTTACCCTAGAGCTCTTCTGGAAACCCTCATACTTAAGCCCCAATGCAGGGACCCCGCCCCACCCCACATGGACTTCCTTTCTCTAACTACCCCGTCAACACACCTGTTTATATTGTATAGATAAACTTCGTTTTTCTGGCTGAAGGCCCCACCTTCCCTCCAGCCTCTTAATTTTGTCTGTTTTCCCACTCTGGACCATACATGATAAAAGATCCTGGGACCAGATTGGCAAAGTTTCTTTAGAGGGCGGGCAAGTGGACACATTTTTTTTTTTTTTTTTTTTTTTAAGACGGTGTCTTGCTATGTCACCCAGGCTGGAGTGCAGTGGTGCCATCTCGGCTCACTGCAACCTCTGCCTCCCAGGTTCAAGTGATACTCCTGCCTCAGCCTCCTGAGTAGCTGGGACTACAGGTGTCCGCCACCACACCCAGCTAATTTTTGTATTTTTAGTAGATACGGGGTTTTGCCATGTTTGCCAGGCTGGTCTCTAATTCCTGACCTCAAGTGATCCACCCACCTTGGCCTCCCAAAGTGCTGGGATTACAGGCGTGAGCCATCACGCCCGGCTTCATCCACTTTTAGACTCTCCTGCCCCTTGCATTCACCACACGCTCCCTTGGGTTCTCTCCCACCTCTCTGGTATATACACCCCCAGTCCCTCCCATGCTGATGCTCCCCAGTGCTTCTGCCTTGGACCTGCCTTTATCCCGAAACCTGGGAACTCTCAGCCACTTCATAGCTTGCATGGTTGCACACAAAATGATTATCCCAAATCTGCATATTTAACCCCAACCTTTCCCCAGAGCTCCAGAATTATTTATCAATTGCCAGTACACATCTCCTACAGGATGTCCTCAGGACCTCACGTTCCACAAAACCCTACTCACTTTCCCTGACCGCCACCACACGGCCCCTCTTCTGTATTCCTATCCGAGTTCTGGATGTCATCCAGGAGACAAAGGTGGAAGTCAGCTCCCCAGGCCCTCACAGTTGCTCCCCACATGCAATGGCTTATCAGAACTTTCCCATCACATCCAAACTCCTATCCCGGCTCCATCCCCGCTGTCACGGTCTTTGTACAACACTGATTGCCTCCTACCAGGTCTCATGCTCCAGCCTCCTGCCTGGTCTCCTGACTGGGGCTTGCAGTCTTCTGGCGCTACCCCTCTGTTCCGCTGCCACTGGAACGTGCGCCCCCAAGTCCCCACCAGGCAACTTCCGCAGGGCGCAGTGATGAACCGAGGGCGCCCTCTGCTGCTGTCCCAGAACTCCCACTCCAGTGAGCAGCTCGGCTCCCGGAGGCGCTGCCAGATCAGGGTTCTGACTTCCTTCTCTCCAAGAAATCAGGTCGCTTGGCTCCAGCCAGGAAGGCCGCCCCCATTGCGGGCTGCGAGCAGTGAGAAAGTCGGTCATCATTCCTTTCCCAGACCCAGGTCAACCTCACTGCCCCCACTGATCCACAAGACGCACGGCCCTCCCTCCCCTAGCTCACAGCCTGAGGGGTACCTCCCGAAAGCAGAAGACCCCCACGCCCCTGGGCTCAGTCAGACTGAGCCAGTGTGAGGGGGGTGCAGCCTGCCGGACCTGGACTCTGGGAGTGGACAGCTGTCACCTGTCCTTCGGGTGCTTAGAAAGAGTTGCTCCTTCGGATGCAGCCCTGAGGACGTGCAACTCAAAAGGCGCTCTTCCTCCTGGATGGAAGGGGGAACGCCTGGGGGACAGCGTGAAGTCCCGCAGCGCGACGCCCTGAAAGCAGCCTGGATTTCATTCTCCCGTAGCATCTTATTTTATTTTATTTTATTTTTTGACGGAGTCTTGCTCTATCGCCCAGGCTGGAGTGCAGTTGCGCAATCTGGGCTCACTGCAACCTCCACCTCCCGGGTTCACACCATTCTCCTGCCTCAGCCTCCCGAGTAGCTGGGACTACAGGCGCCGGCCACCGCGCCCGGCTAATTTTTTTGTAGCTTTAGTAGAGACGGGGTTTCACCGTGTTAGCCAGGATGGTCTCGATCTCCTGACCTCGGGATCCACCTACCTCGGCCTCCCAAAGTGCTGGGATTACAGGCGAGAGCCACCGCGCCCGGCCTCCCGTAGCATCTCATTAAGGTGTCCTGGGTTCACACCTCTGCCGCTTCTAAAATGGATCCCATAGCCTCATGGAGAGATAAACAAGTAACAAACGCGAAGATGGTGGAAGGAGGCCAACAGACTCCTTTTAGAAGATAAAGTCATCTGGATGTGGTGGTTGATTAAAGTCACTAAATAAATGTTAATATTTATTGACTGCTCCTGAGTGCCAGGCTCTGTGTGGAGTCTGAGGAAGAGGGGGGAGTCTCCCCCAAGCTTCTAGCCTGAGAAACTGATGGGAACAGGGAAGAACAGATTGAGTGAGGCTAGGGGTGTGCGATGATGGGTCCTGCGTGGGACAAGCTGAGTGTGTGGGGTGTTTCCCAGCGAGGGGCTCATTAGGTGGCTGCTATTCAGGTTAGCACTAGGGGGGACAGCAGGGAGCTGATGGGATCTGTTGGGAGCCCTCGACAGACAGAGGTCACTGAAGCCATGGGGGTGAGCCAGCCCCCAGAGAGGGAGTGTAGAGTGAGGAGAGGACAACAGAGCCAAACCTGAAGGTCACTGGCTCTGAAGCACAGGAGCCCACAGAGGAGCAGTTAGACAGGTAGGGAGAGAGTGTGTGACCTGGAAACCCAGAGACAGTGCTTCAGGAAGGAGCAATGGCATGGCGTCCTTGAGTAATAAGGGACCTGAGAAGTGTCTGTTACCTTAGCCACAAGGAGATCAGGAGAACACTTCTGCTCAATGGAGGAAGGCAAAAGGTTGACCAGTGTTCAAGAAAGGTGGAACCAGAGTTTAGGAGTGAGAAAGGGGCAAAGAGGGGTGTGGTTTGTTTTAATGGGAGAGACCCGAGGGGGTTTAATTGCAGATGGGAAGGAACCAAAACCTGTGAAGGGAGGTTGCAGAAGAAGGACAAAAGAAGGGTGATTGAATAGCTAGTCTAACATGTGGGCAAAAGTCATGTGGTTTAAGATAAGATGGAATTACTTACATGTCCAATAAGGGATTGGTTAGGCTAAATAAATGCCTAACAAGATGAGATTTATTACAAAATGATGTTCTAACAGTAAGTAACTAACTGGAACAAACATATCTAATGATATAATCTTAAATATTTTCTTTTTTATGTTTTATCATTTTTTTCTATCACGAAGTAATACATACTCATTTCAGCAAAAGTCAGAAAATACCTTACATAAAGAACAACCAGAATTCCAGGCCGGAGGCAGTGGCTCACGCCTGTATCACCACCACATCCACTATATTCTATTTGCTAATATAGAATATTCTATTCTAGAAGATTCTAGAATAGAATGTTTATGTGTGATTATTCTATTAGCAAGTCACTAAGTCCAACCCAAACTCAAGGGGAGTGGAAGTAAGTGCCATCTCCTGAAGGGAGGAGTATCAAATAAATGTGAGATATTTAAAAACTACCACAACATGAGGCAGGAGAATTGCTTGAACCTGGGAGGCGGAGGTTGCAGTGAGCCGAGATCATGCCACTGCACTCCAGCCTGGACGACAAGAGACTCCATCTCAAAAACCAAACCAAACCAAACCAAACCAAACCAAACCAAACCAAAACAAAATAAAACTACCACAACAAAAGATCTCTGAGAAAATACATAAGATACTAATAAAATTTGGTTCCTGTGAGGAAAAGAACTGTGTGGCTGGGAGACGGGAAGAAGGGAGGATTTTACTTTGTACTCACTTTATCTTAAGGATTTCTGAGGCTGGGCAGGTGGCTCTTTTGGGAGGCTGATGCGGGCAGATAGCTTGAGCTCATAAGTTCAAGACCAGCCTGGGCAGCATGGCAAAACTCCATCTCTACAAAAAATACAGAAATTAGCCAGGCATGGTGGTGCATGCCTGAAGTCCCAGTTACTCGGGAGGCTGAGGTGGGAGGATGGCTTGAGCCTAGGAGGCAGAGGTTGCAGTGAGCTGAGATCGTGCCACTGCACTCCAGTCTGGGCAATAGAGCCAGACCTTGTCTCAAAAAAATTTTTAAAAAGTGAATTTTTAACAGTGTAAATCTATTAACTATCCAGAAATAAGTAAATAAATTTTAAATGACTGTGGAATATTTTCTTTTTAAAAAATAAAATTGGCCAGGTGCAGTGGCTCACTCATGCCTGTAATCCCAGCACTTTGGGAGGCCGAGGTGGGTGGATCATCTGAGGTCAGGAGTTTGAGACCAGCCTGGCCAACACGGTGAAACCCCATCTCTACTAAAAATACAAAAACTAGCTGGGCTTGATGGTGGGCACCTGTAACCCCAGCTACTCAGGAGGCTGAGGCAGGAGAATCGCTTGAACTCAGGAGGCGGAGTTTGCAGTGATGGAGATCGTACCACTGCACTCCAGCCTGGGACAGAATGAGACTCCGTCTCTAAATAAATAAATCAATAAAATTGTTATGCTATTCAGCTTGATTTTGGCCAAACTGGTTTCAGTCCAGCGTAGTTGCTAAAATGAGACCTCTGAGAAGGTAAGAATGGCTGGGGTGGGAGCACAGAGGATGGGATTCATGTTAAGAGAGAGGAAAGAAGTTTTGGGGTACAAATTGACAGTATTTCTTTTTTATGCCAACTATTTGTGAAGTGGAGGCTTTCTGGAGGAAGCGGCATTCATCTGAACCACAAAGCCTGGATTGGATTTGGCCTCGCCAAGATGAGGGGTGCCAAGGGGTGATGGCACTCCTCAGCATGAGCTGAGATGAAGATGCGAGAATGAGAGGGTCACACCAAGGACAGCTGGAGGGTGGGGTGCCCATGGGAGGTAGGATGGGCAGGTTGGGCCCCATGCATGGAGGGCCTTGAATGGCAAGTCTGGCATCGGGGCTTTCCTTGGAAGCAGTGAAGGCTTTTGATCAGAGTTGTGTAATTAGAGCAGTGCTCTAGTCCAGCAGTCCCCAAACTTTTGGCACCAGGGACCAGTTTCGTGGAAGACAATTTTTCCATGGATGGAAGGGTAGGGGGGATGGTTTCAGGATGATTCCAGCATGTTACATTTATTATGCATTTTATTTCTATTATTATTACATTGCAATATATAATGAAATAATTATACAACTCACCATAATGTAGAATCAGTGGGAGCCCTGAGCTTGTTTTCCTGCAACTAAAAGGTTCCATCTGGAGGTGATGGGAGACAGTGACAGATCATCATGCATTAGATTCTCATAAGGAACAAGCAACCTAGATCCCTCGCATGCACACTTCACAATAGGGCTCGCGCTCCTATGAGAATCCAAGGCCTCTTATCTGACAGGAGGCAGAGCTTAGGTGGTGATGCTCACTGGCCAACCACTCACCTCCTGCTGTGTGGCCTGGTTCCAAACAGGCCACCAGACCCATACCAGTCAGTGGCCTGGGGGTGAAGACCCCTGCTCTAGGAAGATCAATCTGTGAGCGGAGTGAAGGTTAGATTTGGTAAAGTCTAAAGGCCAGACAACCTGTTATAAGACAATCTCAATGAGTAAGAGGGTGCAAGGGCATTGCCACATACACAGGCTGTAGTCTGCTTGGGACCAAATCCTGAGTCCATCCTTAGCTGTGTTACCAAATCTTCACTATAAAGTGCTAATAGTACATTTCTTGTAAGTTTGTGTGAAATTTACAACTGGTTGGCAATTCTTAACAGTGCCTGGCACACAGTAAATGGTCAGTAAAAGTTATCCTGTATTGTTAAGAGCAGCCCAACCCTAGGGTGGTTGATTATTGGAAAAATTTTGGGAAGGAGAACTTTTGATGACAAATTAGTGGTAGAAGAGAGGGACAACAGTACATTTATGAATATGGGATGAGGGACACAAAGTCTTTCAGGTTCCTAGCAGCATGGCAGCTCCAAAAACAAAGCTGGGGCAGGCAGGTGAGGAACAGCTCTTGGGGGTAACAAGATGCTAAGTCAGCTTTGGGATGTTGGTCTCACAGCATGGGCAGGAAGTTGATCAGAGCTCCAAAAAGACGACATTCTTTCTTACTCTCTCTCACACATACACATTCAGACACATACACAGGCACACATAAAATATCTTTAGAAAAATGCAAAGAAAAAAATAATGGAGAGCTAGAAGACTGGGAAATGGACTTGCTCTTTATTTTAAAATAACTGGGGCTGGGTGCTGTGGCTCATGCCTGTAATCCTAGCACTTGTGGAGGCCAAGGCAGGGGGATTACCTGAGGTCAGGAGTTCAAGCAACCTGGCCAACATGGTGAAACCCCGTCTCTACTGAAAATACAAAAAAATTAGTCGGGCATGGTGGTGCACACCTGTAATCTCAGCTACTCGGGAGGCTGAGGCAGGCAAATCTCTTGAACCCAGGAGGTAGAGATTGCAGTGAGGCGAGATCGCGCCACTGCACTCCAGCCTGGGCGACAGAGCAAGACTCTGTCTCAAAAATAAATACAATAAAATAAATAACCGGGATTTTAAAGTGCTAGGATTACAGGCATGAGCCACCATGCTTGTCCAAACATGTATATTTTTACAAAAACCTGTACACCAATGTACATATAGCAGCTTTATTTATAACAGCCCCCAACTGGAAACTACCCAATATTTGTCAACCGGTAATGAGTAAATCGACCATAGTACATACAGACAATGGAACGCTACTCAGCAATAAAAAGGAACAAACTATTGATCAATGCAATAATATGAATGATTTGCAAATGCACTGAATCAATGCAGACTCAAAAGGCTTCATACTGTAGCATTCCACTTAGATAACATTTTTGAAAGAGGTGAAACTATAGGGAAGGAGAGCAGATGAGTGGTTGCCAGGGCTTAGGGGTGGAAGAGCAGTTGACTGAAATGAGACAGTAAAGGAAATGTGGGGGAAGGATGGAACTGTCTTATATCTTGATTTTGGTAGTGGCCCAGGGCTCTACTCATTTGTCTAAACTCATAACCCTGTATACCAGAAAGAGTGAATGTTACTGTGTTTAAATGTTAACGTTGCGGTTACTTCTCTGGTTCTTTGTTTCCCACCCTTGCATTATTTATGTCAAATTAGGCAATTTCAAAAGAAGAAAAGTGGCCCTTTCCAAGGTATACTTTTAATATTCTGGAAGCTGTTTACAGGTTTCTAAATAGATAGCATCATGCCCTAATATTCAGAAGATGAGGAAATTGAAGGTGCTGGCCTTGGGGTCAATGATGGTGGAGAGAGGTCTGGCTCTGGGTGTGCATGAAGAAGGGACTCGAGTTAGGGGAAGACTTTTGGGAAGGGGTGCGTTAAGGATGCTTTTCAGTGGGGCCAGAGAGGGAAGAAGGGAAATGGGAGGCTGCTGGGGAGAGGAGGCTGACCCGGGGATCCAGAGCCCTGCGGAGGAGGCAGCCTTGGCCATGGGCAGGAGCCGTGCACCTAGAGGAGGTGTGGAGGAAGGAAGGGGAAGTTAAGGTGACACAGAGAGGGTGGAATGAGCCGTCCCTGGGTCTACAGGGCTCAGTTTGTCTCCTGCCCCGCCCCACGGGGTCAGGGGAAGGGTAGGCCTGGCTTTCGGGCCAGTGATGGCAGAGATAGGCCTGGCTCCCAAGGGGTGGGAGGGTTTGGGGGGTGTCGGGGGTGGGGTGGAGAGGATAAGTCAGGGGGCAGCGGCCAGGCCACAGGCCCCAGGGCTCAGGGCTCGGTCACCAGGGAGTGGGAGTTGGGAGACGTGGCTTATCAGCTCCATCGGAGCCCGCCACACCCCACCTCCCCTCACCCCCACCACCTCTCACCCCATCGGCTCCAGCCTACTGCTCTCCTAGGGGAGGGGGTAGAAATGGGCTCTCCAGTGTTTCATTCATTTCTGCAGTTAATTGACCCCTAAAGCACTTCCCAATGCCATGCCACCTCCACAGAGGGTGGAATCAGAAGGGAAAGCAGTCTAATGACAGTTTGTTATTACTTACTACTGGCTCTAAGGCTCTGAGTGTGGGGCTCTGCATGTACTGGCTCACTTTGCCTTTACAACTCCTTGAGGGAAGGAGGTATTATTATCTATGTCCATTTTACAGATGAGGAAACAGACACAGAGAGGTTAAGGAACTTGCCCAAGGCCACACAGCCAGTAGTGAGGACTTGGGTTTTGGACCTGGGTAAGATTAGCTTCCATTCTTGACTGGGCTACACTAGTGGAGAAGGAGGTCTGGGCCTCTCATCCAAAGTTCTTTGGGTTCTTTTTTTCCTATTTGGGAGCCATCTGTAATGCTTTCCAGTTCAGGAGCGCCGTGGAGGTGGGGGTGGGAGGTAGGCAATGGTTCAATTCTGGTTTCTAAGTGGTTTAAAAGAAAAAGCCTCTGGGCTGGTGCCTGGATTGGTGGGAAATGCAGCCAGCACTGCCACCCAGTGGTCATGTCCTGAAGGACCACTCTCCCCATTCCTTCAGGGACTTGCTGAAAAGACTTACAGGATCCCCTCCTGACCCGCTGGGTCCCTGAGAACTTGGTGGTCAAACCTTTCCCAAGAGGGCCCAGAGCCCCATCAGTTGAGGCAGTTTCTTCAAACTGCTGTCTGGAACCCATTAATGCTCATGAACTCTATGTAGAAGGTTACAATCCAATATTTTTAGGCCGGGCGCGGTGGCTCAAACCTGTAATCCTAGCACTTTAGGAGGCCGAGGTGGGCGGATCACTTGAGGCCAGGAGTTCGAGATCAGCCTGGCCAGCATGGTGAAACACCATCTCTACTAAAAATACAAAAATTAGTTGGGCGTGGTGGCACATGCCTGTAACCCCAGCTACTTGGGAGGCTGAGGTGGGAGAATCACTTGAACCTGGGAAGTGGAGGTTGCAGTGAGCTGAGATTGCACCAGTGCACTCTAGCCTGGGTGGCAGAGTGAGACCCTGCCTCAAAAAATAAAATAAAATAAAGTCACAACCAGTATTTATTTATTTATTTTTTGAGTTGGAGTCTTGCTCTTGTGGCCAAGGCTGGAGTGCAGTGGTGGCATGATCTCGGCTCACTGTAACCTCTGTATCCTGGGTTCACATGATTCTCCTGCCTCAGCCTCCTGAGTAGCTGGGATTATGGGCATCTGCCACCACACCTGGCTAATTTTGTTTTGTATTTTTAGTACAGACGTGGTTTCACCATGTTGGCCAGGCTGGTCTCAAACTCCTGACCTTAGGTGATCCGCCCACTTCTGCCTCCCCAAGTGCTGGGATTACAGGCATGAGCCACTGCACCTGGCCACAACCAGTATTTTTAAAGGGAAAATTAGAAAAGAATAGAAAATACCAGGGTACATGATGCATACTAAATGCGAGCATTATTTACTGGAAAGTCTGTTTCAAATACATAAATACAAGTATACATATGTATACTGGGATCTGATGAAAAGCTATTTCTTACTGTGATTTGAGGCCAAAATGATAGAAAAATATTGATTCAAGAATCTAAAATCCCTAGGGTTAAGAATGTATTTTCTTCACTTTGTCCTATAACTCGCACATGCTTCCCTGTGCCATTTTTTAAGAGCATAGTTGTTTCTTTTTTTCCTTTCATATTCCTCATGGTATTGGTTTGTTTTTGTTTTGAGACGGCGGCTCACTCTGTCCTCCAGGCTGGAGTGCAATGGCACGATCTCGGCTCACTGCAACCTCCGCCTCCCAGGTTCAAGTGATTCTTCTGCCTCAGCCTCCCAAGTAGCTGGGATTACAGGCACCTGCCATCATGCCTGGCTAATTTTTGTATTTTTGTAGGGACGGGGTTTCACCATGTTGGCTAGGCTGGTCTTGAACTCTTGACCTCAGGTGATCCACCTGCCTCGGCCTCCCAAAGTGCTGGGATTACAAGCAATGAGCCACCACGCCCGGCCTCTATTGCTGTTTTAATTGTAGCAGTGATATAATAACACATTCTTGCAAGAATCAGGCATTTCAGGGGTGCAGAGAATAAAATGAGAGCACTAGCCTTTTCCCCACTCCATTTTAAGGCACAGAGGTCACCCCTTGGAATAGTTTGGTGTCCCTAGTTCCAGTCCTCCTTCCACAGGTAGACAAGTATATGCATACATGTGCACATTATTTTTACTTAAATTAAACTGCATTTACTGGTATCTGCATTTTTTCACTTTATAGTATCTTACAGATCTTTTCCTATCTATACAGGAAAATGTATCTTGTTCTTTTTAACGGCTGAGTGATATTCCACAGTATGAATGTATTTAGCCTCTCCCCTCGGGGTTCCTTATGTGACTGTCTGGTTAGTAGAGCAGCTCAGCTCTGTAAGTCCTCATAACGCAAGACTACCCATTAGGAAGAAGCCTGTGTCCCTTCCTTTCCCCTTCTTTGAAGGAACAAGGACCCTGCTGTGGCGTATGGGAAGAATTGGGGGAGAGGGAAACCTTCAAGGACTTAATATTCAATAGAAAGGCTCCAGAAGGTTCTAATGCCACTTCCTGTGAGTCTCAGCCTCCCCTCAGCCTCCTATCTGAACAGCCCTCCTTACCTTCCCTCTCAGGTGCATTTATCTCCCTCATCCTGTACAGAAGCATCAGGGGCACTGTCCCCCACTCCTGGCTCCTCCCGCTAGGCTCCTTGTCTCAGCAGCAGCCGCGGCCTGGCATGAGGACGCCTCCAGGACTGGAAGGCGAGAGGCGAGGATGCTTAGCAACACTTGGAGTTAATTATTTAATTGGGTGAAACATCCATTAGGGAGGATTCTCACTTCCCAGACAGCCTGTGAGTAAACATGTCGAGAAGAGAAGAGTGAGGTGTTGGCGAAAGCTGCCGTTCGCCCTGGCTCCTCCCCTGCGCCCCCCCCACTCCTCAGCTGGGGAAAGGGACCCCGAAGGATTTTGCCCAGATGTTTCTTCAGGCTGGGCCAGGACAAAATGGCCAGGGAGGCCGCAGGGGAGACAGACTGTGTCCACAAGGAGGGAAGACGTGGCTCAAGGCCCCGAACCCCACTTGTAGCAGATAGGAGGAACCACACTGTCAGGAAAACCCAGCTCACCAGGTAGCTCACTAGAGAGGTGATTTCATTTGAGAACCCAGTTACAACAGTGTTGGAAAAGCCGAAAACAGGGGAGGGTGAGGCAACTCGAAGATTAGCAATTTCAGGAAGCTGCTACTACCCATAGATCTAGACAGTCAGAGCAGGGAGATAGTATTTACATGACTCCAGGAGCTGGGGTGCCAGGGCAGAGCTTTAACTGTGGAGGGGCCAATGGCTGGGAGCTGGGAGGCCGTGGTGCAGGTGTTGCCTGGCAGAAGCTGGCTCCACAAAATAGATGCCACTGGAAGCAGAGAGAGGACAGGAAATACTCTGGCCTTCCCCGTCTCTCACCCTCCGGTTTCTCACCAGTGCTTTGCATTGGTTGAACCCAACAAGAAACCAGTGGACAAGGCACTGTGCATGTGGACAAGGGAAATGTAATTTGCAGGAGTCAGCTTCCTGCTTACAGGACAGAGCAGGGCAACGGCAGGAAATGAACGATGCACAAAGAGGCAAATGTCCAGCATGTGCTCGGGCAGCTCAGAGGCCAGCCATGGTGCCGGGTCAGCTGGTATGGGACATGCGGCTTTCTTAGGAAGAGGGAGACCTACGCTAGGTGCTGTGCAGTGGGGGTGCAGGAGAAAGAAATGGCTTAGTTTATTCTTGTGCCTGTCAGGATTTAATGTAGAAAGCCCATCTGGGCATTTTTAACCAAAGAGAGATTTTTTTTTTTTTGAGACAGGCTAGAGTGCAGTGGCATGATCACAGCTCACTGCAGCCTCAATCTCCTGCGCTCAAGCCATCCTCCCACCTCAGCCTCCCAAGAAGCTGGGACTACAGGCACACACCACCAAACCCAGCTAATTTGTTTTTTTTTTTTTTTTTTTGAGACAGGCTAGAGTGCAGTGGCACAATCATAGCTCACTGCAGCCTCAATCTCCTGGGCTCAAGCCATCCTCCCACCTCAGCCTCCCAAGAAGCTGAGACTACAGGCACACACCACCACACCCAGCTAATTTTTTTTTTTTTTTTTTGAGACAGAGTCTCGCTCTGTCACCAGGCTGGAATACAATGGCGCGATCTTGGCTCACTGCAACCTCCTCCTCCAGGGCTCAAATGATTCTCCTGCCTCGGCCTCCCGAGTAGCTGGGACTACAGGCAGGTGCCACCATACCCAGCTAATTTTTGTATTTTTAGTAGAGACGGGGTTTCACCATGTTGGCCAGGATGGTCTCAATCTCTTGACCTGGCAATCTGCCCACCTGGGCCTCCCAAAGTGCTGGGATTACAGGCATGAGCCACCATGCCTGGCCCCAGCTAATTTTTTAAACTTATTTTTTGTAGAAATGGGAGGTCTTCCTATATTGCCCAGGCTGGTCTCAAACTTCTGGGCTCAAGTGATCCTCCTACCTCAGCCTCCCAAAATGCTGGGATTCCAGGCATGATCCACTGCACTGACCCACCAAAGAGAGACTTAATAGAGAATTAGATACTTTCGAAATTTTTGGAAAAGCCAGAATGGTAGGTTCTAACCTGAACATCCAGGAAGGAATTCCAGAATTCTGAACTAACTCCCAGTGGCACTACAACCTCTGAGACCACCCCTTGAATTGAGTTTGAAACCACTGTAGCTGCAATACAGAGATCAAGAAACCCAGAATCAGCTGGACACAGTGGCTTATACTAGTAATCTGAAGCGGAAGGCTGAGACCCCGTCTCTACAAAAAATGTAAAAATTAGCTGGGCGTGGTGGCACCTATAGTCCCAGCTACTTGGGAAGCTGAGGTGGGAGGATCGCTTGAACCCAGGAGGTTGAGGCTGCAGTGAGTCATGATTGCACCACTGCACTCCAGCCTGGGCAACAGAGTGAGACTCTATCTTGAAAGAAAAAAGAAAAGAAGAAAGGAAAAGGAAAAGGAAGGAAGGAAGGAAAAGGAAGGAAGGAAAGAAGGAAGGAAGGAAGGGGAAGGGAGGGAAGGGAAGGAAGGGACAGGAAGGAAAGGAAGGAAAGAAGGAAGGAAGGAAGGGGAAAGAAAGAAAGAGAAAGAGGGAGAGAGAAAGAAAGGAAAGGAAGAAAGAAAGAGAAAGAAAGGGAGGGAGAGAGGGAGGAAAGAAGGAAGGAAGGAAGGAAAGAAGGAAGGAAGGGTAGGAAGGACCAGAATCAAGCCATTACTGAAACCAAAACAACAGCTTTTGACTCCTGACACCCAGAAGCTAGAGGATGGACAATGGGAATCTGGTGCAGAAAAAGGCAATTGTGTTTCTACTATCTTGATAGCCATTAGAAACCCAGGGCAGGAAAGAGTCTCATGTCCACCTTCTGAGTTTCAGGAGTCTATCTGATCAGTATCACCCAGTTCACTTCCAGAAGCCTAGCTGCAAGGGAATCTGGGAGATGCAGCTCTTAATTTTCCAGCCTCTCCAGACAAAAGGAGGGTGGCATGGGAGGCTGAGGGAGCACGTCCTAAGTGCTCACCACACTACTCTTGGGAAACTTCTATCAGGTGGAGGAAACAGTGTAAGAATGCAGGCTACACTGCGTGACCAGGATTCCAAAGGCTACGGAAGTTCTAGGAGGGCAGCTGTTCCAACTGGCTGTAGCATTCTGAAGCTTCCCAGAGGCTCCCCAGAGTGCAAGCTAACAGGTATGCACATTCAGGTGGGCCAGCCCGGGGTCGGGGCTTTACTTACACCAGCTTGGTTGGTCTTCTCACTCACCTCACGAGACAGGCCCCACTACAATCCCATTTACACACAGGGAAGCTAAAGCTCAAGGAGGTGAAATCACCCACTCAAGAGCACATCCGGTAAAAGGCAGAGCTGCCTTCTTTGGCTGGGTGTGAAGAAATGGGTGGAAAGAGAGGAGATAGGAGGCGGAAGGGGGCTGAAGACCCCCCAGGTGAGGGCCCAGCATGAGCAGAGGCAGCGGGAAGATGAGAGTGATGGACAGGGCACTCGACAAGCAGGAGGTCTGGTGGGGAGAGGGCAAGCTGAGGAGCAGAGCAGACAAGGTGGGAGGCCATGCTCAGGCGGGGACTTCCTGCTACACACACTGAAAGGAGTGGTAAGGGGGCCCCGAGGGAAGGGCAGCTGCAGGGGCTGGACCCAGGCAGGAGCTCATGGGGACAGGGCAGGGACTGGGAGGCCATACTGGTGAGGGAAAAAGCAGGGCTAGGACCCAAGGAGGAGGTTGAGGCCAGGTGAGCACCGTAACAGCTGGGAGCCTCGCCCAATTGGGAGCTGTTCTTTCCACCACCAAGTAAACATCATCTCTAGGCTGAAGGATGGGTACCTCCAAGGGGAAACCACCATGCTGACAGCTGTTCAGGCATTGGGGCTCCTGCCTATGGCACCCCGCAACCCCAGGGGCTAGCCCCAGTCAGCTGGGACCCTCCCCAGCGTCTCAGAAACCTCTCTTTTCACTTGAGAAGGGCTTCAACCCTCCTTCAGAAGGCCTCATTATGTTACCTCCCACTGGCCTGAGGCTGCCCCTTAGCTGCTGGAGGCAGGCCAGCTGCATGGGTGTGTGGCGTGCGCAGTTGCCCAGGCCCCGAGCTCAGAAGGTCCCCTGCTTGGTGTCTTAATGCTCTGCCATGACTATCTTGAAATTCTCAATGATTTTTGGGCAAGTTCCCCTGCATTTCATTTTGCACTGGGTCCTGCAAATTATGCAGTGAGTCCTGCCTGGGACAAAGGATAATTTAAGAAAGTTTTCCATGACTCCTGGGGACAGGGCGTGCTCCACATTGACCTTTCATGGAGGGTGGATTGAAGGACATGAAAGGCAATGTCCTTCCACCCCCACTTCCCTGAGCCCCACATGTACCTGGCATGTTCCTTTATAAACCTGCCATTCTCCAGCTCCTGCACCCAGGCCTGTTCTAAGCCCTGAGAAGCAGGGTGTGTGTCATCTGTTTAGTGCACATTGACCCCCAAATCCCTGCAACTCTACAAAGGACCATGCACACAGTAGGGGCTCCATGGGGCGTGCTGACCCCAACCCGAAGGCCAGGCTGGGTGGAAAGACTGACGGCCCCTGCAACGGTCCCCTTCTGCAGCCTGGGCAGGAATGGAGGAGAGAAGGGAGGGAGACTGTGTGTGTGTGTGTGTGTGTGTGTGACAGAGGAAGGGAGGGGGCGCATAAAACAGAAACAAATAAAGAGTTCAAATGTGAAACGATTAAAAAAATAAATCGAAGGGAGTGAGATAAGGCAGTGGAGCCTCTGCTCCCTAGTTAACATTCATTGGATTGAATAATCAGGCTTCATTATCTCAAATTGTCTGCATATTTGCCCTCAAAATGCTAATTTACAGTTGGCTGGGAGCAGTCTTGGCCTATTTTGACTAAAATATTATTTCATTTTATTGAGCATTGTTCTTAGCTGTCGGGCATCTTGGTTTGCAAGGGGAAGGAGGGGAAGAAATAGAGGGAGAGAGGAAAACATTTTCTATCAAAGCTCTGCCCCGCTCAAGTCTGATTATGGGCTCCCTGTTTTGTGTAGAAATGGCATTTCTAAGCCTCCAAGTAAAATTAGAGTCTTTATCATTTTCTTTTAGGGGATAGACAGTTTATCATTAATCTCAGAGAAGGAAATAGGAGAAATAATTTTTTTTGTTTTACTGAAAGGGTGAAAAATCTTGCTCATCATTTCCCCCTCCCTCCTGGGTGTGGAGGCATCAGCTACCTCCTCCTCCTCCACTTTCTCTGTGACCTGTAAAGGCTGGAATTCTCTGCCTCTTGCCCTTGTCTGTCCTCCAGGCTCCAGTGACCAAAAAAAAGGTCCTTTGCTACTTGCATCAGCTCTGGAGTTTGGCTGAGTTTCCCAGAATCTCAGCCCTGGGAATCTGAAGATGTGGGCTCCTATTTTTTTTTTTAAGAGATGGGGTCTCGCTGTGTTGCCCAGGCTGGTCTTGAACTCCTGATTTCAAGTGATCCTCTTGTCTCAGCCTCCCAAAGTGCTGGATTACAGGTGTGAGTCACCATGCCCAGCCAGGCTCCTAATTTGATTCTTCCATTGAGTTAAGAAAGACACAGCCCTCCTTGGAACTAAAAGTCCACAGTAACCAAGCATCTTTGTTCACACCTGAGCATGGTGTTTCAGACAGTAATGTGTGGGCCCCTAGCTGGGTTTTTGGTCTGAGGATGGACCACACTGAGTCGTCCACACCCTCTACCCCCCACCCAGCTTCCCTTGGAAATGGGGACAGGAGCTGGTGAAAGGCCAGCCTGGGTCAGTCCTAGTCAAAGGTAAAAGAGACTTAAATTCGTTTTATTCCAACCCTCTTAGTCAGGTGACAAAACTGAGGCCAGAAAGTAGTAGTTGGAAGTTACAAATCTAGCTGGTAGGTTGGTGCTACTACTCAGGAGTGTCTCTCCTCTCCTCTTTCAAGCTTCTTTCTGAACACTCTTTCTGGTCTACCTACCCTCTTCTGTTTTGTCTTCTCTTCTTGGTCGTCGTTATAGTCCTGCTGTAACTGATGAGTGGCTGTTCTAGCACTCTGTGGAGCAGGATGGTTGTGGCTTGCTGGTGCTATCTGCCCTGACTTTGCTGCCAAGACCGGCCCAGGACCCAGGAGACAGGATGCCCAGCCAATAGGCCTCCAGCTATCCTGCTGCACAGCCAGTCCCTTCTGGTCAAGCCTTCTCTCTCCTCCAAATCGTGAGACCATGTCTCCTTCTCAGCCCCCGAGTCCTCTGCCAGCCCCAGATGTAGTAGAAGATCACAGGTTCCCAGGCCAACATCCAGGGTCACCACGTACAGTTGGGCCCCTGTAAGAGGGCACCCAGCCAGGGGGCCAATGGGACTGAGGTCCAGCTCCTGTTCCCCTCACCAAGTCCTGTGCCCTGGCATGGAGCTGCCTCTGCCCAGCAGGGTGCCATATGGAGTAGCCTGGCCCTCCAGAGCCAGCTCACTTCTTTCCCCCAACTGCCCCAACCATCTGAGCTCAGCCTTCTCCCAGGGCTCCTCTCCTTCTGAACTGTCCTGAGCCTGAATATGTTGTCTGGATTGAGACCCAGACTTGACATGTCCATCCTTATCCCCTGCCTGGGATCTGTTTTGTGCATGCAGCCTTGCCATCTGTATTCAATAGGATTCGAGACTTCCAGGCACTGGCCTTTGTCTACTTATTGTAGCCAGCACCTGTCCCTGCCTGGGTCTCCATGCCCCTGGGCACAGCAATTACTGTGGTCCCTCAGCTTCCTGAGACAGGGGACTTCCCAGACCTTCCCTGCTTGCCTCTAAGGGGCAGCCTCTGGCCAGCACAGTCACTGGTAGGGGGATTTCACCAGGCATTTTATGGCATTATGATGCAGCCTGCAGGCACCCCAGCCCCATACATGCACACAGAGCAGACGTTGCATGCATACATTGCAGCCAGCACCACACACACTCTGCAGACATGCCCCATAGATACCACTTACCCTCACCCTTAGCAAACACTACAAAAACACAGACACAGCCCCAGAGAAAATACATGCACACCCACACTCAGCAGACACACACACCCGCCAACACCTCCACAAACCTACACTCATATCCAACAGAATCCACACACACCACTCACACGCACACAGCTCCCCAGGCGCACACATATTCGAATATAGCAGACACCACACACACACACACACACCCCAACAGATATGCACACTCCCGCCCACTCACATGTGCAGTTTCACATTCATTAGAGTTGGGGCCATGAGAAGGGCTGAGAAACCTCCGCCAGCCCATACCTACATAATAGTGAGTCAGAGAGTATTGAGTCTTCACAATTTTTTTTTTTTTTGACAGACTCTTGCTCTGTCTCCCAGGCTGGAGCACAGTGGTACGATCTCGGCCCACTGCAACCTCTGTTTCCTGGGTTCAAGTGATTCTCCTGCCTCAGCCTCCCGAGTAGCTGGGATTACAGGCACCCACCACCACGACCAGCCAATTTTTGTATTTTTAGTAGAGATGGGGTTTCGCCATGTTGGCCAGGCTGGTCCCAAACACCTGACCTCAGGTGATCCGCCTGCCTCGGCCTCCCAAAGTGCTGAGATTACAAGCGTGAGCCACCGCACCTGGCCTAATTCTTGTATTTTTGGTGGAGACAAGGTTTCACCATATTGGCCAGGCTGGTCACGAACTCCTGACCTCAAGTGATCTGCCTGCCTCAGCCTCCCAAACTGCTGGGATTACAGGTGTGAGCTACCGCGCCCGGCCGAATCTTCATAATTTGCCTGATGTGATTACTGAGTATGACGAGATCTCATAGTCCATGCACAAAGAGAGGCTTCTAGGACCCAGAACCTTGGCTTCCACACATCTCTGTCAACGTAGAAACACATGACCTGGATCACCCTCTCCTCAACCAGAAATAGGCATTAGGAGGACTTGTCTGACCAGTCTTCAGAGGTGGGTGAGAGGGCCTTGGGGTTCATCATACAGGGCAGATAAGGAGTTCCAGGACAGGCTTGGTCCCTGCCCTCAGGGAGCTCAGCATTTGGCTGGAAAGAGAAACAGGACATAGAACTAGATGTGAGAGCAAGCACGCACCAATTGTGCAAACTCACGCTCAGGCAGCGGGGCCTGAGTATTAAAAGGGGCTTGAGGTAAAGCGAGCAACCTAGAAGTGCCCACTGCAGCCAGCCGTGTCTAGGGGAAAGTATTCAGGCAGGCCTCAGGGAGAAGAGGGTGGCAGACACATGGTATTTACTCACTCAGGTATTATTCAGCACTCCATGTCTGAATAGAGCCTAGCTTTGTGTCTGAATAACACAGGTACTGCTCTTGGCAGTGACTGCAAAGCATGACGTCCCTGCCTCGCGCTGTTCCACCTAAGATATAGTCAGTACCAACCGAGTGAGTAGTGAGGATGACGGCGAGGTGATGGGGGGGCTCTGAGGCAAATCAACAGGTTATGGGAGTGACTGGAGCTATCTGAGGCCAGGGGACAGCTCTCTTAGGCAAGATGAGGGCAGGCCAAGGATGAGAGTGAGGGGAGGACGCACTCCCTCAGGTGCTAGCCCTGCATTTACAGGGCCTCGAGAGGGAGTGCCTCCTTAAGATGTGTGCCTCAGTGGAACGTCACTTGCCTCACCCTAGTGCAGCCGTGTTCAAGGGTATACAAGGGGAGGTCACTGAGGCATGAGGGTCTAGTTTGCTATGGTTTCCTCTTAGCCAGAAGCCTGATTTCTCTCCTGTGTCTCTGCTGTTGTGTTCTACATTGGCCCAGCCTCTGCCCCCAACCCCAGTGTTTGTTCCCAGGTTTCAGGGTGTCAGAGAAGGCCCCTGCTCACCAGATCCCAGAGGGCCCCGCAGCAAGCCTTGCCCCTGCACAGAGAAGTCAGGCTTTGAACTGTGGGCCTAGACTCAGGGAGGTCGACTCAGTAGGCAAATGCTCAGTTTTCCTGGCCTGGGGTGGCTATTCTGGGAGGGGGAAGGGGTGTAAGTTCAGGCTCAGATAGGAAGCTGAAAGGTGGGAGGGAAGAAACAAAACTCACCCCAGATGGCAACTGGGTCTTGTCCCTGTGAAGCTATCACCCAGTCATCAGTGGGTTTGCCCCGAAAGGCTCCATAGAACCCTATTTCTCTCCTCATCTGCACTGAGCTCTATTTTGTAGAATGGACCATGTCAATTTCCCAGCTTGAAGCACTTGGCATTCCTCTCCTGTGAGGCCCAGGTTTCTCTGGGCAGACCACAGGAAGCAGGCTCAGGCCACCGCATAAGTACGGGGTCTTGAGGGTGATTTGTGTTTGGGTGGTTGGGGATCTCCTAACCCGGGCTCCACAGTGAGCTCTCAGGGGTGTCAAGCCCAGTCGCGCTCAAGGGCCCTCTGCACTGTCTCCTTCACCGGGACAGCAGGGTCTGAGGTCCCGCCTTTCTCGGCCTGGGGCGTGCATGGCCTGGGCTCCATTGCAAGTTTTTGGACGTCCCCTTTCTCCCCCACCCCATCTTTTCCCTGGCGATCTCACTGCCCTTTCCAGGAGCACGCTCCCGCTCTGAGTCCGGAAGGACCCCGCGGGGGTCCTGACAGCCTCCCGGGCCCAGGGTGGGGATTGTGATGGCCCCTCGGGAGCTGGGTTGAGCCGGCGGCTCCTGAGCTAATCAATGGGCTGCAGCCGGCGGAAGGGGCCCGGCGGGGGGATTAGGAGCCGAGAAGGGCAATTACCCGGGTGGGCCGCTCCCCCGCTCGCCTTCGCCGCGCTGCTCAAATGCCGCATTTCGGATGCAGCGCCGCGCTCGGCCTGTTTGCTTGCAGAGCCGGGGCCCCGGGGCAGGAAGCCAACTCGCAAGTGTATCGGAGATTAGGGCCCGCGGCGGCGGGGGCGGGCGCTGGGCAAACACGCGGCGGCCGCCTCAATCCCCAGTGCTCGATTCCGCCCGCGGCGGTGCCTGCCCGGCAGTGACTCGGTGGTGGGGGAAGGGGGCGGCCCCGGCTCCCAGCGCCCGGGTGCCCTCGACGCCCACCCCGGGGGATACTCGGGGAGGCAGGCACCGGATGGGGAGCGACGGGTTTTTCCTTCGGGAGAGGCCACCCGGGCACGGTCTCCTTTCGCCCCATCCTCAGGCACACCTCGCCGCGCCGTCTTGAGGCCTGGTTCTAACCCTCCCGTCTCCCGCACCCCTAGTTCCCCGTCTGCCTAGTGGGTCGAGGGGAAGGGGAACCGGTTGGGGAAGGGAAGGAAAAAGACCCAAAGGCGGAGGTGTGAAGACTGGAGAGTGGCGGGGCCCCGCCCGGTGCGTACTTGGGGGTCAGTGCCCGCGACCGCAGGGCGGGGCGGCGGGCACGACACCCGGTGATGTCCAGGGAACTCGCGGACCTCAGCCGCAGGGCTGAGTCCTCAGCTGCTCCGGGAAGCGAGACTTCGGCAGGCATCCAGCAGCCCCAGGGTACAAGACCGAGTCTTAAACCAGATCTCAGGGCCCCCAGAGGTCGGAAGGACAGCCTAGAACTCCAGAACCAGCTCCTCTCCTGGTAGCCGCACCCCCAGCTAGAGTTCCTCTGGCCCTGCCCCTGCCCTCCCGCCCCGCAAATTCCAACTCTTTCCCGTTTCCCAGGCGGACTGCTCATTCCTACAAACAAGACTTTGCCCTGGCTTCTCCAAATTCTGCCCACCTATCAAGGCACAGCTAGCTCCCAGCCTCTTCCTCCAGGAAGTTCTCCAGTTTTCCAGCTCAGAGGGCTGTGCGCAAATTTAGCATCTGATTCCATCTCAGGGTCCCTCTGCGAAGGTCTTTAGCCTCCCCCCCACTTTTCTTTCAAAGAAAGGCGGTATGTTCAGTATGGGCTGGCAGGTTTGGTCTAGGATAGGATCCCTCATCCCTTAGAAAGACGTAGGGGCTTGAAAGCGCAGTAGGCTGGTCCCTGGGGCACCTGTGCCCAAGCGGGCCTCCTCTCTGGAGTGACGCAGGGACTCCCCACTCATGCCTCACTCTGGCTCCTGGGACACCCCCAACCCAGCCCCTGGGAGGCGAAGACGCTTTGTAACCAGCCCTCTTCTTGGAAGGTTATGAAGTCCTATGCTATTGGTGCTTCTGAACTGACCAAGCCACTTCCCCGCTCTACGCCTTCTCTTCTTCACCCTCCCCTAAGTTCCGTAGTGAGCTGCTGGGACTTCCAGAAGTGACCGGCTCTTCCTCCTGGGAGGAGGGGCGGGGAATGTTTGTTTCTTCCCCACAGTTAGGAAGCAGTGACTCCACCAGCCCGAGCGCAGCGGTAGTCAGCGCTCGACAGTGTCCCCGTTCCCCACCACCACCCATCCTTTACCGCCCCCGGGGCACAGCGCCCTTCCCCCTCTCCCCCGTTCCAGCTTCATTTCCCGTAGCTTCGAAGCTCCTAAGGAGTTAGGATCATCTTGGCGTACAGATCCCTTCGAAGCACTGATCCCTCCGCTCCTTCCCGGCACAGCCCCTTCCCGGCACGGCCCTTTCCCGCGCGATCTCCCGCTCTAGAGACCCGCGGGATGCGTCCCCGCCCGCTGCCGGGAGGTGGGGCGCCAGCATTGTACAGTCTGCGCGCGCCCCCTGCTGCTCGCCGCGAGAAATGACGGCCTACGTCCGCCGGGCCCTTCAGCTCCTCGGTTCCGGGCGCCCCCCACCGTTCACATCCCCGCGCGTTCTCGCGTCCTCGCTGGGACTGCGCCCAGGAGCCGCAGGCACTTACAAAACAAATTGCTGCCTCCATCACTGGGCTCAGTACCACCTGACACTATCACCCCACTTTTCAGGGGACCTCAGTGACGTTCCTGCATCAAGCAGCAGGACTGGAGCCCAGGTTTCCCAAAAGGAAGTCCAGACTTTTACAAACCATTAATGAAGGGCTTAAATTCTCCAGGGCACTGTACCCCTCGTACAGCTCTGTGGAGACTGAGAAAATGGGGTTCTGGCACCCAGGAACCTGGACCCCCAAAACAGGCACAGGCCTAGCTCTGTGCTGGGCAGTGCTGTGAGTCACCTGTTCTGCCCCTGGGTGGAGTATACCCAGGCAGTAGGCACTGACAGGTTCCATCCCAGCACCAAACCCAGGAATGTCCCGGTCAACTGCGGAGCACCAACCCCAGCAGTTCCAGAAGCATCCCTTCCTCCAGGGCTGCGGCTGTAAGAGGGGAGCTGAGGCAGTGCGTTCGCTGGGGAAGGAGGGACAATGCAAGGTCAGGGCCAGAGGAGCCTGGAGGGATGAGAGGGTGCCCCCCCCCTTCTGCCACTTACTAGCTGCGTGACCTGGACTAGTTGTGTTACCCCTGTTTCTGAGCCTTGTGTTCCTTATAAAGATTGGTGATTTTTCGGCGGGGTCGGTGGCTCCTGCCCGTAATCGTAGCACGTTGGAAAGCCGAGGAGGGCTGACTGCTTGAGCCCAGGAGTTTGAGAACAGCCTGGGCAACATGGCGAAACCCTGTCTCTCCAAAAAAAAAAAAAAAAAAAAAACAATTAGCCCGGCATGGTGATGCGTCTTGTAGTCACAGGTACTAGGGAGGCTGAGGTGGGAGAATCGCTTGGGAGGCTAAGGGAGTATGGCTTGACTAGGAGGTCAAGGCTGCAGTGAGCCATGTGATCACACTACTGCACTCCAGCCTGGGTTGACAGTGAGACTCTGTCTCAAAAAAAAAAAAAAAAAAGGGGGGGGGGGTGTTGTGATTTTCATAGGTTGTGGAGAGGATTAAGGGCTACAATTTTGCAATATCTAGCATATAGCAGATGCTCCATTAGCGGTCTCTGAAGCAGCCCTTACCTCCTTCAGGGATCTCCAATCAACTCCCAGAACTGCCTGAGTGTGGCGGTCAGCCCAGAGCAGCAGGTGCTATCCTTTGTAGCACTGTTAACCAAAAACTGGACACAACCAAATATCCACTAACAGTATAACTGGATAAACAAAGTGTAATATATTCATCTTTGGAATACTCTATAGCAATGAAAATTAATAAACTAGGGTTATGTACATAAAACTTGCAAACAGTCTGAGTGAAAGAGGCAAGCTGAAGCATTAGTACAGTATGATACTACATATATGAAGTTTTTTCTTTTTTAAATTTATATTTATAATTTTAATAAAAACATTTTTGGAGACAGGGTCTCACTATGTTCTCCAGGCTGGTCTCAAACTCCTGGGCTCAAGCAATCCTCCTGCTTTGGCCTCCCAAAGTGCTGGCATTACAGGCATAAGCCACCGTGCCTGGCCCCATATATGAAGTTTAAAAGCATACAAAATACTTCTATAAGCTACTTATGGGTCAATAAATATGGAGGAATTGTATGAGTCTGTGAGTGTAAATAATACCAAATTAGATTTGGAGGTGACTCCAGCAAATAGGACTGGAGAGGGGTACAAAAGGCCCCATATGTGTCTGCAATGTGCTTTTATTTAAAAAAAAAAAAACTCATGTAAAAGTGGCAAAACCTACAGTCAAGAATGATGAATGGTGAGTTCTTGAGTACTTACATTTTTATCTATAACTTTCTTGGTGTTCGAAATATTTTATTATGGTTTTAAAAAAAGAAGAAAGGGGAGGAAAACCATTGGTCACTGATAGTAATAGATCCTCTGCTTTTGGCAACTTGGCCCACTCATCTTCCTGCTTGACCAATTCTCCTCCATCTCTGAGCTTATCCATTCATTTTTCTTTTCAAACTAGAACCCACATGCAGATGACTCCCAAATCTATATCCAGTCCAGACAACTTCTGTTATCTAACTTCTGGTTAGGTATCTCCACTAGGATGTTTCTCAGACACCTCAGACTCAACACAAGCAAAACTCAATTGATAACTACCCCCTCCAACTGCCTGTTGCCTACAGCTGGAAAGGCATGTGGAGAGAAGATACACACCCAATCATCTTCCTGAAGCTTTTGAATACTGATGATAAAGAAAAAAACCTTCCAAACTTTTTAACAACAGAAAGATTTTCTGCAAATAGTTAACCTGACAGCCGACTTTTCATCTGCAACGTGAAATACTAGAAAACAGCTATTAGAAGCAATGAAACTTCCATGCATACAGCACCAAAGAGAGACTTTAAAAATAGTTTTAAAAAAGAGATTTATACACAATACCATTTATGTAAATTAAAAACAAATACAGAACAGCCCTGCACATTTTACATGGATCCATAAATAATAGCAAATACACAAGAGAAGGGCTTACTAGGAGAGGAGGAGGAAATAGGGGGAAAGAGAAAAAGCCAGAATGAAGAGTGGGGTCTAGTGTGGACCTCTGATGGCAATGCCCACAAAAGAGCAGGAGAGAATATCTCAGCCCTCTGCTTCTGAGATCCAAAATTTAAAAAAAAAATCGTTTAAAAATAGGGGATGGGCACGGTGGTTCATGCCTGTAATCCCAGCACTTTGGGAGGCTGAGGTGGACGGATCACTTGAGACCAGCCTAGCCAACATGGTGAAACTCTGTCTCTAATAAAAATACAAAAATTAGCTGGGTGTGGTGGTTGTAATCCCAGCTACTTGGGAGGCTGAGGCAGGAGAATCGCTTGAACCCAGGAGGCAGAGGTTGCAGTGAGCCAAGATCGTGCCACTGCACTCCAGCCTTGGCGACAGAGCGAGAATCCGTCTCAAAGAAAAAAAGGTGTTCCTAAATGCAGAAAAAGGTTGCGCATCACTGAAGTAAATGATGAACTAAATATAAGATTTGGAGGTAGGCAGGTAGGTAGAGGAGCTTGCCAGAGTGCAGGTATTTATGTTTGCTTAGAAAAGCTACAAGTTTTTCACTTCACAGTTCATATGGAACCAAAAAAGAGCCCACATTGCCAAGATAATCCTAAGCCAAAAGAACAAAGCTGGAGGCATCACACTACCTGACTTCAAACTATACTACAAGGCTACAGTAACCAAAAGAGCATGGTGCTGGTACCAAAACAGAGATGTAGACCAATGGAACAGAACAGAGCCCTCAGAAATAATACCACACATCTACAACCATCTGATCTTTGACAAACCTGACAAAAACAAGAAATGGGGAAAGGATTCCCTATTTAATAAACGATGCTGGGAAAACTGCCTAGCCATATGTAGAAAGCTAAAACTGGATCCCTTCCTTACACCTTATACAAAAATTAATTCAAGATGGATTAAAGACTTAAATGTTAGACCTAAAACCATAAAAACCCTAGAAGAAAACCTAGGCAATACCATTCAGGACATAGGCATGGGCAACTTCATGTCTAAAACACCAAAAGCAATGGCAACAAAAGCCAAAATTGACAAATGGGATCTCATTAAACTAAAGAGCTTCTGCACAGCAAAAGAAACGACCATCAGAGTGAACAGGCAATCTACAGAATGGGAGAAAATTTTTGCAATCTACCCATTGGACAAAGGGCTAATATCCAGAATCTACAAAGAACTTAAACAAATTTACAAGAAAAAATCAAACAATCCCATCAAAAAGTGGGCGAAGGATACGAACAGATACTTCTCAAAAGAAGACATTTATGCAGCCAACAGACACATGAAACAATGCTCATCATCACTGGCCATCAAAGGAATGCAAATCAAAACCACAATGAGATACCATCTCACACCAGTTAGAATGGCAATCATTAAAAAGTCAGGAAACAAGGGGTGCTGGAGAGGATGTGGAGAAACAGGAACACTTTTACACTGTTGGTGGGACTGTAAACTAGTTCAACCATTGTGGAAGACAGTGTGGTGATTCCTCAAGGATCTAGAACTAGAAATACCATTTGACCCAGCCATCCCATTACTGGGTATATACCCAAAGGATTATAAATCATGCTGCTATAAAGACACATGCACACGTATGTTTATTGCGGCACTGTTCACAATAGAAAAGACTTGGAACCAACCCAAATGTCCATCAGTGATAGACTGGATTAAGAAAATGTGGCACATATACACCATGGAATACTATGCAGCCATAAAAAAGGATGAGTTCATGTCCTTTGTAGGGACATGGATGAAGCTGGAAACCATCATTCTCAGCAAACTGTCACAAGGACAGAAAACCAAACACCACATGTTCTCACTCATAGGTGGGAATTGAACAATGAGAACACTTGGACACAGGAAGGGGAACATCACACACTGGGGCCTGTTGTGGGGTGGGAGGAGCGGGGAGGGATAGCATTAGGAGATATACCTAATGTAAATGACGAGTTAATGGGTGCAGCACGCCAACATGGCACATGTATACATATGTAACAAACCTGCACGTTGTGCACATGTACCCTAGAACTTAAAGTATACATATAAAAAAAGTCTAGCACATACAATTATTTAAAAAAAAAAAAGCTACAAGTTTTGGCCAGGTGCGGTAGCTCAAGTTCATGCCTGTAGCCCCAGAACTTTGGGAGGCTAAGATGGGCAGATCACTTAAGCCCAAGAGTTTGAGACCAGCCTGGGCAACATGGCAAAACCCTGTCTCTACTAAAAATACAAGAAGTAGCCGAGCGGGCGGCACCTACCTGTAATCCCAACTACTTGGGAGGCTGAGGCAGGAGAATTGACTGAACCTGGGAGGTGGAAGTTGCAGTGAGCAGAGATCGCACCACTGCACTCCAGCCTGGATGACAAAGTGGGACGCTATCTCAGAAACAAACAAACAAAAACCAAAAATTAGCTGGGCATAGTGGAACGCACCTGTAGTCCCAGCTACTCGAGAGGCTAAGGAAGGAGAATCACTTGAACCTGGGAGGCAGAGGATGCAGTGAGCTGAAATTGTGTTGCTGCGCTCCAGCCTGGGTGACAGAGTGCAGAGTGAGACTCCATCCAAAAAAAGAAAGAAAGGAAGAAAGGAAGAAGGAAAGAAAGAAAGAAAGAAAGAAAGAAAGAGAGAGAGAGAGAGAAAAGAAAGAAAGAAAAGAGAAAGAAAGAAAGAAAAAGAAAGAAAGGAAGAAAGAAAGAAAAGAAAGAAAGAAAAAGAAAGAAAGGAAGAAAAACAAATATATTTGGCTGGGAGTGGTGGCTCACGACTGTAATCACAGCACTTTGGGAGGCCGAGGTGGGTGGATCACCTGAGGTCAGGAGTTTGAGACAGCCTGGCCAACATGGTGAAACCCTGTCTCTAGTAAAAATACAAAAATTAGCCGGGTGTGGTGGCGCATGCCTGTAATCCCAGCTACGTGGGAGGCTGAGGTAGGAGAATGGCTTGAACCCAGGAGGCAGAGGTTGCAGTGAGCCAAAATCATGCCATTGCACTCTAGCCTGGGCAGCAAGAGCAGAAGTCTGTCTCGAAAAAAAAAAGAAACAAAGAAAGAAAGAAAGAGAAAGGAAGGAAGGAAGGGGAAGGGAAAGGAAAGGAAGGAAGGAAGGAAGGAAGGAAGGGAAAGAAGGAAGGAAAGAAAAAGAAAAGAAAAAGAAAGGCTACAAGTTTCAAGTGATATGACAATATATTTGGGCCAAATCAATCCCCACCCAGAATTCCCTAGATGAAGGCTGAAGCCCTGTTAATCCTAGACCAGAATCCCAGGCTGGTGATGGCTAACCTGGCTCCTTGAAAGGAACATCTGGCCAAAGATGCAGACACTAAACTGATGAGCTGCTTGCTGCCCAGCTCACGTCCCCTCCCTGATTCCCACACGTATGTGTACGTGAGCCCTTGCTCCACAACTGTGTCTTTATTACCTCCTTTAGACTCCACTCAATCCAGTGAAGTGGGCTGTATCAGGTGAAGCTAATATCAGCTAGGTTCATTCATTGGTTATTCATTTAACAAATATCTGTGGGGTTCCTAGGCTCAGTTCTAGGCACCAGGGGAAAAAAAGCAGTAAAGAAAGTAGAGCAAATTCTCTATCCTGGCCAGGCATGATGGTGCACACCTGTAGTTCCAGCTTCTCTGGAGGCTGAGGCAGGAGGATCCCCTAAGCCCAGGAGTTCAAGTACAAACTGGGCAACATGGATACCCTGTCTTTATTAGAAACAAAACAAAACAAAACAAATTCTGCCCTTAAGCAGCACACATTCTTGTTGAAAAAAGGTAATAAAAATAAATATCTGTTTGTTGGATGATGATACGGAGAAAAATTAAGCAATAGAGGAAAATAAGGAATGTAGGCCAAAATCTCCATTTTGGTCAGGTCAAGAGAGACCTTATTTATTTATTTATTTATTTATTTATTATTTTCATTTTTGAGATGGAATATCGCTCTTGTTGCCCAGGCTGGAGTGCAATGGAGCGATCTCAGCTCACTGCAACCTCTGCCTCCCGGGTTCAAGTGATTCTCCTGTCTCAGCCTCCCAAATAGGTGGGATTACAGGCACGTGCCACTACACCCGGCTAATTTTTTGTATTTTTTAGTAGAGATGGCGGCGCGGGGCTGGGGGTGGGGTGTGCGGCGTAGAGACGGGGGTTTCACCATGTTGGCCAGGCTGGTCTCGAACTCCTGACCTCAGGTGATTCAGCCACCTCAGCCTCCCAAAGTACTGAGATTACAGGCGTGAGCCACTGCACCCAGCCAGACCTCATTTAAAAGGTGACATTTCATCAAAGACTCAAAGAAGGTAAGAGAATGAGCCGAGCAGATATCTGGAGGACAAACACTCCAGGCATCAGGGGCAGCAAATGCAAGGGTCCTGAGGCAGGAGCATGCACGGTCAGGGGAAAGCCAGAGAGCCATTGTCGGGGGAGCAGAGCAAGAGAATGGGATCACAGTGGGTGAAGTTAGAGAGAAAGAGGGTAGGACCTTGTCAGCTCTCATGTGGGCTGACTTGGGGAGTCACTGGAGGGTCTTAAGCCTCTGCTCAGAGTGACATGATCTGACTCTCTTTACCAGAGCCACTCTGGCTGCTGCTGCGCTGAAGGGTGCTGAGAGAGAAGGGGAAGACAAGGGAGCAGATAGCTACTGCACTGATCCCAGCTAGAGACAGGAGGCTTGGGCCACAGAAGTGTCAGTGGAAGGCGATGGAGGAAGTCAGATTCTGAATGTATTTTGTTTTTGTTTTTGTTTCTTTTGAGACAAAGTCTTGCTCTGTCACCCAGGCTGAAGTGAAGCGGTGCAATCTTGGCTCACTGCAACCTCTGCCTCTTCGGCTTAAGCTAATTTTTGTATTTTTTGTAGAGATGGGGTTTTCGCCATGTTGCCCAGGCTGGTCTCAAACTCCTGGGCCCAAGCAGTCTGCCTGCCTTGACCTCTCAAAGCGTTGGGATTACAGGTGTGAGTCACTGCACCCAACTTCTGAATGTATTTTGAAGGTAGAGCCAAGAGGATGGTGCTGCTGAACTGGTTGTGAGAATGAGAGCAAGAGAACATCCATGGATGATTCTGAGTTTTCTGCCCTGAGCAGCTGGCAGGATAAAGATGCCATTTTCTGGGGTGGGAAAGGCTGCCGGAGGAGCAGGATGGGGACAGATGAGGAGGATGTCACTCTCACAGGGTGAATGCACACAAGCCTGATGTAATCCTATGTCTGCCTGACTCAAGACCTTCCTTCCTTGGCTTCTTCAAGTTGCCTGCTCCAAGGAAAAGGCAGAGCAAGAGTGGTAGTCCTATCCCTGCATTTCTCTGTCTTCAATGAGGTCAGCATATTTTGGGAAATTTACACATTCAAACACTGAATTATAGTTAGTTCTTTTTTTTTTTTTTTTTTTTTTGAGACAGAGACAGAGTTTTGCTCTGTTGCCCAGGCTGGAATGCAGGGGTGCAATCTCTGCTCACTGCAGCCTCTGCCTCCCAGGTTCAATCGATTCTCCTGCCTCAGCTTCCCAAGTAGCTGGGATTACAGGCACATGCCACCACACCTGTCTAATTTTTGCATTTTTAGTAGAGATGGGGTTTCACCATGTTGGTCAGGCTGGTCTCGAACTCCTGACCTCAGGTGATCTGCCTGCCTTGGCCTCCCAAAGTGCTGGGATTATAGGCATGAGCCACCGTGCCCAGCCAAATTATAGTTAGTTCTTGACTCTATTGCACTTTGTGGACTGTCTTCGTCTTCACAGATCTGAAGATTTAGTGAACAAGTATTATCGTTTACTAAGAGACTGGAATTTGGCCTATAGTTTGAGATTCCCAAGCCATTGACCTGCCAGGGCCTCTTCTCAGGGTTCTCCCATTCTATAAAAGTCATACCACGCAATTTGTTTTAGTTATCTACTGTTCTGTAAAAACCACTCCAAAGCTTTGTGGTTGAAAACAACAACTATTTTATTCACAATTCTGGGGGTCAGGAATTTGGGCGGGGCTCAGCTGGGATGTTCTTCTGCTTCATGTGGTATCAGCTGGGATATCTTATAAGGCTGCAATCAGGGCCAGCTTCACAGGCAAGCAACCTGTGTAGTTGTAGAGGGCCCCACACTCAGAGGGACCCTGCAGTTAGTTTAATGCTCTGCTGTTGCCATCTTAAATTTCAAAATAATTTTTGAGCAATGGATCTTGCATTTCCATTGTGCATTGGGCTCTGCAAATTATGTAGCTGGTATTGGTTAGAATCAGATGGTGGCTGGGGCTGGAATATCCAGGATAGCTTCATTCACTAGTCTAGGGTCTTGGTAGAGTTGGGTGGGAGGCTGGGACCTCTCTGTCTCTCTCTGCATGACTAGCTTAGGCTTCTTCACATGGCAGCTGGATCTCAAGAGTGAAAATCCCAAGCAGTGAGGGAAAGCTTCAGGTCATAAGGGCCAGCCTCAGAAGTTACACTGCATCACTCTCTCCACATTCTATTAACCAAAACAAGCCACAGGGCTGGCCCAGATTCAAGAAAAGGGGTTGGGGAAATGGCAAGGTCATTTTGTAACAGAGCATGTGGAAAGGAAGATTTTATTGCAGCCATCTTTGGAAACACACCCTACCACACAATGTTTATGTCCTACCTTCCCTGCAGGCCTAAGTTCCCAAAAGGACTAGGGAAAGATATGCCTGCTACTTTTTATTATTATTATTTTATTTTTTAGAGTCAGGCTCTCAATATGTTGCCCAGGCTGGAGTGCAGTTGCTATTCACAGGTACGATTATAGCATACTGTGGCCTTGAACCCCTAGGCTCAAGAGATCTTCCCACCTCAGCCTCTCAAGTAGCTGGGACTATAGGCAGGTGCCACCATGCCCTGCCAAGCATCTACTACTTTTGCTCCCCGCTCTTTGCCCCATTCTGCCACACTCCCCAACTGGAGTTAGTTGAATTGGTTTGTTTCAAGGCAGGGTCAGGGATCTGTTTTGTCCACTTAGACCTGAAGAAGGCCTAGAAGACCAGCCTTGGCCAAAGAGGCTATGAGGTCTGTTGATCACTTCATCAAATAGGGTGGAGGGAAAGGGTGGGCTAGGTGAACAGGTGCAGGAAACTTGGAGAGATGGCTCTGTCCCTTTCCCTCTGTGCAGCAAGGACAAATGGAATGAGGAGTCCAAGGCAGGACAGAGTCTTGCTACCTGACAAGTGGTCCCTGGACCAGGAGCACAAACATCCCCTGGGAGTGTTAGAATCCAGAACCTAACGCCCTACCCCAGACCTCCCAGGTCAGCAGCTACAACTGAACTAGACCCTCTGGGGATCTGTGCTCACATTAAGGTTTGAGGAGCTGGCAGCCTCTAGAGCAGTGGTTCTCAGCCTTGGCTGCACAGTGGAATCACCTAGGAAGCTTTTCCAGCTTCCAACACCCAGCCACACCCTAGACCAACAAGTCAGAATCTCAGAGGTGGACGCCAGCATTAGGATAATTTGTTCCTCAGTAAGGAGTTCCCTTGGTGAGTGGGAAAGCCAAACTCAAACCCTTCCTGACTCAGGACTCCTCATGGGACTAGCCCCCACGTGGTTCCTCTCCAGAAAAGAGGAAGTCAGGTCTGAGCCCCTTGCCATCTTATGCAGCTTCCAGTGGGGTCCATCCCTTTACTCTCCTCTTCAGGAGCTTGTATTCACAGGTTCTAAAGATGGGATGGAGAGGAAAAAAAGGAGCTTATAGATATTGACTTTCCCTGGATTATGGGGACTCTGAGTTCAGCCCATAATCCCCCTTCCCACACTAATGCCTATGTTTGAAGCCAGGACTCCAAGGGGCAGCTCTCCCTGCAAGTGTGAACAGCAAACAAATCCATCTGGACACAAACTTCCTAACAGGAACCTCAGTTTGGTGCTGAACAAACAGCCAGCCAGAGCCCCCATCCCACTCTTAGACCCCCAGTGGTGGCAAGGTCCAGCCTCTGTTCTTGGCCGGAATAATGAGGTTTCCCAGGACTTCCAGTGCCCTCCGCCACCTATTTTCTCCCAACCTGCCCTCCTCCTGGACTCAACCTCTCTAGCCTTAGTAGTGAGTGGCAAAGGCTCAGTGACAACTTTAGAAACCCACTTGTGGAAGAGCTCTAAAAAGCTCACCAGGGGAGGAGGGAAGGTCTGAGCTGAGCTTATGGCAAGATTGTCCTCTTCCCCTGCCCAACACTATCTACCTGCAAGACACAGACACACACACACCACCACCACCACCACCACCACAACCACCACCGCCTGTTTTTCCTGAGCACAGAAACTTATTTCTAGGTGGTTCTTGCATCCTCTCCCCTCTCTGACTCCATCTATTTATGGCACTTGGAGAGGTCACACACACAACACAACCCAACTCTCTTTGTGTCTGTCCATTTCAACAATGCCCCTCAGATCAGGTTCAAATGGTGAAAATGCTGAAAAAGGAGCTAAGGTGTAAGATAGGTGGTGATTTTTAAAGAAGAACTCATACCTTTGTTTGCCTCTCCTATGGGTATTGGAAGTTTGGTCAGTTATGAGTAGTTAAAATTAATTGGCCCCCACTGGGTGCAGTGCTGTAATCCCAGCACTTTGGTAGGCTGAGGAGAGCAGATCATTTGAGGTCCCAGGTTCAAGACCAGCCTGGCCAACATGGCGAAACTCTGCCCCTACTAAAAATACAAAAATTAGCTGGGCTTGGTGGCGGCACCTGTAATCCCAGCTACTCAGGAGGCTGAGGCAGGAGAATCGCTTGAACCTGCGACGTGGAGGTTACAGCAAGCCAGGATGGTGCCATTGTACTCCAGCCTGGGCGACAAAGCAAGATTCTGTTTCAAAAAGAAAGAAAGACAGAAAGAAAAAAAAAGGGCCCTTAAAAGGATTCTGTCTCTCTCTCTCACTCACTCACTCTCCTTCTATAACTCCATCTCCTGCTTACCCACAAAAGAAAAAAAATCCTCCCTCCTCTCTAAGGGCTATGAGCACAGAAGAAAAATCAATTCAATTCCATTTCAACCATTAAATAAACACTCTCATCGTATGATTTGAGTCAACAGAACTATTAGGTTGGTGCAAAAGTAACTGTGGTTAGACCGGACGTGGTGGCTCCTTTCTGTAATCCCAGGACTTTGGGAGGCCAAAGCAGGCGGATCACCTGAGGTCAGGAGTTCGAGACCACCCTGGCAAACATGGTGAAACCCTGTCTCTACTAGAAATACAAAAAAGCCAGGTGTGGTGGCACGCGTCTATAATCCCAGCTACTCAAGAGGCTGAGGCAGGAAAATTGCTTGAACTCAAGAGGCAGAGGTTGCAGTGAGCTGAGACTGGGCCACTGCACTCAAGCCTGAGTGACAGAGACTCAGTCTCAAAAAAAAAAAGTAATTGTGGTTTTTACCATTAGTTTCAATAGCAAAAACTGCAATCACTTGTGCACCAACCTAATGGGTTTGAATTCTGGCAGGTCACTAGTTGTAAAAGAAATCACATTACTGCCCAAGATCCAGTTTCCTCATCTGTAAAATGGGGATAACAGTATGATTGTGGGAATCAAAAAGAATGCACAGGTGTGCCCCTTGCAATGTGCTTATGCTATAACAGGGGTTCACTGGAGGACCATCCCTCTTTCTTTTCCCTTTTTTCAGAAACTAGAATGATAGGGGAGAGAGAGAATTCAACTCAACCAATATGTGCTAAGCACCGTGGAAGGTGTGACTAGCGGATAAAAAGATGAATACGGCACTGAAGTGGGTCTTGGGTTGTCACAGGGGTGTGCAGAGTGAGCTGGAAGTTCACAGTCCTGAACTGAGTTTTCTCTTGGGCAAGTCACTCCACACTTAGTGGGTCTTCAATGTCTTCCCTTTTCAGTACAAGAAAGGGCTGTCAGGGCAGGCACACAGTGGCTCATATCAAAAATCCCAACACTTTGGGAGGCTAGGTAAGAAGATTGCTTGAGGCCAGGAATTCGTGACCAGCCTGAGCAACATAGCAAAAGCCCATCTCTGCAAAAAAACAAAAAAAAAAAACATAAAAAATGAGCCAGGGCTGGGGCGGTGGCTCACACCTGTAATCCCAGCACTTTGGGAGGCTGAGGTGAGTGGATTACCTGAGGTTAGTAGTTTGAGGCCAGCTTGGCCAACATGGTGAAATCCCGTCTCTACTAAAAAAGCAAAAATTAGCCAGGTCTGATGGTGGGTGCCTGTAGTCCCAGCTACTTGGGAGGCCAAGGCAGGAGAGTTGTTTGAACCTGGGAGGCAGAGGTTGCAGTGAGCCAAGGTCGTGCCACTGCACTCCAGCCTGGGTGATGGAGTGAGACTCCATCTCAAAAAAAAAAACAAAAAACAAAAAAAAAGGCCGGGCATGGTGGCTCACGCCTGTAATCCCAGCACTTTGGGAGGCCAAGGCAGGCGGATCATGAGGTCTGAAGTTCGAGACCATGCTGGCCAACATGGTGAAACCCTGTCTCTACTAAAAATACAAAAAAAGAGCCAGGTGTGGTGGCACGCACCTGTAGTCCCAGCTACTCGGGAGGCTGAGGCAGGAGTATCGCTTGAACCCGGGAGGCAGAGGTTGCAGTGAGCCCAGATTGCACCACTGCACTCCAGCCTGGTAACAGAGCGAGACTCTGAGAAAGAAAGAGAGAAAGAGAGAAGGAGAGCAGGAGGGAGGGAAGGAAGGAAGGAAGGAAGGAAGGAAGGAAGGAAGGAAGGAAGGAAAAAAAAGAACGAAAGAAAGAAGGAAGGAAGGAAGGAAAGAAAGAAAGGGCTTTGACTAGTTTGCTGCTAAAGTCCCAACCAGCTGTATAAAGTGCTCCAAGTGAATAGAAAACATACTTATCTCACTGCACAAGGGTTATTTGCCCTGGCTGTCAACCTTCCTCTCTGACTAATCCTTCTTCTTCTGTCCTTGCTGTCCCTAAACATAGCAGTCCCCAAGGGATCCATACAAGCCCCTTTCTCTTTTACTACAGCATTTTCTCTCCGTGTGATCTCACCCACTCTCATCCCTTGATAGACTTCCCTCTCTTCAGATGCCTCTGCAGAGGAAAGTGTCCTCCACAGAGCCCTCCTGGACCTATGAAGTTATTACTTTATCTATTTATTTATTTATTTATTTATTTATTTATTTTTGAGACGGAGTCTCACCTGTGGCCCAGGCTGGAGTGCAATGGCACGATCTCGGCTCACTGCAACCTCCGCCTCCTGGGTTCAAGCAATTCTCCTGCCTCAGCCTCCTGAGTGGCTGGGATTACAGGCATGCACCACCATGCCTGGCTAATTTTGTATTTTTAGTAGAGACAGGGTTTCACTATGTTGGCCAGGCTGGTCTTGAACTCCAGACCTCAGGTGATCTGCCTGCCTCGGCCTCCCAAAGTGTGGGGATTACAGGCATAAATCACTGCACCTGGCCTATGAAGTTATTACTAATCTCTCCATCCTTTGTACTCCCATAGAATCCATCCCTTTGGTTTGGCAGTTGCATTAGCTAGTTGTGGATGAGTCTCTCTGTCCCCTCCCTCCACCCTCACCGTAAGACTCTGAGCTCCCATTGGGCAGGAATTGTATATTTCATTGCACTTTGTACCCCTCATAAAACCCAACACAGAATAGGCCTCAAACAAGTAAATGTTTGTCGACTTCAGTCTAATTGAAGGGCATAGAATTTCAGAGAAAATCTTAAAGGCAGCATACATAAGAAAAAGTTAGGAAACACTAGGTAACTGCAAAGTGCAATGTGTTAGCTGTGCATTCCAGGGAGGGAGGAACAAACAACCAACCTTGTTTGCTCTTGGCCTGTCAGGTGCAGGGGAAGCAGGAGGGGCAGGGGAGGGGAGAGCAGGTGTGGGCTGGAGCTGAGACAGCCCAGGCAGGGGGTAGGGGGAGGTGGTATGGGGCCTCCCCAAGGCAGCTCTGGGGCCCTCTGACCCTGCAAGCTGGGCTTGACTTAGGGCACGTTGCATGGCAGCCCTCCATCCAGGTCCAACAAACTCCATCATCACCATTTAGCACCTTTCTTCTGCATGAAAAAGCTTCCCTTTGGAAAGACAAGGAAGAAGAAAAGAGAGAGAAAGAGAAAGGAAGGAATAGAGGGAAGGACAAAGAGAGGGGAGGGAAAAGAGAGAGAGAGAAAGAAAGAAAGAGAGATGAAGACCCTGCAAAAGGAGAGTGAAAAAGGAGAAAAGGGACAAGGATTCACAGGGTGTTGGGAAAGGGCAGCAAAGGGGCTTCCTAACACATCTTCCCCAGTGACTCTGAGATCTCAACCAGTGCTCAAAACGTTCTTCTTCCCTCAATCCAGAGAAGGAAACTCATTCTCTACTTAAGTGAGATAACCCAAGTGCAAAGCTTAAGTGATCTGTAAATATTACCCATTATTATTATTACCATTTTTCCCTCCTTCTCCTCCTTGCTACCCAGCTCACTTGCATATTAATGGGTTTAGACAAAAAAAAGGAAGGAAAATCCTTTAGTGGGGAAAGAGGGTTGGGAAGTGGGGAAGAATTTGGCTGGAGGACAGCTCGAGAGCTCCTGGACAAATTTATTTGTTCTTTTTAAATATTTTTATTTTAGTTTGGCCAACTGAGTCCCTGGCATGGACTAGGCCCTGAGGATACAGCAGGTCACAAGGGCCATGTGAATTTTTACAGTGTCTTAGAAATCAATAAGGTAATATCAATTACAATTTAAAAATATAAACTCTTACAGGTTTCTGTCCATTAATACTATTCAGGGATCTTTTTGTATAGAAATAAAAGAGCCAGTACACAATATATATTTAAAATAATGTTTCTTACCAGTTCTGTTTGTAGGGCAGAAGCAGAAAACAACCTGAATGCCTTTCAACAGAAGAAAGGTTGAATAAATTGTGGCACACCCATACTGTGGAACATTAAGCAGACACTAAAAAGAATGAGTTAGGTCTAAACTGGGTAGCTTGGAGGAATTTCCACAATTAAGTGAGAAAAAGAAAACTGATTGTTCAAGGTTGAGCGCCAAAATTAATTTCATCAGAAAATCCTGGATTGCTTCTAGGCACTGGAGATCTAGGGAATGCTTAAGTTGCCTCCAGGCTTTTGCTACTATAAAAGGTGCTACAATGTACATCCTTATACAGGAATCTTTGAAAAGGAATCTTTTGACATTTTAGTAGCTATTGCAAATTATTCTCCTGGCTGGGCTCAGCGGCTCACTCCTGTGATCCCAGCACTTTGGGAGGCTGAGGCAGGCGAATCGCTTGAGCCCAGGAGTTCAAGACTACGCTGGGTAACATAGTGAGGCCCCATCTCTATTAAAAAAAAAAAAAATCCCAGCACTTTGGGAGGCCAAGGCAGGCGAATCACTTGAGCTCAGGAGTTTGAGAACAGCCTGGGCAACATGGCAAGACCCCATCTCTACTAAAACTATAAAAAAATAGCTGGGCACAGTGGCACGTGCCTGTGGTCCCAGCTACTCAGGAGGCAGAGGTAGGAGGATGGCTTCAGCCCAGAGGGTGGAGGTTGCAGTGAGCTGAGATCACCCACTGCACTCCAGCCTGGGTGTCAGGGCAAGACCCTGTCTCCAACAACAACAACAACAACAACAAAAAGAAAGAAAGAAAGAAAGAAAGAAAGAAAGAAAGAAAGAAAGAAAGAAAGAAAGAAGGAAAGAAAGAAAGGAAAAGAAAAGAAAAGAAAAAGGTTTTAAATTTTAAAAATTTCTCCAAAAATTTGAACTAATTTACATGCTTCCCTGTAATATATGAGAGGGCCTATTTCCCTTCATTTTCACCAACACTGGATATTATTAATCTTTTTAATCTTGGGACTCAAATAGTCAAAAATATCATTTATTATATTTATATAAATTTAAGCATCTTAATGTGCTTATAATCTTTTAAACACATTGAGCATCTTTTAATGTGGTTATATCTATTTGTATGTCTTCTGTGACTTATGTTGCTCATTTTTCTTTGGGGCTATCTGCCTTTATTGACTTGTAAGAACTTTTTTTTTTTTTGAGATAGAGTCTCACTCTTGTTCCCCGGGCTGGAGTGCAGTGGCGCAATCTCAGCTCACTGCAACCTCCGCCTCCTGGGTTCAAGCAATTCTCCTGTATCAGCCTTCCAAGTAACTGGGATTACAGGCACCCACCACAATGCCTGCCTAATTTTTATATTTTTAGTAGAGATGGAGTTTCGCCATGTTGGTCTTGCTGATCTTGAACTGACCTCAGGTGATCTGCCCACCTCGGCCTCTCAAAGTGCTGGTACTACAGGCATGAGCCACTGTGCCCAGCTTTTAAGAATTTTTTTATGCTAGGGAAATTTGTCTATCAACTGGCTCTTCTTTTGTGACATTTTCTCAAATTGTATTTTGTCTTTTAAAAAACACAGTGGGAAGGGGGCAAGGGGGCAAGGGGCAGGGGGCAGCTGGGCTAGGTGGCTCAAGACTATAATCCCAGCCCTTTGGGCTGAGGCAAGAGGATTGCCTGAGGCCAGGAGTTTGAGATCAGCCTGGGCAACATGGCAATGTCCCATCACTACAAAAAAACTTTTTTTTTTAATATTTATTTATTTATTTAGAAATGGAGTCTCACTCTATCACCCAGGCTGGAGTGCAGTGGTGCAATCTTGGCTCATTGCAACCTCCATCTCCTGAGTTCAAGCGATTCTCCTGCCTCAGCCTCCTGAGTAGCTGAGATTTTAGGCACCCACCACCACACCTAGCTAATTTTTGTATTTTTTGTAGAGACGGGGTTTCACCATGTTGGCCAGGCTAGTCTGGAACTCCTGACTTCAAGTGATCTGCCTACCTCGGCCTCCCAAAGTGCTGGGATTATAGACGTGAGCCACTGGGCCTGGCCAAAAATTTTTTTTTAAATACAGAGGGGTAGGAAAAAAATATGAAACATTTCAAGCCTATAGACAAGTATAGAGAATAATAAAAAGAATATCCATATACCCACCACTACTCAGTTTCATCAAACATTTTTACTATGGTTGTTTTGTGTTAAGAAATAAAACAATACAGAAAGTTGACAGCCCAAGTGACCCTCCCTAATCCTACTCCCTTCTCCCTACCCGGAGCTCATCTTTATTTTGATTGTCATGTTTATCATGCCTAAGAATGCCTTTAGACTTTTACCAAGGTATTTATGTTTTATGTTATACATGGTTAAACTTTTTTTTTTTTTTTTTTGAGACAGAGTCTCACTCTGTTGCCCAGGCTGGAGTGGAGTGGCCCGATCTCAGCTCACTGCAACCTCCACCTCCTGGGTTCAAGCAATTCTTCTGCCTCAGCCTCCCAAATAGCTGGGACTACAGATGCATGCCACCATGCCCGGCTAATTTTTGTATTTTTAGTAGAGACGGGGTTTCACCATATTGGCCAGACTGGTCTTGAACTCCTGACCTCGTGATCTGCCCACCTTGGCCTCCCAAAGTGCTGGGATAACCGCGCCTGGCCGGTTAAACCTTATTATAAATTTGTTGTGTCAACTTAGCTAAGCTGGAACTACATTTCCCGGAATTTCCTTCCCTGAATGGTTTTGGGCATGATGCTTAGGACACAGAAGTGAAGCAGCAGCCGTGTTTAGCAGTGCAGAGCAGGTGCTATGGCAGCTCACACGCATTATGGCAGATCTACTGGCTCGTTTTGCAGATGGAGGCCACAGCTGGGCGTGTAGGTCCTTCAGCTCCCACCAGACCCTCTTCTGTTTTCCCAGCTCCTGAGCCGAGTATGTGCTTAGTTTCAGAATGAAGGACACCAGACTTCCTTGCAAGTCACCTGCATTAACAAAATGAGAGGCTTGGAGGTGGTGTGAGACTGAGGCAGGTTTTAGCTCATTCTTGCCCTTCTTCCTGGGTTCCAGTTTGTCCTAATTTTCCCACTTCACATCCATCTTTCCTTCCCCAATGCCTGCCTGTGGACTTTAGTCCCAGACCCAGACAAAGAAGTAACATCCTCACAGAGAGCTATTACCAGTTCCCACAGTTGTGTAAGGTCAAATTCCCATAATAAAATCCTTTATTCTTTGGGGTTGAGTATGATGAAAAAAAAAAATCCTTTATTCTGTTAGGCACAGTGGTGTGCACCTGTAATCTCAGCTACTCAGGAGGCTGAGGCAAGAGAATCATTGAGTCCAGGAGTTCAAGATGTGCCTGGGCAACAGAGCAAGATCCCCATCTCAAAAAAAAAAATCCTTTATTCTTTGTCACTCCTAGGGGTCCTGCTTCTCCGATTGGATCATGACTAATAGAGAATCTGCTACTGGACATGGTTCCAAGAATAACAGAACCTTAGTGGGTGATGGGTTCAGTCTGGGTCATCTAGAATTGATTCTGTGACCTAAATAGATTTAAAGGCATAAATAACCCTTACCAGAGGTTGTCAGGGGTAAAGAGATCACTGGTTCTTCATGGTATGCCATAGGAAAAAAAGTTATTTATTTATTTAATTTTAATTTTAATTTTAATTTATTTATTTTTGAGACAGAGTCTGACACTCTTGTTGCCTAGGCTGGAGTGCAATGGCAAGATCTCGGCTCAGTGCAACCTTTGCCTCCTGGGTTCAAGCGATTCTCCTGCCTTAGCCTCTCAAGTAGCTGAGAATACCGGCACCCAGCCCCACGACCGGCTAATTTTTGTATTTTTAGTAGAGATGGGGTTTCACCATGTTGGCCAGGCTGGTCTCGAACTGACCTCAGGTGATCTGCCCGCCTCGGCCTCCCAAAGTGCTGGGATTACAGGTGTGAGCCACTGCACTCAGCCAAAAAAGTTATTTAAATGATCACTTGCAGACACTGTAATCAGGTGTCTATAGAAGTCAAATCTTTGATTGACCAAATGTTTGCTTGAATATAACAATTATGATGACATTGGTGAGTTGTTTCTAAGTGCCCTGAAGAATTTAGGGAAAGAATATGAGGAGTCGGGATTTTGAATTCCCATCTCAAGGTCCATGGAAAGGACCTGAAAGTTTTGTGGCTGTCCTATGATGTAAATTATGTTCCCAACCTCTCAGGTCTCTTCTGCTAAAAATTGTGTCATTGATTGGGAAGAAGAGAGACTGTAAAAATTGCGATGAAGATATATATGGCCAGGTTCCAACAAATCTGAGCCCCTAAATTCTGCTGAATCTCTTTTCACAGTAGAAGTAACTTTCCACTCTTATCTGAAAAAGTGAATCTCAGCTAGGCGCAGTGGCTCATGCCTGTAATCCCAGCATTTTGGGAGGCTGAGGCAGGAGGATTGCTTAAGCCCATGAGCTCAAGACCTGCCTGTGCAACTCTGTCTCTACAAAAAATTTAAAAAATTAGCCAATGGTTTCTTTGGTTTCAAAAAGAACTAAAAATAACAAAACCAAAAAAAAAAAAAACAGGAAAGAAAAAGAAAAATTAGCTGGGCATGAGGCAGGAGGATCCATTTAGCCCAGGAGTTCAAGGTTACAATGAGATATGATCACATCACTTCACTCCAGCCTGGGTGACAGAGCAAGACCCTGTCTCAAAAAAAAGAAGTGAATCTCCCCTTGCCTGAAGGTCTTGTAATGGCCTTCCTTGAAGTGGTGGCCCTCTGGATTTACCTCCACTGCCTCTCATTGCTGGTAGACTCAAGTTCAAACAGGCTACAGAGAATGAAGTACAAAGCCTTTCCCATGAGACAGTGGTATGATACACACCAAAACAATTTCATGATGTTGCCAATTTACATATACAGAAACCTGGGGAAATGTATGGACATGGATCCCAAAGGTGTGAGATGAGGACAGAAGAAATATAAAGTCATATTAGGCTGAATCTATTTATAAGGGCCAACTAAGCAGAGATTCCTGATTCAATGTCCTAGCTTGAGTGAGTCTAACAGTTTGTTCAGTTGGTTGATATCAACTTCTAGATGAAGTTGGCACACTGTAGAAGAGGTATCAAATGGCTAAGGAAGGCTAGAATGCTAGGGTAGACTTGCCATGGAAGACCTATTTACCTGCCCCTGTAATATGTGCCCAGGTTAGTTCTAGAAGACACTTCCTTCATCAAGCCTATGAGAAATGCATTCAAGAGGAAAGCCCTGATATCCTTGAAGAACTCGATGGTGGCTATTCTCTGTAGGCCCGAAATGACGGAGGGAACTTATGCTATCAAGCTGGGCTCCCAAAATTCAATGGGGATGATGTGACAAGTAGGTGTGGTTACCATAATGGCTCATGAAAAATGTGAACATGGCGAGAGGGATGGAGGTTGGACAGGGGCTTAGTAACATGGATTTCCATTCCCTAAAACCAATCTGACTACAGCCATTGCTGAGTGCCCAACCTGCCAACAGCAGAGACCAACACTGAGCCCCCAATATGAAAACCAACTAGCCACCTAGTGCCAGGGTAATCACATAGGGGCATTACTTTGTTCTTACTGGAATATCCATTTACTGTGACATAGATTTGCTTTCTCTGCCCACAATGCTTCTGCCAAAATCAACATCTCTGAACTTATAGAATGCTTTGGCATTCCATATAGCATTGCTTCTGACAAAAGAATTATTTCACAGCAAGTAAAGAACAGCAATGGGCTCAGGCTCATGGTATTCACTGGTCTTACCATTACCCTGAAGCAGCTGGCTTGAAAGAACAGTAGGATGACCTTTTGAAGACTTAATTATGGCACTAGCTGGATAGTAACATGTTGCAGGGCATGGGTAATGTCCTTCAGATGCAAGATGTGCTCTAAACCGGCAACCAACATATGGTGCTGGGAGAAATCCCAAACCAGGATTTGTGGGTCAGAGGGTAGAAATGAGAACAGATCTCCTCAATATAACACATAGTGTTTCTCTAGCAAAATTTTTGCTTCCTATCTCGGTAACTTTGTGCTCTGCTGATCTAGAGATACTAGAGTTCCCAAGAGTGAACTATTTCCACATGAGACACAGCAGTGGTTTCACTGAACTGGCAGTTAAGACTGTCGCTGGCTACTTGGGCTTCTCTCACCAGTGAATCAATAGGCACTGAAGAGTATTATCAGACTCTCTGGGTGACTGATCCTGACTGTCAGGGGGATAATGGGAACAACATGGTATTTCCATATCCTGTGATTAAAATCAATAGCAAAACTACAACTAAATAAAGGAAGGACTGATAATGGTCCAGACCAGGAACAAGTGGGCACTGAATTTTCACAAAGTATAAAGATCTGTGTAACCAGCATCCAGATGAAGAAATAGAACACTGGCCGGGCACGGTGGCTCACATCTGTAATCCCAGCACTTTGGGAGGCTGAGGCGGGTGGATCACCCAAGGTCAGGAGTTTGAGACCAGCCAGCCTGACCAACATGGTGAAACCCTGTCTCTATTAAAAATACAAAATTTGCTCGGCATGGTGGCACATGCCTGTAATCCCAGCTACTTGGGAGGCTGAGGCAGGAGAATCGTTTGAACTGGGAGGCAGAGGTTGCAATGAGCCAAGATCATGCTACTGCACTCCAGTCTGGGCAACAATAGTGAAATTCAATCTCAAAAAAAAAGAAAATAAATAGAACACTGCTACCACCACAGAAGTTCCCGTCATGCCCTTTGCCACTCATTAACCACCCCCAAGCATTCTCCTGACTTCTAGTAGCATAGATAAGTTTGCCTTGTTTTTTTATTTTTTTATTTTTTTGAGACAAGAGTCTCACTCTGTCACCCAGGCTGGAGTGCAGTGGCGCAACTTTATTCTACTGTTGGTAGACATTCTGGTAGTTTCTGATTTGGGGCTATTGCAAATAATGCTGCTGTGAACATTCTGAAACATGTCTCTTGTTAAACACATATGTATATTTGTGTTGGGTATACACTATACCTAGGATAGGAACTGCTGGATCAGAGGGTTAAGCTTAAGTAAATACTGCTTATCCATTTTTCGAAAGTGTTTCTACCAATTTATATGCCCACACTCAGTGGATAAGAGTTCCAGATGCTTCATATTATCATCAACCCTCGGTATTTTCTTTTTCTTTTTCTTTTTCTTTTTCTTTTTTTTTTTTTTTTTGAGACAGAGTTTTGCTCTTGTTGCCCAGGCTGGAGTGCAATGGCTCACTACAACCTCCGCCTCCCAGGCTCAAGCGATTCTCCTGACTCAGCCTCCCAGGTAGCTGGGATTATAGGTGTGCACCACCACACCTGGCTAATTTTGTATTTTTAGTAGAGATGGGGTTTCACGATGTTGGTCAGGCTGGTCTCGAACTCCTGACCTCAAGTGATCCACCCGCCTCAGCCTCACACCTGCCTTGGCCTCCTAAAGTGCTGGGATTTACAGGTGTGAGCCACCGTGCCCAGCCAGCCCTTGGTATTTTCCATCTTCTGGTGCGTGTATAGTGGATCACGATGTGATTTGAATTTGCATTTCCCTGATGACTCACAGAGTTCAGTATGTTTCATACTTTTTTTTTTTTTGAGACAGAGTCTCGCTCTTTCGCCCAGGCTGGAGTGCAGTGGTGCAGTCTTGGCTCACTGCAACCTCCGCCTCCCAGGTTCAAGCAATTCTCCTGCCTCAGCCTCCGAGTAGCTGAGATTACAGGCACCCACCACAACACCCAGCTAGTTTTTGTATTTTTAGTAGAGATGGGGTTTCACCATGTTAGCCAGGCTGGTCTCAAACTCCTGACCTCAAGTGATCTGCCCGCCTTGGCCTCCCAAAGTGCTGGGATTACAGGCATGGGCCACCGCGCCCAGCCACATATGGTTTTAAGCTATTCAGATATTTCCTTTTATAAAGTGCCTAGTTCATGTACTAACCCATCTCAGTGGTCTTTTTAAAGTCTGTTGTAGGGCTGGGTGCGGTGGCTTACGCCTGTAATCCCAGCACTTTGGGAGGCCAAGGCGGGTGGATCACCTGAGGTCAGGAGTTCAAGACCAGCCTGGACAACATGGTGAAACCCCATCTCTACTAAAAATACAAAAAATTAGCTGGGCATGGTGGCGGGTGCCTGTAATCCCAGCTACTCAGGAGGCTGGGGCAGGAGAATCGCTTGAACCCAGGAGGCAGAGGTTGCAGTGAGCCGAGTGCCATTGCACTCCAGCCTGGGCAACAAGAGTGAAACTCCATCTCTAAATAAATAAATAAATGAATAAAAATAAAGTCTGTTATTCGTTTGGCTTTATTTTTGGTATACTTAACAAAAATTAGCTGGGTGTGGTGGCACATGCCTGTAATCCCAGCTACTGAAGCAGGAAAATCGCTGGAACCTGGGAGGCAAAGGTTGCAGTGAGCCAAGATTGTGCCACTGCACTCTAGCCTGGGCAACTCCATCTCAGAAAAAAAAAAAAAAAGGACTACTAAAAGAATGAAAAGGCAGGCCACAGAGTGACAGAGGTTATCTGCTTCTATGTATATTACAACGAAGGACTTGATTCCAAATTATCTATACATAAAACTCTTACAATAAGAAAAACATAGTGACCCAATACAAAAATAAGCAAACCAGTTGAACAGGCACTTCACACAAAAGAGGATATCCAAGTGGCTGATAAGCATGTAAAAAGATGCTCACAATGAACGGTCTTCAGGGAAATAAATGCAAATTAAAACCACATACCTAGGGGATTTGAAACAAGGCAGTTCTGTTAACCTCTCTTGCTGTATTTACTAATATGTAAATTGGAGATATTAATGCTTATGCTCAGGAATTTACAGTCTGAAGAAGGAATAAATGACACAACAGAAAACTGATAATTATGTATGGAAACACAGAATTATATACTAAAAGTCCAAGGTTAGAGACATAGTGGCCATATCTTTTACCCCTAAATCAACTCAAATCAAATCAAATCAAATCCTGAGCTCAAGCGATCCTCCCGCCTCGGCCTCCCACACAAGTACTGGGATGCCAGGCATGAGCCACTGCACCTGGCCAAAAAAAATATTAAAGAAAGAACGAAATTGGTAATCACAGCGCATCTCAAGGCAGGGAAACTAAAGGGCTGAGGCCAGATGGAAAATGTACTTATCACTGTGCTTATAAATAAAATATTTACATTTTAAAACAAACAAACAAAAAGTCCGCGCGGTCCTAGGTGAATCTGGCCGAGGCTTCTGCGTCAAGGACGGCGCGGGTCAGCTGAGGCCAAGACCGCAGGCACTGCCCTACCGCTCTCCAGATCACAGCTCCGCCTCTGCAAGGCCCCGGGGAAACGGGCATCCCTTCTTCAGTGAGCAAAGGAGAAAGACGGAGCCCGGTGGCTGGGTGTTTCGCCCAGGATCACCAGCGAGCTCAGAGTCCTCCCCACGACCGCCCCAGGGTGGGCATTTTTAAAAGCGGAGGAAGGGAGGGAACACACTCTTTGGTGCTGTGCCCACCTTGCCTCGCACAGAGCGGGCGCTCACAGGCTTTGGGGGCCCCGCCCGGACCGCAGTGGGGAGAGGCCGCCCCATGCCCCGCCCCGCCAAATTTAAGAGCCTTCGCCGAGCGCCAGGAGGTTCCCAGACAACCGGTCTTGCTCGCTGCCTTTTGCAGAATCTTCTCACTTCTCCCGAGCTCCCTTCCTTGCGTCCGTCCGGGCAACGGCCGCGTCATGCCTAGCCCCAGGCCGCGAGGCAGCCCGCCACCCGCTCCCTCGGGCTCTCGGGTCCGACCTCCGCGCTCTGGCCGCTCTCCGGCGCCCAGGTCCCCTACTGGCCCGAACACGCCCCGCGCTCCCGGACGCTTCGAGTCCCCTTTCTCGGTCGAGGCCATCCTGGCGAGGCCCGACCCCTGCGCGCCGGCGGCCTCCCAGCCGTCGGGCTCCGCCTGCGTCCACCCGGCCTTCTGGACCGCTGCTTCCCTGTGCGCCACCGGGGGTCTGCCCTGGGCTTGCCCGACATCGTGGCTGCCCGCCTACCTGAGCGTAGGTTTTTACCCTGTGCCAGGGCCGCGCGTGGCTCCCGTCTGCGGCCTGCTGGGCTTCGGCGTCACAGGTACTGCGGTCCCGGCGCCCGCACGCGGGGGACTGGGCGGGGGCTGGAGAGCCTAGGTCGCCACTGCCGGCGCCCCAGTGCAGGAGAGGGCACTGAGTGTGAGAATCACACACGGCTGGAGTGGGAAGGGGCTCTGCCACCGTTTACCTTGCAGTTGAAGCCGAGGACCGCGACAGTCTTGCTGAAAAAGACCCCGGCGCGAGGCTTCCCCCGCACGCTGCTGAGGTGGGAGAGGGTGGGTGTGAGGGCGGCGCAGCGCCTGAATGCGGTGGGCAGGAGGCCAGCGCTGGGGCTGCAAGGGGACCCAGCCCTGCTCCCGGTCTCCGCGTCCCTTGACTCCCTCGCACACCCCGGGGTAGCGCTTAGTGACAGAGACGCTTCCCAAAGCGGCTCTCGACCCGAACCAATGGCCCTGTTTTTTTTTTTTACGGGGTAGGGGGAAGTGGACGCTCCGGGCGGTGCTGTTGAGCGAGGAGCTGTTAGGAGCTGGTCAAGGCTCACACCCCACTACCGCCTCCACTGCTCACGTCTGTGAACTTGAGCTACACACTTCGCTCTGAGCCTGCGTGCATGCAATGCTCTTAAGTAGTGCTTAAGGGCCAGGCACTTAAATCTCATGAGAAAGTAATTGTAAGGTTGGGCGCGGTGGCTCACGCCTGTAATTTCAGCACTTTGGAAGACCGAGGCGGGTGGATCACCTGAAGTCAGGAGTTCAAGGCCAGCCTGGCCAACATGGTGAAACCACATCTTTACTTAAAAGACAAAAAATTGGCCGGGCGCGGTGGCTCACGCCTGTAATCCCAGCACTTTGGGAGGCCGAGACGGGCGGATCACGAGGTCAGGAGATCGAGACCATCCTGGCTAACACGGTGAAACCCCGTCTCTACTAAAAATACAAAAATTAGCCGGGCATGGTGGCGCGTGCCTGTAGTCCCAGCTACACAGGAGGCTGAGGCAGGAGAATGGCGTGAACCCGGGAGGCGGAGCTTGCAGTGAGTCGAGATCGCGCCACTGCACTCCAGCCTGGGCGACAGAGCGAAACTCCGTCTCAAAAAAAAAAAAAAAAAAAAAGACAAAAAATTAGGAGGGCGTGGTGGCGCGCGCTTGTAATCCCAGCTACTCAGGAGGCTAAAGCAGGAGAATCACTTGAACCCGGGAGGTTGAGGTTGCATTAAGCCGAGATTGCGCCACTGCACTCTAGCCTGGGCAACAGAGTGAGACTCCGTCTCAAACAAACAAATCAACAAAAAAAAGTAACTATAGAGGGAACTTTGCCTTCTAGCATTAAACATCCACCTACACGTGCTTTTGCCATTTTTGGTTGCCAGGTTCATGTTTCCCCATGTCCCCACGAAGAAAACAGGAGCAAAGTTAGTCCAAGCCTTATCAACCCATACAAAGATAGTTGTAACACAGTCTTGCCGGGTTCCTACTCCGTGGCACCCACCCCAATCCTGCATTTCCTCACCCCATTTCAGCAGTGCATTAACCCTTGGACTCGCAGCCCCATCTAAATTCAATACCACTGGATCTGGGAGCTGTGCCCATCACTCCCAGTCACCTTTCTCTGAGCTCTTCACACACCTGAGGTCTGAATTACAGTTTACTACTTCATGTTACAGTTGCCTCATTTTCAAGTTAGTTGTTTTCTTTTGTTCTGTTTTGTTTTGTTTTGAGACGGAGTCTCACTCTGTCTCCCAGGCTGGAGTGCAGTGGCGCTATCTCTGCTCACTACAACCTCCTCCTTCCGGTCTCAAGTGATTCTCCTGCCTTAGCCTCTGGAGTGGCTGGAATTACAAGCCCCAGCACCATGCCCGGCTAATTTTTTTTATTTTTTTATTTTTTTTTTTTGAGGCGGAGTCTTGCTCTGTCCTTAGGCTGGAGTGCAGTGGTGCAATCTCGGCTCACTGCAAGCTCCGCCTCCCGGGTTCACGCCATTCTCCTGCCTCAGCCTCCCGAGTAGCTGGTACTGCAGGCACATGCCGCCACACCTGGCTAATTTTTTGTATTTTTAGTAGAGACGGGGTTTCACCATGTTAGCCAGGATGGTCTTGATCTCCTGACCTCGTGATGTATTTCTTTTTCTGTGAACTACTGTTCTTGTATTTTGCCCATATGTATAGTTGGTTATTTAAAACAATCTATTTGTAGATGCTCTTTTCTATTGAGGAAATTAGCCCTGGCTGGGTGCAGTGGCTCACCCCTGTAACTCCCTCACTTTGGGAGGCCAAGGCGGGTGGACTACTTCAGCTCAGGAGTTGAGACCAGCCTGGGCAACATGGCAAAACCCCGTCTCTACTAAAAACACAAAAATTAGCTGGGCATGGTGGTGCGCACCTTGGCGGGGGCTGAAGTGGGAGGATTGCTTGTGCCTGGGAGGCAGAGGTTGCAGTGAGCCGAGGTCAAGCCACTGAACTCCAGCCTGGGCAACAGAACAAGACACTGTCTCAAAAAATTAAAAAAGAAATTAGCCCTTTAACTGTAATGAACTACAAATGTTTTTCTGTGTATTGGCCTTTGACTTTGATTATGGCGGTATTCTTTTGTTACATAGAAAAAATTTTAATTTTTATGTTTGATGTGTTTTTACAAATCCTTTTTTTTTTCTTTTTTGAGACAGGTTCTCTGTCACTCATGCTGGAGTGCAGTGGTGCGATCACGGCTCACTGCAGCCTCAATGTTCCAGGCTTAAGCACTCCTCCTTAGCTTCCTGAGTAGCAGGGACCACAGGCATGCGCTACCATACTCAACTAATTTAAAACATTTTTTTTTGTAGAGATGGAATCTCACAATGCCTGTCTCAGCCTCCCGAGTAGCAGGGACCACAGGCATGCGCTACCATACTCGACTAATTTAAAACATTTATTTTGTAGAGATGGAATCTCACAATGTTACCCAGGCTGATCTTGAACTCCTGGGCTCAAGTGATCCTCCTGCCTCAGCCTCCCAAACTGCTGGGATTACAGGCATGAGCCACTGTGCCTGGCCCCACATCTTATATGATACTTGGAAAGAACTTCCTCACTGTGAAGTCATAAAATAACTTCCCCATTTTTTTCTAAATTTTTGTGGGTTTACCTTTTTACATTTAAATATTTCCTCCATTTAGATTTTTTTTAGTGCAAGGTATTGGGTATGGATCCAGCTTAATTTTTCCCAGATCTGGAAATAATCCCTCTTCCCCATTGGATTATCACTTCTGTTTTAATTTTTATAATAACCATTGACTTTCTTCTTGCTCTGTGCCTGGCACAGTGCTAAGCACCCTGTAAGCATCATATGCTTTTGTTTTTGTTGTTGTGGTAGTTGTTGTTGTTGAGACGGGGTCTTACTCTATTGGCAAGGAGTGATCTCGGCTTGGCTCACTACAACCTCTGCCTCCCGAGCTCAAGTGATCCTCCTGCTTCAGTCTCCCAAGCAGCGGGGTCTACAGTTGTGCACCACCACACCTGACTAATTTTTGTATTTTTTGTAGAGATAGGGTTTTACCATGTTGCCCAGGGTGGTCTCAAACTCCTGGGCTCAAGCGATGGGCCCATCTCAGTCTCTCAAAGTGCTGGGATTATAGGCATGAGCCACTGTGCCTAGACAGCACCATGTTAAAATCCTGACATCTCTGGAAGTAGGGATTATTATCACCATTTTACATGTGAGGAAATCAAGGCTCACAGAAGTACATTGTCTTGCCCAAGGTCCTCTGGCTGGTAATTGGTGGCAGAGCTAGGATTCCAACTAGAGCTTTTTTTTTTTTTTTTTTTTTTTTTAAGACAGAGTCTCACTCTATCACCCAGGCTGGAATACAGTGGCACAACCTTGGCTCACTGCAACTTCCGCCTTCCAGGTTCAAGCGATTCTCCTGCCTCAGCCTCCTGAGTAGCTGGGATTACAGGTGCCCACCACCACATCTGGCTAATTTTTGTATTTTTAGTAGAGACGGGGTTTCGCCAAGTTGGCCAGGCTGGTCTTGAACTCCTGACTTCAGGCTATCCGCCTGCCTCAGCCTCCCAAAGTGCTGGGATTACAGGTATAAGCCACCATGCCCGGCCTCAACTAGAGCTCTTAAGGAACACACAGTACAGCCTACTTTCTTCTCCAAAGGTCAATTTCTGATTCTGAAACAAGGCTGACTAGATACACCAGGCTGTATGTCTGATGGGCTTTTCCTGATCTTTTGGTCTACCTTGGCAGGCACAGTGTAAGCCTAGTGGGCCCAGTGGTTGGAGTCCTAAGCAGCCGGGACCCCAGATACACTCCCTTTGTTGGGGCAGTCTGTCTGCCAGCCCTGAGGACTCCCCAAGGCTAGTGGGGGCTGAGTGGCCTTAGCATTATGCTTGCCATTCTTCTGCCTAGAATACTATACCCCCAGATAGCCCAATGGCTCACTCCCTCATCCCCATCAAGATTTGACTTAGGAACTGCTCTTGGTTGATGCATCTCCACTGGCCCACAGCTTGGTCTCATTTATTCCCGTGGCTTAAAATACCATCTATATAAGCTGATGACTCCCAATTTTTTTTTTAATTGAGACAGAGTCTTGCACTGTCACCCAGGATGGAGTAGAGTGGGCTCTATCTTGGCTCACTGCAACCTCTGCTTCCCGGACTCAAGCAGTTCTCCTGCCTCAGCCTCCTGAGTAGCTGGGATTACAGGCATGTGCCACCATGCCTGGCTAATTTTTGTATTTTTAGTAGAGACGGGGTTTCACCATGTTGGCCAGGCTGGTCTTGAACTCCTGATCTCAAGCGATCCGCCCCCTTCAGCCTCCCAAAGTGCTGGAATTACAGGCATGAGCCAACGTGCTCAGTGATGACTCCCAAATTTGTATCCTCAGCTCAACCCTCTCTTCTGACTTCTATCTCTTCTGACCTCATTTCTAAGATGTAAGCTCCATAACGACAGAGATTTTCTGTTTTGTCCTGAAACCATGCATGACACACAGTAGACATTCAAAAAGTATAATATTTGTTCAGTGAATTAAAAGGGTGAACCCCTGGGGGTCTCTTCTCTGCCCATTCCATGGCGTTGCCAGAAGCAGTCAAGGAGAGGAAAGGAAGGCAAAGAGAAGGGAGGTTTGGCAACTCCTCTTAGGGGCCAGAAGTGAAGCCACTTGGCTAGAGAGTAGTGGTGGCAGACAGTCTCATTGCATTGTCCCTTCTTTCCCATTTGTTTGTTTCCTGTTATTTCTGCACAGTCTCTTTCCACTGTCTTCTTGCACTGTTACCTGGCCAAGGGGAAGGCAAGGTAGCAGAGCTGTGTGTGCCTTCTCATTTTGCCCAGATGGGAGTGCAGGGGGCTTCTGGCTAACCTCCCCTGCTGCTGGATAACCTCCCCTGCTGCTGGTTGCTCTTTAGGGTTGGAGCTGGCTCACTGCTCAGGACTCTGGGCCTTCCCAGACTGGGCCCCAACGGAGGACCTACAGGACACTGAGAGACAGCAAAAGAGAGTCCGAACTATGTTTAACTTGGAGCAGCTGGAAGAGTTGGAGAAAGTGTTTGCAAAACAGCACAATCTGGTGGGGAAGAAGAGAGCCCAGCTGGCAGCTCGGCTCAAACTTACAGAGAACCAGGTGGGAGTAGGGACTCCTATTGGGCCTGGGCTGCACCTGGGGACAAACACTACCTCAGCAAGGCCCTAAAAGGAGGGTGGGAGGAAGATATGGGCCCTCTTCCCTGTGCCAGGCTGTTGAGGGGACAGGCCCTGACTTTTTGCACACTCTATATAATGAAAAAAAAAAGTCCCATTTGAAGTCACATAATGTGAACAACTTGGAATGTTAACTTAGATTATTAGTCTAAAAATTGATAATAAAGGATTTCCATGCTAAATAAGGACCTGCCAGTAAAATTAAGTAGATGTGGCCAGGTGCGGTGGCTCACGCCTCTAATCCCAGCACTTTGGGAGGCTGAGGTGGGCAGATCACAAGGTCAGGAGTTCAAGACCAGCCCAGCCAACATAGTGAAACCCTGTCTCTACTAAAAATACAAAAAAATCAGCTGGGTGCCTATAATCCCAGCTACTTAGGAGGCCGATGCAGGAGAATCGCTTGAGCCTGGGAGGCAGAGGTTGCAGTGAGCGGAGATCACGCCACTGCACTCCAGCTTGGGCAACATTTGGAGAGCCCGTCTCAAAAAAAAAAAAAAAAAAGAAGAAGAAGAAAAAAATTAAGTAGATATTAAAGAGTCAATATAATCAATATTTCTTTGACCCCTATATTCCTCTCTAGCTATTATATAATTTCTCTGCTCCTTTTACAGGCAAACTTCTCAACAACTTGCCATGTTCACTTTGTCCGTGTCCTCGCCTCCCACTCACTGCTTCACACATTCCAACATGACTTTTCCCTACCATTCCATCAAAACTTCTCAGCAAGGTCTCTAATAACCTCCATGTTGCCAGAGCCAACAATATGACACTTTCCTTTCTTCAGCTCAGTCCACCACTCAGCAGCTCTTAGTACTGGACAGTCAGCCACCCCATCCCTTATTGAAACATGTTCCTCATAGCCTCCAGACACCATGCTGTCTAGTTTTCCTCCCAGCTCTGCCTCCTTGGCAGGCTACTCTTCCCTTGGGGACCTCGAAATCTCTTCCCAGCTGGTCTCATCTATTCCCGTGGCTTAAAATACCATCTATAAGCCAATGACTCCCAAATTTGTATCCTCAGCACAACCATCTCATCTGACTTATATCTCTAACTACCTTCTTGGTGATTCCACTTAGATGTCTCATGGGCACATATCTCAAACCCAAGTCTAAACCTCAATTCCTGACTTTTTTCTTGCCCAAATATGTTCCTTTCCCATATATGACCCCACCGTCCACCTGGTTACTCAAAAACCCAATCATCCTAGATTCCTCCTTCTCCTCCGCTTCCAACCATCATTGAGCCTTGTCATCTCTACCTCCAAAATACAGCTGGAGTGGCTTCACTTCTCTCTGTCACCCCTAATGTACGCCCCAGCTCTCCCGGGGCCGCTGCAGTAGCCTCCCTCCTGTCTTCCTGCTTCTGCTGCCATCCATGCTTCACACAGCAGCTAGGTGCACAGTGCACTTCAGATGTAAATAGGATTATGTGGGCCCACGTAAAAGCCTCATGGGTGACATTCCTTATCTATGGCCTTCCAGGTCCTGGGTGATCTGGCACCCGCTGACCTCTCCCATTTCCCTCCCTTGACTTTCTCCTCTCACTGTCATCCGTGCTCTCCTCCTTCCTGGTCCTCAAACACTCCAAGCTTGGTTCCATTTCAGAGCCTTCCTACAGGTTGTTCCCTGCCCTGCAGACCTGCTCTTCTCTGTCCCCATCAGGTGGGCCTCTCTCTCTTTGAGCCTCAGCTTTAATGCTGGCTCCTTAGGGAGGCCTCCTCTGCCCAAACCCCTGTTTGTACCCCCTTTTGTGTTTACATAGCTCTTTGTTTGTTTACATGTTTCTTGCCAGTGTTTCTTCACTAGCTCATGAGCTCCACGAGGGCAGGCAGCTTGCCTCTGTTGCTCACCACTGTATCAGCATCACCTAGGATGGTGCTTAGCACATACTGGAAACTCAGTAAATACTCAGATGAATGAATGGTGTCTGGAATTGTAGAAAGGGGTGTTTTGGAGGAGGTACCTCCCTGAGAAGGAAGAGCAAATATTGGCCAGGCAGAGAGGGGTGTTCACTCCAGGAATTAGGAAGCAGTGGGACCTGATGGTCACATTCTGATCTCTGCCCACTCTCCAATTATAGGTGAGAGTCTGGTTCCAGAACCGCAGGGTCAAGTATCAGAAGCAGCAAAAGCTGAGGGCAGCAGTTACATCTGCCGAGGCTGCCTCCCTGGATGAGCCTTCCAGCAGCTCCATCGCCAGTATCCAGAGTGATGATGCCGAGTCAGGAGTGGACGGCTGAAGACTGGGACAGAGGCCCTAGCCAGGCTGCCTGGACTAGTTCCTCCTGGGGGTACCCACTGGAGCTCCCTGCCTCACACCTCAACGAAAAGCCTCCTCAACCAGAAGAATCTGAGCTGTCAAGCAGGGACCCCCTTTTCTATACTGATTCCTGGAAACTGGAATAATGTAATGATTGGAGGCACAGACTCTGGCCTTCAGCTATGTCCTTGGCCAACCTATGGAACTTCCGAGCCTTTTTTCTTTATCTGTATAATGGGTGCATTCATAACTTAGATCACCCAGGGGTGAGAAGATGTCTGTAAAGCAATAATGTGCCATGCACAGTGCAAAGTGTGTGGTTACTGTTAAGGCTTGTAGGCCCCTGAGTAGAGAAGACCAACTGGAAAAAAAAAAGTTTTTTTCTTCTGCTGTCACCCCACAACAATCAACACAGAACACTTCTGTGACCAAACGTATAGGGGTGTACCCCACATTCCAACCTCCAGTTCAGCAAATTCTGACATGATCTACCTGCAGGTAGTGTCTGACCCCACAGATTCAGGGCTCATTCCACATGGCAGCCCCTCCTTTCTTTTTTTTTTGAGACAGACTGCAGTGGCGCGATCTTGGCTCACCGCCACCTCCGCCTCCCGGGTTCAAGCGATTCTCCTGCCTCAGCCTCCCGAGCAGCTGGGACTATAGGCGCATGCCACCATGCCTGGCTAATTTTTATATTTTTAGTAGAGACGGGGTTTCATCATATGGTCAGGCTGGTCTTGAACTGCTGACCTTGTGATCCACCCACCTCGGCCTCCCAAAGTGCTGGGATTACATGTGTGAGCCACCACCCGGCCCAACCCTGCCCTTTTTGTTTTTTATGGAGTCTTAAGGTCTACCAGTCATCAGTCAACTCATTAGCATATGAAAAGACATCACTTCAGAGATTCTAGGGATTTTAGGAGTTCTATGCCAGGAAATCGAGATGAAGACCAAATATATATTTCATAATATCACAGCTCCCCTCACCTGGGGGAGTAATACCTGTACCAGCAATTAATATTTTCCTGGCCTGGCTGTGGAGAAGGAACCTCTTTGAATAAGCATCTGGGCATAGAAGACTCTTCACCATCAGAAGGAGTTGAGAGCAAAGAAGAGAAGGTAGACTGTTTAGCCCACTTCACAAAGTTTCCCAACGTTTTCTTGTTTTGTCTGAACTGTTACCATTCTCAGAAGAAGCTCAGGCCCAGCAGCAAAGACAAGGACTCGCTCTGTCACCCAGACTGGAGTGCAGTGGTGCAATCATAGCTCACGGCAGCCTCAACCTCCTGGGCTCTAGTGATCCTCCCACCTTAGCCTCCTAAGCAGCTGGGACTACAGGCGCGTGACACCACGCCTGGCTAATTTTTAACATTTTTTGTAGAGACAACGTCCACTTGTTGCCCAGGCTGGTCTTGAATTCCAGGCTTCAAGTGGTTCTCCTGCCTTGGCCTCCCAAAGCCCCATCTTTTTATAGAATAATTTGTGTATGCCAAGGCTGGCATTTTGTCATAAACTCTGCTGTGTTTTCACAGGACAGTTATAATTTCCCCCTTTCATGACTCTGACTCATGGCTCCTTTTTCTTCTCAAGAATGTGCTCGATTTCTCTGAAAGAAGCCTGCTGCCAGGATTTGCAGAGCTGATTTCTGTAGCACAGACCATTCAGATTCTAGAATGGCTCTTGGGGACTGAGCTGAGGGATGGAAGGAAGCCTGCCCTGCCACCTGGTGGTGAGTGAGGGCACGGCCCCCAGCTGCTCTCGGGTAGGTTTGCCCCCAAGTACGTGGACTATTCGCTCCCTGACACCGGGCTGCAGGCTTGAGGGGACCCAGGGTCGGTTTCAAGAGCCTCTTCTCTGGCCCTGCCAACTATCTATCTCCCCCAAGTCCGTGGACTATTCGCTCCTTGACACCAGGTTGCAAGCTTGAGGAGAGGCAGGGTCAGTTTCAAGAACCTTTCTCTGTCCCTGCCAACTATCTATCTATCTATAATTATTTGATAGATAATTGTGGCTTGATCACGGCTCATTGCAGTCTAGACCTCCCCAGGTTCAGGTGATCCTCCCACGCATCACCACGCCCGGCAAATTTTTCTATTTTTTGGAGAGACAAGGTCTCACTACGTTGCCCAGTCTGTTCTTGAGCCCGGGAGCTGGAGGCTGCCGTGAGCCGAGATCGCCCCATGCCAGTATGGGCGACAAAGCGAGACCCTGTCTCAAACAAAACTCACAAAATCAGGGGACAAGGAAACAAAACAAGGCTTGATAGTCAGGCCTAGCTGTGGGGACAAATGCCATAGGTCTGTGGTTTGCAGCTTCTTGGGGTCCTGAGAGAACAGGCCCCTCCCCCTTTTCACGACAGTGTGTGCATATGCACACTCACTTCTGTATCCAGTTTCAGAGGTTCTCAGATCTGAGGTCCCCTATGGACTCCTCCGCTACCCCCGGTTGCAAGGTCCCTAAGCCATTGAAGAATCTGACAGAGGCACAAGTCCACCCTGACCTTTGGCAGGACTGTTCTGCTGCCAGAGGGATTACCGAGAAAGGAAATCTTGTCCTGGACTCTTCAAGTGGGGTGAGTGAGCTCCGGGGTATAAGCTAGTCCTTCCCTTCAGGCTGAGAGCTAGACAGGATAGGAGTAAGTTGGCCTTCTGCTGTCCCACTCTAGGGCTGGGTCCAAAGAGCGCTTTACTCAGTGAAGACAGGCCACTGTGTGGACAGAGACAACATACATAGAAACATGCATCGGAGGCCGGGCGAGGTGGCTCACGCCTGTAATCCCAACACTTTAGGAGGTCGAGGCGGGCGGATCACTTGAGGTCAGGAGTTCGAGACCAGCCTGGCCAACATGGTGAAACCCCTAAAAATACAAAAATTAGCTGGGCTTAGTGGCGCACGCCTGTACGCCCAGCTACTCGGGAGGCTGAGGCAGGAGAATGAATCACTTGAACCTGGGAGGCAGAGGTTGCACTGAGCCGAGATCGCGCCACTGCACACCAGCCTGGGCGACAGAGTGAGACTATCTCAAAAAAAAAAAACCACAACAAAACATGCAACGGACTCAAAGATACACACATCAAAACTGTACGCGCACACAGACTCTGATACAGAGGTACAGACACAAAAAGGCACCGATGTAAAAGCACAAAGGCAGGCCCAGTTACACTCCCGTCAACAAACCACGGAACCTAAATTCAGACTTGGTGGAGCCCAAAACCTCGCAGCCTCAGGGGCACTCTCGCCGGGGGCGGGACCAGAAGGGGGTGTGGCCTCTCAGGTCGAGGCGGGGTTAAGGGTCATAAGGCGGAGGCGCGCCCAAGATGGCGGCCTCCATGTGCGACGTGTTCTCCTTCTGCGTGGGCGTGGCGGGCCGCGCGCGGGTCTCCGTGGAAGTCCGTTTCGTGAGCAGCGCCAAGGTGAGGTCGGGGCGGGTCCTGCCGGGAGCCTCTCCCCAGTCCGGCCATGGAGACAGCCCGGCCGGACTCCATGCCCGGAGCCCAGAGGCTTCTGTGCCGCTCGGACGCTACGGCCCTGCCCCTGCTCGCGGCCCGGGGGCTCCCAGTCTGTCCCTGCGCGCAGGCTCGTGGCGCGGTCACGCGATAGACCCGGGCCTCCGGAGTCTCCGTGCGCATTTCCTCCCAGCGGAATTCGGCCAGCCCGCGGGAGGCCCTTCTGTGGCTGCTCGGGGCGGGGCTAGGGGGCTTTGCTGCTGTATCCCTGGAACGGTGGGCGGGGATGTGCCGGGCAGAGAGAACTGAGGTGTAAAAGAGGGAGTCCTCACGAACTTCATGTGTGAGATTTGGGTGAGGGGATGAGGAGAGAGGCCAAGATCCTTCACGAGGGTCCTTGGAGTGCTGAGGAATTTGGACCAGAGTCCAAAGGCCGTGGGGGCATTGGGAGAGTTTTTAGCAGGAAGGTGACGTGATTTTGTCGTTTTTATTGTGTTCCAAAAGTTCATTGTAGAAAAAAATACAAAATGCATGTAAGGAAAGAAAATACAAAAATCACCCATACTTCTATACTTGTGCAAAGATGAGTACGTTAAAATTACATTTTTAGAAACTGCTTTTTGATGCAGCAGTGAATCTTTCAATATCAAGCCTATTTCTACATATTAAGTTTTAAGAGCTGAGTAGTAGCTTCTTCCGTGAGAGGGTCACAGTTCACTCAACCAACCCCTTATTAATGGACCCTTTATTGTTGTATGGTATTTTTCATCCCCAGAGTCAAAAGTCTTAGAGCTCATTTTCTGTGCAAACATCCTCTTGTTTTGTCCAGCAGTATTTTTTTCCTAGTTATCTTTGCCTATTGATATGTGTAAAATTATATTTGTTCTCATTTACGTTTCTTTGGTTACTAGTGAGGTTGAATAATTTATCCTGTGTAGTGGCTGTGTGTATGGTTGGTTCTTGCCCAAGACGTAAGACCTCTAGTTGTCTGTTGTCTGCTCTCAGCGTCATCATATTGATCTAGTTTTCCAGCTCAACCTTCCGTGCCCCCTTTCTGCTCTAGAGGTATCTGGAGCAGTTTGCTCCTTCCCTGGTAAATCAGCTTCCCTACATCCCTGGTCTCCTTACCTGTTCCTATCTCCATCTCCATAGTCTCTAGTGCTCCTGGGTGGCCACAGTTTGAAGGCCTCTCAGTTCCATCATTCTTGGTTTGCAGTGATATTCTTCACCTTTTTCTTCATTAGCCCCCAGTCTCTCAGCCCCTTCCTTTCTTCATTTCTTCCCTCTCGCTTCTTCACTTCAGCCACTCTCCTTGCACAGTTTTCCTGTCCCAGGCTTCTATCAAGGCCCTAGCTGATTGCCCTCTCCTTGCCTACATCTGATCTGCTGCTGGAGAAAATAACATACCTGCCTGGACTTGGTAACAGCATGGATTATCCTGGGCTTTTTGCTTCTCTATTCAAATGAGATTGGTTTGTGATTTTTTTCTCTGTGTTATTTTCCTCAAGTTGCCACATGAGGGTTATACTTGTTTTTTTTTGGTAAAACAGAAATGCTTTCTGTCATTACATTGTTTAAATAGCATGAGCATTATTTATTCTTTAAAGGTTTGAGAGAATTGGGTCATGAAACTATATAGACCAGGGGCCTCAAGTGGGAGTAGTTTTTGACTACTGTTTATTGCTTCTGTGGATAGGAATGACTTTTCAAAAATTTATCAACTATTATGCCAGAGACATGACCAGTCAGAACAGAAACCTCACCAGGTCCAGTGGAAGCCAGCTGGATTACCATACTGGTGCACTAGCCGGATAGCAGCATGGCTTATTGTGGGCTTTCTTCTTTTAATCAAGATTTTAAAATCTACTACATAGTCTGCCCGGGCATGGTGGCTCATTCCTTTAATTCCAGCGCTTTCGGAGGCCAAGGTGGGCTGATCACTTGAGATCAGGAGTTCAAGACCAGTCTGGCCAACATGGTGAAACCCTGTCTCTACTAAAAATACAAAAATTAGGCCTGGCGTGGTGGCTCACACCTGTAATCCCAGCACTTTGGGAGGCCGAGAGGGGCGGATCACTTGAACTTGATGTCAGGAGTTCGAGACCAGCCTGACCAACATGGTGAAACCCCATCTGTACTAAAAATACAAAAATTAGTCGGGCGTGGTGGTGCACACCTGTAATCCCAGCTACCTGAGGGCCAGGCACGAGAATTGCTTGAACCCAGGAGGCAGAAGTTGCAGTGAGCTGAGGTCGTGCTACTGCACTCCAGCCTGGGCGACAGAGGGAGACTCCATCTCAACAACAACAACAAAAATCTATTACATAGTCTTAAGAGTTTTGCACTATTTTTTTTTATAGAGATGGGGTCTTGCTGTGTTGCCCAGGCTGGTCTCAAACTCCTGGGCTCAAGCGATCCTTCATCCTTGCTTCCCAAAGTGCTAGATTTACAGTGTGAGCCACCATACCCGGCCTGCACGATTTTTTCTTAAAACTTTTTTTTCAAATTGGAAGTATGTATGGTTTGTCCCCTTTCCATTCAGGTTCAGTGCTCTCCAACCTTCTTTTTTTTTTTGAGATGGAGTCTTACTCTGTTGCCCAGGCTATAGTGCAGTAGTACAATCTTGGCTCACTGCAACCTCCGCCTCCTGGGTTCAAGCGATTCTCCTGCCTCAGCCTTCCGAGTAGCTGGGACTACAGGTGAACACCACCATGTCCAGCTAATTTTTGTATTTTTAGTAGAGACAGGGTTTCACCATATTGGTCAGGCTGGTCTTGAACTCCTGACCTCGTGATCTGTCTGCCTTAGCCTCCCAAAGTGCTGGGATTACAAGCATGAGCCACTGCGCCCGGCCCAACCTTAATATTATGAGTTAGAGCTCTGTTTTCCTTGAAATATGGTCATCAGTTTTGGGAATGACTTTATAAAGGAACAACTCTGATTCTTTTCTCTTTGTTTTGATTACGAAATATTTTCTGCATTTAGTCCTTCACAAAGAGAGGGAGATCTATATTTGTCCAATATTGAAATTTGAGATTGTCAGAAATAATGTGAGTCCCTGTTCATATTGTCGTGTCCCATAGAGGAAGGCCAAGTTTTCAATTTGCTAGATTGGGATGGGATACAAGGCATGGGGAGAAGGGCTTCCAGGAAACCAGGCAAGGGTATGCCCAGGGCTTTGCCTCCTGGTTTTGTTTCACCTGTCCCACTCTACTGTGAGATAGAGCTTCCAGAGTTGTTCACAGGGTTGAGATTTTTCGCTCTGAATTTGAGAGGCAACCGTATCTGGCCTTCTAAGGAGGCAGGGAGCTACCTGGGAGGCAACACTGACAGGTCATTTTGCTTCAGTGTCAAGCATTTTTTTCCTCTCCTTTTGTTGTGGCAGCTCAGTGTTGACAGGGCTCCACACGTCTTCTTTGAGTAGTGGGAGTATGTGCCCAATAAGGCCAGTAACTGCCTGGGTTCTGAAGCCATCTGCTGAGTCCTTTTGCACATTTGAGAGATGGCAGTTCAGAGGTTTTTTTCTCATTCTTCATCCTTTACATGATGTATATAGTGTTTTAGACCAGTGCTTCTCAAACTAACATGCATATGAATCACCTGGGCATCTTGTTACGATGCAGATTCTGATTCAGCAGGTCTGGGGTGGGGCCCAAGAGTCTGCATTTCTGACAGAGTCCTAGGTGATGCCCATGTTGCCAGTCCCTGTACCCTCATTGAGTAGGAAGAAGCTAGAGCTCATAAGGTCCATTCATCTGTGCTATATCATTACACCCTGGAAACTACCTTGTAGGTATTATTATAATGCTCACTTTTCAAACGGGAAACAGATGTAAAGTGAAGCAGTTGGCTCAAAGGTTCACAGCAAGTTAATGTTAGGACTGGTACTAGTATTAGCTCCTTTCTTTCAGTGCAACCACCAAGGACTTGTTGGATGCCAGGCACTGTGCTAGGTGCTGTGGGTATTCAGCTGACCAAGGAAGAAGGCACATTCTCCCCCAAACAAGGCTTCCCTGTCCCATGGTGTAGGATTTCTCTGCAACCCTGTGTAGCAACACCACTGCCAGGATCCTGGAGTGGCATGTGGCTGACTCAGAGATGAGTGCCCTGCCATTATCAGCTCCTGGTACTGGAGGCCCCAGCCTGCTATAAGCCTTGGCCCTGCTCTGGCCATACTGAGAAAAATTCTCTCAGTAATCTGAGATGGCTGCCATGGTGGCTGCCTCCCTGTTCCAGGCCTTCTGCTCTGAATGGGCTGAAAGGGATGCAACTGAAAATAGGTCAGAGCTGTATTTCCAGAGGAGAAAGTTATGGAGGGTGCTAACCACTCTCCATGAACTCACAGAGGCAGAGGCCTCTCCTAAGAGTGAGGCATGTGGGAGTGAGGCTGGACAGCCTCCTGGAAGCTCTCGGAGCTATGTCTTCTGTTCCTTTTTATGGCCATCCTATCCCTCTGCCCTCTCAGGGAAAGGGGCTGTTTGCCACACAGCTCATCCGGAAGGGGGAGACCATCTTCGTAGAACGGCCCCTGGTGGCTGCACAGTTTCTCTGGAATGCACTTTATCGCTACCGAGGTGAGTACATCTCTCCTACTCCTCATGGCCCAGTCGTCTTTGTGCATGGAAGTGAGCTGCATACATCCCTACTGGCTGACGTCTCTGGAACTCTGGGTGTTGGGAGGAAATGCTGTCTTCCATTGAAGGACTGTGCCTGAGAACCATGCCTCTGTCCAGTCTCAGGTGTTTGAGGCTTATTCCTGTGGTGGGAGGCTCTTCAGATGTGCTCCCTGAGGGAGCACAGCAGGACTTAGGCGAGTTTGATTCCATGGTATGAGGGACATCATGCTGAAGGCCCAGTGCCAAAGTGGAGTCCTCCACCAAGAGGAGGCTACATGGCCCTTGTTCAAAGAAGGCTGAGTTAGGGGTGAGCACAAGTACGATGCCCTTAGCTTTGCTGGCCACATGCTTTTTTCACACTTTTCTTTTTTTGGGGTCTGGGGGAGGGGGACGGAGTTTCGCTCTTGTCACCCAGGCTAAAGTGCAGTGGTGCAATCTCGGCTCTCTGCAACCTCTGCCTCCTAGGTTCAAGCAATCCTCCTGCCTCAGCCTCCCGAGTAGCTGGGATTACAGGCACACACAACCATGTCCAGCTAATTTTTGCATTTTTAGTAGAAACGGGGTTTCAACATGTTGGCTAGGCTGGTCTTGAACTCCTAACCTCAGGTGCTCCACTTGCCTTGGCCTCCCAAAGTGCTGGGATTACAGGCTTGAGCCACCGTGCCCAACCCACACATTTCTTAAGCTAGAGAGACACAATGAAAGGAGGGTCAGTTGGCCCCAGAGTATGGGAAAAGCCCAGTTTGGGGGTGGTAGGGGAGCCCCACAGAGTGAGTCTGATTAAGAAGCAAGGAAAGTTAGACAATAAGGGCCAGGAGGTCCTTGAGAGGGAGGAGGGGATCATCTGCCTTGGGATGCACATGAAATAAATTCATTCATCCATTCATCCATGCATGTAATTATTCATTTACTCACTTTCCAAACCTTTATGAAACACTAGAATGGTGCCTGGCACATAGCAGCTGCTCTGTAGGGCTGTGAAAGGGATAGATGTGGCCTCTGCTCTCAAGATATTGTTGTGTCTGGCTCTCACCGTCAGCCTGTGACCACTGCCTTAGGGCACTAGAGAAGGCAGAGGAGAATGCCCAGAGGCTGACCGGGAAACCAGGCCAGGTTCTGCCTCACCCAGAGCTGTGCACTGTGCGCAAAGACCTCCACCAGAACTGTCCCCATTGCCAAGTGAGTATTCTTGGGGAGTGTACCTGGAAGGGGGTGGGTGAGGGAGGCCTTAGCTGGAGTCCTCAGTGGGGAGACAGGAGCAGCGACAGACCTGGTCATGGCCCTTGAAAACTACAATGTAGGATAAGATGTTGAAAAGGCTTGGTTATTGTTCCAGTTTCATCCTCCCTGGCACAGTTACATTGTCTGGAAAATGGGCTTGGTGGGAGCTGGAAAATGGGCTTGGTGGGAGCTTGCTTTCTTCCTGGGGACCTGGCAGGGGCTCTCCCCTCTACCTGAAAAGTTCTCTTCCCTTTCTGTGGTTTTGCAAGCCTAGGTGTGCCTTTCACATATCCCCAGAGCACCCTATGTTTTCTCTTCTCATGATACATCTGAGCTACAGCTCAGGGGCTATTTGTGGAAGGAATGCAGTTAGAGGAGGTGATTCTAGGGCCAGATCCTTGGGTACTGACCTCTATCCCACCTAACAGGTGATGTACTGCAGTGCAGAATGTCGGTTGGCAGCCACTGAGCAATACCACCAGGTCCTGTGCCCAGGCCCCTCCCAGGATGACCCCTTGCATCCTCTCAATAAGCTTCAGGAGGCATGGAGGTAGGTTTCTTTTCCTCTCTTCTTTCCTTTATCCTTTCCTCCCTGGTTGCCTGCCTGGGCTCATCAGGTGTTGCCGTCTTTCTTAAGTTCCAATTCCCCGGATTTTTCTTCCTTTCTTAGGGTTAAACAGAAGTCACATAACCCTATCCCCTGCTTTTAATCTGGGCTGTCAGTCTTTCTGTCCTTAGCATTTAACGCTCTCCCAGAAAGAGCCCCATTAAGCCAATAGGGATGCAAAGTCTTGCCTAAGTCCTTGTCTATGACTTTCCTGGTAATTGATGGAATTGGTAGGAAGTTTTCTCTGTACCAGTCAGACTCGGCTTCCCTGAGCTCAGCTACTAGGGAGAGAATTTCTAGGCCAATCTTTTTTCTCTTTCCCCAGGAGTATTCACTACCCACCTGAGACTGCAAGCATCATGTTGATGGCTAGGATGGTGGCCACAGTGAAGCAGGTGAGCCCACCCAACCCTCTCGGGGAAGCTGACTTTGGCCCCATTCAACCCTTGGTCTCAGTCTTTTCCTCACCTCAAAGCCCTAGCTTGGATGCAGAGTTCTTCCTGGCCTTCCCAAAGGAGAGCTCCTTGCTATGTAAAACCTTCAGAATGCACTCTGAAGGCATAGGGAGTGGAGAGCTCGTTTTGCCTGTAGTCTTTTTTTTTTTTTTTTTTGTAACTTAAAGACCAGTGTGATAGTATGCCTGTAGTTTCTGATATAGAAGATGCCTTGTGCAGTAGCAATTCATGCATTTGATTTATAAGCACCGCTTTTTCAGGATTATGTCTTACATAAAGCGAGAGAAGCCACTCTAACCACCCTTCTATTAATATTGTTCCTCAGCCTCTTTCTCCTGTTTTCCAAGTGTTGTTGAATTGGCTATCTTGGCTACAACTGGGGAGATGGTTGTGGGTGGGCAGCATTGGGAGGAAGCCTCAGGCAGAGGAAGGGCCCCTATAAGTTCCTGTGTAGTGGTATTTCCCAAGTGGGCGGGAGTGCCAGTGAGAAGGTGGGTATCTGTGACCCTTAAGTATGTTTGTTCACTGCAGGCGAAGGACAAGGACCGTTGGATCAGACTCTTTTCCCAGTTTTGTAACAAAACAGCCAATGAAGAGGAGGAAATTGTCCATAAACTTCTGGGAGACAAATTCAAGGTTATTATTCTCCCGTGGCCTGTCTCCTTCCCTCCCCAAATATCCTAGGATGTCTCTGGCCAGCTGTGGGGAGCACCACATTTGATCACTTCTGAGCTACAGGAAGGAGTTAGAACTTGGGTCCAGAAATCGATTCAGAGGAGTTACATTCCTGCCACTGTTTACTTCATGACCTCATGTGGACCTACAGTTGGGAAGTGGGGTGACAACAGAGGAAGGGCATGTCAGATGCCTTGCCCTGAAAGTGCTCCCTAACTGGTGTTAGAAGGCAGGACTCGTCATAGGATAGCAGTGGGCAAATCAGGTAGAATGGGGCCGCAGAATCAGAGAGCAGTGTGAAACTGCCCATGTCCTGAGAACCCGTTCCCAATCAAAGAGTATGGGTCCTCACTGAGGACAGCAGACTTCCCTGCAGGAGCTGCCTGAGGGTGGAGGCAGGTGTGTACAAGGTTTGCATCTGGGGTGGGCCCTCTTGCACTGAACTTTTATAGGAAGGGAGTGGGAGAGCCCAGCTGGTCTGGAGGCCAGGTCAAGGGAGATTTGATGGTGGTGGTGTGGATAGACATTTCAGGCTGCCTCAGCCTTGCTGGTACAAGTGCTGGAAAATGGAGAGAAATTTGGGTTTGCCACCCCGGGTTGGAACAGGCCGGCAGACTGCCAAAGCTCTTTGGAGGTAGACTCTGTGGCCTTCCTTTGCCCCTACGGAAAGCTCAGTCTACAGAGCTGGCCCTTTTTCCTTCCCTCCCCTAGTCGCCTGGGCCCTGCCTGGGTGCTAATGGGAAATCCCCAGGGATACAAGTCTCTCCCTGCTTCCTCTAATCCAGGGCCAACTGGAACTTCTGCGGAGACTCTTCACAGAGGCCCTCTATGAGGAAGCAGTCAGCCAGGTGAGTGAGGAGAGGGTGGGACCAGTGGCCTCCTTGTTACTCCAGCTCTCCAGGAGCAATCAGGTCATCATCTCCTACTGGGACAGCTGAGCCAAAGCCGACTTGGTCTTCTGGAGTTCAGATGAGCCTGACTCACAGAAGGCTTCCCAAACAGAGAGTCCAATTGGAAGAAAAGTCAGTGGCTGTAATGAGCACTCATCTCTTTTTTCCCCCCACAGTGGTTCACTCCAGATGGATTCCGGTCTCTCTTTGCTCTTGTTGGGACCAATGGCCAAGGAATCGGGACCAGGTTAGAATGTTCCAGAGCTATTGAAGTTACTCTCAGGGGTGGGAAACTGAGGAAGGTAGCCACAGTTCCTTTCAAGACTGGGATGGGGTAGGGTGGGACTCTGGACAGATCACTGAACTGGACACAGTGGTGGGAATCAGAATGAGGCATTGGAATCTGTTTTGGGGAGCCTCTGTTGGGGAAGATGGGCCCCCACCTGGAGAATGAAGTGGGGTGGGGATGGGAGACCCTTCTTCCTGGGCTTAACTTACCTGGAGGTGGAGAGCCCTGTGACCTGGGCTTCTGCCTCCCCAACCATGGGCTGCCTGGGACCCCCCAGCTCCCTAAGCCAGTGGGTCCATGCCTGTGACACTCTGGAGTTGAAGCCTCAGGACCGTGAGCAGCTTGACGCCTTCATTGACCAGCTATACAAGGACATCGAGGCAGGTTGGTGAGATAGGGCCTTGGCCTCACCCAGCCATGGCGACCCCCCCAGTCAGATGGTGGACACAAAGTCTTTCCCCAGGGTGCTCTGAATTAATGGTGGGGGAAGGTAATCCCTTTGTGCCTGTGGGGAGCTTCAGATCTGTCCACAGGGCACACAGGTGAGAAACAGCCCCAAGATGTATCCAGAGGCTTGATGCTGGGAGGAGGGGGGTGCTGGATAAATAGGATGTCTTGTAGACAGAAAAGCAAGGCTTCTGTCTCGGAGAGGCAAGTTTAGGTAAGATGGTAGGGACTGATGCCTTAGTGTGGTGGGGTTGCAGGACAGTGGAGACAGTGCCTGTCCGTGTAAGCCTCGTTTCCTTTTCCTGCCTTTAAAAATGGGTAGAATAATGTGTGTGTATTACTGTCTTACAGCAACTGGAGAGTTTCTTAACTGTGAAGGATCTGGCCTCTTTGTGCTTCAGAGCTGCTGTGAGTCATGGCGTTGAGGAGGGATGGTCCCAGGCGCTTCTGCCTTTGCCAGGTGGCCTTGCAGCCACAGTTTATCTTTCTCAGTTGGCCCTTTCTAGGCTGGTAGGGTTGAGTCTGGGAGCCCCATTAGGTCTGAGCTCCCACAGGAATTCCCCTGGGCCTTTTTGTTCTATCATTTTTTTCATTTGTTCATCCAACTGTTTGTGCTATAATACCTGCTTATATATAAAACCTTACAATAGGCCAGGCCCTGTACTAAGGCAGGCATAGAGCTCTGATTCTTGCAAAGGGATGCATGGGCTTTGCACCGTCACTGCCTTGTGAGATTTGGGAGTACTGGGAGCCCAGGCTACAGGGCGAGTCTCATCAGCACCTGATGAGAAGGGGCAGATTCAGCTCAGACAACTGCCTTTTCCAGACCTCAGCTTCCCACCCCCTGGTTTCCTCACTGCAAACTCCTCCTCCCAGGCTCCAGGGCCACTCTACCCTCCCAAACTGGATTCTCAGAGGGCCTGTGTCAGCTGTTACTAGATGTCCAATAGCAGGCAGAACTGAGTTAAGTGGTCTGGGGTGGGCATTCCTTCAGAGCCCTGTCCCTCCCTTTGCGAGACAGTGGGAACACGACTGAGAATGAAGTTGGCCAGTCACAGCGAGTTGGAGTGGGAGTGCTGTGGAGTTCATTTGTGCTGTGCTATATGGTCTTCAGGAAAGAACACTGGATGCAGAGTCCAGAAACTTGGGTTCCAAAACGTGCTCAGCCTTGGCAGGGATGAACGAGCAAGAAAGGACCCAGTGCTCTGCAGAATTGAGGCTATTATTTTTTTTAGTCAATAATCCTCATTACCTGCCTCTTATGATCCAGGCAACCACAGTTGTGTGCCCAATGCAGAGACCTCCTTTCCAGAAAACAACTTCCTTTTGCATGTCACTGCTCTGGAGGATATTAAGCCAGGAGAGGTGAGGGGGACCAGGAACCGTCGGGATGGGTGGGCAGTAGGCCTTGGAAGTTCTCTGCAGGGATCAGGAGCAGCAGTGGCTAGAGCACCTTGAAGTTCAGGCTGTTGGGTGGAATCCCCACATACCTTAGGGTCTGAGTCTTTCAGCTCATGGTTAGGTTCTAACCCTACCTCGCTTTTTCAAAATATGACTCCAGAAAGCCTCAGGACAGTGTTTGAGGGACACCTATGTGCTCAGATTCTTGTCCCCAGCTATCTTTTGGTCAAATGCAGATATGTAATTTCTAAGAAAGCAGGAGATAGCTCTTTGTGGGTTTAGGGTCTTGTCTGTTAGTGCAGGCACAGTGCCTGGTTGAATCTTCTTGAGGGCAAGTAGCATCATACCAAGACCTCTGATCCCAGCTGCAGACCTTGGCCATTGACTGGCTTTCACCACGGCCTGAGGCCAACCAGTCTCCTCTGTCTCAGGCACAGGCTGTTGGAGCCTTATAGTGGCCTGCCTACTGAAGGCACTGGGAACTGGATGAGGGCAGCCAGCCCCTTCACTGAAGGGCAACGCAAACTTGGCTCCTAGAGATGGGGCAGTGGTTGGAGATAGGGTAGCTGTTGGGGAGGTCCTTATGCCATTTAAAAGAGCACAGACCATCAGACTGCACTTCTCTGCCCTACAGGAAATTTGTATCAGCTACTTGGACTGCTGTCAGCGGGAGCGCAGCCGCCACAGCCGCCACAAGATCCTCAGGTGCCAGCTGGGGACATGGTTGTGCAGCTGGGCTCTGGGGTCCTCTACCCATAGCTCCCTGACTTTTCCCCCTCACCATCCCCCACCGCTGCAGGGAGAACTATCTATTTGTCTGTTCCTGTCCCAAATGCCTGGCAGAGGCTGATGAACCCAATGTGACCTCAGAAGAGGAAGAGGAAGAGGAGGAGGAGGAGGAAGGAGAGCCAGAAGATGCAGAGCTGGGGGATGAGATGACTGATGTGTGATGTTGCCCTGCCCAGAAAGGGCCCTGCCCTAGACCCTGCCAGAAAAGGGGGCTCTTCCCCCAGAGAAGTGGCTTGGAGGGAACTTCCCACTCCCATTGCCTGCTTTCCCCATTCCAGCCCTCTCTGCTAGAGGGTAGGAGAGAGCCTGGATCTCTGGCCCCAACCCCCACCAGACCTCATGCCCTGGACACTGCTGCTGAGTTGGCTCAGACTCTGCACTGGCACTGAGCCTTTCACAACTGGCCTCCCCTTGAGGTTCCTCCACTCTAGGGTTTGAGGGGCTGGAATCAGGGCCAGGGCCTAACAGTGTTTCTTCCCCTCGGCCCCACGGCCCATACTCACCCCTTCACCTGAGGCTTCTCCCCTCTCAACTTGCTGTTGATTTCTTTTGAGGGGTAAAAGAAAGACCGAGTTCATTGAAGCAGAGATGGGAGGTGGTGAGGCGTCCTCACCTCCCCCCACCACAGCTGTGGCTGGTAAGGCAACTGCTTGACCACTGGCCCAGCAAGCAGAGGCGGGCAGGAGGATCTGGGCATCCTGAGCCCCTTCCCTGAGGCTGTCTCCTGGGAATGCTGGACCAGGGGGATTACTTCCCCCACCCACACCCCCATTTGGACATCTGGGGAAGTGGAGATTAACCCCTCCCCCAGACTCGTGCCTTGCCTCTCAGGACCTGGCACAGTGGCTGGCCTTATGGAGTATGGAAAAGGCCTCTGCCTTCCTCAGGAGGGACACATAGTGGGTCATCACCCTTTCTCACACCTGCTTCCCAATGAGCACTCAGCAGCATGGCTGAGACCTGGGGCTTGACAGGCCTGCGCTCCTTAGATTAGGATGCTCTGGTATTCCTGGGGCCAGTTAAAATGGGTCAGTGAGGGGCTCTCCTGGCCTCAATCTCCATCTTTAGGGTCTCCACAGACTAACATTGAAGTCTTCCAGAAACCTCGAGGAGCTGGGCTAGATACTTCGAGAGTAGCCCTGTCTTGTCCCCTCCTACCCCCAGATTAGCACCACCCCTCTCACTCTTGGGTTGGATGCTATGGGAATTACAACCCATCACTCCCAATGCCTCCCTTTCCTGGAGGAGCCTGCTGCATTCTCCTGCTGAGGGATCCCAGAGAGGGCAGGTGCCCACCCCACAGGCCCTTTCCTGGACCATGGAGCCAGGTGAAACCTGTCTGGCCCCTTACCCATTGGGTTCTTACTCCTTCACAACGGTCAGCACTCCTCTCCCAGCCCCCCTGCCCACTGTTCTCAATAAAATGTGAGTGGTGAGAGGCCTCTGCAGGAATGCTTTGTGGCAAGTGGCTGGGCAGGCTGCCCCGGGCGTGCAGCAGGCACAGGTGGGTGCAAAGGAATACCAATTAGACCAGGTAATGGTAGGAGATGGGAGCTCCAGGCTCACCAGCTTGGGCTCACCTCTACTGTTATTTACACCCTGCTATGCAAATGTTCTAATGCCCAAGAGCAAGGGTCCTCTGAGGTCCAGTTTGGGTGGTTTTTAAATTTTGAGACAGGGTCTCACCTTGTCACCCAGGCTGGCATGCAGCAATGCAATCATAGCTCACTACAGCCTTGAACTTCTGGGCCCAAGTGATCCTCCCACCTCCGCCTCCTGAGTAGCTGGGACTATAGGCTCACACCACCACACCCAGCTAATTTTTAATTTTTCTGTAGAGATGGGATCTTGCTATGTTGTTGCCAAGGCTGGTCTTGAATTCTTGGCCTCAACTGATCCTCCCACCTCGGCCTCCCAAAGTGCTGGGATTACAGGCATGGGCCACCATGCCTAGCCCTGAGGTCCAGTTTGGACCCCCAGTTCCAGGCTCTAAGATGAGTCTTCTCCTGAGGGGCTGAACTCTGGCTTCCCAGGGCTTCCTTGGCTCCTAGCAGGAAGCTGTGCTGGGATCTAAGACTAGCAGTCTGAGCACTGGTCCCAAATGACCTAGGCCAGTCACTGTCCTCTGTGGGTGTTTCCTTTCCTCAGAACGACAGTATGGGACGATACGAGTGAGTTTGAAGGTCCTGCCCACCCGTGTGCTCTTATTCTAGGACACAGTTGCAACCCTGATGAGAAGCTTTATTGCTAAAAAGTCAGTGAGGGTTTATTGAGTCCCCAAACACCAGCTCTTTAAACCACTCCAACAACTGCTGTGAAGGTCACTGTGCAGAGACCCTGGGTAGGGGAGGCTGGAGCCAGGTGAGTGTGACAGGTCACAGATGGCTCTCAGGCCACCTGCCTTCAGCTCCTTTTGTTTCGGGTTCTAGCCAGAAGCCCTGGGGCCTGTCTCTTGCCTCTTCTTGTAGCATGAGACACCCTTGGGGGCCCTGGGGAAGGGAAGGCCAGTGGTGTGGCTTCCCTTTCAGCCTAGCAACGCCCAAACCCTTTTCCTCTACCTGGCTCCACTTGTCCCCAGATGCTATCTCCAAATTCCAAGTAGCAAAATTCCTGGGTTTCCCCTTCCCAGCTCAGAGTCACTTATGGCTGGAATGTGGGACAAACTCTTCTACCAGAAGGTCCAGGGCGGTTGCAGCAGCTCAAAGGTGGGGATGCTGGTGACATTGACTGGGATGGAAATGATGGCCCATGGCAGCCCATGCTGTTCCAGAGAGCGGCGGATCATGTAGCTGGGAGGGCATGAAGAGAGGTGGTGACGGTCACTTTCTTGGTACCCCATCATGCCCCACTGTCCCCATCAATCTGGGAGTTCCAAAGCCCGAGATCTTTTTTTGCCCTCTAACTGAAGCACCCCAAGTTGAGGCCTGCAAGAAGGGACTGGTGATTACCCCTGACCCAGTCATGGCGCCCAGCCTGGTGCTGATAAAGCCAGAGGCAAGGAGCCCTCACCCGTCTCGGCCGAGCAGGAAGAGGGCGGGGATGTCAGCTGTGCGCTGGGTACTGTCCTGGATCATCTCCACGTAGAAGCTGTCATTGTCAACTGCGTTGTCAGAGATGATCACCGCCCGCCCGCCGTGCTCCTGGACCACCCGAGTCTTGGAGAGGAAGGAGCAGCCCCTGGAAGAGGTGGTGATAAGACCAAAGGAAAGACAGGTCCTAGCTCCCCCTTCCCCAGACCATCACCCTGGGAGTATAGAAGGCAGACTATGAAGAATCTGTTATAAAGGCTCATAAGTAAATAGCTAAAAGCATGGATAATTTAAATACATTTCTTTTTCCTTTTTCTTTTTTTTTGGAGACTGGGTTTTGCTCTGTTGCCCAGGCTGGAGTGCAGTGACGTGATCTCGGCTCACTGCAGCCTTAACATGCGGTCAAGCAATCCTCTCACCTCAGCCTCGAGTAGCTGGGACCACAGGTGTGCACCACCATGCCCAGCTAATTTTTGTATTTTTTGTACAGACAGGGTTTCTCCATGTTGCCCAGGCTAGACATTTCTTAAAGACGCTTAAAAAGATGAAATTTTCAAAAACAGCTCTTTCAAAGCACTACTACCAATAATCTCAGAATCTGCCGTATGCCTGCCCACTCCTCGTGTCCTGCCTGCCCACTCCTTACCCCCTCTCCACCAGAGCAATCTGGTCCTGGATGAAGAAACCGTTGCTGAGTTCCCCGCAGGCCTCTGGAGGTTCAGCGGGGACAAGGTGAATCTGCTCATACCTTGTGTGCTGAAAAACATTTAACATTTGGACAGGTGAGAGTGTAATGAGACACACCTGCTTTAGGACTGGGCTGACAATCCCATCTTATTGGCACCTTATAAAGTGTGAAGGAAACATGGAGTGGTTTCTGTATCGCCAGACACTTAAACATTTTTACTTAATTCTCGCAAAGGCCTATCTGGTTGTCCTACACCACCCTACCCTTCTATGAGATAGGCAGGGGACTTGGTTGTAGATCCAGAGAGAGGAAGTGATGTGCCTTAAGTCACATAGTTCACAGGTAGAGCTGGCAGAGGAAGCTGGTGCTCTTGGCTTTTCACTTCATGTCCCCTAAAAAGACAACTTGTCCCTCCATGGTGCCTAGGTTTATATTATACTCAGGGGAGTAGCTGGAAGAGCTTCCTTTCTGTGCTGCAGCTCATGGAAGGCAGAGCTGATTCTGCTCCCTTCCCTGTCCCAGCACTCAGGTGGGATGAGAGGGTCACTGCAGCTCAGTGAGGGGAAGGGGGAGGTTGAGGATCAGAGATCAGGGGCCTCCCTTAACTTACAAAGATACCACCAAAGTCCTTGGCAGGTGTGGCTGTGAAGATGTATCGAATGTCCCCAGGACTCAGCACTTGAAAGTACAAATAATCATGGATACGGAAGCCTGAAGGATAAAGAGTACAGGTAAGAAGCCTCCCAGGAACAAGCTGGTTCAGGTTCAGATCCCAGACCCTGTGTCTTCAGCTGGGCTGGCTATAGTCTGGGCTCAGGGTCCTGGCTTCAGCCAACGGGGTCCACTAGTGGCAGGGTTGGGGGCTAGATGGCCTCTGTCCTGGGGAGGATAGAGTTGATGCAGAGTCATTAACCCCAGAGGCTTATATCAGCTGCTGCTGCTGCTTACGCAGTAAGCCAGGAAAACTGAGAGCTCCAGGGTTAGTATTTTTGCTCTGAAGACCTGGGAGTTTCAGGGTAGAGATGTAGTGGCCTGCGTACAAAGCAATTCTCACTAAAATTTAAAAGTTGACTTTCTGGTCCCACTGCCATCCCCTTAAGTCTAGTCACTATCATCTCTTGTCCTGACAGCTCAGCTTCTTACCTGGCCTCCCTGCCTCCATTCTTGCTCCCCAAGCAACAACCAGAAATCGAAAACATCTTAGCAATTATGAGCACATCACCATACCTAGGGTTTCAATAACTGCCCTTTGCATTTAAAATTTAAACTCTTTTTAAACTGTGGCCTACAAGACCCTGTTTGCTGTGGCCCCTGGCCACTCTTCCAACCTCATCTCCTCCATCCTGTGTTCAAGCTACACTGGCCTTTCAGTGTCTTCACTTCTCTGGGTCTTTCTGCAGGCTGTTCCCTGAGCCTGGAAGGCCCCCTACTCCCACGCCACCCTACTTCCACCCCTTTACCTGACTCTTTCCTAGTCATCCTTCAGGTCACACCTTAAATGTCACTTCCTCAGAGAAAGCTTCTGCCTCATGATTGCCCTCCCATACCCATTCAAATGTACTTTTTAATAAATGGGGACTTTCAACATAATTTGTAATTATACAGCTTTCATAACTTTTCTTTTTTTCTTTTTTTGAGACGGAGTCTCGCTCTGTCACCCAGGCTGGAGTGCAGTGTTGCGATCTAGGCTCGCTGCAAGCTCCGCCTCCCGGGTTCACGCCATTCTCCTGCCTCAGCCTCCGGAGTAGCTGGGACTACAGGCGCCCGCCACCACGCCCGGAGAATTTTTTGTATTTTTAGTAGAGACGGGGTTTCACCGTGTTAGCCAGGATGGTCTCTATCTCCTGACCTCGTGATCCACCCGCCTGGGCCTTCCAAAGTGCTGGGATTACAGGCGTGAGCCACCGCGCCCGGCCTCTTTTTCTTTTTTTTGAGACAGGGTCTCACTTTATCACCCAGGCTGGAGTGCAGTGGCGCCATCTCGCCTCACAGCAACCTCCACCTCCCAGGCTCAAGCGATTCTCATGCCTCAGCCTCCCAAATAGCTGGGACTACAGGCGTGCGCCACCATGCCTGGCTAATTTTTTTTTGTATTTTTTAGTAGAGAGGGTTTCGCCATGTTGACCAGGCTGATTTTTTTTTTTCATTTTTTAAATAGGAATGGGGTCTCGCCTTGTTGCCAGGGCTTGTGATCCTCCCACCTTGGCTTACCAAAGTCCTGGGATTACAGGCGTGAGCCACCGCACCTGCCCTGGATTCATAATTTTTAAATATCTGCCTCTTCCACTTTGTAACTTCATTCAGTGAAGAGTCACCAGTGTCTTGCACAGTGGCTACAATATAGGGATAGCCCTATAAACTTTCCTGAATGGGTGAACAACTATATCTAGCTCCACAGCACCGATGAAGAGAATTTCCAGACCACTAGATTTTTCTGGGGCATGGGATCTTCTCCTCAGCACCAAAGTTTAATGTTGTACCTGGACTTGAGTCCCTGGTTTCCTTAACCCAGAGAGACTGCGGAATGTTGAAAGATAAAAACTGCTGTCATGGGCGGGCGCGGTGGCTCACGCCTGTAATCCCAGCACTTTGGGAGGCCGAGGCGGGCAGATCACGAGGTCAGGAGATCGAGACCATCCTGGCTAACACGGTGAAACCCCCGTCTCTACTAAAAATACAAAAAAATTAGCCGGGCGTGGTGGTGGGCGCCTGTAGTCCCAGCTACTTGGGAGGCTGAGGCAGGAGAATGGCGTGAACCCGGGAGGCGGAGCTTGCAGTGAGCCGAGATCGGGCCACTGCACTGCAACCTGGGCGACAGAGCAAGACTCCGTCTCAAAAAAAAAAAAAAGAAAAAAAGAAAACTGCTGTCACAAGTCTGTTAGTCTATCAACAAACTACCAAGTCACTACTGTGTACCAAGGATGGCATTAAGGCTTTAGCTGTCTTTGTTTACTGCCCAAATCACAGCCATCAGTTAGAGCTCCCATGGCTTGGCACTGGGCTATACAGTCCTGGGAGTGGGGACTCCCTCTCGGATACAAATACACCCCCAGAAAGCCTTCCTGGACTAGCGTCAAACTCACTCCCTCCTCCCCAACCCTTGCTTGCCTTTGTGTGTGCTTATTTGTGTAAGTTGTGGGTATACGTATGTGCTCACTTATGTGCATAGATGTATACATTTATGTGCTTGTGTAGGTGTAAACGGTTTGTGCGTGTGTGCCCACGTGTAGGAATGTGTGCTCCTGTGTACATGTGAATGCTCACATACATATCTCCAGCCTGTAGTATCCTTCCTTAGCTGTCCCTTCTGGTCGCACCCTAAGTCACCTGGGTCGGCGCTAGTGGGCGGGGAGGGGCGAGTGGGGAGATCTGCTTTGTCGTGGGAAGGTGAGGAGTCAGAGCTTCAGCCTCAGGCTGCGCCCACTTTATGTCCTTGGACCACCACCCACTTATTCCGGCCGCCCGCTCCCAGACCTGTCCTGCTCTGAACTCGCAGGGTCCCCAAGGTGACCCTTGGCCCCCAACCCGAGACGCGCGCAAGCTGGACGGCCAGCCCCGCCCTGCAACGCAGTCCCACCCGTTGCCGCTCACCGTGGGCCGCGACGCACGCGGGGAGCCAGAGCACGAGACAACACCAGCCCGCGGCGCCGGGGACCATCTCCAGGGCCGGGCCCGGCCCGGCGCCGCGTTTCCTCTCGCCGCCCCGCCGCGCGTCGCTCGCAGGACTTCAGCCTGACAGCTGCTCCGGCCTCCCGCCCACATACCCGCTCTCGCCGCGGGCTGGACGACGGGAACGAGGCTCAAGGCTGATTGGCTCTGACGCCTGCTCATGTAGCCACACTTTCCGCCTCTGCGCCTTAGCCTACTTCCTATTGGTCGAGAGAAGTGGAGCCGGGGGCTGATTGGCTTAAACTCTTAACAGCTACAACCGGCCTTCGCCTCAGCCCCGCCCCAGCATACTCTCCGGGTCCTCGCTGGCGGTGGGCGGGCCAGGGAGGACAAGCACTGGAGGTGTGCCCGTAGCCGGACTTGCTTCAGCTGTCGATAGTCGAGGCCGTTAACCCTTGCGGTCTCGGTCCTGTCCACTCCAAGGCCGCCTCGATTGACGACGATTAGCCTTCTCCCAGCTGCGCTTCCCTCCTCCCAGCTGCGCTTCCCTCCTCCCCACGCCTTCACGGGAAGGCACTCGTCTTGCGCCAGGGGGTCTTCCGCCCAGTGCCACCAACGCTTGCGCGCTCACCGTGGATAGGCGCTGGGGCCGCGGCCTGGCGCACGCCATCCACGAGGAGCCTCTGGCCAGTGCAAAGCCAGAAAACGGGCATTGGGGGCAGCTTCCCACGCTCGTCCCGTTGACACTGACTATGTAACTGTGACACTGGACACCTTGACCTCTCAGCCTCCTTTCTGTCATCAGTAAAATGGCCTTAATAGGACCAACGCAATAGGGTTGTGAGGATTAAATGAGATCGCTCACGTAAAGTGCTTTGGCACCAGCCTATCCCACACTTTGCGTCCCACACTTTTGCCTTTATTGCATTCCTTGGTCTGGCGTCCGGGGATGGAGGAGGGTGGAATTAAGTTAGTAGGTGATGCGGGCCGAGCAAAGACCCTCCGTGCTCTAAGAAGCACGACCGAAATGCGGCGACCCCTCTTTAATGAACGCCCCTCACTAGAGAGTCCCCGAAGCCCAGCCTCAGGTCCTTCTAGCCGCACCGAGTCGGTGGTAACGAACCATAGAGTAGCGGAAGTGGTCCGTTCTCTTCCTCTCCCGGCCCAAGCTTCTGGGTATTTCTATTGCGCGAGGCATTGTGGGTTGCTGGGCGGCCCGGTCTCGGAGAAGAGGGGAGAGTGGCGGGCCGCTGAATAAGCTTCCAAAATGATGGTGAGTGGCGTCTCGCGCATCCGTCGCCATCAGCTGCCATCTGGCCGGTGGCCGGCGCCGCTCGGCCTGGGCTTGCTCTGTAGGACCCTCTTTTGCTTGCCGCCTCTGTCCTCGCCCAGATCCCCAGCTTAGGGGCGACCCCAGCCAGCCGCGGCCTGGCTCGGCCCGAGCACGGCGCTGGAGCCGTTGGCGAGGGCTGCGTGGGGCTTTAGAGGAGTCTCTGGGCTGGCCGGTTGGGGACTACAAGTCCCAGGGTGCTTCGGGCCCGCGAACCCACGTCGGGGACCTCTTTTTTAGCCCCGCATGATCGGGACTTGCGTGAAACGAGTGCAGGTCGGCCGTGGTTACGCGGTCGGCAGCTAGACTTGGAAGCTGGGGCTGCTCTGAGATTTGCGGGCTGTAAAGACGTGTGCTTCTTGGAACCGGCACAGGCACATTGGGGACCTCATATTGTGCCCGCCTAGGGACTCACTATGTTCACTCGCTGACCCTCACCGCAGCGTGCAGAGAAGCAGACGCCTTCCCTAGTACTTTTAATTCATTCACTCATTCGCTCAGTCATTAAATAAACGCGTCTTTAGTGCCTACTGAATGTACCAGGCCCTGGTGGTTGCTGGGGGTTGCAGCCTCTCAGCCAGGAGAACGGGAAAGGTAGATGGAGACACTGTATCGGAGGTGGGAAGACCCAGGCTCGGACTCTGGTGACATAAGAAAGGCTTTTCTAGTTGGCTACCTAACTCTGGGTCTCGTTTTCTTGAAATTTGGGGCGAGGGAGTTGCTGTGAGTCCTGGAGCCACCTAAAGTGCTCCTTGTAGCCCTACTTCCCACACTTCTTTTCTCTGTCTCTCGGAGCTTTAGATACTTTCCGTGGGTCCCAAGCCTCGATGGTATCTCCTGGGTTGTTATTGAGTAGGGCCAGCTTCCGAGGTGGTGTTTGACCCTGACTGAGATACTGCTTTCTGTGCACTTGGCAGTTCACTTATTCATTTTGGCCTGTCCGACTCTATCTTCTGCTCTTTTCCTGCTTCCTGCAGCTTTTCTCTGTCCTGTTAGGGACGCAGACACCTTTTAGGTGTTCTACCAAATGCCCTATGAATCCCGCTTGTACCCAAGGTAGAAGGAAATTAGCATTTAACAGTACTTCCTCTCCCCTTTATGTCTCTAGCATTGCTCATTCTTGAAGTCGTCTTCATCTTCTGTGCAGAGGCAGCATAGTACAGCAGTTGAGAGTAAGGCCTCTGGAGCTACACTGAATGCCTAGGTTTGTAACTTAGCTCTGCCACTTACTAGCTGTGTGACTTTGAGCATGTTATTTAATTTCTGGTTCTCAGTTTGTCAGTGTGCCTAGCAGATAGTAAGCACTCAGCAATGTTAGCTCTTACTCGGCGAGGTGGTTGTTTGCTTCCTTTCATCTCTGAAATCAGTCCATCCCGCTGCCAGGGCTTCCGTAAGAGCTTTGGTTCACATTCACACAGCTAGGGATCAGAACCGCCATTCTCTGCCGTGATAAAACTTCACCAGTGGGCTCTAGATCATCACACTTGGATTTTCCCTGAACTGACCCCTCCTCTGTCAGATTGACGTTTCCCTGCTGTATTGGCTCTTGATATCTCCTCCCCATTTTTGGAATGTGAAACTTCTATCTCCAAGAGTCTTCCTGTCTTCAAATTGGCCCCTGATATTCTAGAATACTTCTGTAATCGAAAGAGAGGTGAAAAGGTCCCCTGAAACCTCAGTCCTGTGATGTTGGTACAGCTTGCATAAAATGTATGTCCTTGCCTTTGTGGCGTTGAGCGCTGTGTGCCTTGGCATAGACACACTTGTTTTGTAAGCCATTAAGCTTAATGATGCTTAGTGAAAGTTTTAAAGTAGGATGAAGAGGAAGATCAGTAAGCTGAAATTCCAAAACCTTCCATTATACCTGTGGCCAATTACTGGAGTCTGCTCTTGTTTCTTTTTCTTTTTTTTTTTTCCCGAGATGGAGTCTTGCTCTGTTGCCCAGGCTGGAGTGCAGTGGCACCATCTTGGCTCACTGCAACCTCCATTCCCAGGTTCAAGCAATTCTCCTGCCTCAGCCTCCCAAGTAGCTGGGATTACAGGCATACGCCACCACGCCTGGCTAATTTTTGTATTTTTAGTAGAGACGGGGTTTCACCGTGTTGACCAGGCTGGTCTCGAACACCTGACCTTGTGATTCACCCACCTTGGACTCCCAAAGTGCTGGGATTACAGGCGTGAGCCACCGCACCCGACCTTGTTTCTTATTTATTAGAGGAATAAAAAAAAGGAGCGAGGTTGAAAGTAACTAAGGGATGGAAACTGGACTTTGCATACAGTGCCTGCTGCTGGGGAACTGTTAGAAGAGGACCTATCCTGCTTGTCTTGGCTTGACTCAATCCAGCTCTGCCACCTTTTCCACCCCATAGATGCTCTCTACCCAGCCTGCTGTTTCTTCAGGGCCTGCAAAGCATAGGGAACCTGGGGAATCTGTGGTTAGCTGCTTCCAAGCTCTTCTTGCATTGTGCTTAAGAACTCTCAGTAAATGTAGTGTTACTGTAGTGCCAGTGCTTTTCTCCCCAAAAGTCAAGAAGCCAGTGCTGTCAAGCACTTACAAGTAGCAGTTGGATTTTCAGCCCCAAAAGCTGCTGAATATTGCTTCATGTGTGGCCAAATCTTGGCACTCTTCAAATTAAGGTTATTTTGGTCCTTGTCTTTGGAAAGCTTGTACTTAAGCTGGATGGTGATAAAAAGTTGCGAGCAAGGGCAAGTGAAGAGAAAGTTATGGGATTCCCCTATTCAGATGCCCTTGTTTATTACTGTAGAGAAAACTTCTTGGAAGAATTGGAGCTCTGAGGAATTGGTGGCCTGGTGGTGAGAAAGTGGTTTTGGTAGAAGATGGCAGAGTGACTATTTTAGATGGGGGTACACTTTGCAGGTTGAGGTGAGAAAAAGTATACACAAGCATTGGGTAAGTTAACCTGTTGAGGTGAAAGAACCTGTTGAAGGTGATAGGAAGTGATTGAGACTCATGTTAGTTTTTGATTTAAAGTGTAAGACTCCATCCGTGGCAGGGGTGGACCAGAGAAGACTTGGGGCTGCCATAAGGAATGATTTAGCAAGACTGGGAGATGGTAGGGCCTTTCAGGACACACATCTTTCCCTTACAGAAGGTGCCAGGGACTGGGCCAGCTGAAGAGCCAGAAAGAATGCTGGGAGTATAGAGAAGCCATTTCTTGCCACCAGACCTGGGACACTCCAGCAAAAGGAAGGAATTTTCCCTTCAGTTGACGCCTGATCCCAAATGTAGGGGTTTACATGACAAGCATTCTTTTTAAAATAAAAAATAAAAGGAGTAATGTATGATTATTTGACAAGCATTTAAAAAAATTTAATGAGGGCCTGGCATGGTGCCTCATGCCTGTAATCCTAGCACTTCAGAAGGCTGAGGCAGGAGGGTTGTTAGAGGCCAGGAGTTGGAGACCAGCCTGGGCAACATTTTTTAAATACAAATTTAAAAAATTAGCCAGGTGTGGTACCTCATGCATTGCGGTCCAGCTACTCAGGAGGCTTGAGCTTATAGTAAGCTATGATCTCACCACTGCACTCCAGCATGGGTGGTGGAGCAAGACCCTGTCTCTTAGAAATATATATTAAAAAATGAATAATATATTAAATTACTCCCACTCTCTTATTCCGTAGAGTTTATTGGGTATTTTTCGTTTTCTTTTTGTAGAGACAGGGTCTTGCCATGTTCCCCAGGCTGGTCTTGAACTCCATGAGCTCAAGTGATCCTCTTTTTTCTACAGTGGTTTTTGTTTTTTATGTAAATCACAGTATGCCATTCCTCTGCTGAAAGCTTCCCAGGGCTTTCCTTTTTAGGAATGAAATCTGAACTCCTCACCATAGTGTGTCTACGAGTGTGTATGTGATCTGGTTCCTGCCTGCCTCTTCAGCTTTATTCCAGTCTTCCTCTTGCTTACTACCCTCCAGCTGCGCTGGCCAAAAGAGTTGAACTTTTTAAGGAATTGACCAGTTAATAAGGAATCAGCCTCATGAGTGGCAAGACTCTGTCTTTGGCAGGAATTCCTCACTCCTCATTGTTAGGTTGGGAAAGCTCTGTGCTTTCCTGTGCCTTCCTTGCTCAGACATCCACGTACCTCTAAGGACTAGGTGATGGCTTTCAAACTTTTTATTGCATTCCACAGTAAGAAATACATTTTTAATCATAGCCTAGTAACAAATTTAACACAATAAAAGTTTTGAAATAGTATTTATCCTTACTACATTCTGTGTCACACACAAAATTAGCCAGAAACACTTGAGAAGACTGGATCTAGTTCGTGGGCTTATCTCTGAAGGCTCAGATTTGAATGTGGAGAGAAAGTAGTCTGGTTTGCTAAGCTGAGAAATTGCTCTCTCTGCTAATAATGGTGGTCACTAGAGCAAAGATATCTGAGCGGGCCCTTTAAAACAAGCAAGTATCCCTGTTTCTCAGTTTCTAAAGCAGGTCTGCAAATGAAGCCCTTACGGGGATAGGGAATGTTCTGGAGACCAATGCAATATAGAAAGAGGAAAACTTCTTTGGGGTATCTGATTGGAAATTAGTCACACAGAAGCTTTATTCAGCCAGCATGAGAGATGGAAACATTGCTGTATGAATTAGATTTGCCATCATTTTTCAAAACAGGGCAAAGGTGCTGTTTGTTTCTCTGCCTGTTTTCCTACACTGCAGCTGAACATCACTGTTACATAAAGCTGACTGCCTAGGCATCTCTAGGACAACACCTCAAGCTCTTGGCATCTTGCATTTTGCATCAGTGTCCCATCTGCTTCTCTAAGATTGAGCTGTAACACAGACAAGTGGATGTTTTGCTGCGGAATGAACACTTAGCAGGGTCTGCCTCTTCCTCCTGTGTTGTGACCCAATTCCTCAGCACAGGGAGTAAGGTCAGAAGTTGAAAAGGCCATGGTCATTCAGCTGGGTACTGGAGAACTCATGATTTTTTCTTTTAGATTAGGTCAGTGCTTCTCAAACCATTTTCCTGTCTAGCATACCTGCAGGGTAGGCTAAATTTGATAGTGTCTCTGGAGGTAGAGGCTGGTTGGGGAATGGATGTGGTAGACAGTTGGGGGAATGTGGTTTAAGAAGACCTCTAGATAATTCTGTTAAGGGAGAGATGGGAGCATTTTCCCCTTTCCCCTGCCAGTCTCATTATAATAGATGATTATTAAAAGCAGTTAATTTCTTTCTTTTCTAGCCCACACCAGTTATCCTATTGAAAGAGGGGACTGATAGCTCCCAAGGCATCCCCCAGCTTGTGAGTAACATCAGTGCCTGCCAGGTGATTGCTGAGGCTGTAAGAACTACCCTGGGTCCCCGTGGCATGGACAAGCTTATTGTAGATGGCAGAGGTAAGTCTACAGAGTTCCTCAGGCCTGTGTGCAGGAAAGGAGGCTCCTGAGGGGGTGTTTGGGACTAGCATAGGTTGGTATCAGAAATCCCACTGCTTTTAAGATCGTTGAAAGATGACTCACTCTGAAGCAGTTCCAATTCTTATATTGTCCTGACTGCTGAGCCCGTGTGGGACTATATGAGAGAACCTAGGCTCAGGAGCCTGTTGCCTCATAGGGAGACGTGGCCTAGAAACATGAAATAGAACCATCTGGAGTTTCCTGTGTTCACTTCCATTGTTATCAAGATGAGAAAATTCCTGTTTATATCTTGGTATATTAATTGATGTGTGAGGGTATCAACTGTGGTAAGAATATCTAAGTGGTTACTTTTATTTAAAAAATCTTTTCTGTATCCAGTTGACCTGTATTAATTGCTCTTCAAGGAAAATTGGGAGTCTGTGGTCTGCAAAAGCTTGTGATTTTAGACCCTTTGTGTACAGAGCTAATTCTGTATAGAAAGATCAGATAGGTATCCTTTCCCTTCAGCCCTGCCGTGATCCCCTCTGCCCCATCCCAGTAAAGTGTAGATGGGTTCTAGGTCCCACTTGAAGACAGCATTTAAGAAAGGGGCTTTAGATTTTTGTTTGTTTCTTTTAAGGCAAAGCAACAATTTCTAATGATGGGGCCACAATTCTGAAACTTCTTGATGTTGTCCATCCTGCAGCAAAGACTTTGGTAGACATTGCCAAATCCCAAGATGCTGAGGTAGGAAAATAGTTGTGTGTTTAAATGGAGGTTGAAACACATGCTTGCTTGCTCCTTAGTTCTCCTCTATTAAATTTTTTTAAGATTTTATATAATTATAATTGTACAAGTAATACATGCTTATAAAAGTATTTAGAATTAACAGCCTTTTAAAATTCATACTATTTCGTTACATGTAGCTTTTCATATCCATTAATACATTGGTGAATGACAACAGTCTTTAGATATAAGTCTACTGCCTGAGATCTTAACAGGTTGTGTGCTGTCATTTGTGTGAGTTGCTAGGTTAAATAATTTGACTTCTCATCTCTTACAAAATGGGGCTGTAAACTAAGACTTCCAATCTGCCTTTCTTTCTTTTTTTTTTTTTTTTAAAGAGATAGGGTCTTACTATGTTTCCCAGGTTGGCCTTGAACTCCGGGGCTCAAGCCTTCTCTCACCTCAGCTTCCTTAGTCGTTGGAACTACTGGCATTCCCCACTACACCAGGCTTTTTTTTTTTTTTTTTTAAACTGATGATAAAACAGACATAATATTTATTCTTAATACCATGTTTAAGTGTATAATTCATGGCATTAACCAGTCTATCTTTTAAAAATAAATTCTAACACTGGAGTATTAATAAATGTGTTGACAGATAGGTTTTGTATTTTAGAGTACTGCAAAATATGTATACTACAGGTATGTCTTGAAGTTACGTTAAAAGGTTTATTAGGAGCCAAGCCTATAAAACAGGTATAGCATATATAAAATTAAAGAGAGAAGAGTCTGGATTTGATTTGTTTTTGTCTTCAACGAGGGAATAATGCCTTTTGGTCCAGAAATCTGCCCACTTAAACCTTCTCTATAGTAACCTTTTTTTTTTTGCCCCTTGAGAATTTCTTACCTTACACAGTGAACATACATGAAGTTAAAAATAAATTTCTGGGCTGAGCATGGTGGCTCATGCTTGTGTCTCATTACTTTAGGAGGCCAAGGTGGGAGGATCCCTTCAGTCCAGGAGTTTGAGATCAGCCTGGGCAATACAGCACGACCCCATCTCTACCGAAATAAATTTCTTCCAGTTTAGAGTTTATCCAATTTTCTTAGAAAGCTCTTTTTCTTTTTCACCCTCATTAAATAGGATTTAGATCCCATCACAGAAAAGCACCATCTAAAAAAGATTAGCAGACTAGTAATCTGCTTATTCCCAGTAGTTTTTTTTTTTTTTCTTTTGAGAGGGGGTTTCATTCTTGTTGCCCAGGCTGGAGTGCAATGGTGTGATCTTGGCTCACTGCAACCTCCGCCTCCTGGGATCAAGCAATTCTCTTGCCTCAGCCTCCCGAGTAGCTGAGATTGCAGGCACCCACCACCACGCCCGGGTAATTTTTGTATTTTTGGTAGAGACGGGGTTTCACCATGTTGGCCAGGCTGGTCTCGAACTCCTGACCTCAGGTGATCAGCCCGCCTCGGCCTCCCCAAGTGCTGGGATTACAGGCATGAGCCACCGTGCCTGGCCTCCTCATAGTTTTTGAAATATAAAGAACTTTGGCTGGTCCTAGGACGTTTGTTTTAGTGTGATTTGACTGAAAGTTACCTTTTTTTTTTTTTAACTCCTGGCCAGATGCAGTGGCTCATGCCTGTAATTCTAGCACTTTGGGAGGCCGAGGTGGGAGGATTGCTTGAGGCCAGGAGTTCAAAACCAGTCTAGACAACATAGGGAGACCCTTTCTCTATTAAAAAAGAAAGGAACTCCTGCAGTACCTTTTGCTTCTTGAGACGGAGTCTCACTCTGTCGCCCAGGCTGGAGTGCTGTGGTGCGATCTTGGCTCACTGCAACCTCTGCCTCCCAGGTTCAAGCAATTCTCCTGCCTCAGCCTCCTGAGTAGCTGGGATTACAGGCGCCCGCCATCACGCCCAGCTAATTTTTGTATTTTTAGTAGAGACAGGGTTTCACCGTGTTGTCCAGGCTGGTCTTGAACTCCTGACCTCAGGTGATCCACCTGCCTCAGCCTCCCAAAGTGCTGAGATTACAGGTGTGAGCCACCGTGCCCAGCCACCTTTTGCTTCTTAAACAATGTTTGTCTCTTGCTTCTTGGTACCATGATTATTTTAAGTATTGTATTACAATAAGCATGACAAGGACTGTTTTATTCATCACAATGCCTTGTACGTAACATAAGTTCTCAGTTCATGTGTGTAATTTTTTACCCTGAGGACATTTGATTGTCCACATCAGCCCTCTTTAGAGAATGGGGCTGTCTGGGGAATTAATTTGGTAGCCCAGGACTGTTTGACATGATGGATATGTAACTACCATTAGCTTCTTTCTACTTATTGCAAAAACCTGTGCTTCCAGAAAAAAGCTTGACATCCATTTAAATAATATTCAGTTTAAATGGGTAGCGTGCCTAAAAATGGAGTTTCAGGGCTTTATTCCCTGAACATCAGAAAACGTGTATTTCCTGTCATCATCTTCCAGGTGGGTGATGGCACCACCTCAGTGACCTTGCTGGCTGCAGAGTTTCTGAAGCAGGTGAAACCCTATGTGGAGGAAGGTTTACACCCCCAGATCATCATTCGAGCTTTCCGCACAGCCACCCAGCTGGTATGGCAGTACTGATTAACCTTCTCTTGGGCCTGGACACCTTCACATTTCTCTTAGGAAGGGGAATTTCTTTTCAGGAGTGTGGAGGGACTGGGGAACAGGGTACTTTGGGCATTTTCTGACATCTCCTTAGTAATCTCAGTTCTACTAATCTGTAGCCATTTGATGAGGTGTATTACTTAATCTCTTTAAGCCTCAGGTTAGAGTCAGCCTGGTAGACTATGATGTAGACATAGTCTTTTAGTAAGGACTAAGAGACTCATGGCATACTACTACTACATGCTATACTCAAGCACCTCATGGTGTATATTGAGACCTAGCTATTATTTGCCCTCTAACCTTCATTTGTGATCTGGGGCAAGTCATTTAATCTTTCTAGGCCTTACTTTCTTTGCTATCTCTAATTTGAGTGGTGACATTAAAATGAAATAATATATGAGGAGTACTTTGGAAAAAAATAAAAAGTTTATATATTTGTATGCATATTTTATATATAACTAATATATAAAGTGCTAGAAGTTGTCGTAGGTGTTTTTAGTAAACCAGGAGGTTTGGCTTAATCTCGTGTCACAGCTGTTTCCACTCATTCGTTGTAGCGTGTTACCTGCAGACCCAGAGCAAAATCTTGGAAGCACCCTGATTCTTCAGAACTGTATACCCACTCTGCATTTCTGACTTGGAATTTTCTGAACTATAGAGTTTTACATTTTTCTGAGCAGTTACAAGACCTAGAAGTGTTTTTTCAGCTGTAGAGTAGAAATGCTTAGGATTTGGGAGTGAACAGACTCAGGACTATTGAGAGATTGAGGTCCACTTCAGCAGTTTGTCTTTAGCATGAGAGACTCATTCAACTTCTGTTCTTGGCAGGCAGTTAACAAGATCAAAGAGATTGCTGTGACCGTGAAGAAGGCAGATAAAGTGTAAGTCTGTAGTGGGTTTTTTTTTTTTTTTTTAAAGAGACGGAGCCTTGCTGTATTGCCCAGGCTAGTCTTGAACTACTGGCTCAAGTGATCTCCCACCTGCGACTCCCAAAGTGCTGGGATTACAGGTGTGAGTCACCGTGTCAGGCCTTTGTCAGAACCTTGACTGACTTCCTGTGGCCAAATTGGATGCAGAAGCATGCTGCAATCCCTCTATGTGCCTGGGGCTGTTTGGCTCCTGCCAGACCCTTGGCTGTGTCCCAGCCCACAGAGCACAAAAGAAGCTGTCGACTGTAGTTTAAAAGCTGCCACATATGAGATCTTTGACTGCAGTCACCATCTGTCACTGATAATCTGCCCTAAAGATACAAAAGGTGAAGTTGGAGAGGGCTGAGTTTAGAGACTGGAAGGGAACTACCTCCACACTGTAGTAGAATCAGATAAGAGGGATTTGGTTTTCAAGACCTGATGCAGATTCTGCCCTTGTGTCCCAGGGAGCAGAGGAAGCTGCTGGAAAAGTGTGCCATGACCGCTCTGAGCTCCAAGCTGATCTCCCAGCAGAAAGCTTTCTTTGCTAAGATGGTGGTGGATGCAGTGATGATGCTCGATGATTTGCTGCAGCTTAAAATGATTGGAATCAAGAAGGTACAGGGTGGAGCCCTCGAGGTAAGCCTGCTGTGGCCTTCCTAGACAGCTCTTGCTTTCATATTGACCCTTCAGACAGCTTCATATGGCAGAGGGGTACTCATTACAGGAATAAAGAGAATGCATGTTAGGCAGGAAGTCAGACTTACATTGTACTTTCCATACTGCCATTAGAGGCTGTTACTAGATGAACTTGGTAACCTCTGTGGATATTATTTGTCAGCAGAGTAGAAAATTGGACTGTATGATTTTCAGAATCTCAGGTTCTCTGTGTCAGTGGGTGGTGGAGGGGTAGTAGGACTAGCTCAAATCATCAATGACCTCCCAATTAATACATCTGAGAGGGATTTTTCAGTTCACTGCTTACTCCTAAGTGATACTGTTAAGCTTGCCCTTCTTTCATTCATTTATCTTGAATAGATGATACATATTTCAAACTGTGAAGGGGCCTAAAGTTAAAAGTGTTTCATGCACTACCCCTGCCCCATATACAGCCACTATTAGTTTGTGTGTATCCTTGCAGAATTACTTTGTGCATATATGAACATGTATGTAAATACTGTTTTTTAAAGACAAAAGATTGCTTATATAGTGTTCTGTAGCTTGCTTTTGTCCATTTAACAACATATTTTAGAAATTGATCCACATTAGCGTGTGTAGCTCTTAACTCAGCACCCTCCAGTAGAGCTTTCTGTAGGGTGGTGGGACTGTTACATATCTGCGCTGTCCAATATGATAGCCCCATCCACACTTGGCTACTGAGCACCTGAAATGCAACTAATGTAACTGAAGAACTGAATCTTAATTTTATTTCCATTTAAATGGCAACATGTAGCTAGTGGCTACTGTCTTGGACAGCACAACTCCTTCTTTTTAACACAGTAGTATCTGTCTGGAAACGTCCTTGGTATCTCCATGCTGCTTTTGGCCTTTTCAGTCTCTGGCCTGCTTTACTTATTACTCTTCGTCAGTGACCTCAACTGAAGCGATTTGGATAGAGGAGGACCAGCTTGAAAGATAGCCTGGCCCTTCTCTTTAAATTTTACCCTCCCAAATTGCATTCCCACTTTGCCATTTCCCCTCCTATTGTGGCACATGTCAGACCAGTGGGCTGAGATTCTCTGTATGTAATAAAGCTGTGAGGAACCTGGAGGTCATCTGAGCCATTTCCCTATCTTCATCATGGCTTGCTGACTTTGTCTTTACTCACTGCTTTAGTAGCGATTTTTCATCTTCTCTTGGGCCTTCCTACTTCCATAAATGGTTGAGATTAGATTGGCATCCACTTCTAATCTAGAAATGGCATCCATTTCTAATCTACATAGATTAGAAATCAGGACTAATAATCTTACCTGGCAAGAGAGCCAGGGACTCTAAGCCACACTTGCGTTTTTCCGAGACTGTCCTACATTCGTTAAATACATACAAACCTGACCCAGAATTCAATAAATAGTGGTAGTGATTATTTACTTGTTACCAGGGTTAACTGGGAATTTTCTGATCCATATCTTTAGTACTCACCTCTCCTCTGAGCCTCATGCTCTTTCTTGTGTCTAACTGCTGTTAAACGCTTTATCTTGTCCTCCACTCCTGTGATAGCATTTTCTGTATTTCTTGTCATAGTTGGTGTCACCACCGTTTATTCAGTCACTCAAACCAGAAATCTGGGATCATCCTTGAAAACCCTTCTGACTCCAGCCTGTCAATTACCATTGTTCCATTTTACCTCGTGATTTCCTAATTATTTATTGAGTCTGTCTCTTTTACTCTTTCTGGTACTATTGCCACCCCTCTTCCAGTCTTGGATCCCCTAAATCCATTGTACTTATTTACTATTTGCAGGGTGAAGTTTCCTACTTTATTCTTCTGCGTAAAGCCTTCTGATATCTACATTCCCTATACAAAGCCAGGCATTAACAAAGCCTGTAAGATCCTTCTAAACTGGCCCCTGCCTACTTCCCCTCTCTCTTCTTCACTGGCTGGTTCTTACCCTCTAAATTCTAGCAACTTCAAATGGCTTTTCATTCTCTGATTCCACAACACTGCCTCCCACCTCTTAGGAGAACCCCTTTTTTCCTTTTTTCTCTTTGACTAATTTCTGCTCATCTGTCATTCAGCTCAGGCATCACTCCCTTTAGGAAGCTGTGGATTTGAATGATGCAGGAACTGGGGACAGATACTCTTCACCCATGGGTTACAGTATTATAGATTAGAATTGTAGATGAGCACTGGCAGAGAAACTAAAGGTTATTGAACTGAATACCCTTTTTTATGGTGTGGGAAATGACTCGGTCATTTAGTAAGGAAAAGATCTGAGATTGGAACCTAAGTCTCACGGTAGTGCTGAGTCAGCCCTGGGTGCAGTGTGCTTTCTATTATGCCCTGCTGTTAAATCCAACCCACAGAGAAGCTCTGTTGCAGAACAAGTGGTAGAAGATCCCTACCTTGAGGGATTGAGGTCTGAGGAGCTGCAGTGATAGCTTAGAAATTATGCAGGGGATTTCTGATTCTTAAGACCTTTTGGCATCATCTTCTGGAGGGAGGAAGCGTCAAGGCTATAGTATCCATGCTGTTGGGGGTGTGGGGGTGGAGGGTGCAGTGCAAATTATGGGTACATGGAGGTGTACAGGAGGATACTTGAGATTTGGGAGCTGGGGCATAGAAGAGGGTAGCATTGCACAGCTTTTGTTTTGCCTTCTTTGTAAACACCTGGCTCCTCTTCTGGCATACTTTTTGGAAGTTTGTACAGCATTATCCATCGGCCAGTGCTGCAGAGGCCAGTCTTAGAGGACAGCCCAGTAGGCCTTTACCATGCTTTGCCTCTGCTAACCAGATGATTTTCCTTATGCTTAAGGGGTGACTGAAATAATATGTTGTGTTATTTAAAAAAAAAAAAAAGGATTTGTCTTCGATTTTATGATAACAGAAAGGCTGTGTTACAGCAGTGAAATAAAGACATGATTAGCTCAGGCTCACAGGAATGGATAAGCACTAGCCAGCAAACAACTAGCTTGATTTTATTTCATGTTAGTACCAAACCATTAAAGTGTTTGTTTTTTTAAAACAGGATTCTCAGCTGGTAGCTGGTGTTGCATTCAAGAAGACTTTCTCTTACGCTGGGTTTGAAATGCAACCCAAAAAGTACCACAATCCCAAGATTGCCCTTTTGAATGTCGAGCTCGAGTTGAAAGCTGAGAAAGACAATGCTGAGATAAGAGTCCACACAGTTGAGGTAGGTGGGTTCACCAGTTGGTGGGGGCATGGAAATGGGCAGCTTTCTGAGCCAGAGCCCTGGGTCTTCATGGCTATTGTGGGCCCCTTTCTCTTCCTGCCCCCCTGAATATTGATGTCTAAGTACTAGGCCCCCTTCTTTCCATACTCTGTGTTCTCCCTGAGTGACCTTGACCTGAGGAAATTTGGATAGGGAACACCTGTTGAAATACGCTGTGGTCCTGGGGAAGGGGATGGCAGGGACTCTCTAGCTACATAGCCTGCCCGGTATTTTGGTTCCTCTTGTTGGTGCAAGTGTGAGTTCCTCCACTTCTAGACTAGACCTAGTGCTGCAGAGACAGGTGTGCTCTCATTGTTGATGTTACCCAGGCTACCTCTGGAGGTAGCCATGTCACCCACCTTTGAGCAGTTCTTGGGGAAGGGGTCTTTTTTTTTTTTCCTTTAAGACGGAGTCTCGCTCTGTTGCCCAGGCTGGAGTGCAGTGGTGCAATCTCGGCTCACTGTAACCTCTGCCTCCTGGGTTCAAGTGATTCCCCTGCCTTAGCCTTCTGAGTAGCTGGGATTACAGGTATGTGCCACCATGCCCAGCTAATTTTTTTTTGTATTTTTAGTAGAGACAGGGTTTCACCATGTTGGCCAGGCTGGTCTTGAACTTCTGACCTCAGGTGATCTACCTGCCTTGGCCTCCCAAAGTTCTGTGATTACAGGCATGAGCCACTGTGCCCGGCCAAAGGGGTCTTATTGGGAACTCCATGAATCCAGCACCTCAGAAGAGTCTAGACCTCAGCCAGTTTAAACTATTTCTCGCATCTGGACAGCACCAGCTGTGGTTCTCAGCCTTGGGGTTACTTTCTGCTTTTGTGTTGGGGAGTTTCAGGTGATTCCTAAGTCATCTCATGGGGTCCTTATTTGCTTGGACTGAGGAGTAGCTATTCTGTTTATCTCTGTTAATTCCCAGATGAATCAGCATGTTTTATTTGGTGGGGGCAGATGGGTATATTTTACCCTACCGTATATGTCAACCTTCACCCCAAAGCATTCTCATCCTTTTCTGGGTCTCTCCAGGATTATCAGGCAATTGTTGATGCTGAGTGGAACATTCTCTATGACAAGTTAGAGAAGATCCATCATTCTGGAGCCAAAGTTGTCTTGTCCAAACTCCCCATTGGGGATGTGGCCACCCAGTACTTTGCTGACAGGGACATGTTCTGTGCTGGCCGAGTACCTGAGGAGGATCTGAAGAGGACAATGATGGTAACCAGATTTTCACAGGCTGCTTCTCGGCCTTTGTGGCCCTGAAGGGTTTTCACTGACCCCTGGTATAACAGAGTGTACTGTCAGGTTGGCGTGTGAATTGAGCCCTGTTTTTTTTTTTTAACTCTTTTTTTTCCAGGACACATTCCATTTCCATGTGTGTGTGCCCAGTAGCACAAACTACTTTAGTCTAACCAAAACAAGTCCAGAAATCTGGTTTGTGAGAGAACCTAGCAGTAATGCTATGATTAGCTGGACAAACTCAAATATTGATTCTTCCAGCCAGATTTTTTCCCTTTCATGAGCATCCCACAAAAGATACTTTTAGGTTTAAAGTACTCCTGAGTTCAGTTGCTGGACCCAGTGCCACCCTAGTTTAGGGGAGGGAGTATAAGCTGAATTGAATGGGTCCCTATCTCCTTTTAACTTCTTCTGTTTGCCTTTGATGTGTTTTAGTTCTATTTTGTTTTTTTTTTGCTCTTTCAGAGAGGGGGAAGGGTCGCCTGGAAGTCAAGGGAAAGGGCGGGTAATGTAGAGGCTCTGGGGGCATGCGTGGGAATTGGCTTTGAGACGAGGTGGCAGGAAGCTGCCTGGCCTCGGGAACCTTCACTGCTAGATCTTGCCTTCCTTGCTCCCTAGGCCTGTGGAGGCTCAATCCAGACCAGTGTGAATGCTCTGTCAGCAGATGTGCTGGGTCGATGCCAGGTGTTTGAAGAGACCCAGATTGGAGGCGAGAGGTGAGCCGTGGGCCCAGGCCGAGCTCACAAACCTGCCTGGGTCTGGTCTTCTGCCATCTTTTGGCTGTGGTATACAGCTTTTACAAAGTCTCACCTTTGTGTACAAAGTGGTATACAGCTTTTACAGAGTCTCACCTTTGAGCCATAAAGAGCTCAGATAATATACAGGATTACAGGAAGATCTAAAAGCCTTGACTCCACAATCTTTTATGCCCTAGTGGTACAGCTGCAGACCTTTCCAAGAAAATGTCTATAAGGTTGGGATTGGGTAACCTGAGTGAAGAATGTAAGAGCAGCTGCTGAGTGTTGGGGGGGCTGGCAGTGAGGACAATACAGTAGGATGGTGGCAGACAAGAGTTCATGTGTGTACTGTTTAATCCTGGGCATAGGTACAATTTTTTTACTGGCTGCCCCAAGGCCAAGACATGCACCTTCATTCTCCGTGGCGGCGCCGAGCAGTTTATGGAGGAGACAGAGCGGTCCCTGCATGATGCCATCATGATCGTCAGGAGGGCCATCAAGGTACTGGGCTGATATCCTCCTGCTTGCACAGCCTACTCTCTCCTATCTCCCTAGCTGATCAGACCTTGGATTTGTGTGGTGATTCCTTCTCTATATAACCTGCCCTTTCCTGGGTGGTGTGGTGAGCCCTGATTTGCCCCACAAATGGTAGAGAAACTGAGCCTCAGTTTCTCAAAAATAGGTCATCCTGCCTTGAAAGCTAAGACTTGTTCTTTTAGCCGGGCGTGGTAGCTCACACCTGTAATCCCAGCACTTTGGAAGGCCGAGATGGGAGGGTTGCATAAGACCAAGAGTTTGACACCAGCCTGGGCAACATAGCGAGATCCTGTCTCTACAAAAATAAAAAAATTAGCCAGGAATGGTGGCATGTGCCTGTAGTCAGTCCCAGCTACTCGGGAGGCTGAGGTGGAAAGATGCCTTGAGCCCAGGAGTTGGAGGTTACAGTGAGCTATGATCACACCACTGCACTCCAGCCTGGGCAACAGAGCAAGCAGAAGAAAAAGACTTCGTTTTGTTAGCAAACTGGAGCTAATGTAGTCAGATATTCCAGTAATTGTGCCAGTGTCCTTGAGCTGCAGGTGACCTTGAAAATAGTCAGAAACCATAAGGTTCACCAGGTTGAAGTTGGGATGTTCTAGATAGGGGCTGTGTCTGGGCGTTTGGGGCTTGGGATGGAGGAAGGAATGAAGAACCACTCTTTCTGGGCTGAAGGGACCTACTGAGTGGCCCAGCATGGAAGCTTGGACCAGGGGCCCTCTTACATTGAGAGGTGGTCTGATCTCTGCAGAATGATTCAGTGGTGGCTGGTGGCGGGGCCATTGAGATGGAACTCTCCAAGTACCTGCGGGATTACTCAAGGACTATTCCAGGAAAACAGCAGCTGTTGATTGGGGCATATGCCAAGGCCTTGGAGATTATCCCACGCCAGCTGTGTGACAATGCTGGCTTTGATGCCACAAACATTCTCAACAAGCTGCGGGCTCGGCATGCCCAGGTGGGTCCTTTCTCTCCCCAGGGTTCAGGGTTTGGGCGGGTGGGGCTAGATTCTGAATGTGAGCTGTGCTTACTCAAGCTGTGCACGCCTGGCCCAGGAGATAGGCTGCAACTCCCCCCAGCCTGTCTGCCTGACCAACTCCCTCCTCTGAGGGCAGAAGGAAAGCCATGGTGCTAGCACAGGAGATCCAGGGTTTCTTCATTGCTTCTACCAAGAGTATGATCGTGGCCAGGTGCGGTGGCTCACGCCTGTAATCCCAACATTCGGGAGGCCGAGGTGGGCGGATCATGAGGTCAGGAGTTCGAGACCAGCCTGGCCAACATAGTGAAACCCTATGTCTACTAAAAATACAAAAAATTAGCCAGGCGTGGTGGTGGGCACCTGTAATCCCAGCTACTCAGGAGGCTGAGGCAGGAGAATTGCTTGAACCCAGGAGGCAGAGCTTGCAGTGAGCAGAGATCGTGCCGCTGCACTCCAGCCCGGGTGGTAGTGTGAGACTCCATCTCAAAAAAAAAAAAAGAGTATGATTGCTTCTTATGGTACCACAGGAGGAACCTTGCATCCACCTTCCTGGAAGCACATACTGACCACATGGAGTGGGCTTACTGGTGTGGTGAAGCTCTCCAGAGCCCTACAAGTGTGACCCTGGGCTAGTTACTTCAACCTCTCTGAGAGTTTAATTTCTCCATTTGTTAAATAGATAGAGGTTTGTTAAGTGCTTAGCACCCAGTGAATGACCCTGCTTCTGGCTTGTATTAGGACTTTTGCTTAAAGTCACTTTACCTCTGTGTCTCACTTGCCTCATCTGTAAAATCGGGCTATTTGAAGCAATGAGATGAAAGATGGGATAGTATTTTTGTTATTCCTGTTTATCTTGAGAACTCATTGTTTGATATATATATATATATATATATATATAGTCCTCAGGTGACCTGAGGATGGGGCCGCCCCAAAACACAACAGCTTGCCTGGGAGAAGATCCCAGAGGTCTTGTGTGGTATGTCCAGGGCTAAGGGGAGGAGTTGGCGGGAGTAGGGGTGTTTCCAGGTTCCTGGCATGCTCATAGGAAGATGCAGTATTCTTCAGCGAAATGCCACCAAGTTCAGAGAGTCTGCGGGTTCCTAGCAGTGTCTTTTGGAGTACCAGTTTACAAGAGGAAAGTTGAAAGTAGTTCCATATTACCTCCTTTCTTTTCCTACTCTTTTAGGGGGGTACATGGTATGGAGTAGACATCAACAACGAGGACATTGCTGACAACTTTGAAGCTTTCGTGTGGGAGCCAGCTATGGTGCGGATCAATGCGCTGACAGCAGCCTCTGAGGCTGCGTGCCTGATCGTGTCTGTAGATGAAACCATCAAGAACCCCCGCTCGACTGTGGATGCTCCCACAGCAGCAGGCCGGGGCCGTGGTCGTGGCCGCCCCCACTGAGAGGCACCCCACCCATCACATGGCTGGCTGGCTGCTGGGTGCACTTACCCTCCTTGGCTTGGTTACTTCATTTTACAAGGAAGGGGTAGTAATTGGCCCACTCTCTTCTTACTGGAGGCTATTTAAATAAAATGTAAGACTTCAGATAACTTTGTAAATTATTTTGGCATGGTACTCATAAATGTCTGGCTGTAGCTCAGAATTTTAGCTTTACATGCACTTGTCCAACAGGGAGACAAGAGCATCCTGGGGTGAGCTCCACTAGAGTGGCCCGTCTGGAAGTTTCACTGTGGTTGCATTCTTTGTTCCAGAAGTGGCTGGACAACACGCAGTTGCTTTCTTCTGGCATCATCTTATTTAGCCCTGGCCTAGCCAGACACTGCTCTCAGGGTTTCTCTGGTTTGAGTAAATGGGTTACATTACCTTGTCTGCCCCTTCTATCTCCATATTCTTTTGGTTTAGTCTTTTGTTCCCTCTTACTCAAGACTGTGAGAAGGGTGTTTTAGGGAGGGCTTATGCTCTCTAAACTCTAGTGATCCCTTGGAAGTCTACTAAGGAGACGACTGAAAGCACCCACCTAGTCTTTTCAGTTCAGCCCCCAGTGATCTTGGTCCTTCTGCTTTCTTGTGACCAATGGGAGTTTGGAATGGCTGGCACAGATGAGCTGGAAATCCAGCAGTGTCTAACATCCTCCTGATTTACACTGGTCCTGATAGCTGGCCTGCACCCTGCTGTAGTTGGTCGTTGTTAAAAGCTGGAGGTAAATGATGATGTCATTGTCAGCCATTGAGACTTGCTAGCTAAAACTGGGAAGTGATTTTTAAAAAAAATTCTCTGAACCCAGCCACTCCTGGTTAGATGGACTCTAAAGCACAGAGGATGGCAGGCAGGTCCAGGCTTTGGAGTCTGGCATTCCTCCTAACTTGATGGTCTTTAGGTAGACTAATTTTTCTGAGCCTCTGCTATTCTACCTGTATGACAGGGTAAGAGTAGCTGGCTCAAAGAGTAGTGAGACTTAAATGTTTATTTTTATGTTAGAGACACAGTTTAAGCCTAAAAACACTTATTCTTTTTTCTGATTTTAAATATTTCAGGACCTGAGGAATCAAGTCAGGGGCAGAAGGACATTTTGTAAAATGAGGAAGTCAAGGCCAGGCCATGATGTCAACCTGGTCTCCCGCAGTCAAAGCCTGATTGGCTGGCCAGAGCCTCCTGAGTAGGCAGTCAAGCCAGGGAGGGGCTGGGCAGTGCCTGCTGCCCTGTTGTACTGGTTTTGTCCTTGAAGGTAGTCTCTCCTAGCTGAGAGTCAGAAATGATGTATCTCAAGGCGTTTCCTCTGGATACACACACTGAAAGCAGGGTTGAGCGGTGGCAGGACAGTCACCCTAGGTGGCTTTTCTGCAGTCCTGAGGCAAGTTTTTGTTGTTTCTGAGACAGGGCCTCACTCAGTTAACTAAGCTGGAGTGTGCAGTGGTGTGATCTCAGCTCACTGTAACCTCCACTTCCCTGGCTCGATATCCTCCCACCTCAGCCTCCCAAGGAGCTGGCAATACAGGCACATGCCGAGCTAATTTTTCAGTTTTTCTTGCAGAGACAGGGTTTCACTATGTTGCCCAGACTAGTCTCGAATTCCTGGGCTCAAGTGATTCTCCCGCCCCAGCCTCCCAAAGTGCTAGGATTACAGATATGAGCAACTGTGCCCGCTGGCAAGTCTTGTTATACTTCATTCCCCTGGGTTACCTGCCTCTCTGCACTTGAGCTGCAGAAAGACCATGATAACACAGATGATAAGTGTGGCCACATACCATTTACCTCTCTGGGGCAGATAGACCAGTTTCACCATCTTTTTTATTGGATACAGAGCCATAAATTCTCTGATGCCCATGTGAGTCCTTTTAAATACATACACTCAGGTACATTCAGCAAAGGGCATCTTACGGGTGACATGGAGCAAAGTGCTGGGATGGCGATGCCTGGGTGGGGCAGAGAAGTGTGGCCAGGGAAGGCCCCCTGGGGGCTGGAGGTACAGGCACCACTTCAGAAACAAAAATAAAACCAAAAATTGCTCTCCACCCCTCTGCCTGTGCTTGGGGCTGGGGAAGCTACCCTCTCACTCAGGCCCATTATAGCCTAGCTGTGTAGGAAGGTAGGGCCTAAGGGCCAGTTATGGAGGTTGCCCACCAGTGGTGCCCACTAGAACCAAGCCTGCTGGCATCAGCCACAAAGCAAGCCTGGGTCACCTCAGGCCTCTGCCCTGGATACAAGACCCTTGTCAGGGCAGAGCTGAGGCTGGCAAGCCCAAGGCCAAGCCTCCCTTGGGCCATGCTGGCAGTGGCAGAGGAGGCTTGGCCTCACGGTGGGGAGCCTGCCTGATTGTCAGGGCAGCCTTGGGACTGGCTGAGGTCCCAAGGGTTTGGGGAGGGAGTCGTTGCCTTAGCTGGCCCTGGTATTCTGATCTTTACCCAATCCTAAACCTTATCCTCAGGCAAGGGCTGCAGATGAACACACTTGTCCAGGAATACATACATACACACAATACACAGCAATATATACAGAAATGCAGGCCGGGCACAAGGCTGGGTGAGAAAGCATGGCCACTGGGTTGGAGAGAAGGGCCAGGCCCCCAGGGGAAGGAAGTTACACTCATCAGGGACTGACAGGCTGGGACAGGTCCCATGGGTTCGAGTTAACTTCTCTGGGCATTTGGGCCTTACACCCACTCACCATCTCCTGTTTTTACCCCAAGTCCAACAGGAACTGGGACTTTGGCACCAATAGTCACTCTGGGAAGGCCTCCTTCAACTTAGCGCCTTAGAGGGATTGGGGCCCGGGTGACTCCCCACTGGTGGCCCCAAAGATAAGAGACCAGGAGTGGGGAAATAGGCAGGACCCAAAGGCAAGGGATGGAGCCAAACCTTGGAGTAGCAGGCCTTGGGAAGGAGGACTTTTTTTTGTTTTTCTCTTTTGAGGCAATTCCTGAGGGGCTGGCTCAGACTCGAGTGTCACAGAACCAAGAAAACAGGAGCTGCCTTGATCCTTAGGTGGTCTCTCCTGGCTGGGGAAAGGCTGTGGTGCTGGGCTGGGCAGGCCACCCACTCTTTATTCCTGCAGGGATGCATATAAGTGCACCTTCATTTCCTGCCGGTGCTGTGGGGAAGCAGCCTGAATAAAGCATGAAGTACTTAAGCCAAGTACACCAACCTCCCAGGTAGGTACTGGGGCCAGACTGGATGGCAGGGGGTGGTAGAAACACCAAGTGGCCACCCCCACTGGGCCTCTACACATACCTGGGGCCCCTGGAGCAGGGCTGCTTGCTCTCAGATATTCCTTTCTTGCATCTTACTGGGTATGAGATGTGAAGGGATCCCGTTTGGGTGGGTAAAGATGGATGAAGTGCTTCTAGGGATAGCCAGGCCCTCTGTCCCTGTTCCCATCCTCAGCCCTAGCTGTATGGTCACCAAAAAAATCCATGCATAGAGCCTCCCAGCAAGCAAAAGCTCCCTACTCAGCAGCAGAGCTCATCCCCGAGGAGAGAACAAAAGAAGAGCGTCAAGGGGCTGGTGGGGCAGGGGCTGCAAAGCTGCCAGTGCTTGGGCATGCATGAAGGCTAGGGGGCACAAGTCTGTCAGCCCCAGGGTGCGTGTGCAATGGAATACTCTGACCTCTCATTCTTGCTGCAAAGGATTGGGCCTGCTCACACACATCCTTCACACACAGCCAGAACAGGGTGGAGGACTGAGGGGCTTTCCTGGAAATAGCCAAACCCATGGGAAGTGGACGTCCCCCCAGGCAGAAGGGTATCTTGTTCACCCCTCTGCCTCTAGTGCAGGTGGTGCTCAGTACTGTTGCACTAATGAATGAATGAGTGAGTGAAACTACAACTAGCATCTGTCCTTTCAGCACCACCTTTCTCCCACCCTAGCTCACTACCCATACACCCCAACCTCCTTTCTAGGGCTAATGCCAGGCATTCTAGTGTGTACCACCCAGAGAGAAGTTGCCTAGAGCCTTGTATTCAGGGATGGAAGGTCCCTGGGGCAGAGAAAATCCTTCAGTTGGGCAGGCTCAAGCCAAGCAGGGCATCCCTTTGTGCTTTGTCTAGGAGACAGGGAAGGCAGCACCTCTGGTTCTGGGGTCACAGGGAGCAGGAGCTACAGGGTGCAGTTGGCAAGGCAGGACCAAGAAATCCAAGGCAGCCAGGCCCTTACTGGACCTCCACCTCCCTTCCAGGCCTCTGGAGGAGAGGAAAGAAAGCTGTGCTGCTTTTTCCTGACCCCTGAGGACAGGGCTGGTGCAGGGAGAAGCCAATGGAGCCAGCTGCTCTGGGGTAGGAGGCAAGGGGTGCCACACACAGCCAAGGCTTTGTGCAGGACTGGGCAGGGAGTTGCCAGCATGACACCCTTGGTATTTTAGGTTTTCAAAGGGCAGGGACAGAATGAGCCACAGGAGGAAAAGTCAGCAATGATAGCAAAAGCTGGGACAGAGCTAGGGAGTGACGCCATGGGAGCTGGGTGTGCTGCTGCGCCCATGGGATCCCAGCTCTGGAGGACTCTTTACAAGGTAACCTGGGGGAGGGTCTTCATGTCCAAGCCAGGTTGTGTTAGGAAGTTGGGTCCCTGGGAAGGACTGGGTAACGAGGGGACCCCATCCCCCGCCAGGACCAGCAGCCTAATGGCTAGGGCTGGGAGCTGATCCTATCTAGGAGAGAAAGAAACCCTAAGATAGATCTAGTTTAGATGTTCGAAAGAACTTTCCAAATGAAAGTTGGCAGGACCCCCGGCCTCTGAGCTACTGTGGGAGTTCTGAGAGGAGGAACTGGGGAGACCTCAGCCTTTGGAGCCTTGGTTCTGAGACCTGATCCTTTGGGGACTGCAAAGGCCAGTGAAAAGTGAATCCTGTGGCTTCTAAGCCAAGTGGCTCCAGCTCAGGTCCAGCACTTCCCCTAGGCAGAAGACCCCAATGCAGCCCTCAGTCCACGGGGCCCGTGGAGACCAAGGAAGGGGGAGTGAGTCTATTGAGGATGCTCTTCCTCTTCCTTGGCCCCATGGGTCTGGCTCCCTGCCAAGGCCACATCTTCAAGCAAGCTAATTAGACAAGGAAGCAAAGCAAGCCACCCTCCTCCTGGCTTCCTCCACGGCCTCAGCACAGAGGGCGGCCCTGTGCCTCCCTCCCAGACAGCCTTGGTGACCCGAAGGCCATCGGGTTCCTGCCCAAGCACCTGGATTAGAAGGAAATTCCTTAAGGACAGGAACTACTTCTCACTGTGACAGGGCTGCCTGGGGCTGGGACCTTGACCCTCTGGAGGGTCCCTCAGGAATGAATGTAGGTATAGAAACGTGCGCCTTTCAGCTTTGAATTTAGCTCTGGTGTGCGGTGGGGTATGAGGTTGGGAGGAGGGGTCCTGTCTTACAGCAATAAATAAGTTTTCTCCCCCTGGCAATCCCCCACCTTGGAAGGGTGGTCTCATCCTGGGGAGAAGTTCTGGGTGACTGTTTCCTTTCCAAACCCACCCCCACTACCCCACTGTACTGCTGCCCCCAGCTTTTGGCTGACCACGTGCCCAGGCCCCTAGGTCTGGCTGTGGTACCCCCAGGAAATGTGGATCCACAGCCTGGGCAGGCTGTCTGAAGGGGTGCCCCCAGAAGGCTGCAGCAAGGTTGAGGAGAAGAGCCCTCCTTGCCAAGTCTGAGCTGCCTTGTGGAGCCCCCATTGGCTTGGGGCCCCAGATGCTCCTGACCAGGAGGCTGGGCCTCAGGAAGGAGAGGCCAGCCAGAACAGCTGAGGAGCCACTGGGTGGTTATTGCAGATCCTCCAGGTGATGACACCAGGCGCTGGTGGTGACAGCTCCTCACTGGCTGTGCCAGAGGCTACTCCAGCCGGGGTAGGGTGGGGGTCGGAGGGCAGCTTCTGTCCAAGCCCCTGTACTGGGGAGGCAGTGCCCTGGGTCAGGCCTGTTGCTCTGCTGCTCCAGGAGGAGGACAGGAGACTTGACAGTCCCCCTCCAGAAGCCAGGGATAACACTCGGCCTCCAAAGGTCTAGTCCAAACCAGGGTCCCTCTGAGGTCCAAAGAGAGTGCCCTGGTGTGGGGCTGGCAGGGGCCCTGCCGCCCCCTACCCGGGTTAGCAGCCGCCTTCCACCTTGATGTGCAGAATCTTAGAGAAGCCGGGCCTCCGTCGCAGAGCCTGCGGACCGAACCCTGGGTTAGTTCTCCCTCCGTGCCAGGCAGGTGGGGCCCTCCTGCCACACTCACCCAGGTCACCAGCCCCAGTCTAGGGATGCCACTTGGGGTCTTGGACAGCCTCAGAGCTGACCCCTCACCTGGAGTTTTGTCACCATGTCCTCAAACAGCTTCTGGGCCTCAGGGCTGCTGGGCTCTTTGAAATAATCCGCAATCCCAATCTGGACCACAATGGACTTGAGGTTCCGGCAGATGCCTGAGAAAAGGTGAGCAAAGTAGGGGCGTGTTTGGCCTGGGCTGTGGAGCTGCCTCCTCTCCTCTCACTAATTAATGAAATCAGACAATCAGGTGCCAGCTACCGGGAACACGACAGAGGAGAGCAGACTCATGCCACCTGGGGGCTGGCGACCGGATGCGGGGAGAGGTAGATGGGGCTGAGGCACAGGAGAGGCTGCATTGGCCTCTGGGAGGGTGAGTGGGCAGCCACCAGCTGTCCAAAGCCTCTAGGAACTTCCCTGACACAGGGGGCAGCTATACCATGGTCTGGGCATTTGGGGATGAATGGCAAGGAACAGAGTGGCTGAGGTGGGGCTCGTGGATCCAGGCTGAAGCACAAAGGAGGGGGAGGTGGGGCAAATACTTGGGGACAGAGGGCTTCAGGGACTGGATATGTCGTGAAGTCGGGGGAGGTAGAGGAAGATCAGGCGACTGAGAAGGGCCTGGAGGTCATGATTCTGGAGGCTGAGCAGTTAGTTCTGGTGGTAAAGTCCAGGGTATCCCATGTGGCTGAAGGGGGAGGAAGGTCTTGGAAAGAGGGTCAAGGCACCTTGGCGCAGTTGGCATGGGGTCCTCTCAGGAGCCAAAGGGTCCTGGCTGGTGGTCTCCTTGGGCAGGAGCAGCCCACACTGGGTGCCAGGTCCTCAGTGCAGGTGGAGTAGTGACTGAGAGTGGAGTGGGTGGTTTGAGAAAGGTGTGGAAGCCAAGGAGGTATGATCTGGAGTCCAGGGAGAGAGGAGTCTTCACCCTGAGAACTGTCCTTGGGGGGGCTTCCATATATCATCTCATTTAATCCTCTCACCCATCCTAGAAAGTCAGCTTAGAAGATGGGAATACAGGACTCAGAGAGGTATAGTAACTTGCCCAACATCACTCAGCTAATAAGTAGCAGAGCCAGACCTGGGACCTAGGTCAGTCAGGCTCTAGAACCAGTGCTCTTAACCTGTCCCCCTGCCTCTGCCCTTGGCTGGAGACTCTGATCCATCTGCCCCAGTGATAGTTAGGATACCTGCTGACAGGGCCCCGTGGCAGGTGATAGTCGTACCCTGCCCCTCATTCCCCCAGTGCTCACTGTTGAAGTGCAGTAGGGCCTTAGGGGTGACGGGAGTCGCCGTGAGCACCAGCATCTCCAGTCCCTTCAGGCCTTCCCGGCAGACCTCTGCTGCCACCTCCTGGGTGATCTCTGACACGTGGTCAAGCTCCAGGACCTGCAGCCGCATGCAGTTTCTCGCTAGGAAGAGGAAGAAGGGGGATCCTGCTGACACACTCCCCAGGTCACCCCTGCAGCCAGCACCCTGGCTACCACCCTGCCACCTGCCACCACCCAGGCTGCAGCCCCAAGCCCCTGTGGGATTTCACAAGGCAGCACTGCACCCATGCCTGCTTCCCACTACCCACCACCCCAGTCCAAGGAAAGACTCACCGAGTGATGCCAGGCCCTGCACCCCACAGCCGGCACCCCCGACCCCCAGGGCCCGCAGGTGGGGCCAACAGCGACCAATCATCTGCAGGCAGCGGTTACTGAAGCGTGTGGGCTGCTGGCTGGAGAATGGGAAGGGGGAGCCGTCAGGGAAGTCTCTGGATGCTTGATAACCCAGCATGCTCCTCCTGTGGGACCCCTCCCTGACTCAGGCAAGCATTCCTCCAACAACCCAGCAGGTCAAGTCAGAGAACCAGGATCATCCCTGACTCCTCTGCCCTCATCTCATCCACCAAGTCCTGCAGATTCTGATTCCCAAGCACTCTTTTTTTTTTTTTGAGACAGGGTCTCAATCTGTCACCCAGGCTGGAGTGCAGTGGTGCAATTTCGGCTCACTGCAACCTCTGCCTCCTGGGTTCAAGCAATTCTCCTGCCTCAGCCTCCCGAGTAGACAGGACTACAGGCATGCACTACCATGCCCGGCTCATTTTTTTGTACTTTTAGTAGAGACAGGATTTTACCATGTTGGCCAGGCTGGTCTCAAACTCCTGGCCTCAAGTGATCTGCTGCCTCGGCTTCCCAAAGTGCTGGGATTACAGGTGTGAGCCACTGCGCCCGGCCTTAAGTACTCTTGAACCCACAGTTCAGACCACCATTGGCATTCTCTGGGTTAGCACTAGTCTCCCTGCATCTCATCCTCCACACTGCAGATAGGGAGCCCCTCATTCCTACATCCACTCACTCTGCCATTCAGCAAGTGGTTATCAAGTCAACAACAACTGAGCTAGGCCCTGGGGGTACAGCGGTGACAACATAGACATGGTCTCTACCCTCAAAGAGTGGACAGTCTCTTTGGTGGCAGAAGTTGTGGGGGGCATAGAACATTAACAGTCTGATCTTAATCCCTTTCTTAAAATCTAAAATCCCGCCAAATAGCTTCCAATACTTTCTAGATAAAATGCAAAAAAACCTAAATTCCTTAGCAAGGCCCTTCCTGATTGCCCCAACTTTCCTTTCCATTCACACCAAATGCCATTTCCCTAAACATTTCAACCCTCAACATTTGCCCAGGCAACAAACATCTCTCTGGCATCTATTATGCATTTGGTACTAGGGATACAGAAATGGACATTCCTAGATTCTGCCTTGAGAACAACCCATCTGGTGGAGGAGATAGAAATATAAAGAAATTATTGCAAAGTAGGGCTGGGCGCGGTGGCTTATGCCTGTAATCCCAGCACTTTGGGAGGCCGAGGCGGGCAGATCACCTGAGGTCAGGAGTTTGAGATCAGGCTGGCCAACATGGTGAAAGCCCGTCTCTACTACAAATACAAAAATTAGCTGGGCATGGTGGCCCATGCCTGTAGTCCCAGCTACTTGGGAGGCTGAGGTAGGAGGATCGCCTGAACCTGGGAGGTGGAGGTTGCAGTAAGCTGAGATTGCACCACTGCACTCCAGCCTGGGCAACAGAGCAAGACTCTGTCTCAAAAACTAAATAAAAAAAAAAAAAGAAATTATTGCAAAGTAGATGACAGAGGGGTCAGGGCAACATGCAGTGGGGATTGAGGCAGGGGAGCAGTGACACACTCTACCCAGGGTGTTACAGAAGGCACACTGGATGACTGGGAGGAGCTGTCGCGTGGAGAGAGGCAAAATGTAGGGAGCAAAAGAGCCTGGTGTGTTAGAGGAACTCCAAACAGAGTGAGAAATGATTTCATAACCTGGATTCTCCAATGACCAGCTCTTTCATACACTGACCTCCCTGAACCACCTTTCATATGTCAAACAAAGCTGGTGGTTTTTAGCTGGTGTTTACTGAACAATTACTGTGGACCCTGCAGGCTTTGTGTACCTGATCTCATTTGGGCGAGCAACAGCCCTAAGGTCCATAGTTCCTAATACCACCTTTACTTTGCAGTTTGAGAAACTAAGACATGATTGAGATTGCCAAGGTGGCACTGCCAGTAAGCCAGGACATGACCCCAGGTCTGATTTTATTTATCTATTTATTTATTTATTTATTTATTAGACGGAGTTTCCATCTTGTTGCCCAGGCTGGAGTGCAATGGCACGATCTCGGCTCACTGCAACCTCTGCCTCCCAGGTTCAAGCGATTCTCCTGCCTTAGCCTCCCCAGTAGCTGGGATTACAGGCATGCACCACCACGCTCGGCTAATTTTGTATTTTTAGTAGAGACAGGGTGTCTCCATGTTGGTCAGGATGGTCTCGAACTCCAGACCTCAGGTGATCCGCCCGACTCAGCCTCTCAAAGTGCTGGGATTACAGGCGTGAGATACCGTGCTCGACCAACCAGGTCTGATTTTAAAGCCCTGCTCCTAATGCCTCAATGGACAGATTAATGTGTGTGGATCTGTCCTAATAGCTTGTGGAATGGGCTCAGATCTGCTAAGTCCTCAGCCCCAGACCAGGCCCAACCGTGTCCCCCCTCCTATCCCCCAAACCTGCCAGGGCTCACCAGGGGTGAAGTGGTGCCACTTGGAGGGAGACGATCTCTCTGCAGCCTGCGCCCAGGGCCCAAATGACCTCATGGCCCACGGGGTCTGTGGCACTCCTGTGAAAAGACAAAGCTGCTAGTCAGGCAGCAGGGTGGCTTATACTGGTAATCCCAACACTTTGGGAGGTCAAGGCCGAGGTTGGGGATCGCCTGAGCCCAGGATTCCAGACTAGCTTGGGCAATACGGCGAGACCCCGTCTCCATTTAAAAAAAAAAAAAGAAAGAAAGAAAAAGAAAATATACAAGACAAAGCTGGAGTCGCCCACAGTGGTGGCCTCTGCTCTTGCCAAGGCTTCCTTTCCTTCAGCCATAGAGCTCTTGGATCCCTTTGCTTGAGAACCCTGGGGGAGGCTATGCAGCACCTAGGGATCCGGTAGGACCCTGGGCTTAGAGGGAACAGGCCATGCTTCTAGTCGGTTGACCCACCTGTACGTGACAGCCTGCAGGGCACGGCAGTAGCAGCTGGCCAGCCAGAGCGAGCGGTCGGTGAGGATGTTTGGACAGTGGGAGATGCGCAGGATCAGCAGGTTCCCCCCAGCTGCCTTCAGCAGGGACTCCAGCCCAGCTTCCAGGCAGCCCCTGGGGATGACCAAGAGGTCAGAGAGCTGGCAACCTCCTCCTCTGGGAAACTTAATTCCAGGTCTGTGGCCCAACAGCACCCACCACCCACCCATCGCAGGCCTCACCGGGTGCTCCGGGCATACTCCTCCTTGCTCTCCTTCTTTCCCCGCTGCCGGGGCTTCAAGTTCTGCAGCGTCAGAGAGTGGGCCTGGGTGCACCACTGAGCCAGCATTGCCAGGAACTGTGGGGGAGGGGAAGGACATTTGGAGATGAAGGGGTCTGAACTTGGTTGGCTGGAGGTGGGCCAGCCCCAGGATAGAAGGCCCCATGAGAGCATTTCAGGGAAGCCAGGTTGGCATTACAGTGTTGTAAGGGTTGCAAGGACCAGACCTCAAGGGGCCAGATTCTACCCAGGGGGAAAGGTGGGTTCACAGCAGGGCACAGAAGGCAGGCAGGGGCAGGTACCTTGGAGCAGACACGGGCATTCTCAAGCAGCACCCTTGTCCAGACTGCGGGGTGGCGGGCCACGAAGCGCCAGTCCCGGCAGACCTCGGCAGCATGCAGCAGTGTGCGCGTGTCCAGGTAGGTGAAGATGCAGAAGAGGGCAGCTCGCATCTTCAGGATCTCTGGGCTGATGACCTCATTGGAGCGTGAGGGGCTGACCCTCTCTGCTCGCCGACCCCGCCCACTGCCTCCCTCGGGGCGGGCTGCAGAATACCAGGGGTTCAAAAGTGAGCGTGGAGGGTCAAGGCTGGTGTGGGGATGTGTGTGGGGAGCTGGGGCAGGGTAGGATCTGCAGAGGAATGGACATGCTGTGGTACCAGGGCCTAGGGAGGAAGGAAAAGGGGCCTCTGCCTCCCTGTCCTTTGCGGTACCCCATCTCCAGTTTTACAAATTACAAAAAGGCATCCCTTGTGTAAACTTCCTTTTTAAGGTTATATATCATTCAAACTCACCCCCTACAAGAGGCAACACATCAGATTTGGAGAGTGAAAGGGGTTGGGGGGGCGGTGGTGCTGGAGTATAAACCAGGCCTCTGGAAACAGAAGGCAGGCATGGGGCTGCCCAGAAGATGGGGTGTGGCTACACCCCTGACCCTAGCCCTCTCACCTCCCAAACCACCCACATATGTGTGGTGCCTTCTGTGAATACGGTGGGGGGCCTCTCCCCCACTGCACCAGGGGCTTCAGAGTTTGGAGGCAACACTCAACTGTTCTCCTGTAAATGTTGATGAGCCTACCACGTGAATGGCCCCCCTGCCCCCCAGATGTGGCATCCTTGTGCAACAGACAATCTGAGCATACTTGTGCCACTGCAGCCCTGCCCTGTCACAAGAGTTCCTGCCCCAGGCTTGAAGGGCGCTATGTAGGAGGGGTGGGCAAGTCTGGGGAAAGGGGAGGGGGGTGCAGGAGCCCAGGAGATTCACTGCCTCAGACCTGTGTCCCCCTGCCCAGCCTTCCGGGACCTACCTGAGAGCCGGCAGCTGCTCAATGGCCCAGCCATAGCAGGCCCGGGGCGGGGCGCATCCAACGGGCCCTCAGCCTCTGACTCAGTGGTTCGGGAGCCAACGTCGGAGACATCACCCTCTTCCCCCTCAGTGCTGTGTCGGCGGGGTCTGCGCTGCCAGTTCTGGATGGCCTGGCGCCGCAGGCCTGAGCTGCGAGGGGGCTGGGACCGCTCTGAGCCCCCGTTGGCAGCCTGGGCCCGTGTGCCCAAGCCCCCAGGGCCACTGTCCTCAGGGGCCCCCTCCTCTGGCCTGGGCAGCTCCAGACTGTCACTGTCATAGCAGCCTGAGCTCTGGGATGCGGCTGGCACACGGCTGGAGGCCCTGGGGCAGGGTGGACCACACAGTAAGGGGTAAGAGGCACCAGGCCTACCCAAACTCCCCATCCTGCCCCTACCATCAGCTGAGGGCAACCCACCCGCCCTGCTTTCCAAAAGCCCCCTCTGGGTGTGGAAAGGCAGACATACGTGACCCAGGGAGGGTAGGGGCAGGAGGGTGACACAAGCCCCAGACAGGCCAGCGGATCCTTCCAGGGTGAGGGTGGGCTGCATGGGGTGGGCTGGGCCCAAGGCTTACCCTGTGCTCGGAGAGGAGCCATGCCGTGACACTGCATATGTGTTAGGCACGGCCGGGCCCACGTGGTGTTCTCGCTGTGGGCCCCCAGAGCAGGAGGTAAAGGAGAGGGGCGGAGGAGGCAAGAGGATGAGCAGGAATAGCAGGGGAAACAGGGCAAAAGATGGAGAGGAGATGGGGGAGAGGAGAGAGAAGGGAAAATAGTTGGGAAAGATGGACAAATGGACAGACAGACAGCCCAGAGAGGCAGGCTTACCAGCCCCTCCCCACACCCACACAATACCCTGGACCCCAGCTTGTGGCTCCTGGACTCTCATTTGCAGGGATGGGCAGAGATAGCCCCCGAGGGCTGGGGCCACCGAATCACATCTCACTACAGCCTCGGGGGCTGGCACTGGCACTCCTGCCCAATCAAAGGGGCTCCCCTGTTCCTGGCATCTGCTGGTGGGGTAAAAGCCAAAGAAGGGGCGAATGCGGCATCATGGGGGAGATGTCCAGCCATGTGAAAGGTGAGGTTGTGGGGGGCCAGGTGTGCAGGTAGAGGAGGGAAGGCAGGTGGGCACTCACCATTCTGCCTGGGCCCCGGGCATTGGGTCCAGCACCACCGCCCCCACCTCCACGGCCCAGGCTGGCGCTGGGCGTGCTGCCACAGCTGCTGCTGATGACCTGCAGCTGCCGCTCGGCACGGTCAGCCCGCTCAAGGAGCTCCTCAATGAACTGCTGCAGCCGCAGCTTGGCGCTGGCCTCCCGCGCCGCCGTCTCCTTCAGGAACTGGTCGATCTGCACCACCTCCCTGGGCCCAGAGCAGTCTCTTACCCCAGAGCCTCAGCCTGCCTGCCCACCCACCCTCTGGAGGAGAGCCTGGCCAGTGCGGGGAGACACTGGCACAGCTGCCTGCGGTGTCTGCTTATGGTCACATGGGTTCCTGCAGAACAGGCCTAGCACACAGCCCCGCACGATGACACATACAGAAATGCATGCATGCACTCCGAGCCACACACTCACACCCCACCCACCTGGCCCCAGACCCTGCTCTCCACAGAAATACTGCACACCCTGCTCTCCACAGAAATAATCAGGCATACTCAGTCCCACACAACCCCAGGCATACATACATCCCCACACACATGTACCCCATGTACATCCATATGCCATAACCAGACACATCTCTCTCATACAGAAACACAGACATGTTCAGTCACATGTGCATGTCCTTCGATACCCAGCATCCCAACACAGAACACTCCTAGGCACACACTTAGAGCCACCAGCCATGTCACATATCCCCACACAGAGGCTCATTACACAGCCCCAGGCACAGCCTCACACATTCATGTTTGTGTAGTCACATCATGTTCCAGCTTGGGCATGTGCTTACGTGTGAGACACGCAAAGAACCATTGAGGCACAGTACCACCGACACAGTCAAACATACTTGCAGGAACCTTCAAAAATACACACTAAGTCACATCAACCCACAGAGGAATACACTCAAATGTGGAAGCATACTGATAGTTTGCACCAACTTGTAGGAGCTGCGTGAACACATGGCACACTTAGAATCACATGCATACTTACTCCCAAATGCATTCCCGGTTGTTTGTGCATCCATTCAACATTTATTGAACACCCTCTAGGTGCCAGGCACTGTTCTAGGTATTGGGGAAATAGCAGTGAACAACTCCTGTCTTTATGGAGTTTATATGACAATGGGGACACATAAATAACATCTATATACAAATGCTCCTTGGCTTACAATGGGGATACATCCCCCTCATCCCATTGTAAGTTGAAAATATCATCAGTCAAAAATGCATTTAATGCACTTAACCTACTGAACATCAGTGCTTAGCCTGGCTTGCCTTAAATGTGCTCAGAGCACTTATATTAGCCTACAGTTGGACAAAGTCACTCAACACAAAGTCTATTTTATAAAAAAAAGTGTTGATCTCATGTAATTTGTTGAATACTGTACTGAAAAAAACAGTATGGTTGTACATACTGTTTTTCATTTTCATACAGTACAGTTTCTACTGACTGCATGATGCTTTTGTAGCATCGGAAAATCAAAAAATTGTGTCAAACCATTGTAAGTCAGGGGCCATCTGTAGTTCATAATCCTACATTTAAAGACCAGAGAAATGAAGAAGATTGAGACAGATAGAAGGAAATCCCAAGAGTGTCCCGGAAGCCAAGTGAAGAAGGCATGTCAGGGATCAGCTATGTCAAATGCCACCAATGGGCCAAGTAAGACGATGGCTAGGCCTTAGCAACAGGAAGGTCGCTGGTGACATGGGGACCCTGGTAGAGGTGGAAACCCGATCAGCCTGGGTTCAAGAGAGAAAGTGAGGAAAGAAATTGGAGACAAGAAGTATAAACAAATACAAGGAGTTTTCTGTAAGGAGGAGAGAAAAGGGGCAGTAGCTTAAGGGGAAGGGGGTTATGGCAGATGGGAGAAATGACATGTCTGTATGCTTTTAGAAATATGCAGAAACAAAAAATCGGGTGATGGAAAAGGAGAGGGGAGAGTTGAGCTATATCTTTGGCTAGGCAAAAGAGAAGAGGATCTGGTGCCAAAATGCAGGGGTTGGCTTGTCTAGGACAGAGAACGAGAAAGGCAGACTTCACAAAGAGGCACAGGGTCACACTGCCATGTCCTCACAGTACCACATATCATCATGACACTCTTGGCCCCACATGCATGCTCCTGGCCACGGATCCTCTATTACAAAGCCATGGCCACATACAGACACACTCAGGCACGCCCACGGTGGTGGTGGTGGCACAGTGACCCGCACAGGCACAACCACTCACAGGGCCCCGAGGGTCTACTCACTGCTGCTTGCGGCTCAGCTCCTGTTCCTTGTGCACCAGGTCCTGCTTGAGTGAGGCCAGCAGCTCTACGCTCACGTCCACCTGGCGGGAGAGCTCAGACGCGCGCTCCTCCAGCTCCTCCTTCTCGCGCCCGAGCCTCGCACTCTCCTGCCGCGCAGTCTCCAGTTCGGCCGCCTTGCGCTCCAGCTCGGCCTGCAGCCGGCCCACCTGGCCCGCGATCTTCTGCTCCACCTCCTCGCTCAGCCGCTCCAGCCGCCGGTCCACCTCCAGCTTCTCCAGCGCGCGGATCTTGAGGCGCGCCAGGCCCTCTTCGTAGGCCACATCAGCGGGTGAGGGGGACGCGGGCGAAGCGGAGGCAGGCCCGGGGCAAGGGCCGGGGCCGGGGCCAGGCGGCGGCGTCGAGCACGCCGAGGACGCCACGGACTTGCGGGCGAACAGCTCCCCCAGCGGGATCTCGATCTCGCGCAGCGCATAGCGCGCTGCTGCGGCGGGCACAAGGCCCGGCTCGGCCAACTCCTCACAGGGCAGGCTAGCGGGCACCAGGTCGCCGGGGAAGTGGGCGAGGGGAGCGTGGTGATGGTGGTGGTGCAGCAGGTGCGGCGCCGCGGGCGACGGCCCGGCCGCCTGCTCCTTGCCCTGGAAGGAAGTGCTCTCGAAGACCTCTCGCCGGGCGCCGGGCACGGCCAGCAGGGCGGCGGGCTCGGGAGCCAGCGGGAACCCCGAGGCAGCGGCGGCGGCGGCCGCGGCGGCGGCGGCGCCGTCGCAGATGCTGTTGGTCTTGGAGAGGATGTAGAGCGTCTCGTAGGTGTGGCTGTACTCCAGGTGCGCGCGCAGCGACGACAGGCTCCGGAAGCGCTTGTGCTCCCCGCAGCGGGGGCAGCGGTACGGCAGGTCCAGCGAGGCCATGGCCCCGCCGCCCCCGCGGCACGCGGGCTCCACCGCGGCCGCCCCGCCGGTCAGCCGGGCGCGCTCATGGGGGACCGCGGGCGAGGCCCCCTGCGGGGTCAGGAAGGCTCAGGGCGCCCGCGGCCTGGGGCGAGGAGGCTGGAAGAGACGCGATGAGTCTTAGGAAGAGGGTATCGCTGCTCCCACCCTGGCTCCCAGCCCGGAGCCCTCATCCCCCAGCCATGAGGAAATCAGCATTGAGGGGCAAGGGGAGACCTCCCAGAGGAGGCTGGCCTGCTCTGGCACCTGTGCGAGGGCCTGTATGTGTGCAAGAGACAGCGAGAGAATGAGATAATCTGTTTTTAAAGGGGCAGGCGCGTAATCACTTTTATTTATAATGGTTCCAACCTGGAAACGACCCAAGTGCCCATCAATGGTAGAACGGTTAAACTGTAGCATATTCATGATGGAATCTACCCAGCAATAAGAAAAGAAACTATTGGTACACAGTGACATGGATGAGTCCATCCAATATTATGTTGCATGAAAGAAGCCAGACCAAAGAGTGCATGCTGTAGAATTCCAGAGAGATGGAGTTCAAGAACAGACACAATTGATGATGAAGTCAGCATAGAGGTCCCCAGCTGGGGGCTACATGGACTAGGAAGGGGCAGGAGGCAGCTTTATGTGATGCGGAGAATGTTCTCTATCTGCTTTGAGTGGTGGTTATACAGTTGTGTACATATTTAAACAATCATCAAGCTGTATACTTAAAATGAGTGTAAAAATCCTTGGAAAGAACATGCATGCTTATTTTCATTTTTTGCAGACTGCACCCCCACACAGGCTGGAACTATTGGTACCATGTTGCAGTGACCAAGACATCACTCTACCTAATGACATCGCATGTGTCGCTGTTTGTTCTGTCCCGACTTCTGCACCACATCCTCCTATCCCTACTACTCCAGGCCCTTAGGTCTTTTTCTCAGACCTAGAAAAGGTGAGGTAGGCTTCCAGTAAGTGTCCCTGCCCTGCCTTTACCCCAAGGGCTTTATTATCCATCCTCCCCACACCCCTTTTGGCACAAGGTCCCTCCATCCCCCCACCAATTCTGGCATCCCAACCCTCCTCACTGTCAACTCCTGCTGCCCCTCCATCTCTGGCTTCTTGTCACTCTTCTCCTACCTTGTGGGGTCTCCATCCCATTCCTCACTGCCATCCTCTTCCTAACTGCCTGCAATAGGGCTTCCACTGCCCTGTGATCAAGGTCACAGACCACCTGCTGATCAGACAAGCCAGTTGTCATCAAGGGTCTTCACCTACTTGGTCCCATGGCCGATACTGTTGACCCCTCCATCTTCACAGCTGCCATGAGCTTTCCTGTCTGGATTTTCCCCTGGGTTCTGCAACTTCCTGTTCTTGCTGCCTTCCTAAACGTCCTCATTCCCTGAGGTCTGCCTCTGGAGCCCTCCATCTCTATTCTCCCCCTAGGAAGGCAGTCAGCTTCCCTCACACAGGTTTACTTGCACCTGTAAGCTCTACTTCTCCATCCTGACCTGCCGCATAGTTGTGTTGCCTTCTGGCATTTCCACAGGATGTATGGGTGGATGTCTGTTCCTTTTGCCAGCCCAGCATCCAGTCCTCCTCCTGGTAACAGCACCCTGCTTTGACCATAGGGAACCATCCTTCCCCACTTTCTCAGTCCACATGGTCTTGGGGATATGACATAGACCTGGCAAATCAGTCGTGGGGTAAACATAGAGCACCAAAGTTGAGCCAGTGAGCCCCAGGACTGTTCTGGAATGACTGAGGGAAAGCATTGTCTTTGGGATCAGGTTTCTAAGCTGATGGAGAAGGCCAGAGCTGCTGGTGCCATCCTTTCTCCTTTTGGGAGGAGACACCTGGGAATGAAGCCAACCCAAAGAAGCAAAACTTAGATGGAGAAACACATTCCTCACAGACACTGTTTGAGAGCCTGGCCTGTTCAGTTACACAAGCCAATCAATTCTGCACTCCCCCCCCCCCAACTTCTTTTTTTTGAGATGGAGTCTCACTCTTTCACCTGGGCTGGAGTGCAGTGGTGCAGTCTCGGCTCACTACAACCTCCCCCTCTGAAGTTCAAGCGATTCTCCTGCCTCAGCCTCCCGAGTAGCTGGGACTACAGGCATGTGCCACCACGCCCAGCTAATTGTTGTATTTTTAGTAGAGACAGGATTTCACCATGGTGGCCAGGCTACTCTCAAACTCCTGACCTCAAGTGATCCACCTGCCTCAGCCTTTGAGTGTTGGGATTACAGGTGTGAGCCACTGCACCTAGCCCCTATTTCCCTTTTTTGCTTAAGCTAGTTACAGTTGGATCTGTGTTACTTGCACCCAGAAAATATCCTAACCAAGAAATTAGAATCAGAGATGGAAATTTTTAATAGATCCACAAAAGAAATTAGCTGAACTAAGGAGGGGGACATAAGCTGGCACTACTTCCCCCATTCCCCACTCACAGGTTGGTGAACAGAGCAGCAGCAAAGCAGATGATTAAACTGTCTCCCACCATCCCTGGAGCTCAGGCCATGTACCTACCATGGCTGGAACATTAGGGGATTTGTAGAAAAATGTCAGGATGTTGGGAGTGTCTTTCCAACGGCCTCAGTAAGGTCCAACAAGCAAGAGACACACTCTGGTTGAAAGGAGCCCATCTGAAAGCAGAGAGGAAGAAAATTTGGGCTTGCCCAGAGAGGCCCTTTCTGCCTGCAGCCAGTAATTCAATATGGCTGAGAGTCAGATAATTAAGAGCCAGTTCTTTGCTTCAAGCTAAAGTCAGCTCAAGCGAAGACAAAGAGGCTGGGAACTAAGAGGGAGATAAGCCTGGGGCCTGACAGGTACTCAACTCCTTGGGCCCTGCTGAACCCTTCCTGCTGTGCCCTCCCAGCTGGACAGAAGCTTCCATTATAAGCAGCCTTCCATTGGGATGCAGCTTCAGTGAGAAGGGGCAGATGACCTTTTGCCTCCCTCCCCAAAGTTGGAGTTTGCTTTGCCCTGTGGCAGAGGCCCAGTTAGAGGCTGCAGAACCAAGGGCTCCTGGGATGGGCAGAACACTGAGGCCTGTTGCTAAGAGATAACCCCTCCCTCCTTCTACACCACCACCAGGGACTTCATTCAAGAACCATAACTTTCATAGAGGTCTCTAGCTTTGGTTAATAGCTCTGGGGATAACCAAATGCAAACTGACTGAAAAGCCTCCCAGGGATTAAGGGGATTGTATTGCCAGAAAGCCCCCACAAACCAAAGGATTGCTCAGCCCCTATGGTTGCCCTGAACCTCCCCAAACATGCACCCTTCAATGCCCCTCTCACAGAGACAGCAAAATCAGAGCAGTGAGATTGGTGTACCAGGAAACCTCTTCCTCACCATTCAGTCAAGCATGTGGACCACGGTCCAGGTTTTTTTCCTCACCCCCCTCTTCAACTAGGAGGGTTTTTCTTCTTCCAGCTATACAGTTTTCTCTCCATCATTGTAGTTGGGCCTTAAATGGAAAGACCATGACCTTAGTACCTAACCAAACAAACAGCCCCTTGCCATTGCCAAGATGTTGAATTGGGGATAGATGTGGTAACTGGGTGAAAACTTGGAATGTCTCCTCCCAGAAGTGGGATAACTGTGCTTTAAGTTTGGTGAGGGATAGTTGCATTATGATAAACAGGAAAATATTTTTTAAAATTACACAGTAAAGGGGGTCTGTGTCGATCTTTGACATCTAAGAAGTGAAATACAGTGGACTTTTATTGTTTTTGCTGCCCGGCTCTAGTCCCTCTTTATTGTGAATTGATCCCCAATTTTCCCTTTGAGAACCATTGCCTGCACTTTGAATAGATTTGGGTAGGGCTGACAGCTTCCATTGGCTCCCAGGGAACACACATGACCTCAGTCTGTTCCATTAGAATCACAGTGGTCAGGTCAGTAATGGACTCATTTCTCAGTCTGGGCCGATACAGTCACTTCGGGAGCTGTGCTCAGTTGGTAGGCTGTGAGCCTGGAGCCTCTTGTGGCCATTTTTGCCCTGTCTTTGAGACAAAAGTAAAGGACCCCTGATGATATTTGAGCATCCACATCCAGATGTGCCTGAAGCTCTAACCCAGGACTTGACCATTGAGAAGGGCTGCAAATGTTTTTGTAGCTTTTATCATTTGGGTCGGTTGCCAGTCTCTAGTAATGAGACTCCAGACTAACACAATGGCCCACAGTGTCAAAAACAAATCCCAGACTTCTCCTCACCTACTACCCAGCACCCCTGTTTCCTTTGGTGTTACTGTCCTCCCAGCCACAGCACTGGCCATCTTGATTTTTCTCTCTGCTAACCATCAAGACCTACTGGTTTTTCCTTCCAAGTGCTTTCAACCCAACTGTTCTTTTCTCATGCTTTGTACTCTTCCAGGCCACAACCTCATCACATCTAGACTGCTGGCCCAGCCTTCAGTCCCGCAGCTCCATTCCATCTGTAAAGGCATCGGATTCCTCTGCTCAGACTCCTTCAAGGGCACCCCCATCCACTACCAACTGCAGCCAAACTCCTCAGCTTCACGATCTGGCCCCTGTGCTCTTGCCAATTTGAAACTGGAAAGTGGCCTGGCTGTTTCACTTGCATGTCCTTGATTGTGATGGCTGGACAGTTTTTCACACATACACTGGCCATTTCTATCTCTTTGGTAACTTGCCTGTGCACTACTTTGCTCATTTTCATACTGAACATTCATATTTTCTTATCGATTTACAAAAGCTTTTAATATTATTGATCCTGTGTCATTTATATACCTCAAATATTTTTCTCAAGTGTGTTGATTGGCTTTTACTTTTGTTTATGGTCTTTATTGATATACTAGAGTTTTAAATTATGCCGCCGTAAAATCGGATTTTGTTATTATGCTTAGGAAATCTCTCCCTACCCAGAGATTATAAACAGTTACATATGTTTTCTTTCGATACTTGTGATTTCCTTTTTTTAAAATTCCAGAATATTTTTTAGAATTAAGGGCTTTAAACAAATAGCCCTAATACCATAGACTGACAATGACTTGGTAGTATTAAATACTTTAGGCTGTATGATTTCCTTTTTCCTTTTGGATTTTTTTTTGTTTGTTTGTTTTTAGAAACAGGGTCTCACTATGTTGCCCAGGCCGGTCAGAAAGTGCTAGGCTCAAATGATCCACCCACCTCAACCTCCCAAAGTGCTGGGATTATAGGCCTGAACCATTGCATCTGGCCTACATTTGGATTTTTTTTTTCTTTTTTTTTTTGGAAACGGAGTATCGCTCTGTCGCCCAGGCTGGAGTACAATGGTGCGATCTCAGCTCACTGCAGTCACTGCAATCTCTGCCTCCTGGGTTCACGCCATTCTCCTGCCTCAGCCTCCTGAGTAGCTGGGACTACAGGCGCCTGCCACCATGCCCGGCTAATTTTTTGTATTTTTAGTAGAGACAGGGTTTCACTGTGTTAGCCAGGATGGTCTCGATCTCCTGACCTCGTGATCTGCCTGCCTCAGCCTCCCAAAGTGCTGGGATTACAGGCATGAGCCACCGCGCCCGGCCCTTTTTTTTAAGACAGAGTTTCACTTTGTCGCCCAGGTTGGAGTACAGTGGTGTGGCGATCTTGGCTCACTGCAACCTCCGCCTCCTGGGTTCAAGTGATTCTCCTGCCTCAGCCTCCCAAGTAGCTGGGATTGCAAGCACCCACCACCACACGTGGCTAATTTTTGTATTTTTAGTAGAGACAGCGTTTCACCATGTTGGCCAGGCTGGTCTTGAACTCTTGACCTCAGGTGATCTGCCCACCTTGGCCTGCCAAAGTGCTGGGATTACAAGTGTGAGCCACCACGCCTGGCCCATTTGCATTTTATAACCCAGCTAGAAATTTTTGGTGTGCATGGTGTGATAGGAATTTTTAAAAACCAACTTTCCATTATAGACATTTTCACACATGTTCAAAAATAGAGAGAGTATTATGATGAACTCCTAGGTACCCATCATCCAGCTTCAAGAATTCTCAACTCATGGCCAATTATTTTTCATCTGCACACTACTTCCCTGCGTCACACTTGCCCTGTCCCCACTATTGGATAATTTTGAGCAAATCCTAAATATCATATTATTTCATCCATAAATACCTTAGTATATGTGAGACAAGCCTTAACTTTCTTTTTTCTTTTGGACAGAGTTTCGCTGTGTCTCTCAGGCTGGAGTGAAGTGGCGCAATCTTGGCTCACTGCAACCTCCACGCCCTGGGTTCAAGTGATTCTCCCGCCTCAGCCTCCTGAGTAGCTGGGATTACAGGCGTATGCCACCAGGCCCAGCTAATTTTTGTATTTTTAGTAGAGGGGGGTTTCACCATGTTGGCCAGGCTGGTCTTGAACTCTTGACCTCAGGTGATCCACTTGCCTCTGCCTCCCAAAGTGCTAGGATTACAGGCGTGAGCCACCACACCTGGCCAAGATTTAACTTTCTTTTTTTTTAAAAAAATGATATGTAGTAGGCTAGGTGTGGTGGCTCACGTCTGTAATCCCAGCCCTTTGGGAGGCCGAGGTGGGTGGATCACCTGAGGTCAGGAGTTCGAGACCACCCTGGCCAACAGGGTGAAACCCCCTCTCTACTAAAAATACAAAAATTAGACGGGCATGGTGGCAGGTGGCTGTAATCCCAGCTACTCAGGAGGCTGAGGCAGCATAATCACTTAAACCCGGGAGGTGGAGGTTGCAATGAGCCATTCCGCCATTGCACTCCAGCCTGGGCAACAAGAGCAAAACTCCATCTCAAAAAAAGACAAAAAAAATGGTGTGTAGTAATTGTTTCAACATCACCATCCTTTAGGTATATTAAAACCCAAAATGTAGCCTTGAGAAGTAAATCCAAAACATGGTTCTTTGAAAAGACCAGCAAAATAAACAGCTCTCTGGCAAATCTATTCAGAGAGAGAGAGAGAGAGAGAGAGAGAGAGAGAGAGAGAGAGAGGGAGAGAGGGAGAGAGGGAGAGAATGCATTTATATATAACACATGGGGGAAAAAAAAAGATAACTGCTGGCACAGAGAAGATTTTCTTAAATTACTACCAGGTACAACTCTTGGCCAAAATTTTTGAAAATCTGGGTAAACTGAATGCTTTTCTAGGAAAATATAAATTATCAAAATTGACTCAAGAAGAAATAGAAAACTTGAATAGACTAATAACTATAGACAAAACTGAAGAAGTTGGCAAAGTGACCAGAGATATTCTAGAGTTCACACACATACAGAACTGTTCAAGAACAAGGATATTCTATAATGTATGGTGAGCCTGGTGTCAGGGTATCTGTGTGTATCTGTTCATCCTAACTAAGTGCTGGTCCTTCCTGTGGGGGGCATCTTTCAGGGCCCCAGAAGTAGCCAGCCTTCTCCCCACCCTGCCCTCTCTCACCATACACTTTTGAAGTGCCCCTTTTTGCCTCACAGCATCCTGCTAGCCAGGCTGCCAGACAGCAGGGGAAGGGGAAAGTCTGGGGGTATCAGCCTGTGGATGGATGTGTAAGGTGGAGGAGGAGAGGGACTTCTGGGGTCCAGGTGCCTCTTCACCCCAGGCCAGCCCTCCTCCACAGTTGCCCTCCATCTGCTGGAGCTGAGGAGTGACTATAAATCTTAGGAAAATTTTTGTCTAGATTTATGCACCTCCTAAGCGTGAGCCTGAAGCTTTGCTTGAATGCAGGCAAGAGGGCAATAAAGGCAGGGGGAGGTAGGACAGCAGGAAAAAGGAAAACAGAAGTGTTGTTCAAATTTCATCACAGGTCTGTACTATGAGCACCATGACAGAACAGTTGAAGATTTTCCTTTGCATTCTTGTGTCCCCAAATCAGCAACCTCTGCAGCCCTAAGACTTGCCTCCTTTTTTGGCCTGGCCCTGCCTCCAGACCTGTGATGCTCCTCGTATCTGAAATGCCTATCTCAAGCCTACTCTCTTTCAAGTCCTCATCAAGGTTTTCTTTGGATAGAAGGATTCTACAGGCTGAACTAATCAGAGGTACTTTTTTTTTTTTTAAGGCTTACAGGTATGTGAGTCTTACCTCTTCAAACAAGACCAACCATCTTAAGATGTGTGTCTTCTGTAGCTCCTGTTTCCTGTCACATTCTCACACATTGGCTTTGCCAGCAACACAGATCATCTTGCATTTCTATGGCTTCCACCATCATGTGGTCACTGATAGTCCCTGCAGTGGGCATTACGATTTTCATCTGCTCAGCAAGTCTTCTTCACCTTTTGGTAATAGCAACATCTCATCCTTTCTTTAGTGAGCTGCCCCTCTGTACTTTATGTGGTTGTGGCCGGGTTGTCAATCCTAGTAGGTGGGCACATGACCCAGGCCTGGCTAATCACAGTATTTCTATCTTCTTGGCCACAGTGATTGACCCAGGGTTGAGCACATTCCTCAAGCTGAGCCAACAGAGTCCTCTATTGGGAGTTTATATGAAAGATAAAGTAGTCCTCTTGTCCCTCTGGGATCCCATGCTAGGACAGTGAAGCTGTCTATGGCCTTGTGCAACCTCCACCCATCACATGGAGAAAGCCCATGCATGGTGGGGAACAAGGTGGCAATACTCAGAGGAAAGCTGAGCCAAGAGCTGTAAAGTCCTCACCACATCTGTGAGGACCTAGGTGTCTAAGACTCATTCATTTCCCTTCTTTCCAGTTATATGAATTGGTAAATTTACTTAAAGTAGTTCAGGCTGAATTTCTGTCCCTTGCAATCAAGTGTCCTAACTAATAGTCTCCCAAATCTGCATTTCTAGCCTAGATTTCTCTCCTAAGCTCTATTCAAACACGAATTTATTCTATATCTATTTACTGAGTACCTACCCTGTGCCATGAGCTATACCAGGTGCTGTGCTAGGTTTGTTGAGGACAAAGACAAACAAGATCCAGTCCTGGCCTGCAAACAGTTTGTTGTCTCCCAGGGCTGACTGAGGTGTTAGAGTATACAATTATGAAATAAACATTATGCAAGAGGCAGGCACGGGATTCTACACTTAACTTGAGGAATTGGGGGACTGGGGAACCCCCAGAGGTGGTGGCATCTAAGCTGACTCTTGAAGAGCAAAATATAATTGCCAGGTGAGGAAGAGCAATTATGAGGTTGGGGTAGGAGAAGAAAGACAATCGGAGCACATGAAACAGCATGTATAAGGGCAAGGAAGTGAGAAAGAGTATTCCTCCTTCAGGGAACTAAAATGTAAGCTCCTTGAGGATAGAGACATTGTATATCTCAATCACTGCTGTTTCTCCAACACTTCTAACAGTGCCTGGCATGGGGCAGGTGCTCATGGGGTAGTGTTTGTAGAATGAATGAATGGCAAGGGCTTGATCAGATTTACAGTTTAGAGAACAAAATACAGAGAGCCAAGGTCAGGAAGAAGGTTGTTGGAACACCGGAAGTGGAAACTATTAACCACGGTAGCAGGAGTGCAAATGGGGAGAAGGATGGATATGGGAGCAATTAAGGAAGGAGAGTCAAGAAGGCCTGGTGACAGAATGACTGTGGCAGGTAAGAAAGGGAGGACTCAAGGATGAGGCTCGGGTTTGGGTCTTAAGCAACTGGGGAGATGAGGATGTGACTCAGTAAGGAGGAAAAATGGAGGAAGGCAAGTTTTGAAGGGAGATAATTTTGGCTGTGGATTCCATGAGGTTGAGGTTCCAGTGGGCCGTGGAAGTAGAGATATTCAGTACATGAATTGCAACACGGAGCCAAAAATACAGTTTTGGCAACTTAAGGGTAAAAAGGAAAGTATTTAATCAATGAGCAAGTCCAAGGGAGAGGGCTCAGAGAGAGGGGAGCTGGGGGAAAAGATGGACCCTCAGAGAGGCAGAAGAACAAAGAGGTTCCTAAGAACCAGCAGCAGAAATGGGAGTTCTGGCAAGGAATGTTAGGGAAGAGAGGATGTCCAGGAGAGGAGTGAGCAACAGTGGAAATAATGTTGAAAACTCAAGTAAGAGCAGAAGAGGGAAGGGCCCACTGGGGACTTTCAAGACTGCTGCTTTGATGGGCCTGGCTGATGTGGGCTGAGGAGTGAGTGAGGTAAGGACGTGAGGAGACAATGAGTGAATACAAGAAGCTCAACTGTGAAGAGGAGGAGGCAGCATGGGAGAATCCAGAAGCAGTTTCTAAGATGGGAGTGACCTGAACATATTTAAATGCTTCTTAAGGCTAACCTAATTTTACTGTATATCTTCACTTCCGCAGGCCCGAGGCACGAATAATTCAATGCCTTAGACCTGAAATGTATAACAATTCTTTTTTAAAAAATGCTTCTTAGAAGCAGCCAGTAGACAGGGAGAGGATGAAAAGGGTGCTATTTCAATGTTGGCGGCTCAAAGCTTAACGTGACTAATACTGAACTCACAATGCCCCAACACCCGCCTTCAAACATTCTTTCTCATGGCTCCCATCTCAACCAATACCCATGTTATATACTCAGCACCCTGGATAGCGACCCCCCCTGCCCCCGCCCCTCAACCCCAAAACGCCACCCTGGCAAGCCATCTCAGAATTCTCAGTCCCCCTCAGATCTCATCAATCACTGATTTTTGTCCACACTAACTTCTAAATATTTGATTTTGTCTACTTTTCCTAAAGCCACTTCCCCAGTTCAGACCTATATCCCCTTCTATCTGGACCACTGATATTGTCTAACTGGAGTCTATAAATCTCCCAGCTTTGAATTCTCACAGCTTCCAAAGTTTTCTGCATATATTGATCCAGTCATGTCACTTTTATTCTAAAAACATTTCAGAAGGCTGGCCATCTTCTGAGAGGTGACATCCACCCAGGCTTGCCCACCCTCAAGACTGGCTGGAATCTAACCATCCCTGAGCTCCGCCCACTCTAGCTTTTGTCTCTGCTTCTCTCCCATGTGTGTTCTTAGGGTGCCCTACAAGATTTTGCTCCATGGGGAAATGCCAAGTCTAGGCTCATGCTGGTCCCTCTTCCTGGGACTCCTGGGCCTGAATTCTGCAGGCCCAGCTCAAATGCTACCTTTTCCATCAAGCCTTCCTTGACCTCTCCCTCTACAGCTCAAATCACATCACTGCATGAATCACTCCTTACTGCACCTCTTCAAGGATGTGGTAGCAGACATCACATACTGATAATCATGGACATGTTTGCACATCAAATACCTCCTAACACATACACTGGAAGCAGAGACAATACAACTGATTCATCCTAACACACAGTAGATATCAGTATGTTGTTAGAGGAATCACACTGAATAATGGAGAAATTGATTGACTTCATGTAACCAAAGCAATTTCCACCACTTGTTATCATGGAACTGGATGAACTGGTTACAATTAAGTAAATCCAAGAATCACCTTGAATAACAGGTGGCTTCCTGGTTCTGCTGGTCACCTACTGGGAGGTAAGAGCTTGCTGTGTCTTCTCAATGCTGCAGCTTTGCTCTAGCTGAGCTCTTAGGCTTAGGGCTTGTCTGCTTCATTCCATTTTATCCACCCAGCAAACGATGTCCAGCACAAGGCCCATGTTAGGCACTGGGTACACATAAATGAATGAGAGTTGTGCCATTAGGGTGCCTGTAGTTTAACAATCAAAACAGTGAATACTTATCTACTAATGATTCTGGTCAGACATCATGCTATTCACTTGGTCCTCACAACAATGCTGCCAAGTAGGTGGTACTGCTTCCATACTAGGATGAGGAAACTGAGGCTCAGTGTCCAAATCACTTGCCCAAGGAAGGCCTGTAATGGACTGTTGCTTTGGTGGTTCCCAATGAGACATGCCTCCCAGTATTCCTGTCCTTATGTGCTCTCCTCCCACACTGACTCAGGGATTGGCCATGTGACTTGCTTTGGCCAACTGGACATTTGCAAGCCTGATGCAGGCAGAGGCTCCATCAGCAGTAACTTAGGACTTGTCCTCTTGGAATACTCCCTCTTGGGATCCAGCTGCCACATAAGAAACTTGGGCTAGACTAGCAAATGATTAGATGCCATGTGTATTAAGACCCTGAAGAATGAGAGGCTATTTTGATGTCCCTCTCCTGTTAGGCTCTCAACATAATGCAGCTGTGTGAGAGTCTACGTGAGACCAGCAGGGCCCACAGCCACAGACACAGTCACAGCTGACCCACAGACCATGAAGGAATAATAAATCGCTGTTGTTTTAAATCCAGAAATTCTGGGGTGGTCTGTTACAACCTAATGAATAACTAAAACCATGATAAACTAGGATTTGAACCCAGTACTACCTGACTACCAAAGCTCATGCCCTTGGTCTCCACATTGTGTTCCTTCTGATTGAGAGTGGAACATCATACTAACAGTGTAATACACACAGGTTGGCCCATGGTAGCATGCAATAAATTTCTTTTTTTTGAGATGGAGTTTTGCTCTTGTTGTCCAGGCTGGAGTGCAGTGGCATGATCTTGGCTCACCCCAACCTCTGCCTCACAAGTTCAAGCAATTCTCCTGCCTCAGTCTCCTAAGTAGCTGGGATTACAGGCATGCACCACCACACTGGCTAGTTTTTGTATTTTTAGTAGAGATGGGGTTTCTCCATGTTGGTCAGGCTGGTCTCGAACTCCTGACCTCAGGTGATCCACCCACCTCAGCATCCCAAAGTGCTGGGATTACAGGCGTGAGCCACCGTGCCTGGCCTAATATTTGTTAAATGAATGGATAAAGGGTATGATAGGCCACTAGAGAGGTAAAGAGATCTAGGGAATTCAAAGGCAGGATGGTAATTACTTTTCAACAACCATCACCCCCTTCCCATTACAAATATTCCAAAACAAGGCTGTGCACAGTGGCTATAATCCCAGCACTTCAGGAGGCTGAGGCAGGAGGACTTGAGCCCAGGAGTTTGAGACCAGACTGGGCAACATAGGGAGACCCTGTCTCTACCAAAAGAAAAAAAATTAGGCAGGTGTGGTGGCATATGCCTGTGGTCCCAGCTGCTTGGGAGACTGAGGTGGGAGGATTGCTTGGGCCCGGAAGGTCAAGGCTGCAGTGAGCCATGATCACTCCACCGCACTCCAGCCTTCGTGACAGAGCAAGAGCCTGTCTAAAACAAACAAATATTCCAAAACAAAAACAAAAATGAAGCCATTTAGGCATTCCTAAATCTAGAAACAACTGTGTGGATATCACCAAACTCCCTCTCTGTGTCTGTCTCTTTCTCTGTTAAATTCAGATCAGGCAAAATTGAGAAGGTAATAGAGTTTGTTTTCTGGTGGCCCTGCCTCCCGGTCCCCACCTCCCCATCACATTCATGGCATCTTCTCTCTTCATCCCACTTGGCCTTCAGGGCCCAACAGTTCTTTCCCTCTCTTTCCATATAAAATCCACATGCAGAAAAGGGGCTGAGAAGGTGGAAATTACAGAAATGGGGAAGGAAGGTTTGGATGTTAACAGATGGATTTACAAGCCAAAGAAATGAAGCTCTAAGCTCGGTACTTTTAGGAGGCATCTGCCAGCAGGTGGAGGTATCCTAAGGATGGGGGAGGCAGCCGGAGTTGTCCCCATTATACCCCTATTAGGCCCCTGTGGGTGGGGAGTAAAGGAATGTCCACTGCCTCTATAAATCCCTCTGAGTCCCCCAAGAAGGCTGGGGCTCTGGCTCTCCACACCTGTGGCTGTGGCCCCAACATGTATACCTCCCAGAGTAGTCACTCCAGCCTGGCGAAGACCCTCAGGGGTCAATGCATCCAGTCCTCTGCCTTCTAGCAGCCCTGGCACTGCTTTTTCTGTTCTAAGCCCTGCCTTACTCTCCTGCTCCTGCAAACAGGCATACACCTCCCAAGGTCACACACAGGCTCCAGAACCTGGATCCCATACCCAGAAAACCATCTGGGCCCCTCGCTGCAGAGAGACCTAAGGAGAGAGCAGGCCCACACAGTACTCGCTGGCCGACTGTGGGCAGTGCACACAGGCCCCGTGTCACACACACTCACATGCAAGGCAATGCGGAGGGGCGCACACATTCAGAGACACTGTGAGCACTGTCACCAGTACAGGCACTGGATGTGAAGAGACAGACACATGCGTGCACACACATGCACACCTCCAGACTATCACACGTGCACACCGGCACGCACAGACACCCGCACAGGTGCCCAGCCAGGCCTCAACACCAGGCCCCTCCCCCAGCCCCTCAGAAACCGGTAGGGAGGGTTGGGGTTTCAGGGCGCTTCCCCTCCCCCCTCCCTCTGGCCCCTGTTCTCCAAGGTCCAGAGTCCCAGTGGGGTTCTGGAGCCCGCCCCCGCCCCAAAACCTGGCTCAGGGAGCGACAGGCGAGAGGGGGGAGGGGAAGCCTGGTCTCGAAACGTTCTGATTTTAATTTCTTAAATTAACCCCTTCCCTGCCTCTGGTCTGGCCTGCCCAGAATCCCTCCCCGTTGGGCGGCCTCGCGGGCCTCCGGAGGGCTGTGAAGGAGCCGGAAGGGGAAGAAGGGACAGTGGCTGGGGTCCTCCCTCCTTCCCTCTCCGGGAGCAGTCCCGCAGCGTGCCCGCGACTCGCCCTTACCTCCTCCACCCCGCGGCGAGGCCAGGCCCAGCGGCCCAGGGCTGGGGACGCAGAAGAGCCCCCGCGTGCCCGGTCCAGACGCAGGGCCGCCTTGGGGCCTCGGATCTCGTTCCCCTCCGCAGCCTTGGGTGGCCGCCGCGGCTAGCGCCCCCGCCTCCCTCTCGGGGCGGGGGCGGCCGAACCTCCCAGCCAGTCGCAGCGGGAGGGGCGCACGAACCCGGCGGGAGGAAGGATGGAGGAGGAGGAGGAGGAGGAGGGGGAGGAGGGGGCGCGCGGGCCGAGGAAAGCAAGGGAAGGGGGAGGGAGGCAGCACCGAGGTGGGGCGGAGCCGGCCCCTCCTCCGGGGCGGGCTCTCCAGTGAGCTGGGGAGCGGCAGATGCGCCCAGCAGCGGCTGCGCCGGGACCCCACGTTTTCCGCTCAAGGTGGTTTCGATGGGGGAGGGGTCTTCGGCGCCGCCCTAGGGGTGTAGGGATGGCTCGCGCCGCGCTCCTCCCGGGTCCCAGTCTTCCCGGCTCCCGGCACCGCCCAGTGCATTCCCCGCCCTGGGCACCTCCAGCTGTGGCTTCTGTTGCCCACCTTGAATCAGGGCCTCTCCGCCCTAACCCTAGCACTCTGGCTTGGGCCTGCTTCCACGCGGGGGCAAATCCGGGGGTGGGTGGTTCTGTGAATCCGGAAGGGGGCGGGCGCAGGCGCTACTCCTGAGACATGCGCCACGGTCCCTAAGCGGCCTCATGGGCAGCGCGCCTGGGTCGTGCACTCGGCGACCTCGGGTCAGATGCTTGGTCTCCGCGGAGACCGCCTGGGATGATCCCCTCTGGGCATTCCTAGGGAACCCGCGGAACTGCTGCTGGACCCCATCCGGAGACCCAATTCTGCTCTTAAAGAGCCGCCTAGGAACACGTGTACCCATCACAAATCCCATCCCGGACCTAGAGGAGGAGGAAAAGGCCTCCAGGTCCCTGGTTCCCTCCTACCCACTCCCACCATTTGGCTAAGATAGCAGCCAGGCTTCTTGGGACTGGAGCACCTAGACGGCCCCACCTTTGGCCTAAGGCCTACCAAGCTGGTGAGGCAGAAACAATCTGGCTGTCGTACGCTTGGAGGAAGTCCACAGGGCTGCAGTGGGGCTGAGAAACCACACAGGGTTTGGAGGCAACCAAGGCCAGAGCAGAGCTGAGGCTTGGATGAGAAAAGGGGGAAGTGTTATTTCAGCCTGAGGGTGGTGCTTGGGTAGGGCTGTGCACATGTGCCTTGAGGGGGAAGTGTTATTTCAGCCTGAGGGTGGTGCTTGGGTAGGGCTGTGCACATGTGCCTTGAGGGGCAATCTGGTTGCAGGAGAGCAGAAACCCAACTTAGTCCCAGGATTCCAGTAACTCGGGCTCATGGGAATTCTCTTTGACCCCCATCCCATTCCTGTGAAGGCAGAGGCATTGGGACATTCAGTATCAGGAAGGATAATTTGTAAACTTGTCAGTGGCTTTGGGGGAATGGCAAACTTAATAAGGACAGAGGCTGTACAGTGGCCAATCAGGTTGAATTCCCCCTCTCTCGATCTTCTCTTCCTCTCTGTAGCTCCTGAATTTCTTTCCTCCTCGCGGAGGTCTTCTGAGATTGGACAAATGAGAAATCACTTTTCCTAATACCCAAACGATAACAGCTCCTATTAACCAGGCACCAAGCATCATGCTAATAATTTTTATGCATATCATTTGCTCTTCCTAATATTATTATTATCCCTACTTTGCAGATGAAGACGCTAAAATTCAGAGCTCAACACATGGCATAGTCAAGACTTGAACTCAAGTCATCAAACTCCAAAGTCTATGCTCAACCACAGTGCCCTCCTGCCTTCTCTGCTATAATACAGTCCACTGGACCTTCACATGTCAAAATGCAGATTCCCCAAATCCATCTGCTCTTGCAGATGGCCAAAAATGTCCATATATTGTCTTGGTTTCACCTTTGTTGTGATGTTTCTCCTCACTCTGTGCATCCTGTGAATGTGTCAAAACAATTTGGGACATGCATGGCTATGTATGTGGGTGCTTTTGTGCATGTGTGCATGAGTGTGTGGATGTGTGTGTGTATGCAGGTGTACACTTGTGCATATGCAAGTGTACATAGGTGCATGTGTGTATCTGTGAGCACATGCATGTATGTGTGGGTAAGAGTTCATGCATGTGTATTTGCACCTGTGTGCATGTGTGTGCGCATATGTCTGTGAATGTATGCATGTGTATTTGTGCGCCTGTGTGCCCATGCTACATTTCACAGACAACAGTTCCTGCTTGGTTGTTATGGGAACCACAGTTCTAAAAATGTTAAACTGAATCCCACTCCATGTGAACCAGAGAAACCAAAAGAGAGAGAGAGCTCAGTGACGGAGACACCTCTGGGGTCCCAGAGCTGAGGCAAAGAATTGTGGGCTCAGCAAGAGCTGGAAAGACCCAGACTAGCCAGAGGTGTAGACCCACTCATGAGGCCTATGGTGCCTATCAGGGCCCCTTGCTGCAGACTCGGTCCTCAGTCCTGCTTTTTCCCATCTTTCCCTCCTGATCCTTTCTCCTCCCTCTCTCTTTGCCAGCTTCATGCTCTCCAACCACCTTCCTTCCCTCCTCCTTCCCCTTTCTGTTTCCCTTCTCCTTTTGGGTTTTTTTTGTTGTTGTTGTTCAACTAATTGACACAATAATTAAGCACTTTCATGTTAGACTTGGTGATATGGGGACCACACATGTGGATCAAATGAGGTTTCTGCCCTTGAAGGTGCTCAAAGGTGGGAGCATTTGGATAACTGGTGGGGGAAGGGAGGTGGCAGAGCAAAGCACAAAGGGAGAGATGACAGAGGAGGTTGGAAGGTGAATTTGGATCAGATATAGAGGGCTTTCACAGCAAGGGTGAAAAATAGGTATTGTTTTTATAGGAGGGTGGAAACCTTGGTCAGTTTGGGATGAAGCTCTTGTTTGTTGTGAATGGTGTATTAGGAAATTTTCATCATTAATGCTGGGCAATGTGGAATGAAAGAGGCATAATGGAGGCAGAGGGACCACAGGACGCAGTTTGGCATAGTGTAGGCTTGTCTCAAATAGGGTACAGGAGTTGGGGTGAAGAGGGAGAAAATAGCAAACATTCTGGGTTGCTTTCTCAAACTTCCCCCCCATATCCCACCTCATCAAGATTTGTATTACTTTTTCCCACCTTTCTGGTGTGAGAATCAGGACTTGAGTGAGCCTCTGTTACTGATGTGTGTGTCGAATTTCTCAGGTGCCCCAGGAAGTAAAATAGTTGGGAATCACTGGCCCAGCATGTAGTAGCACTCAGTATCTGTGGAGTGAGTGGATATTTAGATATGCACTGGTCTTGGAACTGGAAGGCCCAGGTTCAAGGCCCATTTCATTCTCTTATTATCTGTGTGCCCTTCAGAAAATCCCCAACATCTTGGGCTTCAGTATTCTCTTCTATAGAGTGTGGGTTTGGACAGGATGTTCTTTTTAAAAAAATACTTAAAAAAATAGAGACAGAGTTTTGCCATGTTGCCCAGGCTGGTCTTGAACTCCTGGACTCAAGCCACCTACCCGCCTTGGCCTTCCAAAGTACTGGGATTACAGGCGTAAGCCACCATTCCTGGCCTGGACAGGATGTTCTTACAAACTCCTTCCAACTGCAACGCTATTATGTGATTCTATGAAATTGACATAGCCAAGGTATGTGTGTATATGGAGGGAGTGGCATGGACTAAGGTGCTGGCAATAGGCACAGAGAGGATAAATGTGGGAAATATTTTAATAGAAGAATTAATATCATCTGGCTTCAGTTTTCAACAACATTGTTGACTAGATAGCCCAAAGACTCTCTTGCTACAAAATATGTGGATTGCTTCATAAAATGTAACAGACATCTCCTGAAATGCTTGGCTGAGCTTGCAAGAAAGGGAAAAAAATCTACATGGACCAAAATAGGGGGACTGAGACCAAGAAATATAAGCATGAGATGTGCTGTGACTAACCCCAGAAGGTATGGGAAGGGAGGCATATTGCTTGTTTGTCCTGACCTGGATCCTGGTTAGAGAAGTGGGAACTGTCTCTGAGAATTTATAACTACTTGAGTTGGACTTTGAACTCAAAACATCTGCATGTTACAAGAACCTCAAACCAAGAAATTAACAAAAGATTGGTCTCCATCAGGTGATACTCTTGGAGTGTCTGGTAGAAGCAAACAGGAAACTGCTCAGGAGAAACATACCATCACCCAAGGCCACAGAGTATTGCTGCCCAAGTAAATCCCCACTGAAGTTGAGCTCACAAGCTAAAGATTATAATACGTAACCTGGAACAATGTACCGTGAATGAGAGTAGAGAAGACCCTGAAGAATTACAATAAGATTCAACAAGTCTAAGTGACAGCCTGGATGTGTGGGGTGGGAAGAAGCAAAAGTGAATCCCACAGAGCTGTAGTTACTTAGATGAATCCAGGGAATCAAATAATGTTGCTATTACCAGAAATATGGAAGGGTGATTTGATTTTAGACAGACTGTATTTGGAATGGTGGTGGGACATCCATATGGGGGTATTCATTAGAACCATGGGGCTGTCTGACTTAGAAGCCATCTACGTAGGAATAATAGCTGAAGGCCTGGCAATGAATGCACTCTGTAAGGAAAGTGTTGAAATAGGAAAGAAGAGAGCTAAGAACTGGTCCAGGAAAACACTCATGTTTTGAGGACCAGTTGAAAAAGAGGAGCAAATAAGGAAAATGAGCTCTTTGGTCTCCAATTCTGGTTGGGTCCTGGGTTTGGATTTTCACATTGTTTGGTTTTAATTCTTTCCATCTCTAGTCTAATATTCTCATCCCTCACAATCCCTAGGGGAAGCTCCAATAAATGGGAGCAGTGTCCCTTGGGACATAGCAGGAACTTCTCAGCTAGGAGTTATAGAGCCAGACTGGGCTCTGGTACCAGGACTACTACTAAGTCACTTCTTTGGGGTTCAATTTTCTCATCAGTGATGTTAGGCCTAGGTGGGTGTGAGGATAAGAATAATAGAGCTGATGGCACTTGCTGGAATGCTGCTGGAGAGGGCAAGATAGGGGTGATCAGAGGCCAGCCACCCACTGTCTGCGTTTCCTCCTTTGTTCAGCTTGTGTGTTTTGGGACCAGTTGCTTGAAATATGGGCCATTATGCTTTTCTTGCCCTACTCTTCATGAAAAGTGAAGTCAGGTGGCCCATGCCTAATAAGTGAAAGGTGTGGTGACTTAAATAGTAAGACAATGAGGGTCATGATTATCTTGTGTCTCCATGAATCTACCACTTATCACAGTGCCTGACAGTCCACAATTTGAGCCTCTTCATTGGGTTAAACATTGCCCTCTGCAGGCTACTGTTCTAAAATGTTAATTCTCCTAGAAGAGGTAATATTAAATCCTTTACCACAAATTAGTTTCTTAGATACAAGATACTTGGCCACATGAAAGCACTTAAAACCTAGGGAGAGAAAAGGATGGAATTCTCTGAGTTGATCATTTTGTCTCTGGTCAGCTGGACTGTGGGGTGGAGGGTGAGCATATCTTAGAGTGAAGGAGTGAAGAAAGCAGCAAGAGTATCAGAAGCTGGTTTGATCTGGCATCATAGGGCTGTAAGGTCTCTTAATTCAAGAACAGCTCAGCTCAGAAGAGAAAACAATGAAGTCCTCAGACACAGGCCTTCTTTCTTCCTTATCAGAGAGGGGTCATTGGAGCAGAGAGATGGAGAGCACAGCGGCCTTTTTATGCTCCAAGGTCTGCCCAAGGTGGCCAGAAAGAGTGGAAAAGCTTTGGGTGGGGAGTTCAAAGAGTAAAAAGGGGCCACCTTCACCATTACAAGGTCATGCTTTCCTCATCACCCTCCTAGCCTTCCTCTGATCCCAAAGCCATGAAGAGTTCACTTGGAAGGACAGCTGGAGAAAAGTGGCTGTGGCAGGCGCATGGCTGAATGGTAAGTAGGCTGATGCCACCTGGAGAAGATCCTTTTTGTGGGAAGAGCAACTAAGGTGACCATCAGTCTCTGGCAAGTGCCTGCTCCCAGCTATATTCAGGTGTGCTCTAGCTAAATGCTGAGACCCTTTGGGTCCTGACATCATGTGACTCTTGAACAGATGCATAGATACTGTCTGGAGCCTCTGTGACACTGAACACTCTGGGCTTTCACAAACAGCACCAAAATACTGCAGCCTTTTGCTGTTGTCGCTACTGCCTGGAGCTCCCTCTAGCTGCCAAACCTGTTTCTCACCTTCTGGTAGGAAGCCTTTCCAATCAGTGCTATTAAGTTTAGGTGTCTCCATTCTGGGGTTGGAAAATGAGGGTTGGCTTTGAAGTTGGACAGATTTGTTTGACCTGTCTGTTCCTAGCCTGGGTTAACTACATTGTTCCAGCAAGCTATCTACATTGCTTCCACATCTTTGAAATGAGGTATATGCCTGCTTTATTTGGGAATGCGAGGATTAAGGAGAATAATATATACATAATGTTGAACACCTACGCCTTTTAACCACTTTGAAGTTCCAGAAACACCTCCAGCCCTTAGGTGAGCTGTGATTAAATTCGTTCATTAACCCAACACACATTTACTGAATGCCTACTCTGTGCCGCAGTTCCTGGCAGGTGTGCCTGACAGTGGGTGTGTAATATGTTCAGGGTCTGTATCCCATGAGCGTGGGGATCTCCTTTATCTTCTGGCACATATGGTCCTGGGGGAGAAGCTAAGGGGAAGGGTCAGGAGCTTACATGGCAGATTCAGTAAGCTTTTAGCACAATAATTTTAATTGCAAAAATAAACAGTTTTGTCAACTGCTTGAGAGTAGCGTCTGCTTTACAAAAATTAACAACAACAAAAGGAAAAAAAACCCAAAGCAAAACGTTACATCCAATGGCTGCTGGATAAGACACTGCTGTACAAAGTCCCGCGCGAGACCGCCTTGGCGCTGCCCCAGCCTGTCTCTGGGGGTTATAGAGGAAGGCGTGGGGCGTGTGCCAGTTACAAAAGACTGTCTTGAATCCCAGGGTAGTGCCTATTCACTGGGTGGTCTCAGAAGACTTCCCCCAAAGCGCGGCTGACAAGGGTGACAGCGCCTGGACCGCGGGAACTGTCCGCGGAGCTGGTGCTGAATAGGGCGTGTGCGGCGGGCGCTTCAAGGAAACTGGAAGCGGGACCGGAGGCCGGCCCTCGGGCGTGCGAGGAGGAGTTGGAAGAAGAGCGGGGAGGGGAACGGCCCGGAACTCGTGCGCGCCGAACGGCGGCGCCCCAACCCATAAACCCATCTCTTGCTCAGAGAGAAGCGAAGGAGAGGCCCAGCGAGTAAAAGCCGAGGCCCTTGAGCCGCTCCTCGGCGCGCGCCTTCTGCTTGAGGTGCACCTTGCTGTGCCGTTTCTTCTCATCGCTGCGCGCGAAGCGGCGGCCGCACACGTCGCAAGCAAAAGGCTTCTCGCCGGTGTGGGTGCGCACGTGCGTGGTGAGGTGGTCGCTGCGGCTGAAGTTGCGGAGGCAGATGCGGCACTGGAAGGGTTTGTGGCCCGTGTGGATGCGCAGGTGGCGATTGAGCTCGTCGGAGCGCGCAAAGCTCCGCACACAACTCTCCACCGGGCAAGCGAAGGCCTTGGCGTGCGGCCGCGGGCAGAAGCAGCGCGTGCTGCATTTGCCGCCGCGGCGCCCCTTGCGTCGCGCCTTGGCCTGGGGGAAAGGGGTGGGCGGCGGCGGCGGCACGGGTGGTGCAGCCACGCCACTGCTTCCAGGGATGTCCGCCACCAGAGGTTTAGGGAAGTCCGCCGCGGCGGCGCTGCGAAGGCCCAGCGGGGAAAGCTGAGGCTGCGTACTGGCCAGAAACTCTCCGCCGTCGCCGCTACTCCCTCCCTCCCCACTAGGAGGGGTCAGGAGCCCAGGGAGGCCCTCAGCCCCCTCCCCTAAGTCACCCGGGGCCAGCGGGAAAGCGTCATAGGCCCCGCTGGGATAGAGTCTGTTGGCTGGGACGGCCGGCAGTTCCGCAGGGCAGCTGATGGACAGCAAGTCCTCAATCTTGGTCCCTATTACGGGAAAACGAGCCTCCGGGGCGGCCTGGTAGTCTCCCTGTGACCCACAGTTCCCTGGGGCCCCCACAGAAAGCAGCTCCCAGGGCGCGTAGGGACCCTTGAAGGCAGAGACAGCGTCCAGCGCTGGCGAGGCGGGAGGCGCCCGGAGGCCGGGCTTGACGTCGGGCGGGGAGAGCTGAGGCTCATACAGGCACTGCGAGGGGGCACCCGCGCAAGGCGAGGCCTCCCAGAACGCCTCTGGGAAAGGGGCAGCGCCCAGATCCGGGGAGTAAAGGTCCGGCGGACCCGGCAGCAAGGCATCGGACCCCGCAGGAAAAGGGGCATCCAGCGGGGATCTGGACGCTGCTGCCTCTGGACCGGGGAAGGGTGCCAGGCCTAAGATGCCCGACATGAGGTTGAAGAGTGCCTCCGGGTCGTGCGGGTGTTCGGGCACTGCCTGAATGAAGAAGCTACCGCTGTAGCTGAGGCCGGGAGGGGGTGTGGGCGCAGGCCCCTCCAGGAAGCAGGAGTCGGCTAAGTCCCCACTTGCGCCGCAGCTGTTCAAAGCCCAGCTCAAGAAGTCGCCTGCTGAGGAGGGAGCAGGAATCAGCTCTGGGCACATCAAAGGGTGCACCTGAGTCCACAGCCCCTACCTACAAAACTCTTGGTGCCCACGGATATACACAAAGTGCCTTTTGCACATTCTGATTCAGCAGGGGCCCGCATACGTCCCAAGGAGCACATAGAAACATGCACACGCAAAACACACGTGCACAGGCAAAAGGGCGCTCCGATAACCGCACAGGTTCCTGCGGAGGCGCTGGCGGCCCAGTGTGGGTGGGAATGGGGGTGCGCACCCCAGGACTCCTAAGCTTCCCATCGCCCCTATTCTCATAGCTCCAATGTCCCAGTCCCTCCTGGTTCTCAGGTATGGTGCGCCCCCGCGCTGCGCCGTCGTCGTCTGAGCACCCCTGCTCGCCCTCCTTACCTCCAGGGTAGCCGGTGGCCGCGGGAGCGTCCCTGGCAGGCAGCCGGGGCAATTCAGCGCTGGGTTCGGCGCAACAGCCTTCAGTGGACTTGACGAGGAGCGCGTCGGGTTCGGAAAACTCGCTAAGGTGGAGCATGGCGCGGCGCCGGCTGTGGGGCGCCCGGGGCCTCGCCCGCTGGGCTTGGGGGCGCGCGGGTGGCGGGGAGGCTGGCGGTAGGGGTTCCCCGCAGCGCACAGACCTAGGCGCCCGGGCTCCTGGCTTCGGGCACTCACCTCTGGGAAAGGAGTCGGGGAGCCGCGGCGCCCTCGCTCGCCCGCACCGGCCTCGGGCGGCGGCTCCTCGCCTCTCCAAAGCGCTGCCGGGCTCCCCCAGCCCACAGCCCCCCCACTTATATAGCTGCGGCGGCGCTGGCTCCGGGCTTCCGACTCCCCGGGCCACTGCCATTTTGGGAGGCCCCGGCCCTGCCGCCGTGACGTAAATGCCCAAACATGGACACAGGATGTGTGCCGGGGACTCCCGAAAAGGAAAGCTCGAGCTGTGACGTTGTTGTTGTCGCCGCCGCCGCCAGGCTCGCGCCGCTGCGTGCGCGCGCGCTCCCCAGGCGTGGAGCGCTGGGGCCGCGGATGCGCCAGTCTGGGGCGCTGCGCCTCACCGGGCCGACCGTCCGGTAGATGCGCTTCCCACCTGGAGGCAGAGGCCGAGGGGCAGCAGGGGAGGACCGTGTTGGGTTTGAATCTGCCCTCTGCCACTAACTAGCTTGACACTCAGTCCCCCTTAACGTCAGTTTCTCACCTGTGCATTTCCTGTGGAGAGAAACTGAGAGCACATAAATGTCCAGGCGCACTCAGTAAACCACAGAGATTATTGCCATTCATTTCTTTTGCTCACGCCTGTGTGTTTTTCCATTTTAAGTTTTTTTTTTTTAAATTTGTGCTAGGAAAAATAATTTAAATTAAAAAGGACTGTAATACTTGTTAACAGTAGGAGGAAAGTCAACTAGCACAACAGGGTATATTCTAAATTGAAAAGTAAAAGTCCCTCCTCTCCACCTACCTTCATTCCTAGCTCCTGAGGTAGCCACATTTAAGTTTCTTGGGTATTCTTTCAGAAGAATTTTATGTATATCCAACCATACACATTGTTCTGCAATATTATTATTATTATTATTTTTTCACTTGAAATAACTTAGAGATTGTGCCATGTCCTGACATAAAGATCTTGTCATTCTTTTTCAAGGCTGTATAGTACTCCATTGTAAGGGAGGACCTTGAGTTAGTCGATTTGTCCCCTATCCATGAGCATGTAGGCAGTTTCCAACTTTTTACTTATACCAATGTTGTTGGAGTCAACATCCTTGACTATATAAATGTGAATGTGTCTGTGAGATAAATTCCAACGAGTGTAATTGTGTGCCAAAGTATATGTAAAATTTTGATAGACAACTGGCAAATTGTCTTCCAGAAAAGTAGGGCCAATTCCTGCTCACTCCTCCCTCACCCACAGGGTATGAGATGCTTCTGCAGAACATTTTTTCTGCCTTCATACAAATGGCTTTCGCTCTAAGGATGTTGATCCCAGCAACACACAGGGAATCCGTGGGAAATATCTCCCTGGAATCAGTACTTGAAATAATTGGGCTTCTTTTGAGAAAAAAAAAAAAAATCCTAGCCTTAAGGAGGCTGTGAATCTTGGCTGCAGAAGCATCAGAGCCAACTCCAGCAAAGAAGCTTGCCTACTCTCCTAGTCTCATCTCTCTTCTGCTGTGGTTTTCCCTCTGTCTCATTCTCTCATTCTTTTTAAAATGTTTATTTTATTTTGTATTATAGCTCACTTAACTCCTTTCTGGAACCAAATTAAATAAATACATGGGGGGGAAGGATTAAATAAATACATGGAATAGCATGTTCTTCTTTATGAAGAGCATCAATTCCTGAGACTCTGTGTGCTGGAGGGTAAGGTGGGCAGGTTTAGGGCTCCTCCTTCCTTCTCTCCTTTTTTGAAATAGAAACAAAGCCCTTTGGGGGTGGTGGACTCAGCATCATGGGCAGTATAGCTCCCAGCCTCTCTTCCACCCCTGTACCCTCTTTTTCAAGAGAGAGAGAGAGAGCCCAAGAATGCCCAAACCCCACCACATTCTCAGTCCTTTCACCCTATGTCCATTATCCAAACATCCATTCAGTTTCTCAATGTTCATTCATTCAGTATTCATTTCTTAAGTGCCTATTACAGGCCAGAAGGTAGACTTTGGTTTTATGTCTGCTGGGACCCTGAGCCCCATCTCCAGCACTAGGTGCCCACTCCTCATCCCACAGTGACCTTATTAAGTGTTTTCACAGAATATGTCCCTTCACACAATCACCTGCAAAACATATGCTGACACACTTGTATGCATCTTCTCCTGAAGTCCACAAATCATATAAAGGTTCTCACAGGGTCATGCACTTGCAGTGTGTCTTACTAAATGGCTACACCTATGGTTCTGTGTTAGTAGCACATATATGAGCATGTAGGAAATGCAGAAACCCAGCAGATGTCTGTAAAGATTGGACACACCAAGCACGATTTTCCTTATACTCTATTTCAGATCCAGGGTTTGATTCTAATCCAAATGCATTGCCAAGGCCAGGTGAGCCCACACCAGACACACAGGGCACACATGTCTCAAATCCACTCTGGCATCCTACTGCCTGAGAGGGAGGAGGAGGGGAGGAGTTTGACTGGGCTGGTGTCCAGGTCTCCCCAGGTCGCCCCGTCGGGCCAGATTGGTCAGCCCCAGGTTGCCCATCCCTTCTGCTGTTCTTCCCTCTGCCACAGCATTCCTCCTCCTTCTTAGTCACAGATAATTCCCCTACTCTCTTGGTGAGTTGCCAAGCCATTGCTTCTCTCTGCCAAGGGCTGTTGGACTAGGTCTGTGTTAGGACAAGGGTCCAAGTCACCAAAGTTTCTTGTGTTAGAGGCCAGACCTGGGGGCAGGGCTCGGGGGTGGGTAGGAGTGATTAGGAAAGGAGATAGGGAAGAGACAGCTTGTGCTCTGGGTGTGGGATGGCTCACACCCCCATGTCTATGCTACTTACCTCCAATGGACACACATACACACACTCACAGGCACAGAGGATGGCTACCTCTGGAGGGCAATTTGCATCTGCCTTTGGCTCTCTGAAGACTGGGAGGGAATATAAAGGGGGCTGAGCATTTTGTAGTTCTTCCCAGCTCGTCCCTTCTTCTCCCTACGTTTTAACAGCTTACAAAGAGATTCTGGGCCCAGATAAAATAAAAGTCTTTGGGAAGGGAAGGAAGAGAGAAGAGCTTAGATCTATGAGCTCCATTTAAATCACACTTCAAATATAAAAACACAAATGTACACAAGGGAAAAAAGGGAAATCACATACATTGAGCATTTTACAAATATTTTATCATTCAATCTCCACAAAAGTTCTATGGAGTAAGGAATTGGAGACCAATTTCACAGATGAGGAAACAGATTCAAAAAGGTCAAATGACGTGATCGACACCACACTTCTAGTCAGTGGTAGAGCTGAGAGTCAAGTCCAGGCTAGCCTACTCTATAAGACAATTTAGGAAAAGATAATTAATTTTACAAAAGGATTCACTGTTGGATGGCTTTAGATGGAGGATCTCCCTGTAGCTTTCAAATAGGATGTGATGTGCAAACTTGAGCTGGCTGGTGCCCATCCCTGCAAGAATTCCCTGGAGTGATGGCCATGGATAGGAAAACAGTGGGTCACAACTAGTGCTGAGAAGTAGCACATATAAGGTTCTTTGGAGCTGTTGTGTAAGTTGGTGTGTGTGTGTGTGTGTGTGTGTGTGTATGTGTGATCTTGGGGAAGGTGAGAGCGAATTTTCTATTTCCATGGGAAAAGGTGCAAAGGAGAATCACTTTCTAGACAAGCACTGAACAAACATTTGCTGAATGAATTAATGAATGAAGAAATTCATTCATCAAATATTCATTGAGCACAGCCCAGTGCCAGGTGCTGGGTTGGCCCTTCAGATGCTGATGCTGCAGTGCATGAGACTGGAAGCTTTGAATCCAGGGAAGGAGGTGGGGAGGGGCAGAGGGAGGGTAGAGGCAGCCTCCCTGCTCTCTCTTCTGGGGAGGGCTCAGCCCCTGTCATAGTTCTGGTTATGCTACTGCTCCCTCCTCCACACCCTACCTTGATCTTTCTGCTCTAAATATCATTGTGTTCAAATAATAGTGTGTGTATTTTAAAAGACTCCAAGAAGACAGCTGCCTGGGAGTATTAATCATGAAGAGGCCAGCACTCTGTCTCCATGGCGACTCCTGACAGCGAGAGCTGAGGAACAGTTCCATGTCCCACTTCCTGGGGCCATGGAGATGCAGGGGCACTGCATCTCTCACTCCTCTTTCCTCTCTGCTTCTTTCTTCTCCTTCCTTTCCTCTCCTCTCTTCTCTCCTACCCCTTCCCTCCACTCCCTCTTTTTTTTTTCTTCCTAAAGGATTTATTTAAAAGCAGGGACAGAGGCAGGGCCAGCCATCAGAGTAACAAAAAACATGGCTAATGAAGCCGCAGCAGAGATGAAGTCTGCATCCAGTTGCAGCATCTGCAGTGCCCAACTCCACTCCCAAGACCTCTGCAGTGCCCCCGGGCTTCCACAGCCAGTAGGGCAGAAGTAGTGTGATCATCGGCCCCTGAGGCAAGAGGCCAACTGTCAGGGTCCTTCTCCGTCTCTTTTCTCTTCCCTGCTCATGGCCCATCATTAGTTTGTGGTTTGGGTCATTATTATGATTATGAGTATGGCTATTATTTTTAATGCCCACAAAAGTAACAGGCTTATTGAAAAAAACAAATGTTAAAAATTATAATGCAAAGAACGAGAATACCTTTCACTATCCTGTACACACACACACGAACACGTTTTAGGTTGATTCCTATAGATTTTTTTCATGCATATTCATGCAACATCCATTTAGTCAACATCCATTTAGTCAACAATCACATTATTATCATCATTCTTATTTACATCATTTTCATACTATACGTACTCTTGTAACTAATTAACACTGTACCTTGTTTTTTTTAAAATTTTTTCCATAATGATACCCATCTACAGTGTTGATCTATAGTGTTGGTAACAGTTTCACCAGCATATTTCATTGTGTAGATGAATATAATTTTTTAACTTTATAGTTTCCTGTCTTTCACTATTATAAAGGATCTGGCTATATATGGTCTTTTATGTATACGTGGTGCATTGATGGGGTAATAATACTACAGTATTCTAGCTAACATTTGCACGTTATTTACTATGGGCACTATCTGACAGGTAGTGAGAGCTTTACCTATACTCATCATTTAATCCTCACCACAACCTGATTAGTATTATTATCTCTGTTTTACAGATGGAGAAATTGAGCATGGAACACTAAGAAATTTGCCCAAGCTTACCAGGTTAGTGATGATGCCGGGATCTGAACTCATACTATAGCCATAGGCTAGATTACAAAAAGTGAAATTTCATGCTCACTTCAGCAGCACATATACTAAAATTGGAATGATACAGGGAAGATTAGTATGGTCCTTAAAAAAAGTGAAATTTTTTAGGACAAATAGAACTGGTTTTAGGACAAAGGTACAAACACTTAAAATTATATATATTGTTAAATATTTCTCTAAAAAGATTGTTCCAATCTCTGGGCCAACTAGCAGTATATGAGGACCAACTGGTAAGCAGAAAGAGGCATCCCAGTGATATTTTAATTTTTATTGTAAAAATTATCAGTAAGGATGAGAATCTTTTCACAGGGCCTTAGTATTTCCTTTTCCGTGATATAGAGGCTTAATACCTCACCCAAATACTTTTTTTTTTTTTTTTTGAAATGCAGTTTCACTTTTGTTGCCCAGGCTGGAGTGCAATGGTGTGATCTTGGCTCACCGCAACCTCTGCCTCCCAGGTTCAAGTGATTCTCCTGCCTTAGCCTCCCAAGTAGCTGGGGTTACAGGCATGCACCACCATGCCCTGCTAATTTTGTATTTTTAGTAGAGATGGGGTTTCTCCATGTTGGTCAGGCTGGTCTTGAACTCCTGACCTGAGTGACCCACGTACCTTTGGCCTCCTCACCCAAAGACTTTTTTTGAGTGGAAGCCTTCCTTATGCTCCTCACATCCCTGTAGTGGGCACTGAAAGTGAGGCTGCTCTGCTGTGGCATAGACTGGGAGGACTAGGTGGGGACAGGTACATAGGGGGCTTATGTACCCTCTTTACTTTTGTTCTTTCTATTTTGAATTCTTTCTATTTTTATTTACTCATTTTTTGTAGAGATGGGGTCTCTCTGTTGCCCAGGCTGGTTTCTAACTCCTGGGCTCAAGTGATTCTCCCACCATGAATTCCCAAAGCGCTAGGATTACAGGTGTGAGCCAGCACACCGGGCCTGTTCTTTCTCTTTTGGATCATGGGGAGAGGTGGCAAGGAGAACAAGGTGGCTGCATGCCATTAGGAAAAGTGGATTCTTCCAAGGTGGCTTGGCTTCTGAGCTGTTCTCCTACAGGAGAGAGGGAGGTTATTCTTTCTCTCATCTTCCATTCTATAGCCTTCCTTTGGCAACACTGGACAGAGCCGAGAGGTAGATGATCACAGAAGAGGCGTGACTAGGGTGGGTTCTAGGAGGGTCAGAGGTAGGTGGACGGTTACAGTGACTTCACACTGCTACTGCCCTGTGATTTGGAATCGGCCTCCCATCAGCCCTTTGGATCTAAGCCTGGTTATCCCTTTGTGGGTAATAACGGACTTGGATCTTGTTAAATGTTTTTATTTGATTAAGTAATGGTGTTCAGAGCACTAATTTCCAATTCATGTGTTAAGAAGTTAAAAAGGAGGATTAGTGAGCAGACGGAGAGACCTATAGCTCTAGAACAGAAATGGAATTAGAAACAAGCCTTCTTAACCTATCTATCTGGCATGTTTCTCTCTCTCTGGCCTCCTTCTATTTTCACTTATCTGAGCTCATCTCACTGTCTTTTCACCGTCTCTCCTCCCCCATCTTGCCATAGTTTTCTTTAAACCTCTTTGATGTAGATTGGTCATCGTACTGAGATTGGACAATATAACTCTGAAATGCCCAGGCAATTTATCCACAGCTAGGTCTGTTGAGCCATAGCCTGGGTCCTCTGTGTGTCCTTGAATCCTGTCCATCATCATCAGGCTGGGCTTCTGGTTGCAAATGACAGAAATGCAACCTCAATTAGCTTAGAGAAGAACGAACGAAAGAAAGAAAGGAAGAAAAAGAAAGAAAGAAAGAAAGAGAGAAAGAAAGAAAAAGAAAGAAAGAAAAAAGAAAGAGAAAGAAAGAAAGAGGGGAGGAAAGAAGAAATTATCAGCATATCCAAGGGAATGGGGAATCCAAAAAAGTGTCAAACAACCAACCTGTGAGGGCATCAGGGACACACTGGGTGTCAGAGGCTAAGAGTTTTCAGAATGCTCTCAGCTCCTTTTTTTTTTTTCTCCCTGATAACTGAAAACCTGGCCTTTAGCAGACTGTGTGTTCTACACCTCAGCTTCTGTGATAAATGGATTCTCATTCCCAGTTACAGGTAGGGAATCCTAGAAAAGACCTCTCCTCTTCTCCTTAGGACAATTATATGGTTAGCAGGCAGGGTAATATCCGGTTGACACCACCACTAGGGTCTTGTGCTTGTGCTTTGAGGGCCAGGCCCAGAGAAGAGGAAATAACTGTGAGCCAGGAAGCCTCCCTTGTCCTTGAGGGCAAGAGCTGGGCAGCAATGAGCTCTGGCACGTTCTCATAACCAGGGGCAGAAATAGTTCCCTCTGCTTAACAATGCCCCTGGAGCAAGTCGCCTACTCCATCTGTCTGCCAGCTCCAAGGAACACTGCTCAAAATAAAAATCCCTAATTAGCAATTCCTTCAATCCAGAGCAAAACAATTTATTTGTTTCCTAGAATAATCTGGAGCCACATTTGGCTTGGCAACCAGTGGGTCCCACATGTTCATGCGGTGTGCCATGTGAAGACTTCAGCAGGGAGTTTTATTCAGTTAAGCATGAGGGGGAATGCCCTGGGGGTCACCTCCCCAGGCAGCAGCAAGTCAGGGCCTAGAATAGAACTGGTTTTATCAATGTTGTGCAGCAGGTTTCTGGTACAGGGTAGGTAGCGAAGGAAGAAAGTTCAACAGGATTTCTAAGCACCTGCTCTCACAAAGGCCAAACCGGTGATCCCTACATTTGGTAGGGACACATGGCCTGCAGGAGACATAGAGAATCTGACAATAGAGTAAAACCTCAAGCCAGGGAGTCAGAGGAACTGAGTCTGACCCAGTTCTGCCACTGGTTTGTTCTGTGACCTTGAACAAATTCGAAATACTTTCTGTGCTTGTGCATTCTCACCTGTGAAATGGGAGTATGTTACCTTCTCTACCTATAGTCTCAGGATTAAGAGTCAGAATTAACAAATTAAGTGGTGGTTGAAGCACAGGCACTTGCTACAAAAAAAAAAAAAAAAAAAAAAAAGGCGAGGTTAGAAACAATATATGCAGTTAAGAAATGATGAGTAATTCTTCCTACCCCAAATGTGTGCCCTGTGTTTTCTGGGCATCTATGTGTATGTGGGTGGAATTGGTCACTATGACATGAATTTCATGACTAGTTGTTTTCTTCCAATCCTTGCTCTCATTCATTCATTATTCATTCATCTAAATATTTGTTGAGGACTTAATACATCAGCCAGTTCAACAACTTATTACAGAAAGGTGTGATGCATGTGCCAGCGGGAGAAGGACCGGATGGTTTGAGATCATAGAAGGAAGCAGGAGGTCGTTAGCTCAACAAGATATTCAGGGAAGGCTTCCCCAAGGAAGTGACATTTGAATGGAGACTGGAAGGTTAAGTAAAAGTTAGCCAGAAAAAGGGAAAGGTTGAGTGGGGAGAATGTTCTGGGCAAAGGGGACAGCATATACAAAAGCCAGAAGGTGAGAGAAAAAAGACAAGGGAGGAGAAAAGGATTCAGGGAACTGGCGGAAGCCCATGATGGCTGGAGTGTGAGGAGGGAAAGAGGCTAGGAAGGGCAAGTGGGGTCAGGCTGGAGAAACTGGTGAGCTCAGGATCCTAGAAGACCTTTTAAGCAGGTTTAGGCATTTGGACTTTTTTTTTTTTTTCCCCCACCTATCTGATCACAAGCTTCTATGCATAGGCATTTGGACTTTTTTTTTTTTTTCCCCACCTATCTGATCACAAGCTTCTATGCATAGGCATTTGGACTTTATCCCTAGAGTAATACGATGCTATTGAAGAGATTTAAGCTGTACAGGCGATGCGATTTTTATCTTAGAATGACCAGCGTTCTAAGACCACCTTCCATGCTCTGATACAGCGTGGAAGGTGACCTGGAACGGGGATCAGTTAGGAGGCCACTGTGGCAAATCAACTGACAGTGGGCCCTCAGACGTGAACAGTGGGTGGCAACAGGAAAGGAGAAGCTTTCAGAGTCAGCAGCCATTTAGGAGCTCTTTTATAACACACACACAAGGGTGAATAGCTACCCTTGGGGCAAAAGAGAGAGGAAGGAGTCAAGGTTGACTCTTGGGTTCAGTTTTGACCATGGGTTAGTCGTTTTTTTTTTTTTCTTTTTCAAGACAGGCTCTCATGCTCTGTTGCCCAGACTGGAGTGCAGTGGCACGATCATGGCTCACTGCAGCCTCAACTTTCCCCAGCTCAGGCAATTCTCCCACCTCAGCCTCCCAAGTAGCTGGAACCACAGGCACGCACCACCACACCCCGCTAATTAAAAAATTTTTTTTTGTAAAGATGGGGCTCTCACTGTGTTGCCCCGGCTGGTCTTGAATTCCTGGGCTCAAGCAATTCTCCTGTCTCAGCCTCCCAAAGTGCTGAAATCACAGGCATGAGCCACCGTGCCTGGCCAGTGGTCATTTATTTAGGTGGAGAATCAGTAGGAGAAACAGAGTCTTCCTCTGACCCACTACGTTTTATTTATGGAGCTTTAATTTATATACAGTGAAAGGAGCAAATCTTAAGTGAATCTACCATTTGATGACTTTTTAACACAAATCAATATATAGAACATTTACATCCTCCAAAAAGTTCCCTTGTACCTTTTTCCAGTCAGTAGATACCCCCTCTTTCGGGTAACCATATTTCTCAGTATATCACTATAGATTAGTTTTGCCTACTCTTGAACTTCATATACATGGAATAATTCAGTACGTACTGTTTTGTGTCTGGCTTCTTTTGCTCAACATAATCTCTGTAAGATTTACCCACTCCATGTTTTTCATGCATCAGTATCAATTAATAAATGTTTTGTATGTATCAATCCTTTTTTCTCAGTCACTAACTTTCCATTGTTTAAATATACCAATTTGTTTATCCATTCTCCTACTGATGGAAGTAGATTGTTGTTGTTTAATTCTATGTTTGTTTTCAGGAGGTCAAAAGGAAGACAACTTAGAAATGAATGACAAGGCGATGACATAACAGTTATAAACCCTTATGACCTACTACATACCTTTAAAATATATCAATTTAAAGTGTGATTGATATATTTTATCACACTTCAAAGATGTCATTTACTTCAGCAAAAAAAACTTTAAAAAATTGAGTAATTACTAGTCATAAACTTAAGAATGTGCAATATGAATATGAAGAAAATGATAAAAATTTTTTCTGAAGGGCATTGAACAATAGACTAGGTGGGGACATATGTCTTATTGGATGGGAAGACTCAATATTATGAATATGTCAGTGTCAGTGTTGGTGGGTTCTCTGTGAAGCAGACATTGAGAGGGAAGGCTACAGGGAGTTTATTTGGGAGTTACACATGTGAGAGATAAAGGCAAGATTGGATAGAAGAGCCTCACACTGCAATGAGCATCTGACAGTCTCAGCCAACCCAGTGGCGAGTTCCAGAGCAAATAACCCATTAGAAGAATCCTGCATTGGGAAGAAGCGGCCAGTCTCTATGCCCTCTTTGCTCTCAGTCGTTGGTGAGAGGCCTAGCTGGAAAGAGCATGGTCTTGGCCTGAAAGCTAAGGTGAACCTGAAAGGTGCTAACAGCTGTAGGCTCATGGATAACTGCACTGCTTGCAGCTGAATGGCAAATCCTTTGTTGAAGGGAGACTTGAGTGGCCACACCTCCATAGCTGCCACAGTCAGTTCCCCAAATCAATCTGTAAGTTTCATGCAATTTCTGTAAAGATTCCAATAACATCTGTGGTTTTTTTGTGCAATTGGAGTGCAATTTGACAAATTAGTTCTAAAATATGTTTGGAAGAATAGGAAAAAATAATCAAGAGAATTTTGAAAATGATGTCTAAAGCTCTATCAAATATCAAAACCTATTAACATAATGTAGTGCTAGTGCAAGGGATACCCAAATGAACCAGTGGAACAGAGTTGAGAAACCAACCCACATGTATATGGAATTTAGAATATAAGTAGCTTTTCACAGTAATGCAAACATTTGATTATTGAATAAATGGTATTAAGAGAACTGGGTAGACCTCTGGAAGAAAAAGTAGAATATATATTTTACACAACACTCAAAAGTAAATTCCAGACATATTAAAATACAATAATAAACCCCAAACTATAAAATAACCAAAAAATGTATCAGGTAATTTTTATAATTTTGGAATGAAGAAGGCCTTTGCAAGAATGAACTAAAACTCAGAAGCCATATTGGAAAAGAATGGCTATGTATCCATCAAGAGGAGATTAGTTAAATAATTATAGTAATTTATGTGATTGAAAAAACTGTAGCTGTTTAAAATGAGATAGATCCATATATACTGTTAGAAAGTTGTTTTGATATATTGTAACATAACAAAAATGAATTGCAGAACAGTATATATTTTTAGTCCATTAAATTTGATATAGTGAGTATAAAAATGTTAATGTGTAGAAAATGAGCTGGATGGATACATTTCAGACTAATAACCTGGAAACCTTTGCAGAGTGAGACTGAGGGAAGACAGTATGCTAGGCACAACAAGGAGCCAACTTCAAGGACTGGGTATCTATTAGGCGAGACCAGATGAATGCCACAGGTGCATCTGGAGACAGAGGTTTTAAACTTCCCTGCTTGTAGAGTGCAGTCTCCTCAAAGCTATCATCATTACACCCACTAATTCTGCTAGCCAGTATAAAAACAAATCATGAAAAATGAAGTAATAAATATGGAAAAGGGGAGATGAAATAAAAACAGTTTGAAAATATGGTAGTTGGTATAATCAATTGGGCAGAAGGTAGACATGGATATTTTTGGCTGATTTGCTTAATCTCTATTTCTCCTTGCTTCTGAGGGCCTCCTTGTACTGCAGAGGCTGGAAAGCTGAAAACTACAGTTCTCAGATTCCTTTACAGCTAGAATTTGAATGCAAATTAAGTAATACCAAGCATATGCCTTGTGTGAGACTTAGAAGGTGGGCACAGGGCAGAGTCATCTCCCTGTCTCTTTGGGTGGTTTTTCTGCTGTCAAGCCATATCAAGGGACATGAACGGTGCTCCAGTGCCCACTCCCTGGCTTTTTAGGTGTTGAAAAGTGGGTGTGTTGGCCAGCAGGGACTTCCTGGTCCCTGTACTATAGCATATTTTTGAGTTTAATAATTTTATATTCTGAGATTAATTCTAGCCTTTCCAAAGATTTTGTAAGTATTTGATATCTTCTAGTAAACCTCTTCCTTTTTAAAACACATAGTTTCTGTTTCCTAGTTTCAGTTATCTTATTGTTGTCTAACAAACCATCCAGAATTTAGTAGATTACAACAACAACAATAATTTATTTTGCCCACAAACCTGCAATTTGGGCAGGGCTTGGCAGGGAAGGTTCATCTTTGTATCACATTGAATCAGTTGGAGGGGTTCTACTGAAGGCTGGAGGGTCTACTTCCAAGAGGGCCCATGCATACAGGTGGGCCAGCTGGTGCTGGCTGTCAGCTGAGTTCCTGGGTTCCTGTCCATGTGGACTTTTCCAGGCGACCTGGGCTTCCTCACAACATAGTTGCTGGGTTACAAGGGAGAGCTTTTTGAGAGAGAGAGAAAGACAAAAACAGAGAGGGAGAGAGATCACCTTTATTGCTTAGCTTCAGAAGTCCCATAGCATCCCTTCTGCCATACTCTAGTAGTCAAGGCAGTTATATAGACTCATCTAGGTTCAAGGGAGAGGACTTAGACTCCACCTGTTGATGGAGGAGTGACAAAATTCTGGAAGAGCAAGTGGGATGGAAATATTGCAGCCATTTTTAGGAAGTATAATCTGCCACATGCCTGCTCTGAATCATGACTGATACAGTTAACAACAAGGATTTAAAGCCCTCAACAATTTAAGCATAAAAGGTTGAACTAAAACTAAATACAATAGAAAGTATTAAATCTGTAAATATCAAAATAATATTTTAAAGGAATATACAAGTATTTAATTTAATACAAGCATTAAATCTGTAAATATCTAAACAACATTTTAAAGGAATATACAAGAAATATAAGTGAAGGAAGATTTGTTTAAGGTTAAATTTTTCTTAAATAAAAAGGCTAAAACATAGAAGCAAATAGTTTTAAAAAGAATAAAGTTTAATACATAGGATGGAAAGGTAAGGGAAAATAATAGAAAGAAGGTAGAACTGGAAGCCTGAAAATTAGGAAAAGAAGCAATGAAATAGGGGTAAGGATAGTATAAGAAGAATGGTTAAAACAGCCCTCATTGAGTCAGCAAAGTATGTTCAAATAGCATTGAGACAAAAGCCTATTAAATCAAATAGATCTTTGTTAAAATAAGGAAAAATGACCAGAAGCCAGTTAGAAGTCATTTCTGGCCCTAGACACGAGGAGTCCCTCTTGAAAGGCCCTGTGGGACCAGACTTACCTTACAGGGCTGCTGCTGGTAACCTTGCTACATCCTGGCTTTGGAGGTCCCATCTCTGATCTGTCTCTCTCGCTCTCGCTTTCGCTCTCACTCTCGCTCTCTCTCGCTGTCTCTCTTTCTCTCTCTTTCCTTAACCATTTATTCTCCATGCTAGTTTCAGACTTCTGTCTAAGAAAATTTCCTTAGACTTTGCTGCCTATATCCATGGTCCTTCCTAGTCCTGTGGCCATCACAACTGCGTTATCATCGTGGTCTTGGCAAGGAGAGAACAGAGCCCCATTGGATTGCTTCTTGTGGAGGCCATTTTGACACCGTGCAGGTTCGGGTAGAAGGTGGTCTGAGAATTGGTGTGGGAAGGTTGTCACAAGGACCCAGGAGTCTGCTGTATCTTCAAAAATGCGTCCTGTCAGTATTTGGGTTCCTTAATTTCCCTTGTCTAATCTGCCATTGTTCTTATGGTTATTTTGTTTTCATGGCAGTGATTAAGGGGAGAATCAGCTGTCACACCAAGCACATGCCATGTTTCCCGAGGGGACAATCTGGGTTGATTCGCTTTCCCAGACAGTGCTTTTGCACTGACTCCTTTGACCCTTTTGTCCCTCTCTTTTCACTGGGTTGCTATCATTTCTGCCACCAGAGCCTTGTTGTTGAGGCCAAAACCCCCACCACCATGGAAGACCCAGATGTCCTACAGGCCTCTTTGGAAAACACTGTAAGCAGAATTCACCCAGCTGTTGGGCGCCAGCAGCAAGTTCTCCAAAGCAGCTCCGCGCTGAGCAGGAGCTGGGCTGGAGGTGGAGGGCTGAGAGGTGAGCGTGGCAGGCTTCAATTACGTTGCTAGGTTCTGAGTTGCTAGGTTCCGAGTTTCCTGAAAGCCTGTGCCGGCTCACCCTGGAAACAAGTCGCTTTCCTGGCAGCTCCATATATAGGCTGCTGGGTGCCTGCTGCCAGCACCTTTGCCTCGGAGCTCCTGGGCTCTGTGGTGGTTCTACTGCCTTTAAGAGCCTTATGTCCCTTGGTTATCAGAGGCTGAGCCTTTCTCCAGAGCATCAGGAATGCCAGGACTCTTCATTGGGGTGTTAGCTTTGTGGGAGGGGCTGGAGGATATGGGAAGTAGGATTGGGAAAAAGAGGAATTGAAGCCTGTGATTGAAACTATTTTGTCTCTCTCCTTGTTTTAGAAAATTAAAGGATGGGAGTGGTGGGGTCCACACTGATTGTTCAATGGGGGATGGGGTCCTTGGCCCACCCCTGCTTTCCCATAGGCCCTCCCATAACCAAGGGCACCTATTTTGAGATGGCTGGCCCCCCAGCCTGGGGACTATGCTGGAAGCAGTCTCCATCTTTGATGTGGAACCAAGAAGCATTAATGGATCCATAGAGAGACTGAGCCTCAACCCACTGGCCTCAGTAGTCCACGTTTTGACCAACTGAATGAATTGGCCCTCGATGACAATGAAATGGATTTTTGAAAAAATCAGTGGGGATAGAGAAATGGAAGGACCCTCTGGTCAAATGCCTAGAGAATACTCCCAGCTAACACTGATGGGTGCTAACCCTGTGCTAGCAGTTTCTATTTGTCAGCTCCTTTCCTGCTGCTCACCGCAGCTCTATGACGTAGGTGATTTTATTGTCCACATTTTATGGAAGAGGAATCTGAGGAACAGAGAGTTTAAGTTTTGATCCAGGATTAAGAAGCTAGAAGGTGGAGATCTGGGACATAAACTCAGAAGTTGGGTTCCGGTACTGTGCCCCTAACCACTTTACTCTCTTGCTTCTACTTTCTCACGTCGGCCGCATTGCCTTCCTATCAGTCTCCTGATCCAGCCCCTGACTTGGCTATCCAGGCAGGAAGCCGCCTATCCCACAGCAGACCTGGTCCTCCAGAGACAGCTCCCCAGATGGTGAGTCTAGGGCTGAGGCTGCCCTCCAGATTTCCCTCAAGAGCCCCTACCTGACCCAGCATCTGTGCCCAACCTTCCTATCACTTTGGCCACATTAGCCTCATCCTTAGGGGCTCTTGGGCCTTCTGGGAAGTCTAAGAGCAAGGCCCAGATTTAGACACTGCCCTTCCTCATGCCCCTTGTCCCTACTACTTCTCACCGACCCTTCCTAAGCCTTCAAGTCTCTTTTGTCTAAGTCCCTTGTTCACAGTCTTCTCCAATGAGGCTTTTCCTGGCTTTTTCTCCAGGCCTTGCTCAAGGTGACTCAAATTCTCAAATAGACTTGTCCTTCCCCTTGTCACTGTGCTCTCAGTATCTTTTTTTGGTTATTGTTATTAAGCCTTGGTCAAATTCTGTGTTTTTGTATAAATTAGCTATTTGTATAGACACCTATCTCCCCTACTCGACACCAAGCTCCTTGTGGGCAGGCATCAGCTCTTATTCATCTTTGTATCTTTTCCGCACCCAGGGCTTGACATACATTAGATGCAATGCACATTTATCCAGGAGACTTGCCAGCGGGGTACAGATTATTCCTGGCCCCACAGTTATTCACTATCCGTTAAACACCCTTTACCTTTTTACAATTATTTTTTGCTTGAACCAAATGAAAACAATCTTTCTTTTTTTCTTTTAAACTGATTATCTTTGTGTACTTTTATATATGATACATTTCATAACAAATTTTAATTAAACATTACAATTCTGCAAAATGAATACTTGAACATTTCCTTTGATTATTTACAAATATGCTTTTCAAAACTTTTTAACAAATCAGAAATCACATTTGTAAGCCAAAATAACATTAACACTTATTAATTTGCTAGTATTTGCCTAATGATTGTAGAATTCCCAGGTCAGTATCTAAACTTTTCAAAAATAATGAAGCTTATTCTATCACTTTACTCCTACTAAGATGTTATTATATAATAATTATTTAAAACCTCATCCCTCAAAATTTTATGTACGTTTTATAACATATACAATATATTGGAAAACTAGTGCTGATATATAACTTGTACATAAACACAAATACTAAATTGGGGAGATATGCTAAAAAATTTATTTTTTCATCTTTATTATTGTATAACTGACAAATAAAAATTGTATATATTTAAGGTATACAACTTGATGTTCTGATATACATATACACTGTGAAAAAATCACCATGATCAAGCTAATTAATATATCCAGCACCTCACATAGTTAACGTTTTCTTTTTTTTTTTCCTTAGGGTTAGAACACGTAAGATCTTATGATCTTAGCAAATTTCAAGAATCTAATACAATATTACTAACTATAGTCACCATGCTGTGCATTAGGTCTCCAGAACTTATTCATTCTGTGTAACTGAAACTTTGGATCCTTTGACCAACATCTTCTTATTTCCCCTCGCCCTGGTGACCACCCTGGCAACTACTCTCTGCTTCTATGCGTTTTACCGTTTTAGATTCCACATGTAAGTGAGATTATGCAGTATTTGTCTTTCTGTACCTGGCTTATTTCACCTGGCATAATGTCCTCCAGGTTCATCCACATTGCAAATGGCAGGATTTCCTTCTTGTTAAAGACTGAATAAGCTATATCTATGTAAATAAATATCACCTTTATCTATCTATCTATCTATCTATCTATCTCAATGTTTAAATCCATTCATTCATCAACAGACATTTGTTTCTGCATTTTGGTTATTGCAAATAATGCTACAGTGAGCATGAGAGTGCAGATACCTCTTTGAGATTCTGATTTCATTTCCTTTAGATATATACCCAGAAATGGGATTGCTGGATCATATGGGAGTTCTATTTTTAATTTTTTGAGGAACCTCCATATCGCTTTCCTTAACGACTGTACCTATTTACATTCCCAACTATGGTGTGCAAGGGTTCCCTTTTTTCTGCAACTTCACCAACACTTGTTACCTTTTGTCTTTTCAATAAGAGCCATCCTAACAGGTATGAGGTGATACCTCATTGTGGTTTTGATTTGTATTTCCCTAATGTGTAATGATGTTGAGCACCTTTTCATGTACTATACTTGTTGGGCATTCTTCTGAGAAATGTCTTTTCAGGTTCTTTGTCCATTTTTAAATTGGGTTATTTGTGTGTGTACGTGTGTGTATGGGGGGGGGTTAAACCCTCAGCAGACATATGATGTGCAGATATTTTCTCCCATTCTATAGGTTGCCTTTTTACTGTGTTGAGTGTTTCCTTTGCTGTGCAGAAACGTTTTAGTTTGATGCAATCCCACTTGTTTATTTTGCTTTTGTTGTCTGTGCTTCAGATGTCATATCCAAAAAATCGTTGCCCAGACCAACATCAAGAGGCTTTTTCCCTGTTTTCTTCTAGTAGTTTTATGGTTTCAGGTCTTACATTTAAGTCTTCAATCTACTTTGAGTTAATTTTTGTATATGGCATGAGCTAGGGGTCCAAATTCATTCTTCCGTGTGTGGATATCCAGTTTTCTCAGAATCATTTACTGAAGAGACTATGCTTTCCCCATTGTGTTTTTGGCACCCTTGTCAAAGATCAGTTGACCACACATGCATGTATTTATTTCTGGACTCCCTATTCTGTTCCATTGGTCTATATGTCTGTGTTTATGCCAGTACTATCCTGTTATGATTACTGTCGCTTTGTAAGACATTTTGAAATCAGGAAGTGTCATGCCACCAGCTTTTTTCTTCTTGCTTAAAATTGCTCTGGCTATTTGGGGTGAAAGTCACTTTCTTTACATTTGTGTATTTATTTAATAACTTGTGCTTCCAGTTATTCCTAATCATTCCCAAAATTGCAAGCTCATGGGAGTTCCAGGATCTGGGTCCATTCACCTTGCATTGATCATCACTTAGCCTCATACCAGGGCAGCTATATGTAGGTAAACACTTTTTTTTAATATACTTTAAGTTTTAGGGTACATGTGCACAATGTGCAGGTTAGTTACATATGCATACATGTGCCATGCTGGTGTGCTGCACCCATTAACTCATCATTTAGCATTAGGTATATCTCCTAAAGCTATCCCTCCCCCCTCCCCCCACCCCACAACAGTCTCCAGAGTATGATGTTCCCCCTCCTGTGTCCATGTGTTCTCATTGTTCAATTCCCACCTATGAGTGAGAATATGCAGTGTTTGGTTTTTTGTTCTTGCAATAGTTTACTGAGAATGATGATTTCCAATTTCATCCATGTCCCTACAAAGGACATGAACTCATCATTTTTTATGGCTGCATAGTATTCCATGGTGTATATGTGCCACATTTTCTTAATCCAGTCTATCATTGTTGGACATTTGGGTTGGTTCCAAGTCTTTGCTATTGTGAATAGAGCCGCAATAAACATACGTGTGCATGTGTCTTTATAGCAGCGTGATTTATAATCCTTTGGGTATATACCCAGTAATGGGATGGCTGAACACTTTTGAGGACATTTAAAGGGATATTTTTACCAAGTGGATCAGAGTGGGGAGTTGAAGAAGCTGAAGAGCTCTCTATGATATTGCCATTTCATAAGTTAGGATGTGCATACCACAACTCCCCCAAACTTACTGAGATCACCTTTGGGACTTAGAGGGCTAGTGGGAGAAATATATAATTTCAACATTCAAAATATAATAGAGTTATACAGATGTTTACTTCTTTGTGAATCTAGTATTTTCTAAACATTTTTCAAAATCTCATTTAAAAAATAGGTACATAAAAATCGCTAAGGGCTTACTGACTTTCCTGCCCCATTTCTCACCTTCATTTATAAATTACTTTTATTTAGTTAATTTAATAATTTAATAAACAACCCCGAAACAAAGGTAGACTCTTTTTGGCAGTAACCCACATCTGACTATATGGTCCCCATCCCATTCTTTGCCTTCCCTCACCCAGGGTGACTTTCCATACTATATTCAAATCGGGTTTAGAGTCCAGGGCTTGTCCTGTTATATCACCTTTTCATCTACACCCACTGTCACCAATAGGACGAATCTGCTTTGGTAGGCTTAATTTTAAAACAAAAATCTTTAAATGGCCTCCCTTGGCAGATAGTAAAACTCAGATTAAATGCTGCTTCTTATAGCATGATTTTCTGTGTTTAAGAGGAGCTCAAATATGGCTGAGATACTATTCACCTTGAAGGCGTCACCCCACCAGTTTGGATATAACTTTCTTGGTCGCATTCCAGAAGTTCTTTATTCTAGGACAGGACCAGGGCAGCTGACTAAGAGGTCTGCATCCCACACTGTCTGCCCGTACTGATTAGTGTTTTTCCCTCAGCTTCTGCCATGGGAGGTAATGGCTCCTCAGTGACATTTTTCTTTTAGTCTCATAATTTAGAGGCTGCTGGGTGCAGTGACACACGCTGCCATTATTCACTCCTCCCAGTGTTGAGTTGTATCTGTGTTTCTGAGCAGTTACAGACAGCGAATAGGAGTCGTAAGACACACAGCTAGACGGAAGAGGGGATATAAAGAATGACCCATGGGGCTGGGAGCGGTGGCTCACGCCTGTAATCCCAGCACTTTGGGAGGCCAAGGTGGGCAGATCACGAGGTCAGGACATCGAGACCATCCTGGCCAACATGGTGAAAACCCCGTCTCTACTAAAAATACAAAAATTAGCCGGGCATGGTCGTGCGCACCTGAAGTCCCAGCTACTCAGGAGGCTGAAGCAGGAGAATCGTTTGAACCCGGGAGGCGGAGGTTGCAGTGAGTCGAGATCGCACCACTGCACTCTAGCAACCTAGTGACAGAGTGAGACTCCATAAAAAAAAAAAAAAAAAAAGACCCATGTTGTGGACCCCTCTTGGTTCATCTTCACCCTTGTTGTGGAGAGGGTCTCTTAGACTAAAAATGTATTCTGGGAGGTGATTTGAATTAGCAAGGTAAAGGCCTGTTTGTCTTTTAAGATATTTTACTCTGAAGAATCTACAAGACCCACAGTTATCCAGACTTAGAGTGCTATAAGGAGGCTCCCTCTGCCACGGAGAGAATTGTCTCCAAGACATTGTCCACAAGGGTCTCTGTCAGAATGGACCCCAGAATCTGGAGCCTGGGAGCAGGATGAACAGGGCTAGGAAGGAATAGATAGAGACAGAGGAGTAGAAAAGAGAAGAGGGAGGGAACTAGGGGAAGAAAGAACGTGGGACTTGAACTTTCCCACCTGAGGTTGTCTGGATTGCCTGAAGGGCTTTACTGAGCAAAAAGTAAGGACAGGCTTTACATCATTCTCTGGGCTCTGGGTGTCATTGTGGCTGGCCGCAGGAAAGACTGTTTTCTTTCTGGTCAAGATGTTATAGAACATAAGAACAGGGTAATGTAAGGGAGCTCACAATCACCAGCAAAGGTGTGGATTGGCCTACTGCAGGCCAGAGCTCTCCTGAGATGTGTGCCAAAAGAAATGACTTACGATGGGCCCTGTGGTAGGGAGCTGTCTGGGTGATGCTTTGCTCACAATTGCCTGAGAACTGCCCCCAAATCACAGCAGCCAGGTCTGTGCTCTTTAAATCTTCCCCAAGGCAGGTAATTGGTACAGGGGAGGAGAACTGGTCCAGGTTGGGCCAGCCATATTCTCTCTTCTGGGAGGAACTGGAATATGGAATCAAGAGACTCATGGGCTGGGAGTCCCTACAGCAGAGTCCCATCAGTGGTAATGTTCTAGAGGGAAGCTGCACAATCCTCCCCTGCTGGGGTCTTCACAGCTGCCTGGGGCCTAGCATGTTTGAGGCTTGTATTCAGTGAGGTGCCCAGTGTTCTTCCAATAGGTTCCCTTTAAACTGGTACAAGTCAGGTTGTTGTTTTTTTTGTTTTTTTTTTAGACGGAGGCTCGCTCTGTCACCCAGGCTGGATTCCAATGGTGTGATCTTGGCTCACTGCAACCTCTGCCTCCCGGGTTCGAGTGATTCTCCTGACTCAACCTCCCGAGTAGCTGGGATTACAGGTGCTAGCCACCATGCCCGGCTCTTTTTTTTTGTATTTTTTAGTAGAGACGGGCTTTCACTGTGTTAGCCAGGATGGTCTCCATCTCCTGACCTTGTGATCCGCCCACCTTGGCCTCCCAAAGTGTTGGGATTACAGGCGTGAGCCACTGCGCCCGGCCTAGAACCAAGAAAATCTTAACTGACACGCTCACCAAATTTCCATTTTCCTTTATTAATTTGTGATTTTGCTAATCATCTTTAAATTTCTATACATCCTTCTTGTATTGATTTTCCTGCTTGAATTGCCTTTCATAGAGATGAATTCTGCAGTCTTAGTGGGTGCAACAGGATTGCTTTTTATTTGCTTTGAATTGCTTTGTTCATTTTTCTAGCCATACCCTGCTGCCCAGCCCTTGATGTGCCACATTTGGTATTTGGGATTTAGGGACCAAATTTATATTTCTATCCTCTTGCTATCCTCCATCCTCCTGCACTCTCCCAGGTACTCTAGAGGCTGGAGCAGAAGATGGCTTCAGCCTAGGAGGTCAAGGCTGCAATGAGCTATGATTGCACCATTACACTCCAGCCTGGGTGACAGAATGAGACCCTGTCTCAAAAAAATAAAAAAAAAAGGAATGTCCAGTTTCCACGTCTAGAAAGGTAAATTATAAACAAGAACATTAAAATGGTATATTATTCACTTCAATGACATAGAAGTCATTGAATGGCTCCCAATTATCTGACCTCCTGATGCTCGTGCCCCTCTCACAGTGATTGGACTAATCTGTGTGATGACAGGACGTTGTAGAAATGGTGGTGTGTGACTTTTGAGCCTAGGTTATGAAAGGTATTCCAGCTTCTGCCTGGGTCACTCATTCTAGGGGAATGCAGCTGCCATGTCATGAGCACACTCAAGCAGCCCTCTGGAGAGGCTCATCTGGAGAAGAACTGGAGCTTCTCACTGTCATCCAGCACCAGCCATAAGAGTAAGCCAACTTAGACCCGGATCCTCCAGCCCCAGCCAGGCTTTCTGGATGTTTCAGCCAACATCTTGACTTTACCCTCCTGAGACTTTCATGAGAGGCAGAAATATCCACTGAAGCTGCTCCCGAATTTGTGGCTCACAGATACTGAGCTCAGATACTGTGTGAGATAATAAATGTTTATTGTTTTAAGCTGCTACGTTTTGGGTCTAATTTGTTATACAGCAATAAATAAGTGGAACAGATATGTATATAGATCCAAGGTGTATTAGTTTCCTGGGAATGCCATAACAAACTGTCACAAACTGGTTGGCTCAAACAACAGAAAGTTATTGTCTCACAGTTCTAGAGCCTAGACCTTTGAAATCTAGGTGTTGGCAGGGCTGTGATCCCTCTGCAGGTACTTGGTGAGGATCTGTTCAGGTGGCCATGATCCCTCTGCAGGTACTTGGTGAGGATCTGTTGAGGTCTCTCTTGCAGCTCCTGGTAGCCTCAGGCATCCTTGTCTTGTAGATGGCTGTCTTCTCCCTGTGTCTCTTCACATCATCTTCCATCTGTGCATGTATCTGTCTGTCCTCGGGTCCAAATTTTTCCTTTTTATAAAGACAACAGTCATATTGGATCAGGACCCACTCTAATTGTTACCAGAAAAAGGGGTCTTCATCCAGACTCCAAGAGAGGGTTCTTGGATCTCAGGCAGGAAGGAATTCAAGATGAGCCACAGAGCACAGTAAAAGAAGCAAGCTTATTAGAAATGACTACATTACAGACTAGGGTGTCCTCACAAAACAAGCAGAGGAATGCACTGTCTTTAAGTTATTTTTCTTATATAGGGGTCTTGTCTACATAAAGACGAAACTAAACCATGACTACGTGAAGGTGAGCAGACAGCATGACAAAATGTATCATCCTATTGATTTCAAGAAAACGATCCTTGACATTTTTTTGTGTGTGAGTACATCAAAACATAACTATTATTATCTTGAAAGGATATGTTGTTTTGGGTGTTGGGACATCTGGACTTTCTGTTGTTGTAGGAGTTTGTCCTTGCAGGCATTACCAAGCTGCTTCCTCAGCTGTAAACATCTTAGCACCATGGGTTGTGACTGGCAAGGAATGTGCCTTGCTAGGTTTAAGATGGAGTTGATTTTAAAATGATATCACTGTGGCTCTCCTGGGCTCCTGCTTCCCTAACATCATGACCTCTTTTTAACTTGATTACCTCTGTTAAAGACGCAAATAAATTCCCATTCTGAGGTACGGTGGGTCAGGACTTCAACCTATCTTTTCCTGGGGTGTACGGTTCTACCCATAGCAAATGCTTATGTGTCAAGAAGTCTGAAGGCAGAAGTCTCAGGGCTGGTGTGGCAGCTATAGGATGCCGTCAAAGATGCAGGCTCCTTTTAGTTTTCTTCTCCACCATCCTTCATTTTGGGGAGGATTCTTTTTCTCCACTTCTGCTTTTTTTCCTCCATGAGCGGGGATACCCATTACTGAAATTCCTATCCTTTCTCCAGGGAAAATGAAGTTTCTTCTCTGTTCAGTAAAGTTAGGGAGGGTGAGCTGGGTGTGCCCGTCTCAGCTCTGACTTCTTTTCCTCTTGGGAGACAGCTGCCAGCAGCAGGGACATGTGCCCTTCAGTGTTCTCCCTCATGACGTTAGATTTATATGGGAAGGGGCCTTGCCCCTTGAGTGGGCTTCAACTTAGAAGTTGGGAGTGTGCAGTTTCAGAAACTTCAACATTTGGTGCATTGGCCAGAAATACTAAGAAATAAAAACCTGAGAGTGGGATGCAGAGGAAAAAATATTCATATGGAAATTTTTTTGGTAGGGCCAGATGTGTGGCTTAGAGGTTTGTACTGTAGTTGAGGTTTAAAAAGAAGGAATTTTTCTGCAGTTGGCTTTTAATTCTGTGATCCAGGTGACAGGTTTTCAGCTGCCTACATAGTGTTTGGCTCTTAATGTGACTGTAGCTTATGGAAGTTTTGTCCATAGGTGAGTGACTATCTCCATAAAGCAGTGCTCCTTCCTTCCTTCCTTCCTTCCTTCCTTCCTTCCTTCCTTCCTTCCTTCCTTCCTTCCTTCCCTCCCCTCTCCTCCTCTCTTTCTTTTTTCTTCCTTTCTTTCTTTTTCTTTCTTTCTCTCTTTCTTTCTTCTCCCTCTCTTTCTTTCTTTCTTTTCTTTCTCTCTGAGATAGGGTCTCACTCTGCCACACAGGTGGGAGTGTAGTGGCACAAGCATAGCTCACTGCAGCCTCAACACCCTCTAGGCTCAAGTGATCCTCCCGCTTCGGCCTTCCAAAGTACTGGGATTAAAGGCTTGAGCCACTGAGCCCTGCCTTGTTTTCAAACTTGAATGTGAATAGAATCACCCAAAGGCCTTGTTAAAACACAGATTTCTAGGTCCTATCTTTTTCTTCTCTTTCCGCTGAGGGATTATTCTGAAGCCGGTGAGTCCTACCTGGCAGATATCCTGTGTGGCCGAGTAACAGCAATGCTTGCTTGTGAAGCTGTGGCCAACTTGATTGTATACCAGCTTGGGTTTGCTTCCCCTCCTCACCTCCCTCACTTCTCACTTCCCTCCCTCTTGCTGACCTGGGGCTTGTCCCTCTCAGGAAAGCACCAGCACAGAAGCTTTGCCTCCCATGCTTTCTGCTAGGAAACCTGGGCTAAGGAAGGGCTGAAAGGGAAATGAATCTGAAATAAAATAACATTAAAAAAAAAGAAATTAAAGGGTTATATGTAGACGCATTCTCCTCAAATAAATGGCAAGTGCATAGTCCCCAAGTTAACCTTATGCTAGGATATCTTCTGGCTGATTGTAAGTTCAAAATTTATGGACTTTAATGGTTTCTGGACAACTGGAATAATCCAGCACTCTGGTGAGGCCAAAACCAAGGAAACGGTCTCACAGTCTCTATCTCTGTCTTCCAGTCAGTTACTTCTGAGTGTCTGCTGGGGTCTTTTTTTCTTTTTTGAGACAGGGTCTCACTCTGTTACCCAGGCTGGAGGGCAGTGACACGATCACAGCTCAGTGCAGCCTCAAACTCCTGGGCTCAAACGATCCTCCCGCCCTAGCCTCCCAAGTACCTGGGACCACAGGCATGAGCCACCTCACTCAGCTAATTTTTAAAAAAATTTTATTGAGATGGGATCTCTCTATGTTGCCCAGGCTGGTCTTGAACTCCTGGGCTCAAGCGATCTGCCTGGCTCAGCCTCCCAAAGTGCTGGGGTTACAGGCATGAGCCACCGTGCCCAGCTTCTCTCATACTTGTTATTTCAAAAATGGCTGCCACAATTCCAGTCATTACATCCTCAATCAAGGCAGGACAAAGAGAGGAAAGGGTGGTCCCAGCACAACCTTCCTTCACACTTAACCCTATTATCGGGCAAGCGGCATCTTTCTCACTCCAGCCATCCCCTTAGACTTTCCTTATGTCTCTTTGGTTGGAATTAAGTTATTTAGTCACCTTTGTCTGCAGTGAAGGCTGGGAAAGTGAGTGCCAGGCTTCTCACCTCTACAGTGTAGAAGACAAAACAGGAACAGACTGGGATTGGTTGCTGGGTTATCCAACCAACAGTGTCTGCCATATGAACATTATATGATTTATATGATTATTTACCTTGCTTTGAGTGAATATATGCATAATGTTTCCTGGGATGGTCACTTCATATCTAAATAGCTCAAAATGCTATTCTATTTCATGTGTATGTGTTTTCAGATTGCATTTTACCTACTTGATTAGTCTGTGTATGCAGTAGGCAAGACTCTCAGTGTTGTCCTTGCTCTAGAGCCCATGCCCTTCAAGGCAAACCCTGGCCCTAGGCATCCCAGATATATGGTGGATGTCCCAGATGTTCTGTGCCAGATACAGCTGATATTCTCCCAGAAGATTGGAGAGTTCCACCTCATGCGGAGAGAGTGAAATAGATGTGAAGTGGAAGTCAGTTGCACTACATGAACTTCATTTGTGGCTCTGTCCTTTTCCTTGTAATGAGTCTCTGGGAAGCTGCCAATCTCTCTACATGCCTTGCTGTAATATGGGCACAAGAACATCTATCTGCCAGGCCATACAACTAGTTCTTAGTAAGGGGTGATGCTGATCTGTCTGAGAGCATCTTCTACTGCAGCTTTGATTACTCAGGGGAGCTGGATAGTTTCTGTTAATTTTCGACTTTAAAGATATAATCTTCATCTCTCCACCTCCTGTCTGTCTGCTATAGCTTCCCAGGACCATTCCAGCCTTCATTGCTTCCCTTTCTCCTTTAGTTTCCATAGAACATATGGTCTACTTCACAATTTTAGCCTACAAACTCACACTGTCTTGGATTGTTAGTTCATCCTCTCATGGTTTGAGTCTCACATCCCCAACCAGTCTGTCTGATGTCCTATCTGAGGGCTGTTCCACAGATTCCTTTTTTCCTGAGCCTCCAACTGTTGATACAATATCAGCACTCAGTAGACAGCTGTTGAATAGAATCTGCAATGTCCCAAAGATTAGAAAGAGAAACACCCGTGACTTCTAAGCCTGTGCCATGCTAAATGGCCACCGGAGCTCAGCAATCCTCTTCTTACTCTGTTGTCTTCTAATTAAGAAGGATGGTGGAATTTTAGGGTGTAGGCCTGGATATATAGAAGGCCGGGTTGGGCACGTTGGCTCCGCGTGTAATCCCAGCACTTTGGGAGGCCGAGGCGAGTGGATCACGAGGTCAGGAGATTGAGACCCTCTGAACAACATAGTGAAACCCCGTCTCTACTAAAAATAAAAATAAAAATTAGCTGAGCATGGTGGTGCTTGCCTGTAATCCCAGCTACTCGGGAGGCCGAGGCAGGAGAATCGCTTGAACCAGGGAGTCAGAGGTTGCAGTGAGCTGAGATCGTGCCACTGCACTCCAGTCTGGTGACAGAGCAAGATTCCATCTCAAAAAAAACCCAAACAAACAAACAAACAAACAAACAAAAAACCGCCACCCTGCTCTGTTCATACAGCCCCAAACTTGCTGTTAGTGTCCCACAAGGGTTCATAGCTTGGACTCCATGACCTCCTTGGCATACTCCTGAGTCTGTTATATCATTCAGAAGTCATGGCTTTTAGCAAAAGAGCCCTTGTCAAGACTGAACACCTTATGGGCATGGGCTCAGCTGGGGATACGGGGACTGAAATTCGGATTTTCCCATTGCGGCAGTGACAACCAGGAACACCAACTCTGGACCAGGTGGGGGATCAGGCTTCTCCTCTGGGTCTACAGCCACCAAGATCTCTAACCCTGGGAATTTCACTTAGTTTCTCCAAGTCACAGTTTTATCACATTACAGAAGCTGAGAATTGAAGGCTTATTTTCTAGAGAGGTGTGTGTAGTGTTGAGAGCACTGGACTGAGAACCAGGAGAGATTACTAGACCTCCTGAGCCTTGGGTTCTGCATCTATAGAGTGAGGGGACAGGAATGTATAAACTAAGATTTCTTCTCACTCTAAATCGTGGAATTGTAGATTTGTGATTTACTAGGGGTCACAGCATGAGGTAGTTGGTTGCTAAATCTGCTTTTCCTGGTCCCCTTTCTAGATTCGAGTCTTATTGCTTGAGATTGGAATGTGTTTATTGTCTTTGACTCCTTAGCTCTGTTCTCCTCTTGACTCTGTGGGGTTGGGCTATGGGATGTTGAGTGTTTCAAGACTTTTTCAAACCTTTGGGACATTGTTTATAGCACTGTGCACTTTGGAGAGAGCTTTTACGTATATTATCTCGCCAAAACTTGACAGTCTCTCTCTCTCTCTCTTTTTTTTTTTGAAACAGAGTCTCACTCTGTCACCCAGGCTGGAGTGCAGAGGCACGATCTTGGCTCACTGCAACCTCTGCCTCCCAGGTTCAAATGCTTCTCATGCCTCAGCCTCCTGAGTAGCTGGGACTACAGGCACATGCCACCACACTGAGCTAATTTTTGTATTTTTTTTTAGTAGAGACAGGGTTTCACCATGTTGGCCAGGCTGGTCTTGAACTCCTGACCTCAAGTGATCCGCCCATCTCGGCCTCCCAAAGTACTGGGATCACAAGCATGAGCTACTGTGCCCAGCTGACAGTCTCTTAAGAGCCAAGTATTTCTAGCCATTTTCCAGATGGGAAATTGACTCTTGGAGAAGGACCCAAGGTCCCAAGTCTGCTGACTTAGGGGCAGAGCTGGGCAAGAATCTAGGTCACCTTAATTCCAGCCAAAGGATATTTACTTATAACATTGAGGGGGTATTGGGAGAAGACAGTGTGGCTCAGTGTGGGGAACGGAATGGGAAACAAAGGACACTTGAATTCAGGCTCAAAGGAGAAGGGAGGAAGAGGTGGTTGCCCTGCCCTGGCTTCTTTTCACTCCCACCAAGCCAGGCTTAATGCCTCTGTTTCTTTCAATCAGAGAAGCCTGATTTTTTTTTTAAACTCTGGAAGCAGTACATGGTCATCACAAATGATTTAATCTGAAAAGAAGGGGAGAGAGTAAGAAGAAAGATTCCTCTGCTCTGGCCCATCTCACGCACCCTCTTGGAATGTCTCGAGTGTGTCTGCATAGAGTTGCCATCCTTTCCATAGTCCCCGGCACGGCCGAGGCACAGTCTATCCCACATAGCCTCTATTTATTTTCTATTCTTTTTTTCTTTTGAGATAGAGTCTCGTTCTGTTGCCGAGGCTGGAGTGCGGTGGTGCGATCTCGGCTCACTGCAACCTCTGCCTCCCGGGATCAAGCAATCCTCCCACCTCAGCCACCCGAGTACCTGGGACCACACGCATTCGCCACCATGCCTGGCTAATTTTTGAATTTTTTGTAGAGACGGGGTTTCACCATGTTGGCCAGGCTGGTCTTGAACTCTTGGGCTCAAGTGATCCGCCCGCCTCAGCCTCCCGAAGTGCTGGGATTATAAGCATGGGCCACTGGTGCCCAGCCACATCCTCTATTTCAACTGGGGTGGAATATTGGTATCTGAATTCCAGCACTTGTTCCTTCTCCACTTCAGGGTTCCCTCAGCTCTGCATGAAAGTGGGAAACACAGCATCACTTTATTAATAGTGTACAAGTAGATGCTCCCTGCCAGAAGCAGGGCTTCTCTGAGTTGGAGCACAAGGCTTAGGTGTGAAAGCCTAGAAAATGCTTCCTATGCCCTTTCTTCTGAGAGGCTAGTTGAGTCTACAGAGCCTACCCACTCCCCTTCCTCCCACAGATCCAGGCAGAGAAGCTAGGACAGGGGAGGTTGACTAGAAGGATGGCCAAGCCTGCTCTGCTCACTGCATGGAGGCAGAGAGTGAAAGCGAATGGAGCCTAAACTCTCACCTTTCATAAAATATAATTGCTCTGCCCACCAGTAAAACACTGCTCAGGAAACACAGTCTTGGCTTTGAGCATCTCTTCCAAGCTGAGAGAGGACTGGTAATGTGGTGTTTATTCCCCAAGAGGCAAAGATGGGCATACAAGGAAAGTGGGAGAAAGGTCCCTGCCTTACACATAACAGAATTTTCCCCTTTTAAAATGACCGCTTTTATTTCGGGCACAGTCCTCCCAACCTCCCCACTTAAACATGCAAATACTCTATGAGGATATATTGATACCTGCTATGCTAGAAATTGGGAATCAGAGACAATAAAGACACACCATCCAGAACGGAAGACAGCCGCCTAACAGTTGAAATGAAGTGCTCTGATAACAATGACAATAGCTAAGTGTTCAGGGAACACTTACTAGGTACAGGTATTACACCCAGCACACCACAGGCTTCATCTTGTTCAATCCTCACAATAATCCTATAAGGTAACTTTAGTATTACCAGTTTTCAGATGAGGGAACTTAAGTTTAGAGAGGCTAAGTAGCTTGCTCAAGGTCACTCAGTTAGCAAGAGGCAGGGTTGGGAGTTGCAGCAAGTGTTCTGCCTAAAGTGTCCGTGTGTAACCACTGCGTGATATTCCTACGGTCGAGGACAACATGGGGTGCCCTAGGAGCCCAGAGAATGGCAGTTACTGGAGGCAGAGGTCAGGGGGATCACAGAGAAGCTCACACATCGCTCTGTGAATGCTTGAGGACCTATTAGGGAGCAGCCCATTAAATGGGGAAAAGAAAGAGGGAGCATTAGTAGGTCAGGTCTGCACAGGACACCTCAGCAGGGGAGGGAGGAGAGGAGGAGGCTGAAAGGGGTGAGAGGAGTATGGAAAGGGGTGACGTGAAGGCTGAAGTTCACAAGGATATGTGAGCAAGCTTGTTCACCTCCATGTTAATCTGGAAGTGTTAAATAGTGACCACTATTGAGGCTCGTTGACATAAAAATATTTATCTCTGAGGAGAACACAAATGAAAATATCTAAGAGAGGAGGGAGGGGAGACATCAGGGCATCAGGAGCCGGAATCTCAACCATCTGGAATCCTACTGAGATTTGGCGGCCCATTCCAGAGTCTCAGGTATCTTGCCAAAATCTTTTTTAAAGGAGAAAAAAACAATAATGTTGCCTTCTAGAATAATGCACCAGAAACGCCTCACGTTGGCATTTACAGACGTCCTGCCAATGCCCGGAGAGCATATAATGGACGGATAGCAAAGGCAGCGAGGGGGAGAAAAAGCAGCAGAGTGATTGAGCTGTGCCTCCTTGGGTTTTTATTATCGTTGCTGCCTTCAGCCATATGCTTTTCAAAGGCTCTGACAAGCTTGGAATGGTTTCAAAGGAATTCCTAAACCCAGATTTCATTATCGTCATTACATCTCCGGATTGTCAGTGCTCTGCATAGGAAACACAAATTTATGAAAGTTCTTAAATGTTTCTCCGTAAATGTTGATCACCCTCTCCTGTCATTACATGAGATGTCTGGGATGTTGACATAGAGGCTAATAAATAGCATTTCTCTTCCTTGAAATAGGATGTCTTGCCACTTGAGTGGGTTCCAGAAGCTGCATAAAAAAGGGAATAAAATGGTTGCTTTTTCCTTTTTCATCTATTTGGTTGTTCGTTACCACCCCCACCCTCACTGCCACTTTTAAAAACAGAATGAAAACAGACTCAATCTGCTGAGAATGCCTGTTTTTAAGTACACCGTGGACCCTGTTTGTGCTGCAGCTGACATCCAAGGCATTTATCACTCTGCCACTCACCACTGGATAGCCTATTTGGTTGTGACTTTCCATGCATCTCAGGTCTTTTGCCATCATTTTGCTTGTCCCCTTCCACATACCAACCTTGCTCAATTTCACAAACAGAAAAACTAAGCCAGAGGCTGACGAGTCAGGTGGGTGATGAGTCAGGAGCAGAGCCTGGGAGACCCTAGGACCAAATGGGGCTCTGGAACGCTGCAGCATCCCTGACCCCATCTTCATCTCAAAGGAGAACATGCTTCTTTGCAAGAATGATGGCATCATACTAAGGGTTCTGGAGAACTAAAAGTCATAAGTACACTGGGTGCTTTGTTAAAACCTGTGTAAAGGGAGCAAAGGGATATATCCTGTGAAAATGCAGAAGTTTTCCATTTGAGAGAAGTTCTTGGATGGATGGAATATGCAGAGATCTGGGAAATGTTGGGATATTCCACCCGAGATGAAAGGCAAGTTGCTTCACCTTGTGCCTTGTCATTAAGAAAATTAATGTTTCAAGGACACTCTTGGATACTGGAGGCAGAATCATAACACATTTAAATGTCTGCTCCAAAAACTTGCTTTATTCATGGGATAACGTGAACAGCTCCCTAAAAGTCATGTTCAGCACTTTGAAATGAAAGCATGGGACCATTAATATATTTTTCTCGAGCACATATTGCATACCAGACATTGTTCTAAGTACTTTATGTGTATCACCTCATTTGATCCTCACAAGGGCACACAGGTAACGTGGCAGTTAGAATTTGAAGCCATGTATCTCCCAAATTCATTGGTCTTAACCACCATGCTTTACTATTTTCATTTTCAGAGCCATCAGTTGATCTTGGAGATTGCAATTTCCAAGCGATGCCCATTTCTCATCTAGTCTATCATAATTTCATTTTCTTCAACCTATGGAATGAATTATAAATTTAACTACCACCTACACACCCACTTACAATAGTGAAAAGTGAGAACAAGTAAGAGGAAAAAATTTACCACAACTTGTATTTTAAAGGAAAGAAAAAGGGGAAAGTATTCATTCTTCAAATACTCTAGAAGCAGTACAGGAATATGCAATTGATTATGAATATGGTAATCCACACAAATGAATTTTGTCTTTTTTTTCTCTGTCACTACCACAATTGGGGAAATATATAACCTCCAGGATTTGGGGATGATTCCAACAACCATTAATTTTAAAAACAATATTTATTCAGAATTTTTTTTCAGAATTATAATTTCAGATAAAGTAATCCTTTTTGTTCATTTCTCACATGGCCTTGAGGACTTTAGAGTCATGATATAATTCTTCCTGTGGCTACACTTACATCCTACTTATGTAAGAAAACACCTTGCTCCCAGCTGTAACATTCCTCCCCAATTTCTCCTTTCACTGTTCAGTAAATAAGGGTTTCTGAAGTCAAATTTTCATGGCTCATTCTGTGGGACTCCCAAGTGTGGTAGAACAAAATGTTACTATCATTTTTAACCCTTCACTTCACTCTAAGGGTGGTGGTGTCTTTTGTTTGCTGACTTCAAATAAAGCCATTGTTCTTAGTATAATAACCTTGTACGTTCCTTTTTAAATTATGAAATCTTAGCACACTTTGTACATTCTTGAGGGTAGAATTTAATGGTGGTCTTGTCACCTCTGTAGATTGGAAAAAAGAATTTAATTCTGGGGTGGGAAAGGGATATACATTTTAGATGTAGAAGCTAGAAGAAAGCAAAATTACTGTGTTTAAGGAAAAATGAACTATAAAATAGAAATAATAACAGTTCAAGATATAGGATTGTTTTGAGTGCTAAATGAGATGACTTAAAGTGCCTGGGCAGAGTTCTCGGTACATAGCAAGAGCCGAACCAATGTGAAAATGTTTTGTACTGCTATCGTTGTTGTTACTATTGTTATATAAGCTTTTCTTGAAAAAAATATGCTAATAATAGAAATAGAATCAAGAAGAGAATCAAAATAAGAACTAGAAATGATATTTGTAAGGGTTATTTGCAGTGCCAATTTAAACATAGAACTAGAAATAAATACTAAAGAAACAAGGTTACAAAATGAAATGTCTATGTTATAAACCTTGACAATGGAAAATAAAATGTACAAAAAGTCAGAACACAGGAGGAAGTATTATAATGATAATTTGTTTTAGGTGTGTCTCTAGAATACAGCATATAGTTAGGTTTTGCTTTGTTTGCTTTGTGACCCAATCTGAAGATCTTTTTGTCTTGATACAAAAAGATTTTTACTTAATAAAAATCTTGCTCATTTACATTAATTAATATTACTTGTTTGGCTCTGTTTCAGTAATATATTGCTTTATACTGTCTCTCTCTCTCTCTGTGTCTTTTTTTTTTCTTTTTCAGAGACAGGGTCTCACTGTATGGCCCTGACTGGGGTGCAGTGGCACAATCATAGCTCACTGCAGCCTCAAACTCCTGGACTCAAGAATCCTGCCACCTCAGCCTCCTGTAGCTGGGACTACAGGTCTGTGCCACCATGCCAGCCTAATTTTTAAGTTTTGGTAGAGACAGGGTGTTGCTATGTTGCCCAGGCTAGTCTCACACTCCTGGCCTCAAGTGATCCTCCTGCCTTGGCTTCCCAAAGTCTCACTCTGTCGCCCAGGCTGGAGGGCAGTGGCATGATGTCGGCTCACTACAACCTCCGCCTCCCGATTTCAAGTGATTCTCCTGCCTCAGCCTCTTGAGTAACTGGGATTACAGGCACGTGCCACCACACCCGGCTAATTTTTATATTTTTAATAGAGATGGGGTTTCACCATGTTAGGCAGGTTGGTCTCGAACTCCTGACCTCAGGTGATCCGCCTACCTCGGCCTCCCAAAATGCTGGAATTACAGGCATGAGTCACCATGCCCAGCCTGTTGTCTCTTTTTCATTGCAATTTTTATTGAGATAATTGTAGATTCACATGTACTTGTAAGAAATAATACAGAGAGCCTATGAACTCAGTTTTCCCTGGTGGTAATGTTTTACAAAGCTATAATACAATATTATTAGCAAGATATTGTCATGAATATAAACATCTATTTTAATCAAATTTCCCTAGTTGTTTGCTTTGTTTTGAGTGTGTGTTTCTTCCAATAATTTGGAAGATTTCTATTTTTAAATCAACACATAGTAATCATACATATTTATGGGGTACAGTGTGACATTTTAATACGTGTATACAATGTGTAATGATCAAATCAGGGTAATTAGTATTACACCCATCACCTCCAACTTTCATCATGTCTTTGTGTTGATAACATTCAAAATTTTCTCTTCTAGCTATTGGAAAAAATACGTAAGTGTTTATTTACTGTAGTTACCCCACAGTGCTATAGAACACTAGAAGTATTTCTCCTATAAAGCTGTGATTTTGTATCCATTACCCAAGCTTTCCTTTTGTCCCCTCCCCCAGTCCTTCCCAGGTTCTAGTAACCATTATTCTACTCTCTGCTTCTATGAGAACAACTTTTTTAGCTTTCACATATCAGTGAGAACATATGGCATTTATCTTTCTGTGCCTGATTTATTTTACTCAATGTCCTCCAGGCTCATTAATATTGCTGTGAATGACAGGACTTCATTCCTTTTTATGGCTCAGTAATATTCCACTGATTATATGTACCACATTTACTTTATACATTCATCTATTGATGGACACTTAGGTTGATTCCATACTGTGGTTATTATGAATGTTGCTGCAATAGACATGGGAGTGCAGATATCTCTTCAACATACTGACTTCATTTCCTTTGGATATATACCTAGTAGTGGGATTCCTGGATCACATGATAGTTCTATTTTTAATTTTTTCGGGAACCTCCATAATGTTTTCCATAGTGGTTGTACTGATTTACATTCCCACCAATAGTGTATAACAGTTCCCTTTTCTCTGCCTCCTTGCCTGAATTTGTTTTTGTTTATGTGTTTTCTGTCTTTTTGATAATAGCCACTCTAACTAGGATGAGATGATAGATTTCTATTCTTTATTTTAGCTTTTAGCTTTGTAATTTTATGTAACTACCTTAATCCTCTATTTCTTTAGAGAGAGTCTATTAATTACCCACTATGAGCAATGGTGAAATTGGAATATTTCTACTTCCTTCTCCTTTTCTCTACTCTCCCTTTTCCCCCACCTAATATTAATTGATAGTCTTATTTGCTTAGAATTTAACTTAGTATTGCTAAGTATACTTCCTTCTCCCGTTTGATTTGACAGCTTTGTAGCCTAAACTATTAAAGATGAAGAAACACATTTATACCACAACATGTTTGTAGTTTATGTTACTTTTGTTCTCTCTTCCCATCTGAATTTTTGTCAGTTATATCAGTTTTAGGTCATCCATAATCTGTTCTTACATCATAGTCACTGCATGAGTGATATGGTTTGGCTGTGTCCCCACCTGAATCTCAACTTGAATTGTATCTCCCAGATTTCCCACGTTTTATGGAAGGGGCTCAGGGGGAAGTAACTGAATCATAGGGGCTGGTCTTTCCCCCATGCTATTCTTGTGATAGTGAATGAGTCTCATGAGATCTGATGGGTTTATCAGGGGTTTCTGCTTTCGCCTCTTCCTCATTTTCTCTTGCCGCCACCATGTAAGAAGTGCTTTTGGCCTCCCACCATGATTCTAAGGCCTACCCAGCCATGTGGAATTGTAAGTCCAATTAAACCTCTTTTTGTTCCCAATTTTGGATATGCCTTTATCAGTGGCATGAAAACGAACTAATACAATGAGTTTTGTCTTGGTCTCCGTAATATAAATTTAGTGCTCTCTGCCAGTTCTTTAGTTGCAATTTTTCCAGTCACTTCTTGGTAGGCCTAAGTTTATCCTCTAATGGATTCCTCCATTCAAATCATTGGAATTCTCAGAATTCTTTTAGGTTCAAAGTTGTTCATCTGTTGTCTGTGTACTTGAATGACAGCTTGACTTGGAATAAAAGATCATACCTATTTTGCTTAAGGATTATGTTATTCTTTCTTCACTGTCTTAACAGAACTTTTTAAGTTGTAGTGAAGTCATTATTTTTAATGACAATAAAGTTCATATTCTCAAATAAAGAGGGAGAATAGATGAGGAGAGAAAGCCTGAGAAAAATAAAAGTTTATTTAATAATATGAATAAAGAAAAAAGTCATAAAAAAGAATGAAATGAAAGTATTAGGTATAAAAACCATAATTGTTGAAATAATAGATGGGATAAACAGCAGGATGTATTTACCCAAAGAACAATCAGAAGATAAGATTAAGAAATTCCCATAGAAGGTATCAGAAAATGTAACATATAAAATACAAGCTAAGAGATGTGAATAATAGAAGTTGAAATGTTCACATTCAGATAGCAGGAGTCCCAGAATAAGAGAAGAATAAAATTATGGGAAAGTAATGTTTGAAGAGATAATGATGATAAAGTTCCCAGAACTGAAAAGTCTCATTATATGTGAAGCTGGATAGGTAAGAACAAAATCACATTTAGACCTTTTATGGTGAAAGTTAAGAACGGCAAAGATAAAGAGAATTCTAAAATCCAGAAAACATCAAAGACAAGGAGCTTCCAGAGCAGATTACCTGCAAAAGGCACAAGAACCATACTGACATTGCTTTTCCCACAGAAAAAGTGGATCCAAGAAGCCAGTTGAGTGATAATTTTAGAACATGAAAAGAAAATAATTTCAAGTCCAGAAATTTTTTATGCAAAAGGTATAGCCTAAATGTAAGACCTTAATAAAGATGTTCTCAGGCACAAAGGCCTTGGAAAATTACCACATAAAAAAACACTTTGGAAATGCTCTAGGGGAAGTATTCAAATAGGAAGGGAAACCAAGAGGATGCTGCAAGGTATTAGGAAATGTGAGGGCATTTATGTAACTTAGCAAATATTATTGTTTAAAAACTTAATAACCAAAAATAAAAAAGAGAGAAAGTATACCTATAACAATCTGGAATTGATTTTCTGCACAATATCAAAATGCTCATGGTCATGATAGACATAAAAATATGTTAAAATTATTGTTTTGCTTGAAGAGTAATATGTTGATAAATAAATTCATAGTAGTAAATGAACATAAATATAGGACTTAAGGGCAATTATATAACGAAAAGCAAAAGCATTCAATTTTGTCTATCCAGTGAAAACAGAAAAGGAAAAAAGATAAAGTACAATACATAGATAATATAAAATAAGTCCCAGAAATGTTAATAACTTTAAATGAGTAAAATTGATCAATGAATTCTAGACACCCTTGAATAAAATGGAAAAAAACCCAAACACAAGATCCAACAATGTGCCATCTACATGAAATGTACTGAAAGCAAAGTAAAATGACAAGTTGAAAATTAGGCCAGGTGCAGTGGCTCATGCCTGTAATCTCAGCATTTTGGGAGGCTAAGGTGGGAGTTGAGGCTGCAGTGAGCCACCGCACTCCAGCCTGGGTGACAGAGTGAGACTCTTTCTCTAAAAAAAGAAAAGTAAAGAATAGAAAAAGAGGCCGGTCGCGGTGGCTCAAGCCTGTAATCCCAGCACTTTGGGAGGCCAAGGTGGGTGGATCACCTGAGGTAGGAGTCCGAGACCAGCCTGACCAACATGGAGAAACCCCGTCTCTGCTAAAAATACAAAATTAGCCAGATGTGGTGGTGCATGCCTGTAATCCCAGCTACTTGGGAGGCTGAGGCAGGAGAATCGCTTGAACCCGGGAGGCAGAGGTTGTGGTGAGCCAAGATCATGCCATTGCACTCCAGCTTGGACAACAAGAGCAAAACTCCGTCTAAAAAAAAAAAAGAAAAAGATATGGACAAAAAGAAAAAAAGAAAGTTGGGTACCAGTCTTTCTATCTGATGAAACAGATCCTTGACAAAAATCATAACAAGAGACAAAAGCATTGTTATATGCTAAGAAAAGGAACCACAGAACAAGAACATATAGTCATTAAGAATATATATACAGTAAAAACATAGCCTCAAGATATATTAAATCACAACTGACTGCACTCAGAGGGGAATCAATTATCAATAATAGAGATTTTAACTACAAGCTGATATATCAGCAAATAAAAACTAAGCAGAGAAATATAAAATCTGAATAATATTATTAATAATATCCAGGCTGGGTACAGTGGCTCACACCTGTAATCCAGCATTTTAGAAGGCCAAGGTGGGAGGTTGAGGCTGCAGTGAGCCACTGCACTCCAGCATGGGTGACAGAGCAAGACCATGTCTCAAGAAAATAAAAAATACCTAGCTGCTAAATATATATTGAATTCTACACTAAACAGAGAATACATTCTTTTTTTAGTTCACATGTAATATTTACAAACATTTACCATATACTAAATAACAAAGGAAACCTCAATTAATTCTACAGAATCAATATTATACAGGATTTTTTTTGTTTTTTTGTAAAGGACCAGATAGTAAATATTTTTGGTTTTGTGAGTGTCTACCTTAATTACTGAACTGTGCAGTTGTAGCACAAAATCAGTTGTAGACAATACATAAGTGAATATGTGTGGCTGTGTTTTGTGAGATATATATAAATTAAAGGATACACTTAAAACTCATTAGAATTATTGCCTGTGTCTACACAGGCAGGGTGGTGGTGTGGGTGGGAAAACAGGCTTTGGGGAATAGGGCTAAAAAAAATAACAAACTCAAGAAATGCCTTGCCCAGAACAAGTATGATAATGGCCAGGAACCGATGGGAATGATTAACTCTACATTTGAGGTCCAGAATGTTACAGACCAGCTGTACTGTGTTTTCAACTACTTGTACTCATTTGTCTCTGAGTGCACTGATGTTTAATTGGCTGCCCATTTAGCAGTTATAGTCTGATAATTACAGTTTAAACATTATTATAATGTTGTATTTCATCTTTTGGTAATTTTTTTGGTATAGCTATTTTTGCAAAAGCATTTGTTGTCTATGATTTGTATCTCATTTTAACTACATAATCAATTGATGTAATTGATTTGGCTCCTCCTATTACATTGCAGTCAAGGAAATATTGCCCAAATATGCATAGCCCTGTGAACAATAAGAAACAAAAATGTTCAGATTTTAAAATTTCATAAAGGCTTAACACCAATCTTAAACTGTACGTTTATTTATTATACTTATTTACTTTTGTTGTACCCAATGACTAAAATAAGCCCCTATTAAAGACCTTGAAATTGTTCATCAATAGCAAATAAAATTTTCCTGAGGATTCTTTTAAAAACAGATTTGGCTTGAGTATTGAAATCTATTTGCTATCCTAGGATAGGGAAAGATATCTCACATGTATAGAGCAAATACCACAAGCCAGGTGCTATACATGTGTTATTCCAATTAATTTTCAAAACAGTTTCTAGAGCAGGCAGTATAATCCCACTTAACAGATGGAGAAACTGAGATTCAGATAAATCAAATAATCTGCCCACGGGCTCATATCCAGTAAGTGGTGATGTTAGAATACAAACTGAATAAACATGAGTTTTAGATCAGTATTCAATGTTTAAAACATTATAACAGAACTTGAGTTCCAGCGTGGTGGTGTAAGCCTCTACAGGCCATCTCTCTTGCCAATTAAAACTAAAATTGCAAGACAAATAAAAAAAAAAAACAACACTACCAAAGGACTCTGAAAAGTTGGCAGGGGGGCAGGTAGATCATGGAGGGGAGTCAAAAATTGAACAAACAACCAATGTGGAGGTGAACTTCCTTTTGTTTCTCCTCTTCTCTTGTGGCCTTGCCTCAAGGCTGAGCTGTGGTTGTAGAGCAGTGCAAAGACATCTGTGGCTAAAGTTCAAACAGAAACCTATTGTTTATGGCTAAGTAAACCAGGAAAATGAGCTCCTGCAGGCCTAAGAGTAGGGGATAGAGGAGAGAACCATAGAAGGGGATCCACTAATTTGGCATATGAGCCCATACCAGTCTCAGCATAAGCCCTGAGCTATGGATGCTTGGACAAATACAAATATTTGAACTAAATGATTAAATATTAGAGTGTCTAACTGCTGAAGAGGACATGTGCAGGATACATGCAAACAAAGGTGACAAAGGCTTAGAGGACTGAAGCAGGATTTGAACCACCTGCACAACTTTCAGAATAACCTGTAAGTGTAAATGAACAAGATAGACATGAAGCAGCATAACAAAGCCTTAGAGAACTAAACTGAACTACCACAGAAGGCAAGGTAGAAATTACATTCTGAGCTTAATAATGTTGATTGCCTGCTAAAACAAAAACATAAACATCCTCCAGAGAATGATGACGTGATCCAGTCTATCCAATACAAAATTCACAATTTTCAAGATACAATACAAAATTACTAAACATAAAGAAAAACTAGGAGATGTGAATAATTATCTAGGGAAAACGTAATCAACAAATGCCAACCTGAAGATAACCTAGATGGTGGAATTATCAGATAGAAATTTTAAAACAGCTTTTATAACTATGCTCCATGAGGCAAGGAAAAACAAACTTGAATGAAAAGAGAGGTATTGTTAGCAAAGAAATAGAAACTATAAAAAGAATCAAATAAAAATTTCAGAGCTGAAAAATACAATCTCTGAAACAAACAATAAAACCACTGGATGGGCTCAATAGTAGGATAGACAAGACAGAGGAAAGAATAAGTGAAATTGAAGATAGATTAATAGAATTATCTAATAAGAACCAATCAAAACTAGATTAAAAAAATAAACAGAGCCTTGGGGATCTGTGAAAAAATATAAAAAGATATATGTGTAGTTGGAGTTCCAAAAGGAGAAGAAAAAGAGATTGTTGCAGTAAAGCTATTTGAAGAAATAATGGCCAAAAATGTCCCAAGTTTGATGAAAGACACAAATTTACAAATTCAAGAAGCCTAGCAAACCCTAGACAAGATAAACTTAGAGAAAACCACACTTAGAAACTTCATAATAAAAGTACTCAAAACCAAAAACTAAAGAAAATATTTGAAACCAACCAGAAAAACAACACTTTACCCACAGAGGAACAATGATTTGAATGTTTACAGGTTTTTCACTAGAAATTATGGAGGCGTGAACATAATGGAATCATCAACCCAATTTTTGTTTGTTTGTTTGTTTTGTTTGTTTGTTTGTTTGTTTTTATACAGGGTTTCTTACTCTGTTGCCCAGGCTGGAATGCAGTGGCATGATCATAGCTCATTGCAGCCTTGACCTCCTTGGCTCAAGCAGTCCTCTAGCCCCAGCCTCCCGAATAGCTGGGACTATAGCCACATGCCACCATGCCCAGCTAATTTTTATTTTCATTTTTTGTAGAGACAAGGTCTTGCTATGTTGACCAGGCTGGTCTTAAACTTCTGGCCTCAAGTGATCCTCTTGCCTTGGCTTCCTAAAATGCTGGATTACAGGCATGAACCACCATGCTTGGCAACCCAGAATTTTATATTCAGCAAAAATATTCTTCAGGAATGAAGGTGAAAGACAGTTAAAGGGAAACAGAGGAACAAAAATCAGAAGGAACAACATAGAACAAATAATAAAATAATAAGCTAAATCAAACCATATCAATAATTACATTGGGCCTGGTACAGTGACTCACACCTGTAATCCCAGCACTCTGGTGGATCACTGGAGCTCAGGAGATCTAGACCAGCCTAGGCAATGTAGCAAAACCCTGTCTCTACAAAAAATACAAAAATTAGCTGGGCATGGTGGTGCATACCTGTAGTCCCAGCTACTCCGGGGTGTTGAGGCAAGAGGACCCCAGCTACTCCAGGGGGCTGAGGTGGGAGGATCACTTGATCCCAGGAAGTCAAGGCTGCAGTGAGCCGTGATTGCATCACTGCACTCCAGCCTGGGTGACAAAGTGAGACCTTGTCTGAAAAAAACAAAAACAAAAACAAAAAAAAACTTGAAAAAAAATTACATTAAATATTAGCCAATTTGTGCTGGGATCATAGCAGGAGGAATACTTAAGGCCAGGAATTTGAGATGAGCCTGGGCAACATAGCAAGACATAGCCTCTAAAAGAATTTTTAAAAATTAGCCAGGCCTGGTGGCACACACTTGTAGTCCCAGCTACTTGGAAGGCTGAGGCAGGAAGGATTGCTTGAGCCCTGGTGTTTGAGGTTGCAGTGAGCATGATTGCCCTCCAGCCTGGGCAACAGAGCAAGACTCTGTCTGAAAAAAAAAAAAGGAATTAGCCAATTAACATTTATAGATTAGTGGAATTGAATTGAGAGTCTGGAAATGAAATCTTACATATTTATGGCCAGTTGCTTTCAACAAGGCTACCAAGATAATTCAATGGGAGAAAGAATGGTCTTTCCAAAAAATGGTGCTGGGAAAACTGTATGTCCACATGCAAAGAATGATGTTGGACCCCTACCTCACAATATATACAAAAATCAACTTGAAATGGATCATAGACCTAAATGTAAGAGCTACATTAAATTTCCATATAAATTTTAGTAAGTTTGTCAATTCCTATAAGGAAGCCAGCTGAGATTTTGATAGGGATTTCATCGAATAGATAGATAAATTTGGGGAATATTCCCATCTTAATCATATTAAGTCTTCCCATCCATGAACGTGGATGTCTTTCTATTTATTTAGATCTTCTTCAATTTCTTTAAACAATGTTTTGTAGTTTTCAGGATATAAGTTTGTACTTCTTTTGTTAAATCTATTCCTAAGGATCTTACCCTTTTTGAAGTTATTGTAAATGAAATTGTTTTCTTAAATTCTTTTTTATTATTCATTGCAAATGTACAGAAATGCAATTGATTTGTATGTATTCATGTTGTATTCTGCAACTTTGCTGAACTTATTAGTTTTAGTGATTTTTTTTTTAGTGGATTACCTAGTATTTTCTGTATACAAAATTATGTCATGTGTGAATAGATAACCTTACTTGTTCCTGTCCAATTTGGATGCCTCTTATTTCATTGTGTACCTAACTACTGTTTGTAATTACCTAATTACCTGACAGAACCTCCAGTACAATGTTGAAGATAAGTGGTAAGAGTGGACATCCTTGTCTTGTTCCAAATCTTAGGGGGAAAGCATCCAGTCTTTCACCATTATCCATGGATTTTTCATAGATATCCTTTATGAGGTTAAATAAGTTTCCTTCTATTCATAGTTTGTTGAGTGTTTCTATCATGAAATTACATTGGATTTTATCAAATGGTTTTTCTGCATCTATTGAGATGATCATGGGGTTTTGCCCTTTATTCTCATGATATACTGTATAATGTTGATTTTTGGATGTTAAGCCAACCTTGTTTTCCTGGGACAAATCCTTCTTGGTCATAATATATAATCTCTTTTAAGGAAATGGTTTATTAGATGTGACACCAAAACTACAACCAACCAAAGAAAAGCAGACAAATTGAACTTCACAAAAGTTAAAAACTTGTGTGCTTCAAAGGACACCATCAAGAAAGTAAAAAGACAACCCACAGAATGGAAAAAAAAATTTGCAAATCATATATCTGAGAAGAGAATTGTACTTAGAATATATAAATAACGGTTACAACTTAATAATGAAAATACAAATAACCCAATTTACTTGTATTTAAATAAAGGATTTGAGTGGACATTTCACTAAAGAAGATGTACAAATGGCCAATAAACACATACAAAGATGCTCAATATCAGCTGGACACTGTGGCTCACACTTGTAATCCCAACACTGTGGAGGGCCATGGTGGGAGGATTGTTTGAGCCAGGAGTTTGAGATCAGCCTGGACAACATAGTGAGACCCTATCTTAAAAAAATATGCTCAATATCATTAGCCACCAGAGAAATGCAAATGAAAGCCACAATTAGACACCACTTCACACCCACTAGGAGAGCTAAAATTAAAAAGACAGACAATGAAAAGCATTGATGAAGATGTGGAAAAAGTAAAACCCTCATACATTGCTGGTGGGATTGCAAAATGATGCAGCCACTTTGGGGGACAGTTTGGAAGTATCTTAAAAAGTTAAACATAGTTAAATTAACAGAGACAGAAAGTAGAATGGTCGTTGCCAGGGGTTGGTGGGGCAGATAAAACAGGAAGTTACCGTTTAATGAGTAGAGAGTTTCAGTTTTGCAAGTAGAAAAAAGTTCTGGAGATGGATGCTGGTGATGTTTCCACGACAGTGTGAATGTACTTGATGCCACTGAACTGTACACTTAAAATTTGTTAGAGTGGCTAATTTTATGTTATGTATGTTTTACCACAATTAAATAAAAAGTTAAACATAGAATTCCATAGGACCCACCAATGGCAATTGTGGATATCTACTCAAGAAAAATGAAAACGTATGTCCACACAAAAACAAGTACATGAATATTCACAGCAGCTCTATTCATGATAACTAAAAAGTGGAAACAGCCCAAATGTTCATCAACTAAGCAAAATGTGGAATATCCATACATTGGAATATTGCTTGGCAATACAAAGGAATTAAGTATTGATACATGATATAACATGGGTGAATCTTGAAAACATTATGCTATGTGAAAGAAGTCAGTCACGAAAGATCACATATTGGATGATTCCATTTATATGAAATGACTAGAATAGGCAAATCCATAGAGACAGTAGATTGTGGTTACAAGGGCCTGCAGACGGGGGAGAATGGAGAATGACTGCTAATGGGTGTGGGGTTTCTTTTTGGGGTGATGAAAACACTCTAAACTAGACGATAGTGAAGATTGCATAGTTCTGTGAAAACACTGAAAATGACTGAGTTGTACACTTTGAAAGAGTGAATTGTATGGGCTGTGAGTTATATCTCAGTAAAACTGTTATTTAAAAATTGCACATATGCAGAGAAATGTATCTAGAATAATGTCCACCAAATGTATGCAATTTGAGGTGATTTGTTGTTTTTATATATCACTTACATTTTAAAATAAGGAACATGAATTAATTTTTATAAAAATAAGTCATCGTTTTCAAAGAAGTAATGGGGCAAGTGAATCCAGAGTGTAGAGGTCTCACAACTTAAAGGAAGGGGAGTGGCTGTTCAGTGGAAGGTAGAGCCGATTTTGGGGAGAAAAACTTTGTGTTTCCAGTGGCTGTGTCTGCTGTGCCCATGCTTGCTGAAGCAATGCAAATTTCATTAGCATGGTTACAATTAGTAACATAACTTCATTTTTATGTTCTCCTAACCTAAGCTGAGTAATTTTCAAATTTAAAAAAAAACTCAACTCCTCATGATACAGTTTTACTGAACTCAAAGAGGATCTGTTGGGACAGATAATTTACTGACAGAAAAGCTACTTTCAAAGAGGCAAGAACAGAAATATCTGCTTTCCGTGGTGTGCCTCTGATTTATTCATGGAAAAAAGTATGCCTGCAAACATTATCTCAGCAGGCCAAGCCATAATTAGAGCTCTAATTTTCCTCCAGGCACTTTTTCCTGAATTGTCCTAAGGACCCAATGAGAGGTGCCTATACAACCATGATAATGGTTCTGAACATTTTCAGTGCCAGCACACTACAGGGCTGATGTGTGGGAAGTAGGAAGTCACATGGTGCGATAGGAGAAAAGCAACTGCCTGACCGTAAGGCTTGCATCCACATTCCTCCCTCTCACAAAGGTTAGCTGGGAAGACCCACAGAATCCCCATAAACCTTTCCCCAAAGAAAAGACCCATTTCTTTGAACCACCCATCCCAGAGAGAGTTTGCCTTGGTAACCAGAGTATCTGGAACAAGATGAAGATAATCAGTAAAACCAAAAGGGAACTGAGCAGGCTTTGAGAAATTTCCTTTGCTTCAAAAATAATAAGAGCTAGTAGCCAATGACAGGTGAAAGGACAAGTGTCTAAACATCTGTCACCATTGATTTCTGCATACCTCCAATATCTTGATTTCAAGCATATCTCTTTTTATTTTTTATTTTTGTTTTTATTTTTGAGACAGAGTCTCACTCTGTCACCCAGGCTGGAGTGCAGTGGTACGATCTCGGCTCACTGCAACCTCCACCTCCCAGGTTCAAGCGATTCTTCTGCCTCAGCCTCCCATGTAGCTGGGATTACAGGCATGCGTCACCAACACCCGGCTAATTTTTGTATGTTTTTAGTAGGACGGGGTTTCACCATGTTGGCCAGGATGGTCTGGAACTCCTGACTTCAAGTGATCCGCCCACTTCAGCTTCCCAAGTGCTGGGATTACTACATGTGTGAGCCGCCACGCCTGGCCTCAAGCATACCTCTTTTTGATTACCACCTCCTATCCTTCCAGTGCATTTGCTTTAGTAACCCATTCCAACAATTCCTTTTTTTTTTAAATTTTTAATTGTTAATTTTTTTTTTTTTTGAGACGGAGTCTTGCTCTGTCACCCAGGCTGGAGTGCAGTGGCGTGATCTTGGCTCACTGCAACCTCCGCCTCCCAGGTTCAAGTGATTCTCCTGCCTCAGCCTCCTGAGCAGCTGGGACTACAGGGGCGTGCCACCATGCCCAGCTAATTTTTGTATTTTTAGTAGAGACAGGGTTTCACCATATTGGCCAGGCTGGTCTCGAACTCCTGACCTCAAGTGATCCACCTGCCTTGGCCTCCAAAAGTGCTGGGATTACAGGCGTGAGCCACCGCACCCAGCCCTAAATTTTTTTTTTTTTTTTTTTTTTTTTTTAGAGACAAGGCCTCACTGTCACCCAGGCTAGAGTGCAGTGGCATGATCATAGCTCACAGCAGTCTCAAACTCGGGTTCAAACGATCCTGCTGCCTCGGCTGCCCAAAGTGCTAGGGTTACAGGGGTGAGTCACTGCGCCCAGCCCCAGCAATTCTTTAACTGTCCTGAAATCTCAGTTCATTGATTTTCATTATTGAACAACAGCTTCATGATTTCACTTCAGTTCTTACCCAAAGCATCTAAGACTCAGGGAAGTTGTGAGTCTACGTGTTTATTTATTTTTACTTGATTTCCTTTGGTTCACCTACTTCTAAAACCAGTTGAAGATGGATTGAAATAGCAAAACTCTCATGACAGAATAGAGTACAGATTTAGAAAAGGAAATCAAAATTATTAAAATGTCAATCACATGGGAATTGGTTATGTAATTGGAGGAGGAAACACCCTTTCTTATCCTCTCTTTCACTGTCAGAGATTGGAGTGAGGGCAGGCCTTGGCTAATCATTGAACTTGGCTGAGGGTAAAGGGAACGGGCAACTGTGAAGACAGTCCTTTGAGTAGCTAAGCAGTGGTTCTTGAGAGCCAGATAGTTTAACAATGGGCCTTGATCTTGGGCCCAGAACACTAGTGGTTTGAAGGGAGTGAAGACCTATTGAGAGAGTGAGGTGAGCAGGAGGAAGTCACACTGTTCTGCATAGTGTCAGGTGCTCTCTCTCCCGTGACTAGGGACTGTCATTAGATTTATGTGCTACTAACGACAACCTTTTCTTTGGCAATATAAATTTGGACTGTGCTGTCTCCAAGAAATTAGTTCTTACCCTTTGGAAATATATGTGAGTGTGTATGTGTGTTTCATCAATAGTTACCTGTCGGACATCGGAAGACAAAAAGGAATAGCTACATCTCACCCCATGTGGTGGACAGACTCTAAGACTCCCATGATTTTCTTGTTCAGGTATCCACACTTTTTGTAATACCTCCCTTGAGTGTAGGTGGGACCTGTGACTTGTTTCTAACCAATAAAATATGGCAAAGATGATGGGATATCATACTTGTGACATTATATTATGTAAAACTCCATCTTGCTAGCCAACTCACACTGACAGACTCCCTGTCACTGGTTCTGAAGAAGGAGGCTGACATGTGGCAAAAAACTCTGGGTAGCCTCTTGGAGCTGAGAGAAGCCCCCAGCAAGAAATCAAAACCCTCAGTCCTGCAGCTGCAAGGAAATGAGTTCTTGCAACAACCTGTGGGAGCTTGGCAGTGGGTCCTTTCCTAGTGAGACTGCAGCCTCAGCTGACATCTGGATTGTAGCCTGGTGAGGCCTGGAGACAGAGCAACTCAGCTAAGTCATGCCCAGGCTTCTGAGCTACAGAAACTGTATGGTAATAATTTGTGTTGTTGTAAGCCACTAAGTTTATGGTAATTGGTCCTGTAGCAATAGATAACTAATACATCCTGGATGGTGGGAGCATTTTTGGAAACATGGGAGAAATTGGTTGGAGAAGTGGTACGGAATCAAAAGTTCTGTTTTAGCCACGTTAAATTTTAGCTTCCTAGGAGGTATCTGAGTGAGATGTCAAGCAAGCAATTAGATATGTAACCCTGGAGCTTAAGGGAGAGACAGAACTAGAATATAATTTTGGGAGTCATCAGAGGATGACATTTAAAGTCATGAAACTAGATGAGCTCTCTACAGAGAAAGTGAAGGGCAAAAAGGAAGAGAGCCCAGATTGAACACTGGGGTACACCAGCATTTAGCAGTTGATCAGAGGAGGAGGAGCAATCAGAGGAGATGAAAGATTAACCAGAGAGGTTGAAGGGAAACCGAGAAACTGTAGTGTCCCGATAGACAAGAAGGAAGGAATCGTATCTGTATTGAATGTTAATACGGGGTTCAGTAAGATGAGGATAGAGAAGTGGCCACATGGAGGTCACTGGTGACCTTGACAAAATCAGTTTCAGGCCAGGCATGGTGGCTCACACCTGTAATCACAGCATTTTGGGAGGCCAAGGCAGGTGGACCACTTGAGGTCAGAAGTTCGAGACCAACCTGGCCAACATGGTGAAACCCCATCTCTATTAAAAATACAAAAAATTAGCTCTGCGTAGTGGCAGGAGCCTGTAATCCCAGCTACTCAGGAGGCTGAGGCAGAAGAATCGCTTGAACCCAGGAGGCGGAGGTTGCAGTGAGCCGAGATTGTGCCATTGTACTCCAGCCTGGGTGACAGAGCGAGACTTCGTCTCCAAAAAAAAAAAAATCAGTTTCAGTGGAATGGAGAAGTGAAATAAGAACCAGGTGTGAGAGGGATGAGGAGTTAATAAGAGGTGAGGGGCTGCTAAGGGTGAATATAGGCAATTTGTTTGAAAAGTTTTATTCTGAAGAAAGAGCATTGGGTCAATAGCTGGAGAAAGATATAGGAACAAGGGTAGGGTTTTCAAAGATAGGAGATCATAAGACATGCTTGTAAGCTGATGAGAATAGTTTAGTAGAGAGGGAGAAATTAATAATGCAAGAGAACAAGAGAATGGTTTCAAGAGCAAGCTCTTAAGGCAAAAGGGGCTGGGATTGAGAGCTCAATGGAAGAGTTGAACTTAGATGGGTTTAGGGATTCACCCACTGTGAGAGGGAGGAAGTCAGTGTATGGATATAGATAGGAGGCGGCAGATCTGGTGGTGGAAAGGGGAGAATATTCCTGTTTGACTGTCACAGTGATTAGTAATATATGATTAGTTGAGGTCATCAGCTGAGAAAAGGGGGTGGAAAAGGTGTTGGAGTTTTGAGGATATAGGAGAAGCTTTAAAGTAGCCTTCTTTAGGAGAGGTACCCCCATCTCAGTAGAGAGATACAGGATTATCAGGCAGTATGGATTTACAATCCCACTTTAGATTTGCACTCATGAATTTAAAGTGAAACCAGCCCAAACAGCAAGACAGCAGACATTGGGGAGAATCAGGTTAAACCATAATTTTCAATTCCTCAGGTGCATAAACATGCAGATAGTCGAGCTTGTCCAGGAAGTGCAGTGGAAGAAGAGAGGGTTGAGGAATTAAGGTTATAAATGAGTCTGTGTAGTGAGGAGTGTGGGTACAGAGGTTTGTGAGTAAGACAAGAGGGAGGGAGAGTGGGAGAGGGCCAGAGTCACTGGATTGGAGGTCTCAATCAGTCAAAAATTGCCTGAAGTGGGGCTACTAGAATTAGGAAGCTAAAAGGATGGGTGGCAGTCAGAGAGACAGATGCTTGAAATTGAGATATTTGGAGGCAGCACATTGATCCATAATGACAGCTATTTGGATACTTGTCCTTTGGCCTTATCGATCATCTGAACCTTTGAAATCTTAAACTCTCATGATTCATATAGACCACAGCCTCCAACTATTTAAGCTCACTCATTCTCTTATTCCTAAAATAGTGGAATCACATCATTCATGTTTTTAACTAATTTAAATTCGGTTCTACAGTCTGGGGAAAAAATGACAGCGGGTAAGACAGAACAGTTTAAATAGCACAGTTGCCTCACTGACTTTCCTTTCAAGAGTGTGTGCTGGGGAGTGAGGATGAGGTGGGAGCCATGAGTCTGCTGTTTCCTAGGTTGACCTCAGTTCCCTTGTACCTCTTATCGCGGGATTGTCTCACGGCCTTCACTGTGATTCCAGTGTTTAAAGAGCACTTCCTCTTGTTGTCAATATGGCCTCTAAACACATGCCAACTGCTTTATGGGCTGCTCAGCCAATGACAGAGTTCTGGGCTAATGCTGGCCATGTAGTTCTGACTGGAAAACAGTATATTGGGTGTCAGTGCAAATAATATATTAAGGGTGATTTAAGGCATTTCCAAAGGTAAATTTGACCACCTAAAATGTATGCCCCAAGTGCTGGCTAAATTTTGAATCCAGGCCCTCCAATGATGCAGCTCCACTATATTCCCATTTTGGCCACAATTGGACCCTCCGTCTCTTGTCCACTACATTTTCTCCCAATGAAATCCACACCCTCATGCTGTCATTTCTTTCCTATTGAATCTGGACCCCCAGAATGCCCCCTTCTGTCCTTTCCATTTCGCCAGACCCTCTTGCCTCTTGTCCCACCAGTGTGCTTGGCCTCCAGAACCTTAAGCCTCAGTTGATTCAAGCATTCCCTTGCTCAGCCGAATGCTGCTGAAAATATTCATGTAAGAGTAATTTCCAATCATGGTTTCCAGCTTCACCTGGCCCCTCATACCTGCTCCTTAATTAATCCTTCTGTATGTCAGAAATTATGCCGTTACCCATCTCTCCAGTGGTTCATCTAACCTCTTTGCCTTTTTCTCACATCCCCTCCCGTACTAACTCCCTCTCGGGTAAGGACTTGCCTATTCCACTGGGAAAATTGAGGCCATCAGGCAAGAACTTTCCCAACTAGAAACTAAACCCACCCTTCCTTCCTTCCTTCCTTCCTTCCTTCCTTCCTTCCTTCCTTCCTTCCTTCCTTCCTTTTTGAGACAGAATCTCACTCTGTCACCCAGGCTAGAGTGCAGTGGCATAATCATGGCTCACTGCAGCCTCAACCTCCTAGGCTCAAGTGATCCTCCTGCCTCAGCCTCCTGACTAGCTGGGACTATAGGCGTGTACCACCATGCCTGGCTAATTTTTATATTTTTTTTTGTAGAGATAGGGTCTTGCTCTATTGCTCAGGCTGGTCTTAAACTCCTGGCCTCAAGCAGTCCTCCTGCCTTGGCCTCCTAAAGTGCTTGGATTACAGGTGTGAGCCACTGCATCTGGCCCCAAACCCTCCCTCTTGACCCATCCCTTATCTTTTCCTCCTGCCTCAGTGAAAGGTATTTCTCTCCCATCTAGGCTTGGAATGCCTCTCACCTTCTCAGGAATCTGCTCACTACAGCTCCTGTCTCCTCTGTATCTTCAGCCTCTTTTCATACATGCTGCGTTTCCTTCAGCACTTGCTCAAGCCAAATCCTGTCTCATTCCTATCCTCTAACTCTCCATTACTTAATAGCCAGGCTATTTGAAAGAGTCAGCTGCAAGAACTACTTCACTCAAAAACCACTGCAGCTCTGTGTCTGTCCCCACCATGCTGGTGAAACTCTCTTCCTTGAGATCATCCATTACTTCCAGGATGCCAAATTCAATGGACCATTATCTTTCCTTCTCCTTCTCTTATGTGACTTCTCTATTACTTTATTCCTCCTTGAAATTCTCTCTTTTTTTTTTTTTTTTTTTGACAGAGTCTCGCTCTGTCACCCAGGCTGGAGTACAGTGGGGCGATCTTGGCTCACTGCAAGCTCTGCCGCCCAGGTTCATGCCATTGTCCTGCCTTAGCCTCCAGAGTAGCTGGGACTACAAGCATGTGCCACCACGCTCAGCTAATTTTTTTGTATTTTTAGTAGAGATTGGGTTTCACCGTGTTAGCCAGGATGGTCTTGATCTCCTGACCTCGTGATCCGCCTGCCTCGGCCTCCCAAAATGCTGGGATTACAGGCATGAGCCACCGCGCCCGGTCTGGTTTTTTGGTTTTTATCATACCACACTGTCCTGATTTTCCTTCCCCCTGTTTGAACCAACTAAGCATCCGTAAAAACCTTCCTCCTCACTCTGACAATGAAGGAAAGGGCTCCCATTACAATCTTAAAATCCATAAAGCTGTGGCCAATTATACCAATTTCTTAGGCCAATGACTCTCAAACTGTGGTCCTGGACCAGCTACCTCAGCATCACCTGGGAACTTGTTAAAATGCAAATTACTGGACTCCACCCCAGAACTACTGAATCAAAAACTTTGGGGATAGGGTTGAACAAACTGTGTTTTAATAAGCTCTCCAGGTGCTTCTGAGGCAAGCTCAAGTTTGAGAACTACTACCTTAGGTCTCTTGACTTCTAGCTCTCAACTCACAATTAAAATGTCTTTATTTATGTGGTGATACTTCTTGGGGTATTTCCAACTAGTATCTCGGAATGCAATGATTAAAAGATGAACTGCTAGATGACTTTGACCATTTTGGCTTTGCCACAATGCTACTTAGTTTAGGTAGGGCTTTGGATATTTTTCTTGGCACTTAATTGTCAGCATTTTGAATGTCCATAGTTCATCCAGATGATAGCCTTATGCATTCACCAAAACTGATGTCTCAGTAGTCACGTATTCCACGCAATCCTTGCTGCCTGCTAAAGTGCTTTCTCTGGACAAATCTGGGGAAGTCGGTGTCTGGTAGTTCAAGATACAGTTCCAGGGGTCTTGTTCTGTCCAGCTAAGAAGTGAGAAAAAGGGGTGATTTGGAGTGGATCCTCCAGTGTCAAAGTCAACCAGAGATTCCTGAAGATTGCCAGATTCTCTTGATGGTTTATTCATGACATTTTCATCTTCATTGTCCCGATATTGGATTATCTTAAGAAGGGAGGTGCCAACAATTTGTGCAGCCAAGGTGCTTATTACATGAATCTATCTCCTGGTTAATTTTACAGGTAATCCCTTTTCAGAGGAGACAGAGTCTCACTCTGTCTCCCAGGCTGGAATGCAGTGGCTCAATCTCGGTTCACTGCAACCTCCGGCTCCCGGATTCAAGCAATTATCCTGCCTCAGCCTCCCAAGTAGCTGAGATTACAGGTGCTCACCACCACACCTGGCTAATTTTTGTATTTTTAGTAGAGAGCATTTCTCCATGTTGGCCAGGCTGGTCTCGAACTCCTGACCTCAAGTAATCTGCCTGCCTTGGCCTCCCAAAGTCCTGGGACTACAGGCGAGAGCCACCGCGCCCAGCCTCTTCCCTGCTGTTAAATATTGCTTTGCCTCTTACTAACCCGGCGACCTTGGCCAAGTTGCTTAACCAATCTGTCCCTTAGTTTCTTCATCTGTAAAGTGGACATAAAAACACCTACTTCTTGCGGTTGTGAGGATTAACTAATGTTATTTAGCATCATGTCTGACAAATAGTAGGTACTTCATACATGGGGTCAAGTTGATCATCATTACTTAAAAAAAGAAGTATCTACCTTGCTTTATGTCTGGAGATTTTGTGGCTGTGTCTCTTGTAGACAGAAAAATGAAATCTAAATGCTGGAAAAAATATACAGAGAAACAGAATGATTTTAAATCCAAGTTCCAGCAAGACACTGGGAAGAGAATATTAGGTGCAGAGAGATCAGATGGGAGAAACAAGATCACACAACAGGAAAGCTGGGAACTGAAGCCATTTTTGAGTTTTAGTTTAATGCTTTACATAGTGGATTGATTTTGCCATTCTGCCTGATTCAGATGCCATGGGGAGAATAACAGATTAATTTGATAGAATCAGAGAATACATAAAAGAGTGTTTAATGGAGTGCTAACAAAGCTCTGAATAGATTTTCTTTTTTTAAACTTTTTAAAAACATAAATAGAACATGTTTATTGTAGAAAAATAGAAGAATTCAGAAGAACAAGAAGAAAGCATCAAAAACTTTAGCAACCTTGTAATCACACTACTCAGAGAAAACCATTATTAATATTTTGTAGTGAATCCTTTCAGTTAACACTTATTTCAATGTGTGCTCATGCACACGTGCATGCACACACACACACACACACACCAGAAACACATATCCCATACACTTTTTTTTTTTTTTTTTCAGACAGAGTCTCACTCTGTCATCCAGACTGGAGTGCAGTGGCGCCATCTCCACTCACTGCAACCTCTGCCTCCCGGGTTCAAGCGATTCTCCTGCCTCAGCTTCCCGAGTAGCTGGGATTACAGGTAAGCGCCACCGTGCCTGGCTAATTTTTGTATTTTTAATAGAGACGGGGTTTCACCATGTTGGCCAGGCTGGTTTCAAACTCCTGACCTCAGGTGATCTGCCCACCTTGGCCTCCCAAAGTGCTGGGATTACAGGCATGAGTCACCATATCCGGCCTCCATACACTTTTTAAACAAATCAATTTGCACCGAATATACCATTTTGTAACCTGGTGTTTCCATTCAACAAAATGTTATGAAAGTTTTCCATAGACCTTATTTCATATGATAAAATATTTCATTTCATGGATACAACCAATTTATTTAACTAATACTGTAACTGATGAATCTAATGACATTATGTACAATGCAATGATAAACATTCCTGTATGTACATATTTTTCATTAATACAACCTTAATTGAGATATACATACAAAAATACAGAAATCATAAGTACATAGCTTGATAAGTCATAGAAAAATAGATATAGCCAGGCAATACCTCCCAACTCAAGAGATAGAGCAATACCAGCATCTCAGATGCTCCCTTTGTGCCCCTCCCAATCACTACCCCTTTTCTCTTCCCTAGTCTTAACTACTATTCTGATTTCTGTCTACCACTATAGATTATTATTGCCTGGTTTTGTACTTAATATACTTGGAATTCTATGATATGTATTATTTTGTGCTTGGCTTCCTTTGTTCAACATTATAAGTGTGAGATTGATTCATGATATTGTAGCTTTGGTTTGTTCATTTTCATTGCTGTATATTATTTCATGGCACAGGTATAACATAATTTATTCATCCACTTTTATTGTTAATGGACATTTGGATTGTTTCCAGTTTTTATTTATTAAGAAAAATATTGTTCGTGAACATTCTTCTACATTTATTTTTGTGCACATATGTACACATTTCTGGAGTATAGGATAGGATTGTTGAGTCATAGTATATTTTCAACTTTCAATTTATTTTCACTTCTGGAGTAGTATCAGTTAAACTCCCCCCAGCAATGTGTGAGAATTCACATTGTTCCATATTTTCTGCAATACTATAGTGTCAGTCACTTTGGTTTTAGCCGTGCTGGTGGATGTGAGGTTATATCTCATGGTTTTACTTTACATGAGGTTGAGCACTTTTAAATATGGTTATTGAATGTTTGGACATCTCTTTTGTAAAGTGCCCATTCAAGACTTCATCATTTTTCCATTGGGTTGCTGTCTTTTTTATTCTAACAGTTCTTTGTACAGTCTGGATGTAAGTCCTTTGTCAGTTATATGTTGCAAATATCTTTGCCAGTGTGTGACTTATGCTACTGCACTCTTTGTGGTATCCTTTGGTGAACGGTAGTCCCTAATCTTAATGAAATCCAGTTTATTAATCTTTTCCTTTTTAAATAAGTGCTTTTTTTTGTCCTATTTAAGAAAGTTTTGTCTACCTCAAGGTCATGAAGATAGTCTCATGTTTTCTTCTAAATCTGTTGTTTCACCTTTTGCATTTAGATTTGCAATCCACCTAGAATTGATTTTTAGGTATGGTGTGAGGTGGGGTCAAATTTCATTTTTGGGTGTGTATATTCCATTGATCCAATACCATTTAATGAAGAGAATGCCTGTTTTCTACTGCTCTGAAATTCTACCTTTGTCACTAATTGAGCATCTGCCTATGTGTGGGACTGTTTCTGTACTCTCTATTCTTCTCCATTGGTTTATTTGTCTATCTTTTCACACAGACCACCCTGCCTCAATTACTATAGTTTTATGATAAATATTGATATCTGATTATGTCTGTTATCCCACCTTGTTTTCTTTCTTCAGCAAGTATTGATAAGACTAAAGGGAAAAAGGAATTTTTATATACTGTTAGTGGAATGTAAATTGGTACACATACTTTGAAAAACAGTTTGGCAGTACATGATGAAGATTCATATATGCTATGACTCAGAAATTCCACTCGTATGTACATACCCAACAGAAATGTGTCCACATGTACACCAACAGGCATGTATAAGAATATTCTTAGTGACATATTTTTTGGAACAAAAATCTGAAAATAACCCAAATGTCCTTCAACAGTAGAATGGACTAATGTATTGTGGTGTATTCATCTACACAGCCACGTAAATAAATGGATCCAGTGTAAGAGACTGTGTTCCTCTGCAACTACAGTGCCTGTGGGGCGGCTCCTCCATAGCTTCACCTCTTGCTGGGATTCAGTAACACATTTCTTTCTCTTGCTTTTCAGGCTTAGGGGGTGGTAACAGTTTCTCACTGTTTCAAGTCAGTGTGCTCTGACAGTAATCCTGTCCACACCTCTGTGCACAGCTCCTTCATAACATCTCTTAATTGGATCATACATGGTGAATTCTGTTTGGTGCCAGGACCCTGAATGACGTACACACACACACACACACACACACACACACACACACACACACTTTTCATGTGGATGCATACGCATGATCGTATTATACATACAATTATTAAAAAGTTTTATACAATTGAATTATTCTAATACAATTCTATTTCCTTTTCTTAGATTACCAGGTTCTGAAACTCACAGGGACTTCAAAAGTCAACCTGTCTAATCCCAACTTTGGGTAGATCAATTGTTTTCACCATGTAACAGATGGGCCACTATGGGCCAGAGAGGTTAAACCCCCTGTTCCTGGTCACACAGCTGGATGGGTGGCTACGTGAAGACTAGAACCCAATCCCCTGATACGGAGCACAGTGAAGTGCCATTTCTCTTACACGCTGGCTTTCAAACTTGGCTGCACTTTAGAATCACCAGAGAGCTTTAAAGAATATTGATGCCTGGGTCCCACCTCCAGAGAACTTGATTTAATTGATTTTGATTTAACATTTTAATAAAACATATTTTAAAGATATTTGTATTATAAATATTTTAATTTTTATTATAAAATAAAACATCACAATAGAATATCACACAAATCAAATGCCTGGTTTAATGAATTATTTTAAGGTGAATACCACCCAGATTTTTTAAAAAATAGAACTTTGCCAGCCACTCTGAAAGCCCCTTCAGTGTAACCCATCCCAACCACAATCTCTCCTCCTCCCCTAAATAACATCCTGATTTGTTTTATTTATTTATTTATTTATTTATTTTAGACACAGAGTCTCTCTCTGTCACCCAGGCTGAAGCGCAATAGCAAGATCATGGCTCACGGCAGCCTCCACGTCCTAGGCTAAAGTGATCCTCCTGCCTCAGCCTCCTGAGTAGCTAAGACCACAGGCCCATGCCACCATTCTCAGTTAAATTTTTTTGTTTGTTTGAGATGGAGTTTCGCTCTTGTTGCCCAGGCTGGAATGCAATGGTACGATCTTGGCTCACTGCAACCTCCGCCTCCCAGGTTCAAGCATTCTCCTACCTCAGCCTCTCAAGTAGCTGGGATTACAGGCATGTGCCACCAAGCCTGGCTAATTTTTGTATTTTTAGTAGAGACGGGGTTTCACCATGTTGGCCAGGCTGGTCTCGAACTTCTGATCTCACATGAACCATCCGCCTCAGCCTCCCAAAGTGCTGGGATTACAGGCATGAGCCACCATGCCCGGTCCTCGGTTAATTTTTAATTTTTAATTTTTTTCTAGAGATGAGATATTGCTATGTTGCCCAGGCTGGTCTCATATTTCTGGCCTCAAGCGATCCTCCTGCTTTGGCCTCCTAAAGTGCTGGGACTGCAGGTATGAGCCACCGTGCCCAGCCATCCTAACTTTTATAGTGATTGCTTCCTTGAAGTTTTCCTTTAGTTTTATGACAGGAATGTGCATCCATAGACACTGTAGTTTGCTCTTGCCCATTAGAAGATATATCTTTTTAAGTATCTTTGAATCTGTGGGTTCCTCCTCCACCCTTTATTTTGCATACAAGCTTTGTGACCTGTACTCTCCCACAGTCTGGATTTCATTATTTGAATTCTCTTGGTACAGTTCAATGTGTTTCTCTGTCCTCTGTATTTCCTGTAAATAGACAGGTGATCCAGAGGTGGATTAGATACAGGTTCGATCCCTTTGACAAAACTATGGACACTGTATGGCAGGACTGTAGGAGGCACAGATTGTCCTGTTGTCATTTTTTAATGATCTTAATAGCTGCAAAGTGTCAGTATCTATCATTCACTGCAGAGTTGTCAACTGCTGATATTCTATCATTTCTGTTTTATTTGAGTTGGAATACTTTCATAAAAACACACATTCTCTCATCTACTGTTTTGTTTTCCAGGAGTAAAGTTCATATAGAAAAGGCAGGTACTATAGTCTAAATGTCTATGTCTCCCCGGAATTCATATATTGAAATCCTAACCCCCAAAGTGATGGTATTAGGAGGTGTGACCACTGGGAGGTGGTCAGGCCATGAGGGCTTTTAGTCCCTTAGACCATGTGAGGACACAGCAAGAAGGTGCCATTCTATGAATCCAGAGGTGGGCCCTCAGCAGAATCCAACCATGATGACATCCTGATCTTGGTCTTTCCAGACTCTAGAATGGTGAGAAATAAAATTCTGTTGTTTATTTATTTCTTTATTTAATTAAATTAATTAATTAATTTATTTTTGAGACTGAGTCTCTCTCTGTCATCCAGGCTGGAGTGCAGTGGCACAATCTCAGCTCACTGCAATGTCCGCCTCCCGGGTTCAAGTGATTCTCCTGCCTCAGTCTCCTGAGTAACTGGGACTATAGGCACACGCCACCACACCCAGATAATTTTTGTATTTTTAGTAGAGATGGGGTTTCACCATGTTGGCCAGGCTGGTCTCGAACTCCTGACCTCGTGATCTGCCCACCTCAGCCTCCCAAAGTGCTGGGATTGCAGACCTGAGCCACCACGCCTGACCTATTTATTTTTTAGAGACAGAGTCTCGTTCTGTCATCCAGGCTGAAGTGCAGTGGCACAACCATAGCTCACTGTAGCCTGGAACTCCTGGGCTCAAGTGATCCTCCCACCTCAGCCTCCCAAGTAGCTGGCACTACAGGCCGAGGCCACCATTCTCAGCTAATGTTTTCTTTGTTTGTAGAGATAGGGTCTCACCAGGTTGTCCAGGTTGGTCTCAAACTTCTGGCCTCAAGCGATCCTCCTGCCTCGGCCTCCCAAAATGTTGAGATTACAGGCGTGAGCTACTGCGCCTGGCCTTCTATTGTTTATTAGCCACCCAGTTTATAGTGTCTTGTTATAGCAGCCCAAGTGGACTGAAAGAGCAGGATAAATGTTCTATTTATTCCTTTTATTTACCAGTTTTCTTTTTTTTTATATATATATATATTTTATTATACTTTAAGTTCTAGGGTACAGGTGCACAACGTGCAGGTTTGTTACATATGTATACATGTGCCATGTTGGTGTGCTGCACCCATTAACTCATCATTTACATTAGGTATATCTCCTAATGCTCTCCCTCCCCGCTCCCCGCACCCCACAACAGGCCCCGGTGTGTGATGTTCCCCTTCCTGTGTCCAAGTGTTCTCATTGTTCAATTCCCACCTATGAGTGAGAACATGCGGTGTTTGGCTTTTTGTCCTTGCAATAGTTTGCTGAGAATGATGACATAGGCATGGGCAAGAACTTCATGTCTAAAACACAAAAAGCAATGGCAACAAAAGCCAAAATTGACAAATGGGATCTAATTAAACTAAAGAGCTTCTGCACAGCAAAAGAAACTACCATCAGAGTGAACAGGCAACCTACAGAATGGGGAAAATTTTTGCAATCTACTCATCTACAAAGAACTCAAACAAATTTACAAGAAAAAAACAAACAACCCCATCAAAAAGTGGGCAAAGGATATGAACAGACACTTCTCAAAAGAAGACATTTATGCAGCCAACAGACACATGAAAAAATGCTCATCATCACTGGCCATCAGAGAAATGCAAATCAAAACCACAATGAGATATTTACCAGTTTTCAAGGCAAAATATTGGTTCCCTATCATCCTTTGAAGGTGACTAATTCCTTTTTTCAAACAAATATCAGATACTTTGATCTTAGATTTAGACACATTTGATGAGTTTCAAGCTATTACAGCTATTATAATTATTGAAGCTTTTCAGTGACAACTGGACAATGTGTGCCTACTATAGTCCTGTCATACAATACCCATAGTTTTGCCATAGGGATTGAACCTATGTCTAATTCACCTCTGGATCAGCTATTTGCAGGAAATACAGAGTTTAGGGAAACACACTGAACTGCACCAAGAGAATTCAAATAACAAATTGTTGACCTATGGCCAATGGGAGCCTCCTCAGGTTGGCCTCTGAGTCCTTTTGACATAACTCTAGTAGTCTTTGATGGCTTGCTTGCAATCTGGTATTACACGATACTCCAGGTTCATCTTGTATTTTTCCTGCCCCAAACTTGGGATCAACTATTGCTTTGGGTAAACTCTTAAACCATGCTTTTCCTCTGCTCTCACACCACAACAATCAACACAGAAGACTTCTGTGACCAAATATATGGGGGTTTTCCCCCAACTACAAGCAGTGAACACCAGCTGGGTGTCTTCCAATTCAACTCCGACTCTATGTACCTGCAGATAACATCGGATTCCACAGGTCGAGGGCTCAGACCCCAAGATTGCCCCCTCCTTCAGACACTAGTTGCAAGTTTGGGCCTCTGAAAGTTCTGACTGACCAGCTTCAAGTTGGGGTTCCCATGACCCCCTCTTTGGGCTTGATTAACTTGCTGGAGTGGCTCACAGAACTCAGGGAAACACATTTACCAGTTTATTATAAAGGATATTACAAAGGAAGCATATGAAGAGATTTGCAGGGCAAGGTATGGTTGAAGGGTTGTAGAGCTTCCAGGCCCTTCCTGGCCATGCCACCCTCCAGGAACCTCCACTTGTTCAGCTGTCCAGAAGCTCTCTGAATCCTCTCCTTTTGGGTTTTTATGGAGGCTTCATTACATTGACAACTGTGTGGAAATGTGATTGGACAAAAAGGATATGATCTCATACTAATAGACTGAGTGGGGAAATCCAGTAAGGTCTGTTTGTTCGGATTCTTCTTGGCCTCTTGGTAAAGTATGGGACGAAACCCTCTCTGGATTGAGGGCCTTTTGACCCTTAATCAGATTAGAGTCCTGACTGGGCAGGTAAAAGGAGGACAGGACAAGGTGAGAGAGATTCTGTTTCCTGAGGCCTGCTCCTGAGGCCTAAAGCACCCCAACATTATAACAAAAGACTGTAACAAGGGCTATGGGAGTTATGAGACAGGAACTGTGGACGAAAACATAGATTTTATATATATATACATAAAATCATAGTATCACGCCCATTTCTTGAGAAGTCCTGGTTTCTTTTAGTGAGAAACAATACTTCAAGGCCCCAATCTGGGTGCTAAGAGATGTTCAATGGTACATCATTAGTTATTGTCTTTATGCTTTTTTTAGTGGACAAAGTGAAATAATCCATGAGTTTAATATTTACAGTTAGATAGTTTTTGTATCAATAGGACTTTTGTTTAACCCCTTCTCTATTATACCTGTGTATTCTTTCTTTTCTACTGAGAATACTTGTTCTTGAGGATGATAGAATTAGAATATGTTGTAATTGTGTATTTGTTTTATCCCATATTACCCACCCAAGAGTATCAGAATAACAGTGCTAATACTCCCACTGACATAATTATTGAAAACATTTTAAACTTTGCATATATTTTCTCTGTTCTCTCTCATCATTTAAAAATAGTTGTATTATTGGGACAACTAGATACCCACATGCAAAAGAATGCAGTTGGATCCCTACCTCACACCCTAGACAAAAATTAGCTCAGCATGGATCAAAAACAAAAATGTAAGAGCTAAAACAATAAAACTCTTAAAAGAACACATAGGTGCAAATCTTTTTGACCTTAGATTAGGCAGCAGTTTCTTAGATATGACATCAAAAGCACAAGCAAGAAAAGAAAAAATAGACAAACTGGGCAAAGTTAAAATTAAAAACTTTCATGCTTCAAAGGATACCATCCATCAACAAAATGAAATGGCAACTCACAGAATGGGAAAAATATTTGCAAGTCATCCCTCTAATAAAGGACTTATATCTAGAATATATAGGAAACGATTACACCTCAATAATAAAAGACAATAATCCAATTTAAAAATGGGCAAAAAATCTGAATAGACATTTCTTGAAAGAAAATGTACAAAGAGCCAGGCGCAGTGGCTCACGCCTGTAATCCCAGCACTTTGGGAGGCCGAGGCAGGTGGATCACCTGAGGTCAGGAGTTTGAGACCAGCCTGGCCAACATGATGAAACCCCATCTCTACTAAAAAAACATAAAAAGTAGCCAGTCATGGTGGTGTGCGCCTGTAATCTCAGCTACTTGGGAGGCTGAGGCAGGAGAATTGCTTGAACCCAGGAGGCAGAGGTTGCAGTGAGTCAAGATCACGCCACTGCATTCCAGCCTGGGCAACAGAGCAAGACTTCATCTCAAAAAAAAGAAAAAGAAAGAAAGGAAGGAAGGAAGGAAGGAAGGAAGGAAGAAAGAGAGAAAGAAAGAAAGTGTACAAAGGACAGTAAGTACATAAAAATGTTCAACATCATTAGCCAATAGAGAAATGTAAATGAAAACCACAATGAGATGCTATTTCACACCTACTAGGATGGCTCTAATAAAAAAGGATGTAGAGAAATTGGAAACTTCACACAGTGCTGGTGGGAATGTTAAATGGTGCAGCTGCTTTGAAAAATAGTCTGGCAGTTCTTCAAAAAGTTAAACAGACTTACCCTACAATCCAGCAATTTCACTCCTAGGTATCTACCCAAGAGAAATGAAATGTTTGTGTCTACACAAAAACTTGTATACAAACGTTTATAGCAGCGTGATTTGCAATAGCCAAAAGGTAGAAAAAACCCAAATGCCCATCTACTGATGAATGGATAAACAATAAACACTGTATATCCATATGATGGGATATTGTCCAACCACAAAAACAAAGTGAAATGCTGATACATGCTACAACATGAATAAATATTGAAAACATTATGCTAAGTGAAAGCAGCCAGCCACAAAGAAAACACATAATATATGATTTCCTTTGTACGAAATATCCACAGTAGGCAAATCTACAGAGACAGAAAGTAAAGTAGTGATTACATAGGGCTGGGGGCAAGGGTGAAGGGTTTAGGGGGTGTGGGATTTCTTTTGGGGGTCATGAAAATGTTTTCAAATTGATTGTAGTGATTAATGCACAACTCTCTAAATATATGAGAACCCACTAAATTGTATGCTTCAAATGGGTAAACTATATGATGTGGAATATATATCAGTAAAGCTGTGTTTAAAAAGTAAAAAATTTTAAAAAGTTGTATTACATTTGTCTTGTCAGACCACATAGTCATATATATATATATATATTCAATTTTTTTTGTCTCTTAGCCCTTATTTATTTGTAGTTCTACAGGTAATTATAATTGAATGGGCCAGGTGCGGTGGCTCATGCCTGTAATCCCAGCACCTTGGGAGGATGAGGCAGATGGATCATTTGAGGTCAGGAGTTCGAAACCAGCCTGGCCAACATGGTGAAACCCCATCTCTACTAAAAATACAAAAATTAGCTGGGCGTGGTGGCGCATGCTGTAATCCCAGCTACTCGGGAGCCTGAGGCAGAAGAATTGCTTGAACCCAGGAGGCAGAGGTTGCAGTGCAGTGAGCTGAGATTGTGCCACTGCAGTCCAGCCTGGGCAATAGAGACTATGTCTCAAAAAAAAAAAAAAAAAAAAGAATGCCCATCAGGTATCCTTATATTGATATATTTATGTCAGTCTGGTTATTTTGCTGGTTGGAAATTCTGTGATAAATTTCTCAGGAAGGCTCATGAAAACAATATTCCCGAGTTTTTACATGTTGATAACAGTTTATATCCTTTATACTTGCGAATTATTTTTGCTGGATATAAAATTATTGTGTCTTTCCTTGAAAGTCTTAAATATGTTAGTTCTTTTTATTTTCTTTGGCATTATGCATTGTTGTCAAAAATTCTGATGATAATCCAATTTTCTATTCGCTAAGAGTCAAATGAGCCTTTTTCTAGGTGCCCAGAAAATGTTTCTTTCTTTCTTTTCTTTTTCTTTTCTTTTTTTTTGTAGACAGAGTTTCACTTTTGTCGCTCAGGCTGGAGTGCAGTGGCGCGATCTTGGCTCACTGCAACCTCTGCCTGTGGGGTTCAAGCGATTCTCCTGCCTCAGCCTCCTGAGTAGCTGGGATTACAAGCGCCCGCCACCACGCCTGGCTAATTTTTGTGTTTAGTAGAGACCGGGTTTCTCCATATTGGCCAGGTTTGTCTCGAACTCTTGACCTCAGGTGATCCGCCTGCCTCGGCCTCCCAAAGTGCTGGGATTACAGGCGTAAGCCACTGTGCCCGGCCCCTTTTTTCTGAAGTCTATTTATTTATTTTCAGACAGGAAACTTTTTTTAATACTTTTTTTTTGGGAGTCGGGGGGGCAGGAAACAGAGTCTCGCTCTGCCACTCAGGCTGGAGGGCAGTTTCGTGATCTAGGCTCACTGCAACCTCTGCCTCCCAGGCTCAAGCAATTCTCATGCCTCAGCCTTCCGAGTAGCTGGGACCACAGTCATGCACCACTACACTTGGCTAATTTTTGTATTTTCTTGTTGGTAGAGACCGGGTTTCACTCTATTGGCCAGGCTGGGCTCAAGTGATCCACCTGCCTTGGCCTCCCAGAGTGCTTGGATTACAGGTGTGAGCCTCCCAAAGTTCTGGTATTACAGGTTTGGTGAAACCCATCCAGGAAAACTTTTTATTTTTCAAATCACAAACTTCCCAAGTGTCAATTTCCTCGTTTAAAAAACATATGCGGCCGGGAGCGGTGGTTCACGCCTGTAATCCCAGCACTTTGGGAGGCTGAGGCAGGTGGATAACCTGAAGTCAGGAGTTCAAGACCAGCCTGGCCTACATGGTGAAACCCTGTCTCCACTAAAAATACAAAAATTAGCCGGGTGTGGTGGCACGCGCCTGTAATCCCAGCTACTTGGGAGGCTGAGGCAGGAGAATCTCTTGAATCTGGGAGGCGGAGGTGGCAGTGAGCCACTGCACTCCTGCCTGGGTGACAGAGTGAGACTCTGCGTCAAAAAACAAACAAAACAACAACAAAACATATGCTTGGATTAAATTTGCAAGTGTTATAATACCTAAAATTCTATAAAAGAAAATAAATGTTTAAAATTTCAAGCCAGTTATCCTTGTGGGAATTTATGTGGATGCTGCAAATAGAAAGAGCAAAGCAAAGGAAAATCTTACAAGTAAAATCCCACTTTTGTAATTTCATATTTTCCTAAAAGTAGAGATTAAGCTATGTTTGAAAGATCTTAATTTTCATCCCACAGAATAAATAGAGCAATAACATTTTATTTTGTAACCAATCAATTTTAGTTTCTCTATCTTCTTTACATAATATTGTATTTGAAAACTTTTTTTATCATATGTGGTGCAAACACATAAGCATACATATTTAAGTGCACAGATATTGTTTCCAGTAGGATTTAAAATTGCAATATACTGTGGTGTTGACTGTTCTGGGAAAATACTATCAGCTATGTGGTGTGCTCTTTCAATATGCAATTAAGAATCTTTTTTATTTTCAGGAAAGTGTTTTTTTTTTTTAAAGTAAATGTATACAGTTTAATATTTGTCCTATGCCCTTGCTTTGGTTTTCTTTTATAGGAATTTCTATTACCTGTGTGTTTAATTTACTTTACCTTTCTCTTTTCCTTTTGATCTCTCTTCATTTCTTTTTGATTTAAAAAGTTTTCCTCTTTTTCACTTTCTAGAAATTTCTCTACAGGTACTTGTTGCATTTACTTGCTTGTATTCTTTCTGGTTTAGTATTCATTTATGAACTGATTTTCTCCTCTTCTTATTCTTATTCTTTCTTGAGCTGTGTCACCTTGTTTCTGAGGCTTCCTGATTCTGAGTTAGGTTGTTGTTAATGTCTCTTAGCTCATCTTGAAATAATAGGCTACAATTTTTCTTTCTTTTGTGGGCATGTCTTTTTGGCATACTTTCATTATCCTTGGGATGTTATTTAGCTTCCCATTTTCTTTTTTCTTATTATAATTTTGCATGTGATTTGACCTTGATACTACTGTGTTTTTGTTTTTGTGTGAAATCTGTTTCCCTGTACTTTGAAAAAATAAGGTGGAATTCCACAGAGCTTTTCTAATTTCACAGAGCTCCCTCTTCTGTTGCTTTTGTGTAGTGTTCAAAAATATGGTGGTTTGCTTTCTGGGATTTTCTGGCTCCATTCCCCTCTCCATTTAGGTCTAGCGTTTCTATTTCCATGTAATATCTGAGACATACATCCACTAAAAAATTATTTAGTGTTTATTTAAAATTCGCACTTAACTGAACATCCTGTATTTTTCTTTGCTACATCTGGCAACACTAGTTGTAAATATTTTCCATGTGCTTTGGTTTTGCAATCTAGTTCTGCTGTTTTTATGTAGAGATTTGCAGAGATTGAAAAACTATGTGGTTGCTGCTGTTGCCACTTTCCCAGAATATGCCACATAATTTTCAAATGTAATCTTCTTTCCTTTCTTTTACCGCCTTGGTGTACTTCTCGCTTCCCTTACACATATTTCACCCTGTATCTCCTCAGATAATCCATGTTCTAAACCTAGTGTGCATTTTTCTATAATTTTTATTACATGTATTTAATCATACATGCCTATAAGCATTACATATGGTTTTCTGTTTTTTAATTTTTTTTAAATTTATTATTATTATTATTATTTTAATTTTGGGGGACAGAGTCTCACTCTGTTGGCCAGGCTAGAGTGCAGTGGCGCACTCTCAGCTCACTGCAACCTCCATCTCCGGGTTCAAGTGTTTCTCCTGCCTCAGCCACCCAAGTAGCTGGGACTACAGGTGTGCATCACCATGCCCAGCTAATTTTTGTATTTTTAGTAGAGATGGGGTTTCATCATGTTGGCCAGGCTGGTCTCAGACTCCTGACCTCAGGTGATCCGTCCGCCTTGGCCTCCCAAAGTGCTAGGATTACAGGCATGAGCCACCATGCCCGGCCTGTTTTTTCTTTTCTCTTCTTTCTTTTTTTTTTTCTTTTTAAACAAAAGATCACATAGTATACACTTTTCTTCATCTTGATTTTCTCTGTCAACAACATCCTGCGGAAATCCCTCCAACTCATAGAACTCTATTTCCCTCTTTTTCATAATATTCAGAGATGTGCATGATCTGTGATTAGTTCAACCATGTTCTTAGTGTTGGTCTTTGTAGATTTTTTGCCACTACAAATGCATCTGTAATAAACACCCTTATACAGATCCTTATAAGTGATTGCTTTTGTTTCTGTGAGAGAGACTTCTGGGAGTATATTTAGTGAGAAAAATGTGTTTCTGATTGTTGCAGGAATGGAGATTGGGGCATTCAACATCCATGGCATCCCCCTTAAAGCACACTTTCCCAAAGAAGAGTGGGCGTAAAGCTAAAAAAGCAACACCCCAGACTCCAATTAGTTCAGCCAAGTAAATAGCACTTGTGCAGGACTTAGTTGCTAGAAGTGAGTTATGTGATAAGTCACTGAAGCATTTGACTTTTTTGCACAGAAGGTGTAGTGAAGTTTCTCCCTACTGTCTTGTCCTTAATCTCATTCATGTCTGTAAAAAGTAGTGGTGTGGGACCCTCCATGGTGGGATTGGGTGTTTCTCCTGGCTGCATCATCACCCAAAATTGCCTGGAAATTATTAAGATAATATTCTGTAACAAATCCTGTTCATTAAAACATGTTACAGTAGATTCTGTTGGCTAAAACAAGTGCCCTTAACCCCTACCAGCTGTGATTGCAGTAAACAGTACTTCAGTGAAATGGGGAGGTTGGATTGGTTATCTGCCTTCGTTGCAATTGAAAGCTGTGACAATCTGTTTGACATCAGAGAATGGTTGCTGGCAGTGCATGGTACACAGTGGTGGACGATTACTTCAACTATCATCTGTGGATACCTGGAGTGAAGTACATATTGAAGATAATGCCTTGGCAGTCAAAGTAGCTGCTGTGACAGATGATGTGAAGGCCATAAGGAATATAAAGGTTGTGACTTGGGTGGGCTATTTCTAACTGCTTAAGGAAAGAAAATTAAAGCTTCAGGGTTTTAAATTCTTGCCTGAAGACATGGTTAGAGAACCAGGGAATTCCTATGACTGCCCTGAAATAATCTCTCCATGTAGTCCTACATGACTGAGGTTAACTGGCTTGCTGGATTAATATAGGTTGAACTCATAGTCCTCCCTGATCTTTTAGGTAAAAACTTAGGGCATCAATTGGGAAAGGATGGCACCATGAGAATTTGGGGAAATTTGGGAAGATCTGAGGATACCAAGTACCTCAAACCCCAGTGAGTTTCTCTTGATAGCAGAAGCCCTCTCACCCTTACCCTACCCCATCTTATATGCCTGTTCCTGTCCTACTTTAAGCCCTTCTTGTGATCTCACCTAAGATAGTTTTCTTGTCAGCAGATGACAATTCTCATTATCCCCCTCCTGTCCCTGCTCATTGTACTGAAACATACAAGCAGTCATATTGTCCTGTGTCCCAGGGGACCAATCACAAAGTTAAACCTTAGCAAAATAATTGCAAAGTTTTGCTAATTTATTTCAACAAGACATGGGTAATATATATATGGACATGGAGTCTAAGAGATTAGGGACACACTTTTACATTGGCCTGAATTTACTTAATTTTAGAGGACCTAATTGCTTCTTTAGTTTGATTAAAACTTGGTGTGGCCTATGTGATGGGAAATTGAGATTCCAGAAACTCATACCAGAAACACATCAAAGTATGATATAAAGAAATCAGCTGGGTGTGGTGGCTTACGCCTGTAATCCTAGCACTTTGGGAGGCCGAGGCAGGTGGATCACCTGAGGTCAGGAGTCTGAGACCAGCCTGGCCAACATCGTGAAACCCTGTCTCTACTAAAAATACAAAAAATTAGCTGGGCATGGTGGCTGGTGCCTGTAATCCCAGCTACTCAGGAGGCTGAGACCGGAGAATCGCTTGAACTCAGGAGGCAGAGGTTGCAGTGAGCTGAGATCGAGCCACTGCACTCCAGTGTGGGCAACAAGAACATAACTCTGTCTCGAAAAAAAAAAAAAAAGGAAATCAAAAGACATGTTTTTGAAATTTTGGAGTGGATTTATCAAATGTGGATTTGTCATTCACTCACTCCCTTCCAAATTAAATTACCCAAAAAGGCTCAGAGAATATTTCTTTCACCATGACATGGAAAAGTACAAATGTAAAAAAGTGGAAATGGAGAAGGAAAATTTGGATGAGGGATTTTGCTATAGAAATGTATACCTGGATTTTGGTGAAATGATCCTATCCCACAGTGGCGGAGACCATGAAGTAGCACTTAACCAGTGGAGAAAGGCAGCATGGCTACACAATAGGTATCAGTGATAGAGTGGTTCTCAGAATTGTCTGACCCATAGGAAACTTTGATGGTGGCTAACCTGAGGTACTCAGGGCCAAAATACATAGACAGACCACTAAGATTCTACTCAACTGTAAAACTAGAAGAAAAAAATTTGTTACGTGTATGGAAAGAGTCCTGACTTAAGCTATCCCAATGAAGAGTCATGTCCTCTCACCCTTTTTCCATTTCTGAGTCAGTTCAATGACCCAGCACCCCTTGAATGAAGGAGAGATCAGGAACCCTGGGGAGGAACCCTGTGGTAACTTAGATATATATAACTCTTATTCCTCCTGTTTCCCAAGAAGACTCAGGCCTATTTACCATGGAAACTGAGCCCCAGGGAAGACAAACATTCAGATCTCTCAGGAATGATTAGCTACTGGGTCCAAAGCAAGCTTAATCCCTGAGAAAACTGAATTCCACTGTCGTCCCCCAGTCAGGGTGGGATTTATGAGAGCTAAGTGATGAATTTTGGGCTAGCATTCTTCTCACAGTGGCCCAGTGAATCTTATATCCATACCGTGTTTATTTTCCTAGTTCTGGAGTTCATAGTGGAAGTAGAAATATTCAGCTACTGGTAGAAAAATAAAGATTGTTCTCTGACCCATGGAATCATGTCTATTATGGTAGAAAGGGCCAAGTGTAAGTACATGGAGATTCCTCTCCCTACCAAAGTTATAAACTAAAGACAATATCATATCCCTTTGGAATTATGGTGATGAGGTACCATCAAACACTTAAAATACTTATAAGTAGTGATTCTTACCACATCTCCATTTCACTCACCTGTTTGGTGTGTGTCTTTGAGAATTTTATTGGATTACTATAAGCTTAATCAGGTAGTAATTTCAATTAGAGTTGCTGATTCTCTTTACTGGAGAAAAATTAACCCAGAGCCTCATACCTGGAAGGTGAAATTGTCTTTTTTTCTATCTCCTAATAAGCAGATAATAGTAGAGGAAATTGCTTTTACCTGTAAGGGTCACTTATCTATCTCTATTTTCTTGGCTTAAGGTGGTCATACTTTGGTCCCTATGGGCATGAGTGTCTCACTGTCTTACTGGATATTACTTTGAGCCAATATATTGATGACATTCATTCTGATAGGAACTGAGAGCAGGAAATAGTAGGTATTCTCAATTCCCTGATGAGATACATGCCTGCTGAAAGGTGGTTGTGAAATCCCACAAGAATTCCAATGTGTTCCCTCATGGAAATGTTTGGGAATCTAATGTCCTGGGGAACATTAGCTGACACCTTCAAAATGAAAAACAAGTTGTAAAATGAAAAACACCCTGCATTCCTACCTTTAAGAAAAAGGTACAACACATGGCAGATTATTCTGGATTTTTGAGGCAACATATGGTGCATTTACTGAGTAACCTTTACTTTAGCCCGTTGACTAAGTAAACTGTAAGGGGGCCAGACTTCAATGAACTGCAGAATAAGAGAAATTCTGGCTTGTTGAAGCTGCTTGGCACCCAGCTTTTATGATCCAAAGTATGAAATAGTCCTCGAAGTATTTGTGGCAGATTGGGGTGATGTATAAAGGTTGCAAAAAGCCTAGATAGAAGAATCACAGCATAGCCCCTTAGGATTTTGGAGCAAAATAAAATTCTATTAGGAAAATCACTATTCTCCTTGCGAGGCTGTGGCTTGCTAGAGGCTGATAGAGACTGAGCACCTGAATATAGTACACTAAATGACCATGAGATCTGAATTATCAGCATAAACTGGGTATTATCTGATTTACCATGCCTTGACATAGAGTATGCCTAGCAGGAGTTCATCATCAAGCAGTAGTAGTATGTATGAAATTGGGCTTGAACAGCTCTAAGAGGCACAATTCAGTTGAATGAATAGGGGTTGTTCAGTATTTACAGTGCTCTTATTTTTGACATTCTATAGAAATTTTTAAACATACAGAACAAAAGACTTGTCCAGTGAGCATCCATATACCTACCACGTAGATTCTACCATTAACATATTCATATATATATATATATATATATATATAGAGAGAGAGAGAGAGAGAGAGAGAGAGAGAGAGAGAGAGAGAGAGAGAGATGAAGTCTTGCTCTGTTGCCGAGGCTGGAGTGCAATAGCACGATCTCGGCTCACTGCAACCTCTGCCTCCTGGGTTCAAGTGATTCTCTTGTCTCAGCCTCCCAAATACCTGGGATTACAGGTGTTCGCCACCACGCCCATCTAATTTTTTGTATTTTTAGTAGAGATGTTGGCCAGGCTGGTCTCAAACTCCTGACCTCAGGTGATCCTCCTGATTACAGGTGTGAGTCACTGTGCCTGGCCCATATTCTTATATATATATATATTTTTGCACATTATCTGTTCATTCCTGTATGTATCCACAAATTCATCTTGCTTTTTGGATGCATTTCAGAGTAACTAACCTAGTTCTCTACTTCTATTGCATATCCACCTATCCCTCAAGCCACACCTTTGGACTCTTGGGTTGTTCCTTGTGGCCAGCTGACTGAAGAGGAAAACCCTTAGCCTAGTTTATAGCTGGCACCAGACAATATTCTGTCAGTAGCGAGAAATGAAATCAGCAGCATTAGAGCCCTGCTCAGAGTGGGCCTTCAAGACAGTGGTGAAGAGAAATCTGCCCAATGTGCAGAACTTATATTAGTACATTCTATTTCCTCTTTGCCTGGAAGGAGAAGTATGAATGTACAGCAGTTAATAAGTAGTGATTAATTGTCTGGCCAGCCAGACAAGAGACTTGGGAGAAACAGCTCCAGAGGGCAGGGGACAAGGGAGTCTGAGAAAGAGGTGTGGTTTCAGAATGTGAGGATATTTGTGTAAAACATGAATGCTCACCAGAAAACCTCCACAGGGGATGAGACTCTCAATAATTGAGCAGACAAGATTAGCTGCTCTGGGTTTCAGTCAGCCTTTTTGCCCAGCTTGCACAATGAGTTTATGAACTAAGTGGCTATGACAGCAGAGATAGAGGCTGTGCTTGTGCTCAATTCTATGGTCTCTCATCATCAAGGCCGACCTAGCTTCCACTTGCTGAGCACCCAATCTTTCAGCAGCAAAATCCAATGGTAAGCACCTAATATAGTATCATAATCTAAGAAGATCAGCCAGCCACCTGGTGGCAGGTTGATTTTATTGGATCCCTGTCAATGTATTGCCCATACTAGAATAGACATTTATTCTAAATATGTATTTGTCTTGCTTGCTTAACGAACATGCTTCTGTTAAAAATGCCATCCTTGAAATTACTGGATACCTTATTCCTGGCCATGGTATTCTGTACAACATTGTTTCTGGCTAAGAAAGAAGCAAGGCAATGGGCTGGCCCATGCAGAAATTGCTGATCTTATCACGTGCCTCATTACCCAGAAACAACTGAGTATATAGAATGGTTAAATGGCCTAATAAACTCAGGTACTGAGACAGCTGGAAGACAACTGGGGAAGTTAGGCGAGGGGAGTGGGTGCTTCAAAAGTCTGAACAAGTAACTATTAATAATATATGGTGCTGTTTCTCCTACAGTCAGAACTCATGGATCTGGGAACCAAGGGGGTGAAAGTGGTAGTGTTATTTTAAAATATTATGTCTAATGACCCATGCTATGGTTCAAATGTGTCCCCCAAAAGTTCACAAGCTGGAAATCTAATTGTTAAATATGTTTTAGCAATTAAAGAGGTGATTTAGGCAGTTGCCTTTAAGAGGCAATTAGTCCACGAAAGCTCTACCCTCATTAAGGGATTAATGCTGTTATTGCAGGAGAGGGTTAATTATCATGAGAGTGGGCTCCCAATAAAAACATGAAGTTCAGCCTCCATCCCTCTCTGCCTCTTGCATGCATGTCTCCTCATCATATGATGCCTTCCAGCATAGGATGACCCTCACCAGATGCTGGCACCTTGCTCTTGGACTTCCCAGCCTCCAGAACCATGAGTCAAATAAATTTCTCTTCCTTATAAATTATCCTGTATGTGGTATTCTGCTATAGCAGCAAAAATGGACTAGGACAACTTACCAAATGTTTGCTTCCTGTTCTTTCAATTTTTGGCTGTATTGATTTAGAGGTTTCTGTACCCAAAGAATTAATGTTTCCACCATGGGACAAAGCAAGGGCTCCACTGAATGGGAAACTGAAACTGTCACCTGATCATTTTGTATTCCTCATGCACCTGGATTAACAGGCCCAAAAGGGGATTACCATTTGGCTGGGGTAATTGATCCAGATAATCAAAGGGAAATAGGAATACTGCCACAAAACTGAGTGAGGAAAAAATATATCTGAACACAGGTGAGCCTCTAGAACACTCCGTAAGAATGGAATATCCAGTAATAAAATCTAGTGGGAGGCTACAGTACCCCTATGGTTTGGATCACCCCATGGATAAAATGGCTCAACTGGCTGAGACACAGACTGAGAAAAAGAGAACATGATGTTGACATCACAGCATTTCAGTAATGTTCTGTAACTTGTGCCTAGCTGCAGAAATGAGGACTTTAGGAGCTATCTTATGATTCCTCAAATTATGCATATGCATATGTAATTACACATATATATTAAATATTTATTTTCAATTATGCATTTTAATATTCCTTGTATCTTTCTTCCACTATTTTATATAAGGCAGATGTTTTTGTTATCTGATGATGTATAACAAACCACCTGAAAATTTAATGTGTTAAAACAACAATTTATTAGCTTTCACAACTCTGTGAGATTACTGGGTACTCATGGGAGCTAGAGTACATCTTTCCAATAAATTTTTTAAAAAATTAAGTTGACCAGAGGAGTAATTCTATTGCCTACAACCAAAGAACACTAATTGGAACAGAAATTGGTATCTGAGAGTGTGTTCTAAGCAAAAGGCCCTCAAAGAAATATGGTGTATTTTGAATTGATTATCAGGCCAAGATAAGACAAGAGGCAATTACACTCCAATTTCTAACTGGGGCAAGGAAATGAATAGCTCATGGAACCCGGTGGAGAAATTCCAAAATTTCTAGGGAACTTGGGAGCAGTTGCCTACAATACACCCCAGAGCCTGCTCAAATGGGCACCTTAACAAAGTGGCCCTGGTGGCAGGGATGGATACTATATATGAACTAAAAATTATGAACTTCCTTTCACTAAATTTGAGCTCACTACCACCTCTGTTACATAACAATTGCTGACAACAGCATCCAGCTGTGAACCAGTGATGATAGCAACAACGCCTTGAGAAGATAAGTGAGCTGAGATCATGGGGTCCCATTACACCATGGATGAGACAGCAATTTTGGACTCACAGGAATGGGAACTTATTGCATATTTCATGTTGTGCTCACTGGTTCATTGTATACTAAATATATTACGTCTATCTAGCTGCCTATCTAGCTATACATACACAAATATATACATACACATATAGATATATAAAACAACATCCCTGGCTCACACCTGTAATCCCAGCACTTTGGGAGGCTGAGGCGGGCGGATCACCTGAGGTTGGGAGTTCGAGACCAGCCTGGCTAACATGGTGAAACCCCGTCTGTACTAAAAATACAAAAATTAGCTGGGAGTGGTGGCAGGTGCCTGTAATCCCAGCTACTTGGGAGGCTGAGGCAGGAGAATCACTTGAACCTGGGAGGCAGAGGTTGTAGTGAGCTGGGATAGTGCCACTGCACTCCAACCTGGGAGATAAGAGTGAGACTCTATCTCAAAAAACAAACAAACCAACCAACAAAAAAACTCACAAGATTTCTCTCTACATATGCCATATATTAACTTTTATAATTTTTTCTGATTATAAAATCATTATAAAAATGAAGCTATTATTGGATCAACTTAGCCCTTAGTGGAAATGACTCATCCTAAGGAAGACTTTGCCACCAGGAGTCAATGGCAGGTTATAATCAGTTTCCCTGCCACCCACTCAAGCACCTGGAAATGCCCTTCACTTTCTGCCCACCTAATGCCCCCAGAAGCCAACTGGGAGAGGAAATTAAAAGTTCTCCAATAGGCAGACATCTATATCAGCTCCAGTGAAACCACATTTATTCCAGTGTTCTATTCAGAATCTTTTGATCAGCCAGTTCAATTTGAAGTCCATTTATTTCTTTCGACAATGTTAACCAAGCACCTCCTTATATGCCAGAGGCTTTTTTAGGGACTAGGCATGCAGTAATACAAAAAACACACCAAATCCCTTTTCACACTACCTAGAGAGGGGTCCATACAGTGTTGTTCTGGATTGCCATCATAACTTAAAGGAAAATGTTCACAATGTCTGGAGTCCTTAATGTTCTGCAAATGAAAGAGGAGGATGTCATCAAGTTCCTTGCAGCAGGAACCCATTTAGGTGGCACCAACCTTGACTTCCAAATGGAACAGCACATCTATAAAAGGAAAAGTGATGGCATCTACATCATAAATCTGAAGAGGACCTGGGAGAGGCTTCTGCTGGCAGCTCATGCCATTGAAAACCCTACTGATGTCAGTGTCATATCCTCCAGGAATCCTGGCCAGCAGGCCATCCTGAAGTTTGCTGCTGCCACGGGAGCCATTCCAATTGCCGGCCACTTCATTTCTGAAACCTTCACTAACCAGATCCACTGGCAGCCTTCCGGGAGCCACATCTTCGGGTGTTTACTGATCCTAGGGCTGACCACCAGCCTCTCAGAGGCATCTTATGTTAACCTGCCTATCATTGTTCTGTGTAACACATTCTTCTTTGCACTATGTAGACAATGGCATTCCTTGCAACAAGAGAGTTCACTCAGTGGGTCTGATGTGGTGGAGGCTGGCCCAGGAAGTTCTGAGCATGCGTGACACCATCTCCCATGAACACCCATGGAAGGTCATGCCTGATCTTTACTTCTACAGAGATCCTGAAGAGTTTGAGAAGGAAGAGCAGGCTGCTGCTGAAAAAGCTGTGACCAATGAGGAATTTCAGGTTGAATGGACTGCTCTAGCTCCTGAGTTCACTGCTGCTCAGCCTGAGGTTGCAGGCTGGTCTGAAGGCATGCAGCTGCCCTCTGTGCCTATTCAGAAGTTGCCTACTGAAGACTAGAGTGCTTAGCCTGCCACGGAAGACTGGTCTGCAGCTCCCACTGCTCAGGCCACTGAATACATAGGAACAACCACTGAATGGGCTTAAAGCTGTTCTTCCACAGGCTCTTAAGCAACATGGAAATAAGGCTGGTGGAAAATAAACATCATTTTCTAAAATAAACAAACAAACAATCAAACAAAAAGACAAAAATCGCTTCTCATGGAGCTTGCATTCTCATGGTGGGAAGTGAGACAAACAATAACTAAATAAATAAATTTGGGTGGTAATAAGTGCAAAGAAAAAATAAGACATGGGCAAGGGCATGGGTATGTTGGGTTATCAGAGAAGGCCTCTAGTAGGGCAGAGACTCTGGAATATGTTCTAGGCAGTGAGAACAGCCCATGCAAGGGCCCTGAGGCGGCAGTTTGCTCTGCACGTTGAGGAACAGTGAGGAAGCCAGCATGGCTGGAGTGGGGTAAGCAAGGGGCATGAGTAGGAGTTTAGATCTGGAGGTATTTCAATGGAAGCCAGATCATGTAGGCTCCTGTAGGCTTTGGTTAGGACTCTGAATTTTATTGTGAGTGTGGTTGAAAACCCTTGTAGCATTTTGAATAGAGACATGAAATGCTCTGTTTAATGATTTAGTGGGATCACTCTTGCTCCCCTGTAGAGAATGGTCTTGGTCTTTGATGCAAACCAATTCCATGCCTCTACATTTCTTCATCTTCAGCCATATAAAAATGCAAGCTCCCCCCATTTCCTCTCACTGAAAGGCTTTCATCTCCCTATTTCTGCAAGTCTTTCTCTTGGGCTCATCTTCCACTGCTGACCTCCTTTCTCCAAACTTGTGTTGCAATTGTAGGCAAACTTCCCTGCCTAAATAGCCTTTCACCTTATCCCATCCTTAACTGACACCTCTCTTTCCCCTGAGGACACAACTGTCCTTGCAACCTCTGCAGGGCAGGTTGACATGTTCCCATGTTCTACTTATTATACAACAGAACCAGCACTTAGACTTGCCTGCTCCCACTGACCCACTGGAAGCTTCTACACTGTTTGGTTTAATGGGAAGCTGCACAGACTTTGTAGTCAGGCTGGACTTGAATCTCCACTGCACCCCCTTTTACTGGCTGGGTTACACTGGGCAAATTATTTAACTTAATATGAGCCTTGGTTTCCTCACCTGTAAAATACATTGGACAATTTTTGTCAAGATTACAGGAAGCGATGATTGTAAAATACCCATTATAGTGCCTAGCACTCAAAAAACCTTACTCTTCTCTTCCCTCCTGTCCCTTTGATAACCATATGACCCTCTTGTCACTTATCTGTATAGTGTGCAGGTAGAATGTGGCATTTGACTCACCTCGCTAATCCAGACTTCATCCCCATTTGTGATGGTTAATCTTAGGTGTCACTTTGAGTAGATTAAGGAATGCCTAGAAAATTGGTAAAGCATTATTCTGGGGGTATATCTGTGAGGGTGTTTCCAGAAATGATTAGAGTATGAATCTGAGTAGACTAGGTGGAGATCTGCCTTCAATGTGGGCAGGTACCATCTAATTGGCCGGGGGACCTGAGAGAACAAAAACAGAGGAAAGGCTAATGTATCTATCTATCTGCTTCAGCGGGTATACACTCTTCCGCTCCTGTCCTTGGACAACAGAACTCCAGGTTTTCCAGCTTTGGACTCCAGAACTTATACCAGCAGTCCTCCAGGTTCTCAGATCTTACACCTCAGACTGAGAGGTATACCATCAGCTTCCCTAGTTCTGAGGCCTTTAGACTTGGACTGAGCTATGCTACCAGCATCCCAGGGTCTCCAACATGGAGGTGGTCTGTTGTGGAACTCATCAGCCTCCATAAGCTCATGAGCCAATTCTAGTAAATCTCCTCTCATAAATCCATATATCTACATCTATATAGCCTATTGGTGTGTATTGCTGGAGAATCCTAAGAGTTTTCATAACCACATGGGAGACTTGTTTCAGGAACTCATTCCTGTAGCCATACCTTGAGCCATTTAAACTCCAGTATTTTAGTTTCTGGTCAAAATCTCCCATCTCTCCATTCATCCTTAATCCCTTTTGAGCCATCTTGTGCACTCTAGTCTCCAAGTGCTCCTTCTCCAAGGTCTGACAGCTGCATCCCTGGGCTCTACCTCCTTCCTTATTTGACCTGGACTTCCTCCTGTGAATCAGCGAGAGTTTTAGAGTTCAAGTGATAGAAACTGACTCTGGCTAACTTCAGCAGAAAAGGAACCTACTGGAAGCATATTGAGGGGTTTCAAGAACCAGTGGGAAAGTTGGAAACCAGGCTTGGAAAAGGGGTGGCATGTGTTAGGTTTGTCATTCGGTAAATATTTATTTCCTATCCTCCATCAACCTCCATGGGAGAAATACGATGCTGGATTTTCCCACATGATTTTCTTTGGACATTGAAGCATTGGAGGAAGAGACAGTATGCCTGTAGCCTTAGAAGCATTTGTGTTTCCACTCATCCTGAGAGCTTTGGACCTCCATCATAAAAGAAGCATTCTCTGGGTAACCTGCTAGTCCCAGAAGAATGAAAGACTGGTAAAGATATCCTAGCCAATTTGTACACTGCAGCCTGAAACAGATATCCCCAGGTAACTGGCTTGTGTATAAGCAAGAAACAATGCTTTTTATTATAGGTCCTTGAGATTTTATGATTGTTTATTACACAGCATTGTGTGAGTAGCTGGTGAACCAAGTAGTCCTGGTAGAACCAAGGATGGGCGGGGAGCAGGACCCATGACTAAGCATGCCATAAGAACTAATTGATAAGGATATGTCTCCTTGCTCCTTTGGCTGTTGCTACTGCTGGACTCTCAATTCCACCAGTATGAATGTGTTCTAAGCCAGTGCTTTTCACACTTTAATATGTATGAATCATGTGGGATCTTGTTAAAATGCAGATTCAGTACATCTCGGTGGGCCCTGAGATTCTGCATTTCTAAGGCTCCCAGGTGATGCCAATGCTACTGGCCCCAGACAGACGGGAATATTCAAATGGGTGAATCTAGGTCACATGTCCATGCCTTGACTGTTAGGTGACAGGTAGAGGGATGACCCTTCTGTGATGGGTCAGGGAGCACTGTATCCCAGTAGTGCTATTCAATGGGAAATAAGAAGAGCAGCTAAAAATATTACAAATGTCTATCCAGGCTCCCTATTAAATCACTTTAACCCTTCTCTTGCTCTTGGTCCTGCTATTGCACTTGTTCTGCAACTCCTGATCTTGGATCAATCCCCTGGCTACCTTCATCACTTTTACCAACTTATTCATTCATTTAAAACATATTTTCTGAATTCCCATAATATGCCAGCCATCAGGGATAATTTGGTAAAAAAAAAAAAAAAAGAATAATGAAGATTCTACCTCTTGTGGCTTATATTCTAGTGGAAAAAAACAGACATTCTCAAATAAAAAAATAAGTTTAATGAATCCAGGGTGCTAAATGTGCTATGAAGAGAATATCATGATGAGTAACTAGGGGCAGCTTACATGAGATAAGTCAAGCTGAAGTCTGAATTATGAGCTCAGAGAATAGCTGAAAGAAAAATGTTCAAGGCTGAGGGACCAAATGCAAAGTCTTGAGGCAGGGAAGGTCTTGGCTTGAAAAACAGAAAGGAGGCCAGTGAGACTAGGGTTATTGAGCAAGAGGGAGGGAAGTGTTGAATTAGGGTGGAGAAGTAGTCAAAGGCCAAGCAACAGGGAAAGCTAAGAAATTTAGATTTTATTCTGAACATAACAGGGAGCATTGGAGGCTATTTAAGTAACAGCAGATGAATCCATACATATTCTGAGAGCTCACTTAGGCCACTGAATGGAGAACGGATTGTAAGGGCAAGAATAGAAAGCAGGAGACCAACAAGGAGAGTGTCAGTAGTCCAGGTGAGAGATGCTTGTGGCCTGGCACCTTTCTTTTTTCTGCTGTATGAGAAAGCCACATACTTCTCCTATTTAAGAGTAATCCCTCCACCTGAATCACTCATCATCTTCTCTGTTTTTATTAATTCTCCCTGTTTTCTACCTTCAATCTCTTTCCTTCCTTTGGGTCTATTTCCTCAGCATACTAATATATTCAGATCTCTTACACATAAAAAAGTAACAGTATTAAGAGGTGGGACCTTTAAGAGATGGTTAGGCTTCACCCTTCACTCCTTCTGCCATGTAAGAGTGGAGTGAGAAGGTGGCTGTCTATGAGGAAGCAGGCCCTCGTTAGACACTGAAACTGCTGGTGCCTTGATCTTGGGCTTCCCAGCTTCCAGAACCTCACGAATGGATTAATGCCATTATTGTAGGAGTGAGTTAGTTATCTTGGGACTGGCTTTCTGATAAAACAATGAGTTCAGCCTAATTTCCTCTCTCTGCCTCATGCACTTGCTTCTGCCTTCCGTCCATCCTCTTTGGGATGACCCTCACCAGGTGCTAGCACTATACTCTCGGACTTCCCAGCCTCTACAATAGTGAGCAAAATAAATCTCTTTTCTTTCTAAATAACCTAGTCTGTGGTATTCTGTTACAGCAGCACAAAATAGACTAAGACACCTACATTCTACAATACCACTCTTTTTGTGTTCTCTTCCTATCTCTCTGGCAGTTTCTTTTCAGTTTGTGTTTTCATCTTTCTTGTCCGTGCCACTATCCACTCCTGTCACTCATCATCTGAGTGGGGTTGCAACCTCCTTACTCTGACCTCCCTTCCTCTACCAGAGTCCTCCTCCACATCATTGTGTACTTTGGTTTCTAAGGAGGATGGGTTAAGACATATAGTGACATATTGATGTAATTCAGAAACACAACTATTTGTTTAAAGGATGATGTGTTTTAAGAATGATTCCTGGTTACTCTCTGGAAGGCTAAGCCTCAGGAGACATCAGTTTGGCATTCAGACTGTCCACTTGCAATATAAGAGCTGCTGGACAGCTTAAGTATTTTCAGCTGTAGACACTGGGATTGTCTGCACCAGTTGATCTAATTACTACCTTACCTATACCTAACTTTATACCTTGGTGAAGAATTATCTTGGAATAAAGTCATTCCTGCATCCAATCACAGCAGGAACCTCAGGTAAACAATTCATTCAATGAGAGTAATGGCTCTGCCATATCCACCAATCCCAATCTTGGTTCATACACTACAGAGAACAGCAGCAATTAAAGTGACATTTTAATAACCAGGCATAAGATGTTTTTATTATAAGGATTGCTGAAATTCCTCAATTCATGATTACTATGGTTTGAATATTTGCATTCCTCCAAAATTCATATGTTGAAATCCTAACTCCAAGGTGATTGTATCAGAAAGTGATTAGTGTCCTTATTTTAAAAAGCCTAAGAGAGTTCCCTCCCTCCCTCTGCCATGTAAGAGTAGAGTGAGAAGATGGCTGTCTATGAAGAAGCGGGCCCTTGTTAGACACTGAATCTGCTGGTGCCTTGATCTTGGACTTCCCAGCTTCCAGAACTGTGAGAAATAAACATCTGTCATTTATAAGCCACCTAGTCTATGGTATTTTGTTATACCACTCTGAACAGGCTAAGAAAATAATTTTACTACTGGCTTCATGAAAAATATTCCCAGGGTTGCCTCCAGGCAGATATTCTAGGAATCCAATGTAAGCAAACCTGGTCACTGATTTCTAAGGGGAAACTCTGTCTATGTCTCCCCATGAGACTGTAAATCCTGAAAGCAGGAAGATGTCATTTAATTTCTGTTACTCTAGCATCTGGCAAAGTGACTGGCATTTAGTAGCTACTTAATAAATATTTGTTGAGTATTTGTATATTTGACTGAATATACAAACTAATAACAGCCAGATCACATATAAGAATAGAACCCTCAGCTGCATGTGGTGGCTCATGCTTTTAATCTCAGCCCTTTGGGAGGTCAAGGTGGGAGGATTGCTTGAGACGAGGAGTTTGGGGCTGCAGTGAGCTATGACCATGCCACTGCAGTCCAGCCTGGGTAACAGAGCAAGATCCTGTCTCTATTTTAAAAAAGCAGAACTTTGATCCACAACCAGTAGTAATCTTCCCAGGAAATCAACCCATATCTACAATAACCAGTCCAGGAAGCTAGCCTGCTATGCCAGACTTGTAGGAAGCCAGATTGCCGTCTCTAATAAAAATCTAAGAAGCCAAACAATAATCCTTATAATAATCAGCCCCAAATGGCTAGGACTTTAATAACTTGACAGCTTCCCTAAGTTTTGTCTTTGCTTGCAACTTAGGACTAACCAGAGAAAACCAGATATTCCCCCCCAAACAACTCCTGTAAGATGCCCAGTTTCCAGTTAGCCCTCCAACAGCTTCCTGTGCCAACAGCCTCCAATCAGGGCACACCTGAAGCCTTCCTTTCTTTTCCACTATAAGATTTTCCCACTCCTCTGCCTGCCTTTGAGTCTGCCAAAACACAAATAACAGTGGCTGACTCCCTTGCTACAGCAAGTTCAGAATAAATAGACTTTGCTTGTTCTCATTTGATTAGTCTTCATTTATTTTCACAAGTAAATGCCTTTGGAGACTTAGGACAGACCTGGACCCGCCATGGTAACACGGCAGAACCTTAGGATTGGAAAGGGGTTACGGAGAAACGTAATCTGGATAGCTGTTGGAACCTGACTTTCTCAGGTTATTTGCCTCTACACCCTCTTTTCCCATTCAAAAAAAAAAAAAAATCCTGAACCTTCAAGGCTTGGGTTTGAAAGCAGAATCTTTTGACAAGAGACAGCCAGCTGACTCTGCAGTTCCCAGTGGCCCCCTGAGCTTCATCTTTCACAGGTAGTAGGCTCAATTTGATGACTCCTGTCACTGCCATGCTGGTCCATGTTCAAGGGTCCTCAGAGACTCCTTCCCTGGGTTGCCCTTAGCACAGCTCCAGTAAGCTGGAGTTTCATAATTTTTTTTTTTGAGATGCAGGCTTGTTCTGTTGCCCAGACTGGAGTGCAATGGCACGACCTCTGATCACTGCAACCTCCGCCTCCCGGGTTCAAGCAATTCTCCTGCCTCAGCCTCCTGAGTAGCTGGGATTATAGGCATATGTCACATGCCCTGCTAATTTTTGTATTTTTAGTAGAGGAGGGGTTTTGCCATGTTGACCAGGCTCGTCTTGAATGCCTGACCTCAGGTGATCCACCCGCCTGGGCCTCCCACAGTGTTGGGATTACCGGCGTGACCCACAGCGCCCAGCCCATAATGTTTTTACAAATTAAAAAATGTCACCAGAACCTGCACTTTGGCTTCAGGTAAGTCTATGTTAATAGTAACCTCTCGGCCGGGCACGGTGGCTCATGCTTGTAATCTTAGCACTTTGGGAGGCCAAGGCAGGCAGATCATGAGGTCAGGAGTTTGAGACCAGCCTGGCCAACATAGTGAAACTCCGTCTCTACTAAAAATACAAAAATTAGCCGGGCATGGTGGTGGGCGCCTGTAGTCCCAGCTACTCGGGAGGCTAAGGCCGGAGAATGGGGTGAACCCGGGAGGCGGAGCTTGCAGTGAGCCGAGATCGCGCTACTGCACTCCAGCCTGGACGACAGAGCGAGACTCCGTCTCAAACAAACAAACAAACAAACAAACACATAAAAGTAATCTTCCAGTTCATTGGCTCTGGTTCTTCTTCAAATAGGGCCTCATCTCTCCTTTACTCCAGGTAGTGGTGATATTAAAAATATTTAGCACCTGGAATGACAAGTGCATGGACCAATCAAAACAGGGGCTCAAGCCGTACCAGGCATTAACCCTTTAGTTTTTGGATCCTGGGGAGGTCTGGGTAGAAGGTAATGGGGGTGAAGAGGGGAAGGGTGCTTGGGGGCATTGGCTATTTACCAATGAATATGAAAGTATCTCAGTATTTTAACAACCAGAACAGCATTCGTGCACACCAGATGAATGTCAGACCTGCCTTCACATATTTCTGGGAGTTGTCAGTTTGTTGTATTCAACATAGGCTGCCATAACAAAATTCCTTAGACTGGGTGGCTTAAACATTTATTTCTCATAGCTCTAGAGGCTGGGAAGTGTAAGATCAGGGCACTAGCAGACTCAGTGTCTGGCGAGGGCCCTCTTCCTGGCTTGTAGAGGGCTACCCTCTTGCTATGTCTTTACATGGTGAAGAGAGAGCAATCTCTCTCTCCTCTTCTTAAAAGGGCACTAATCCCATCACTGGGACTCTACCCTTATGACCTCATTTATATCTAATTATCTCCCAAAGGTCCCACTTACAAATACCATTACACTGGGGGTTAGGCCTTCCACATATGAGGTTTTTCTTTTGTTTTGTTTTTGGAATGGAGTCTTGCTCTGTTGCTCAGGCTGGAGTGCAGTGGTGCGATCTCTGCTCACTGTAACCTCCACCTCCTGGGTTCAAGCAATTCTCCTGCCTCAGCCCCCCAGTAGCTGGGACTACAGGTGCATGCCACCAAACCTGGCTAATTTTTGTGTTTTTAGTAGAGATGGGGTTTCGCCATGTTGGCCAGGCTGGTCTTGTACTCCTGACCTCAGGTGATCCACCCGCCCAGCAGTGGACAGCCTCTCCTGCAGGTACACTGGCCTCCGCTGGGCATGACTGAGGTTTCTCATGTGTGGTTTTATCTCTGAAGCACTAATTCCTCCATTAGCCTCTACAGGTGCTTCTGCTCTTGCCTGACAGACCTTATGTTCTTCTGTGGATGTCCAAGCTGCCTTGGGAAATCTCTGGGTACCACCACCAAAGTCTTAGAGCCCTCAAAGTGCCTGGATTTTCCAGACATTTAAGGTAAAGTGGGGGAGGAGAATGCCTCTTTTTCTCTTTAAATCTCTTTTATGAGAGGAGTACCAAAAGGGCATTTATGTATTTATTCATTGGACAAACATTGAGGGCAACTATACATCAGGCATAATTCCAGGCGTTAGAGCTAAAGTGAAAAAGACAGGCTCCCTGCTTTCATGACACTTACATTCTAGTGGGTGGAGACAGAATATAGACAAACATATGTAATGTCAGCTAATAATAGGTGTAGGAATAAAGCAGAGTCATGGGTTGGAGAATGATGGAGTATGTCGGGTATGTCTGCTGTTTTATATCTTAGACTGGATGATCAGAGAAGACCTCTGACATTTGATCAGGAAACTTAATCAAATAAAAGCGTGAGCAATGGGGGATATGTGGGAACATAGCAAATGCAGACTCTGTAGCAGTGTGCACATGCTACAGTGTTTTATGGTTTTAATGACCAGTTCCTTCACTTTTTCCTGTCGTCTGCCTTTTGTCTTATGCTTGCCTTCTCAAACCTCAATTAAGATTTTTTTCTATAACTGACAGGTTTTTTCATCTATCATCTTTGTTTATCCAGAAACAGAGAGAAAAGAAGAAGAAAGACAAGGAGGGGAGGAAGAGAAGCAAAAGGAGGAGGAGGAGAAGAAGGTGGCAGCAATAACAATGGATGTAGGAGGGGGAAAGGAGGGCATGCTGCCCTTGCTCCTTCTTTCATTGCCTTTTGGCCCCTAGATGAAGAAAGGGCTGCACCACGAGAGAGGCAATTCTAGTCTGAGCAGTCTCTTGGGCCTGTGGGCAAGTTAGATGTGGGGCAGCAGGAATCTGCTCCATTTTGAGTTGTCTGGCGTTTTTATGTACTCATTTGGTGCAGTCCTGCTATGGGGATTGATAGCCAGGAACCTGCACCATGAGTCCCAGGTATAGGATCCTCTGTTCAAAGTATATGGGTAGGTCTCATGTTCCATATGGGCCTCCACCTATCTTTTCCCATTCTCAGGACCCTCAGCTCCTTTTGGCAGCAGCATCTTAATACCTGCTGCTACTAGAGGGAAACATCATTAGGAGCACTTGCTTGGCCATAGTAGGTTGGTACCAGCAGGCAACATTCCTGTTTCCTAGTACAGTGCCTGGAACCTAGAAAGTACTCAGTAAACCTTTGATCAGGAGGTACTGTGCTTCAGGACAGAAACCAGGATTCTGGTAACTAGGAATACATTCCACTCATGGGAAGTTTAAAACTGGCAAGCTGTGTGTAGGTATGTGCCTGTAGTCCCAACTACTCAAGAGGCTGAGTGGGAGGATTGCTTGAGCCTAAGAGTTTGAGTCCAGCCTGGGCAATAGTAAGACCTTATGCCTAAAAAAAGATAAAAAATTAAAACCAGGGTAGAACTAGAACTTACATAATTGCTTCCTTTAGTTTAATGTGTCAATGTTCTCTAGCAACCCAGTGTTGGTTTCACTATTCATTGCAACAAGGGAGAACGCACACCATGGGAGATCATGAGAGATCTCCATATTGGGATGTTACTAGGAGTTATAGGATTTGCCTTGTGTTAGGTGATTTTAGGGGGCAAGTTTTAAAGGCCAGTGCTTTTCTGTGTATTGGATGCTGTCAAGATGAGGGAGTAATTCTATGATTGGGCATCTTAATAAATTTTATTCAGAGGAAAAGAATACAGTGATGGGCTGGGCACAGTGGCTCAAGCCTGTAACCCCAGCACTTTGGGAGGCCAAGGCGGGTGGACTGCTTGAGCCCAGGAGTTCAGGACCAGCCTGGGAACCATGGCGAAACTCCATCTCTACCAAAAAAAAAAAAATTAGCTGAGCACGGTGGCACACACCTGTTGTTCCAGCTACTCAGGAGGCTGAGGTGAGAGGATCACTGGAGCTGGTGAAGTCGAGGCTGCAGTAAGCCATGATCGTGCCACTGCACTCCAGCCTAGGTGACAGCAAAAAAAAAAAAAAAAACAAACCACAGTGATGGTAGAGCTATAATTGATTTAAAAAAACAGCCATCAAATTAACTGGAAAAGGAGGGTGTTTGATGTGCACAGTAACGTTGTTTTTGTCTGTGCTTAGGCAAGGTTATGAAATGGTCTTGTCATGTCTCGTTTCTTCAGTCACAGAAAGACCATGTGTGATGTCGGTGTTCTGTGAGATTATTTATGCTCAACAGGAGAATATTGAGGGATGATGGTGAATGCCAGGCCAGCATGTGACAACCCTGAGGCTTAGTTACCTGTGTCAGACCAGTTCCCAGGCACCCTAGATTTATTTAGTGAGTCCTCCAGTTGGTCAAGGGTAGACAAAGTCAGGCCACAGGACCATTAATCTATGATATTCAGATTTTCACTATTGCTAAATTTATGCTGATCTGGAGGATGCAGTCTGTAGTTGGGTTAATTCCGCCTTCTGTTGTAGGATTTGTTGAATCATATGATATGACAATGGCTGTGCAGAAACTAGGGCTGTGGATAGGATACGTTGACCAAGTGCAAAAGAAGCAATTACCAGAAACAAAATGATTATCCATCTTTGTAAAAAGTCTTGAAGACAGGGACCCAGATTATAAAGTCCTGGCAATGAAAACATGCCCCAGAATCCAGCTGAGTCTGTTTTTAGGGAGCCAGGAGGATTTTCTCTTTTCAGTTTACTCATGTTCTACTGACTCTGTAGTATGTTCTACTGGCCCAGTAGTATGTGAGTATGGTGACAAGTGTTGCTAAATACAAACTCCTCCTTGGCCAGCTAAGAAGAAATCAAGGGTTATATAATTATCCATGAAAACTCTGGCTAAGGAATTCAAATTTAAGTGGTTTTCTGAGCTGCTATAGCAGAAGTTTTGCTATCTATGGGGTCTGCTAAGGTCAAATACCTCTCTTGGATCTGATCTCTTTCTGTTGTATTATCTTTGTTGTAGGAATTTCATTCACAGAGTACACATGAAAAATGAGTCAGTTATCCCTCCTGGGAGTTCTCCCAAGTAGTCTGTGATTGTGTGCTTGCTTCATTTTGTTGGTTTCTGGGTGTTCTTTTCAAAGAAACACAGTCTACTGGAGGGGTGGTAATTTTAAGCACTGGAGGGTCTCTAACAATTAGCTTCAATATAAAGGGTAAGTTAGTGGGCAAGCCAGATGTTCCCATAAATAAGTAGTACCCTAGGGGAGTACAGACTGCATTGGGAGGATAAGGGCTATTTAGCACATCAGGGACAAGCCAACTTTCTTTCCCTCAGGATAAGCAGATTTCTTGGATGAAGTTAAACAGGTTTCTCCAAAGCAGGCTGGAATGTTTTGGAAGAGAATGACCTGAGTAGTGTATAAAGAATAGCCCCAATATTAGTTTCTATTCCTGAAGGGCTAGGTTTTTCTCATAGGATTGTAATGACTTCAGGGAAACATTCTGTTGAAGTGTAGGTCAAGGTCCAATTTTTAGAAGACTGAGGTTTGGGATGAACTTTGTGGGGAATGCTTAAGTACCAGAAGTGACCTACAGAAGAAAATCTACTTGATGAAGTCTATGAAAGCACAGTTATTAAATTTTGTCAACAATTCCTTAAAAGCAGTAGCTACGGTTTGAGAAAAACACTCCAGAAAGTGTCTCTTTTCTTTTCTTTTTTTCCTTCCCTTTCCTTTCTCTTTCCCTTTCCCCTTTCCCCTCCTTTCCTTTCCTTTCTCTTTCTCTCTTCTCCCTTTCTCTCTTTCTTTTTTAGATTGGGTTTCACTTTGTTGCCCATTGGCACGATCACAGCTCACTGCAGTCTTGGACTCCTGAGCTTCAAGGACCCTCTTGCCTCAGCCTCCTGAGTAGCTGGGACTCCAGATACGTGCCACCATGCCCAGCTAATTTTTTATTGTTTTTAGAGATGGGGGTCTTGCTACATTGCCTACGTTAGTTAGACTCCTGGTCTCAAGTGATCTTCCCACCTTGGCTTTCTAAAGTGCTGGAATTACAGGTATGACCCACTGCACCTGGCCAAATAATGTTTACTTTAAGTAGTAGAACATAGGGAGTCAAAAGTAACAGGATGAAGATAAGGGTTATCTCCCCGAGAAATCAATTTGTTAGTTAATCAAGGGTGTCAAAATGCAATAAGCAAGATTAGTGGTAGGGTAAGAGATGCCAAGGAATCAGAAATTAATCTTGTCCTGTTGTCTTGGGTATAAACTGCCCATTTCTGCAGTAAGCAGCTTCTGGGGAAGTCCCAGGAATCTTCAGTTTGAGGTCTTCCAATAGTATGGGATGTCCGGTAGCCAGGAGAAAATGATGCATGTCTTTTTAGTTGTGTAATATGAATCCAGGGATCAATGTCTTCTAGTTTTACTCCTGGGTCAGTTGTTGATAGTACCTGACATTTTTTTTTCTTGCATTGAGGCTCAAGGGAAATTGTTTTCTAATGCTTTTTCAGAAGACCAAATCTCTAACTTCAGAAGCTGCTTAGGTGGGTGCTTTGAGAATGCAGCTTCCATCTGTTGTTGATAAAGCAGGAGTTAATCTTAGAAGTCTCCTGCAGCAATTAGTGATAACAGCTTATATTAGTAGCATCTAGTATTGGAAGTAATTCACAAATACATGAGGAAGCCTGTTATTAACTCAGAAGGAGATAACTTATGGGCCTTAGAATGGACTGACCTTATTGCCATCAAGGCAAATAGAAGTACTTTGGGCTTTGGAAGTTAGATGGAAGTTAGAGAACTTTGAAAGCTATTTTTTAGAATTCTATTAGTTCTCTTTATCTTTCCTGAAATTTGTGGATGCAAAAAGATAGCGGAGTTTCTAAAAAGGTAAAGCTTTACAGTTATTTAATATCAGTGAAATGTGTGTCCTCTTACTGGAGATAAACATTGAGATTTCACATTCAGGAATACAAAATTAATAAATTCTTTTCTACTATTACAGTAATAGGTCTCCGGCAAGGAGAACCCCTAAACCCCTTAAGAATAAATAACCCTAATGTACTCATAGTCCATTTAGAGGTGTTCAACAGAACTCCAAGACTGGGCTCCAGTTCATGTTCTACCCTTAAAGTTTTGCCAGGATTGGGTCATTGACAGGTAGGCAGGACATACATCCTTGGCAATAACCCTAAAATTGCCCCACCAACATTGGTTCAGCATCATTATCAATGTATCTCTACTATTGTGGGTAATACCATGAAGACTTTTTGCTGGACTCCACTTTAATTATGGCTATTTCCTTTGGTAACAGTGAAGCATCTCAAGATTATAATTATTATTTAAAATTTTAATTTAAAAATTTTCCCCATAGGTTATTGGGGGTACAGGTGGTGTCTGGTTACATGGCATCTTAAGATACTTTAATTTGCCATTCATTTCGTAGAGGTTCCTGAAGCGGTCAGGAAATCTTTGTTTTTAAAGCACTCCAAAGTCATTGACGAACCACCAAAACATATGTACTATCAGTATAAATATTTGCTCTGTTATCCTTTAACAGCTGGTTGGTCTAGGCCAGGGCAATTCCTACACTAACAGAGGACCTGGGATGGCATACTGAGTCAGCCACTTACTAGGTAAGAAACTTTGGGCAAATTAATTTTTTTAGCCTCAGATTCTTCATACATGAAATAGTAATACTTGTCTCACAGAACCGTGAGCATCTAATGAGTTATTGTACAATAACCAACCTATCACTAAGTCCTTCACATTGATTATTTCCTTTAATTATCACACCCATCCTATGCGATGGCCTATTATCATCGTTTTATAAACACAAAGTCACACCACTTTAAGTGGTGATGCCAGGATTCAAACTCCGATCTTTCTGATGCCAGTGCCCAGTTCTTAATCCCTCTAACAACCCGTGACACTTTTCCACGGTTAGGTTCAAGCGCCCACCATACAGCTTGACACTTTAGGAGATACTCAACCTTTAAAACTTTATAATTTGCATGTGTGATTATAACGGGTACGTCCTAGAGTTTGATCTCTTCTCTGTGCAGGGGCGAAACTCGACCCCAGCCGAGAACTACACTGTCCTTGCGCGGGGCCCTCTGCGCCCCGGAAGGCGCCCAGTCCCGGTTTATTGTGAGCTTACAGTACAGTTCGCAAGGTCCCGGCCGGTGACGGCGGCGAGGCGGCAACGTCGCCTGTAGCAAACCTCCGCCCTAAGGCGTTCCCGCCGGGCCTCGCGCGGCGTCCCTAGCAACGCGCGCGCGGTCTTCCGGCCCCGCCCAGGCGGGCGGCACTGCGCCTAAGCTGGGCCACAACCGCCAGTCAGGGCTCTCCCCTTCCCCTCCCTCCCCCCCTCCTCCTCCTCCTCTGCCGCCCAGAGCGAGACACCAACATGGAGCCCGAGGATCTGCCATGGCCGGGCGAGCTGGAGGAGGAGGAGGAGGAGGAGGAGGAGGAGGAGGAGGAAGAGGAGGAGGCTGCAGCGGCGGCGGCGGCGAACGTGGACGACGTAGTGGTCGTGGAGGAGGTGGAGGAAGAGGCGGGGCGGGAGTTGGACTCCGACTCTCACTACGGGCCCCAGCATCTGGAAAGTATAGACGACGAGGAGGACGAGGAGGCCAAGGCCTGGCTGCAGGCGCACCCCGGCAGGATTTTGCCTCCGCTGTCGCCCCCGCAGCACCGCTACTCGGAGGGCGAGCGGACCTCCCTGGAGAAGGTGAGGCGGGCCGGGGAGGGGTGTGGAGCCGCGGCGAGTTGGGGGTGGAGGCTGGGCCCCGAGCGCTCCGCCCGCCCGCAGGTCACGCCGCCTGACGGAGAAAACGCGCGCAGCTGAGGCTAGTAGGCGGCCCAGACTCCAGCCCAGGTGCCGGCCGGCTGCTCCGCGTCTCCCAGGCTTTGTGGCAAAGACTTCTCGTTTCCTCCCCCTCGGTGGGTCCTGGGCCTTTTGAACTCCCGTAGACGTTCAGGGGAGCCTGCATTCCCCGTGAGAAACGCTGAGAGAGGACCACGGGTGTGTCGAGCCTTGAAGGAGGGAAAAGGCGGTGTAGGACCGGAGCGAGTGGTTGCCTGGGGAGCATCTTGTTGGGGAGACAGTGAACAGATGAGCTTGACTGAATTGCAGGACTCCCCTGAGGGAGTAATGTGGATAATGTACACCGCGCGATCACTTAGTCTGGAGAGGCTCCCCGCGGGTTTTCCTCCCCTGGACCATCATTTGTAGCAATAAAGGGGTTCCCCAGCCGATAGGAGGGGCTTGGAATGCAGGAGGCTTGTGATGCGGCTCCAAACAGTCTGCAAAACTACAAAGCACAGATAATACACAATGGAGAAAGCCGATTTCATGGTAGACCCCCGAAGATCATTTTGAAAATAACTCTCCATTTAATTTGCTGCCCTTACCCCCCTTTTTTTAACTTACTGCTTTTCGAGGAGCAAGACCTGCCCTGCTCAGTACAGTAGCCACTGGCCACGTGTGGCTTTTTACATCTTAAAGAGAAAACTATTATAGTTTTGAGTAAGAGTTAAAAATAAATTAAATGAAAAATTCCATGCGTCTGTTCTTACCGGTTTTCAAGTGCTCAGCAGCCACACTAGGCTAGTGGCTACCATGTTGGACAGAGCAGATAATGGAACAGTTCCATCATCACAGACAGTGAAGGTGTAGAGTTTTGTCACTAATGAGCAGTAGTTGTTGTTTTGTCTGGTGAATATTCCAGGGGGTACTTAATTCATTGAACATGTATTATTAGAATTCACCATGTGCCACACATTGTGCTGGGTGCTAAGGAAAGCTTGGTGAACCCAAACATTTTTGGTCTCTGCCTTCCTTGTGTTCATGGTCTAGACAGGGAGGCAGACAGATTTCAGATGATCACATAAAGTGAAACTAATATATGTGCTAATATTCTATGAAAGCATAAAGTAAGATAATCTGGCCTTGTCAGTGAAGTTGGGAAAGCCTTCTTGAGGAGGTTATGATAGAGCTGATATCTGAAGACAGTTTAAGGTTAATCAGGCAAAGGGGAGGGAAAGAGCCGTCTAGCTGAGGGAAAAACACATGAAAAGGTACTGTTGATGAGAGAGAGCATGGCATTTTCCAGGACCCAGAAGCCAACGTGGTTTGAGCACAGACTGCAAGGCTTTGTGTGCTATGCCAAGGATTTAGGGGCTTTATCTCTGGAGCTTTGGGGAGTTGAAGAAAATATTTGAAACGAGGGGATGTATGATAAGTTAGGTGTTTCAGAAAGGTCAGGTGTATAGCAGAGTGTGGAACAGCTGTGATAGCAAGGTGGGATGGGGAGCAGTAGCCATAGGTCAAGGGCATAAATTAGGAGACCATTGCAGCATTGCCCGGCAAAAGATGATGAAAGTTTGGAATAGGGAAGTGTTGGTGGATACAGGGAAAAGTGGACTGATTTGAGAGATATTTAAGAGGCAAAATCATCATACTTAATAACGGATGGGATGTGAAAGGTGAAGTAGCCAGGTGTTAGGTTATTGTTTGAATGGTTGTGCCAATATTAAGATATGGCCAGATTTATGGTGGAGGTGGTGGCTGTGAGTGGGTGGTGGAATTGGTTGGGTGAGTCTTAAGATTATGAGTTTGGTTTTGAAGATTGAAGGAGAAGGCTGGGCTAGAGATTTCAAGTTGTAAGTCATTTACATAGAGACCATAATTAAAGCCACACTTGTTGACTAGGTCTTCTAACTTTTATTTTGTCCTGTGACTTCTTGCTTGAATAACTATTAATATTCAAACTTTATCTTGAAGCCTAGAGGAGGAGTTTTTTAAACAAAATTTTAATTTAATTTTAGATTTGGGGGTACATATGCACGTAATTAACATGGATATATTGCATAATGGTGAGGTTTGGGCTTCTAGTGAACCTCTCACCCAAATAATATACCTTTGTACGTGATAGTGTAACATTGTACTTGATAGGTAATTTTTCAGCCCTTCTCTCCTCCTTCTGGAGCCCCCAGTGTCTGTTTATTTCCATCTTTATGTCTGTGGGTACTTATTGTACCCATTTATCTTTATGCCTCTGTGTACCCATTGTACCCACTTGTCTTACCAGTGAGAGCATGTGGTATTTGATTTTCTGTTTCTGAATTGTTTCACTTGATAAATAGCCTCCAGGCTCCATCCATGTTGCTGCAAAGGACAGGATTTCATTCTGTTTATAGCTGCATAATATTCCACAATGTATATTAATACATACTACATTTTCTTTACCCATTCAGTTGTTGATGGACACTTAGGTTGATTTCATGACTTTGCTATTGTGAACGGTGCTGTGATAAACATATGAGCACAGATTTTTTTCTTTTTTTTTAATGGCGTCTAGCTGGTGTAGAACACCTGGGCTCAAGTGATACTCCGCCTTGGCTTCCCAAAGTGCTGGGATTACAGGTGTGAGCCAGTGTGCCTGGCTCAGATGTCTTTTTGATGAAATGATTTAATTTCCTTTGGAGAGATACCCAGTAGTAGGATTGCTGGGTCAAATGGTAGTTCTGTTTTGAGTTCTTCAAGAAATCTCCATACTGCTTTCCATAGGAGTTGAACAATTTACATTCCCAACAACAGTGTATACGTGTTCCCTTTTCTTCTCATCCTTGCCAACATCTGTTTTTTGACTTTTTAATAATAGCCATTCTGACTGGTGTGAGATGGTATCTCATTGTGATTTTAATTTGCATTTCTCTGATGCTTAGTGATGTTGAGCATTTTTTCATGTTTTTTGGCCGCTCGTATGTCTTCTTTTGAGAAGTGTCTGTTCAGTCTTTTGCCCGCTTTTTAGTGGGGTTATTTGTTTTTTCTTCCTGTTGATTTGTTTGAGTTCCTTATAGATGCTGGATATTAGTCCTTTGTCAGATGCATAGTTTGCAGATATTTTCTCCCATCCTGTAGGTTGTCTGTTTACTCTGTTGGTAGTTTATTTTGCTGTGCAGGAGCTCTTCTAGTTTAATTAAGTTCCATTTGTCTGTTTTTATTTTTGTTGCATTTGCTTTTGAGGTCTTAATCATAAACTTTTTTCCTAAGTATTCTTTAGGATTATTATAATTTCGGGCCTTACATTTAAATCTTTAATCTATCTTGAGTTAATCTTTGCATATGGTGAGAGATAGGGACCCAGAGGAGGAATTTTTAAGCTAACCCTCTTTTACTACAGCCAATGTGAGAAAATTATTTTCCTGTTTAATAATGAACTATCTTTTTTTTCCCCCGCCGAGATGAAGTCTTGCTCTGTTGCCCAGGCTGGAGTGCAGTGTCACGATCTTGGTTCACTGCAACCTCTGCCTCCTGGGTTCAAGCAATTCTCCTGCCTCAGCCTCCCGAGTAGCTGGGATTACAGGTATCCACCACCACGCCTGGCTAATTTTTGTAGTTTTAGTAGAGATGGGGTTTCACCATGTTGGCCAGGCTGGTCTTGAACTCCTGACCTGTGATCTGCCTGCCTCAGCCTCCCAAAGTGTTGGGATTAGAGGCATGAGCCACCGCGCCCGGCCTCTAATCGTGAACTATCTATGGGTAATAGAAAATCTTACTTCTGAGAGCCCAGAGTATTTTTTCCTCCCCACAGTTTTTTCTTTCCCCTGAGAAAAATTAGATATTTTCTTATTTACCTGAGAGAATATATGATAATATATAGAATATATAGATGATTTTCTGTATTAAAGGTAGATTTACAATGATACAAGGAGTGTTCAGATAATTTTTCCTTTAGTTCACTGGCATATTGAAACTTACTGGCATAGGTTGGAAAGTGTTTAAGGAAAAAATGCTTAGTATGTTTCTTGCTAGAAATTTATGAACTATGAAATTCTTAGATGTGTTGTATAACATCTAATGCTGCGTATTTAGAGGATGAGATCAAATAATAGGAAACATTAATTTCATCCAGTTTACTCTCAAGTTAAATGACAAAATTGTGTTATTCAATTTACTCTCATATCTCACTAGATAATAAGGGAGTTATAGTGGTGTTATATAAGGCAGTGATTAAGTTTGTAGTCCTGTTACTAAGGCTGAGTTAAACTATGATACTGTTTAAATTTGAAGCAAAATATGACCAGTCTTATAACTAAGTCTTTTTAAGAGGGAAGTGAGTGATTCAGAGCCTTATGTTGTTTTTATGCTGGTCCTACAGACCATTCAGGCACTTCTTGTAATTCCTTAACCTGAATTTCTGAGTTGTGCTGGGGAAGATAATTCAGTTCTCTGGGTTGGCATCACTAGAAATTCTTGGTCTCCAACTTTTAATTGGGTCATCAACAGTGCTTGGAAATCTTTTTTTTTTTTCTTTTTAAGATGGAGTCTCTCGCTTTTGTCACCAGGCTGGAGTGGCAGTGGCCCGATCTTGGCTAACTGCAACCTCCGCCTCCCGGGTTCAAGTGATTCTCCTGCCTCAGCCTCCGCAGTAGCTGGGACTACAGATGCGCGCCACCATGCCCAGCTAATTTTTGTATTTTTAGTAGAGATGGGGTTTCACCATGTTGGCCAGGATGGTCTTGATCTCTTGACCTCAGGTTATCCACCCGCCTCGGCCTCCCAAAGTGCTGGCATTACAGATGTGATGAGCCACTGCGCCCGGCCCAACAGTGTTTGGAAATCTTTAGTTTCCTCTCTGTCAGCTTCTTTCCCCATCTTCCCTCTTAACTTCTGTCTCCCACCCAGAGTTCAACATCCCCCCATAAGCAGGTTACAGTTTCAAAGAAGAGAACACAGGCTGAACCTCTCCCGTTTCTGCTCCCCATCTCCAAATTTATCTACAGTGCACAATTTATTTTTTTAACCTATTCATATACGTTTTATTCTTTTTTTTTTTTTTTTTGAGACGGAGTCTCGCTCTGTCACCCAGGCTGGAGTGCAGTGGCGCAATCTCGGCTCACTGCAAACTCAGCCTCCCGAGTTCATGCCATTCTCCTGCCTCAGCCTCCCGAGTAGCTGCGACTACAGGCGCCCGCCACCACGCCCGGCTATTATTTTGTATTTTTAGTAGAGACGGGGTTTCACCGTGTTAGCCAGGATGGTCTCCATCTCCTGACCTCGTGATACACCCGCCTCGGCCTCCCAAAGTGCTGGGATTACAGGCTTGAGCCACCGTGCCTGGCCTTGTATACGTTTTATTCTTAATATTAATCCTGTTTTGTGTTCCTAGGGTAAAAACTATTTAGTCGTAGTGTGCTTTTCTCTTGAGGAACTGCTAGATTTTATTTGCAGATATTTGATAATGGTTTTAAATGTTTTTCTGTTTGTTTTTTGTTTTCTTGGCCAGTATTTATCAAACTTGACATCAATATTATGCCATTTTCATAAAAGGTACTTGGATGATTTTTGTTTTTCTGGAACAGTGTAAGTACAAAGGAATTTTTCTTTCTTGTATGTTTGAAAGATATCACCATTTAAACTATCTCTGTATTCCTTTCAGGGTTGTAGTCTATATATGTTCTCCTTTCTTGGGTTAATTTTGGTGGTTTTCCTAGGAAATCATTCTTTTCAGTAAGGGTTTCTAGTTAATTTTAATGGAGTGCTACACAGTATTCTTTATTTTTTCATTTGCCTCTGTGGTTATTTTCACTTCTCATTCCCAATTTTGTGTAATTATGCTTTATTTTTCTCCTGATTTGACTAGGTAGGGGTTTATTTAATTTATTTTTCATTCAAGGACACAGCTCTTGATTTAAGTTTCTGTTGCTGTTTATTTTTTAATTATTAAAAATTATTAATTTTAATAATAAGTTCAGTTTTCATCTTTTACTATTTCCTTAGGTTTACTTTGATGTGTGTGTGTGTGTGTGTGTGTGTGTGTGTGTGTGTATTTCCTTGTGTTGAGTGCTTAATTGACTTACTTAAAAACATTTTAATAGCTTTTTTGAGATATCATTCATATACTGTACAATTCACCTTTAATTTAAAGTGCACAATTCAGTCATTTTCTGTATATTCATAGATATGTGCCATCATGATCACGGTCAATTTTAGAACATTTTATCACTTCTAAAAGAAACCCCATACACTTTAGCTGATATCCCCCGTCTTCCATTCCCCATATGCAACTATTAATCTACCTTCTGTCTATAGATTTACCTATTTTGGGCATTTCATATAAATGGAATGATATGTGTTTTTGTGACTGGGCTTCTTTCACTTAGCTTAATGGTTTCAGGATTCACCTGTGATGTGGCATGTATCAGTACTTCATTACTTTATATGGCTGAATAATATTTTATTATATGGATATGTGATATTTTGTATATCCATTCATCAGTTGATGGACATGTTTTTTTTCCTCCTTTTTGGCTATTATGTATAATGCTACCGTAGACATTCTTATATAAGTGTATGTGTGGACATATGGATTCATTTCTCTTGGATGTATATCTAGGAGTAGAATTTTTGGGACATATGGAATTCTGTTAACCTTTTAAGTTTCTGCCAGATTGTTTTCCAAAGTGGCCTTCCTATTAGCAGTGTATGAGAGTTCCAGTTTCTCCACATCCTTATCAGCACTTGTTATTACCTGACTTTTTTGTAGTTTTGATTTGCATTTCCCTTATGGTTCATGCATCTATTCATGTGCTTCTTGGCCATTTGTGTGTCTTCTTTGGAGAAATATCTATTCAGGTCAAACTTTTGCCCATTCTTTAATTGGGTTATTTGTCTATTTACTATTGGATTGTAAGAATTCTTTATATATATGCATATTACATATATAATCCCTTATCAATCAAGGGATTGACAAGATACAGTCCCTTGACAAATGTGAGGTCATGAGGACCTACTATGTTTTCTTTGAGATTTTATAGTATTGCTATTACATGTAGGTCTTTGATCCATTTTGAGTTAATTTTTGTATACGATATGAAGAAAGGGTTCAAACTTTATTCTTTCGTATGTGACTATCCAGCACTGTTTTTTTTTTTAAATTTTATTGATTTGTGTAAATTTATAGAGTTCAAGTATAATTTTGTTACATTGATATATTGCATAGCGGTAAAGTCAGGGCTTTTAGTGTATCCATCACTGGAGTAGCCTACGTTGTACTCATTAAGTAATTTCTCTTCATCCACCCCACTCTCACACTCCCCACCCTTCCAAGATTCCACTCTCTGTCATTCCATACTCTGCTTCCACATGTACTTGTTGTTTAGCTCCCACTTGGAAGAATAGGCAGTTTGTCTTTCTGCAGCACCATTTGTTAAAGAGGCTGTTCTTTTCCCCATTGATTGGTCTTAGTACCCTTGTAGAAAATCAGTTAGCCATAGATATATGGGTTTATTTCTGGATTCCCAATTCTATTTCATTGATCTATATGCCCACCTTATTCCAGGAAACACTTTTTTTTTTTTTTTTCTGAGATAGGTGTCTCTTTGTTGCCCAGGCTGGAGTGCATGCAGTGGTGCAATCTCGGCTCACTGCAACCTCCACCTCCTGGGCTCAAGTGGACCTCCTATCTCAGCCTACCAAGTAGCTGGAACTACAGGCACATGCCACCATGCCTGGCTAATTTTTGTAGGTTTTGTAGGGATGGAATCTCACCATGTTGCCCAGGCTGGTCTCAAACTCTTGGGCTAAAGCCATCTGCCCACCTCGGCCTCTCAATGTGCTGGGATTACAGGCGTGAGCCACCATGCCTGACTAGGAGACACTCTTTTGATTAATATTGCTTTATAGTAAGTTTTGAAATGGGGGAGTTCTCCAACTTTGCTTTCCTTTTTCAAGATATTTTAGCCATTCTGGAGCCCCTTGCAATTCCATATGAATTTTAGATTAGCTTGTCAGTTTCTGCAAAGAAGCCAGCTAGTATTTTGATAGAGATTGTGATGAATCTGTAGATCAATTTGGGAGTATGGTCATCTTGATATTAAATCATCTGGTCCTTTTTTTTGTTGTTGTTGAGATGGTGTCTTGCCCAGGCTGGAGTGCAGTGGTGCAATCTCAGCTCACTGAAACCTCTGCCTCCTGGGTTCAAGCAGTTCTCCTGCCTCAGCCTCCAGTAACTGGGATTACAGATGCACACCACCATCCCTGGTTTATTTTTGTATTTTTAGTGGAGACGGGGTTTCACCATGTTGACCAGGCTGGTCTCGAACTCCTGACTTCAAGTGATCCACCTGCCTTGGCCTCTCAAAGTGCTGGGATTGCAGGCGTGAGCCACCGTGCCTGGCCTAATCATCTGGTTCATGAACATGGGATATCCTTTCATTTATAGTTGTGTCAATTAATGATGAGGATACATTCTGAGAAATGTTTCATTACAGTATTTCATTGTTGTGCAAACATCATATAGTGTACGTACACAAACCTAGATGGCATAGCCTACTACACACCTAGGCTATATAGTCTAACTGTTTGCTCCTAGGCTACAAACCTGTACAGCATGTTACAGTACTGAATACTGTAGGCAGTTGTAACACTGTGGTAAGTATTTGTGTTGGATACGTTTGTGTATCTAACACAAATACTTAGAAAAGGTATAGTAAAAATATGGTATTTTACATATATATGTGTATATATATATGTGTATATATATGTGTATATATATGTGTATATATATGTGTGTGTATATATATATATGTGTATATATATATATATATATTTTTTTTTTTTTTTTTTTTTGAGACAGAGTCTCGCTCTGTCACCGAGGCTGGAGTGCAGTGACACAATCTCCGCCCACTGCAACCACCGCTTCCCAGGCTCAAGTGATTCTCATGTCAGCCTCCTGAGTAGCTGGGATTACAGGTGTGTGCCACCATGCCTGGCTAATTTTTGTATTTTTAGTAGAGATGGGGTTTTGTCATGTTGCCTAGGCTGGTCCCGAACTCCTGACTCAAGTGATCTGCCCACCTTGGCCTCCCAAAGTGCTGGGATTAGAGGTGTGAGCCACCATGCTGGGCCGGTATTATAATCTTATAGGACCACCATTATGTATGTGGTCTGTAGTTGATGGAAATGTTCTGATGTGGCATACAACTGTAATTAGATCTTCTTTAAATTTCAATAATGTTTTATAGTTTTCAGAATTGCACTTTTTTTCTTAAATTCTTCAAAATACTGTTTTTAATGGTATTGTCAGTGGAATTATTTTTCTTAATTGAATGTTTGGGTTATTCGTTGTAGATGTTTAAAAACACTTGATTTTTATATATATTAATATTGTTTCTGAATCTCTTCTGAACTTGTTTATTCATCCTAGTAGATTATTTGTGGGTTCTCTATGATTTTCTTGTAAAGATCATGTCAAGGGCAAATATATATAGCTTTATTTTTTCTTTCCAATCTGGATGCCTTTTATGTATTTATTTATGGCTAATTGCCCTGGCTAGAACCTTTAGTAAAATATTCAATAGGAGGGGTAAGAGTGTATATGCTTTTTTATTCCTGATCTTAGGGCAGGGGTGTCCAATCTTTTGGCTTCTCTGGGCTACATTGGAAGAATTGTCTTGGGCCACACATAAAATACACTAACAATAGCTGATGAGCTAAAAAAAATTGCAAAAATATAATGTTTTAAGAAGGTTTACGAATTTGTGTTGGGCCACATTCATGGTCCTCGGCTGTGGGTTGGACAAACTTGTCTTAGGGAGAAAGCATCCTGTCTTTTACCCCCGAGTATGATGTTAGTTGTGGGTTTTTAATAGATGCCCTTATCATATTGATGAAGTTTCTATCCCTAATTTCTTAAGTGTTTTTAATAATAATTTTGTCAAATTATTAATCGATGTATTACATTAATTGATATTAGGTTATTAAACCAGCCTTGTGAAAATAACTCACTTTGTCACAGTGTATAAACATTTTATGTGTTGCCTGTCATAGAAATACACACACACACACACACACACACACACACACACACGCTTGTATTTTGTTTAGAGTTATTCCATCTATATTTGTAAGATATATTGGTCTGTAGTTTTCTTTTGATGCTTTTGTCTGGTTTGGTATCAGGGTAATATTGACCTCATAAAGTGAATTGAAAGTATTCCTATTGGTTTTGGAAGAGTTTGTGAAGGACTGGCATTAATTCTTTGAAAGTTCGATAGGTTACATCAAATGGGTCTGAGCTCTTTTTTTTTTTTTTTTTTTTTGCAGGATGGGGCATAGTATTTTAATTACTAAATCACTCTTTTTTCTTCTTATGGGTCTATTCAGATTGTCCATTCTTTTTTTTTTTTTTTGAGACGGAGTCTTGCTCTGTCGCACAGGCTGGGGGTGCAGTGGCGCGATCTCAGCTCACTGCAAGCTCCGCCTCCCAGGTTCATGCCATTCTTCTGCCTCAGCCTCCCAAGTAGCTGGGACTACAGGCGCCTGCCACCACGCCTGGCTAATTTTTTGTATTTTTAGTAGAGACGGGGTTTAACCGTGTTAGACGGGATGGTCTCGATCTCCTGACCTCGTGATCCACCCTCCTCGGCCTCCCAAAGTGCTAGGATTACAGGCTTGAGCTACCGCGCCCAGCCTGGTTAGGCTCTGGTAAAATAGTTTGAGGGCAAGTTTTCTAAGAAGAACAAAATACTCTGGGAATATTCAAAATGGTTATCCCCAACCCCCTCCCCCTAACTGGGGGGTAGGTATTTTTCTCTCATCTTAACTGTGGTAACATGCTAGGGGTTGTGGAGATAAAACTTACAGAAGCATGGAGGCCCTTCATAAGACTGGTTTCCCTGCGGCTTTTAATTCTCAAAGTTGTCGCATTGCACCTCCAGCAATTTGTCAATTACACTAGATTTTTCTTCCCTAGTACTAGTTAGTTCCCACAGTGGTTTCTGTTCTTGGGATTCTGCTCTGGTAAGTTGTGATTCTCTGTGTATGTACCTCTCCAATTTTTGGAACAATAGTTTGCCCTTCATCTCAGTTCTCTGATGGATATAAGAAGAGTTTTGATTTTTTAGTTTGTTCAGCTTTTTTTTTTTATGATGGGGATGGGAGTGATTACTTCCAAGCTCTTTATATGCTTCACCAGACCTCTGTTTTGGGGTTTTTTTGTTTTGTTTTGTTTTTGAGATGGTGTTTCGCTCTTGTTGCCTAGGCTGGAATGCAATGGCATTATCTTGGCTCACTGCAACCTCTGCCTCCCGGATTCAAGTGATTCTCCTGCCTCAGCCTCCTGAGTAGCTGGGTTTACAGGCATATGCCACCACGCTCAGCTAATTATTTTTCTTGTATTCAGTAGAGATGGGATTTCACCATGTTAGGCTGGTCTCGATCTCCTGACTTCAGGTGATCCACCTGCCTCGGCCTCCCAGAGTGCTGGGATTACAGGCGTGCGGTTTTGCTTTTAAACAGACTTTATCTTTTAGGGCAGTTTTAGGTTCACAGCCACATTGAATGGGCAATACAGAGTTCCCATCTGTGCCCTGCCCCTCTCCATAGCCTCCCTCACTGTTAACATCCTGAATCAGAGATGTGTCTTTTGCAAATATTTTCTTCCAGTCTATAGCTTGTCTTTTTATTCTTTTGACAGTGTTTTTCACAAAGCAGAATAAGTTTTTAATTAAATCCAGCTTATCAATTATTTCTTTCATAGATTATATGCCTTTAGTATTGTATCCAAAAAGCCATCACCAAACCCAAGGACATCTAGATTTTCTCCTATGTTATCTTCTAGGAGTTTTATACTTTTGCACTTTGCATTTAGGTCTTTTTATACTTTTGCACTTTGAATTAATTTTTGTGTGTGAAGGATGTCAGATCTGTTTCTGGGTTCATTGTTTTGCATGTAAATGTCCAGTTGTTCCAGCACCATTTGTTGAGAAGACTTTCTCCATTGTATTGCCTTCGTTTTTTGGTCAAAAAATCAATTGAATACATTTATATGGGTCTATTTCTGGGCCTTCAATTCTGTTTTATTGATCAATGTGTCTATTTCGTTGATACATGCTGTCTTTATTACTGTAGCTTTATGGTAAGTCTTGAAGTTAGGTAGTGTCAGTCCTCCAATTCGGAGTCTTTTGCCCCTCCATATAAACTTTAGATTGAATTCATTGATGTGTATTAAAAATTGCTGGGATTTTGATTGGGATTGCGTTGATCTTAATAGATCAAGTTGGGAAGAACTGACATCTTGACAATATTGAGTATTTCATGAAGTTGAAATACCTTCTCATTTATTTAGTTCTTTGATTTCATTCATCGAGTTTTATAGTTTTCCTCATATAGATCTTACATGTATTAAGTTAGATTTATACCTAAATATTTTATTTCTTGGGTTGTTAATGTAAATGGTATTATTGTACTTTTAACTTCAAATTCCACTTGATTGCTGGTATACAGGAAGTGATTGACTTTTATATATTAACCTATATTCTGCAGTTTTGCTAGTTTTACTTATTAATTCCAGGAAAGTTTTGTCAGTTCTTTTGGATTTTCTTTTTTTTTGAGATGGAGTCTGGCACTGTCACCCGGGCTGGAGTGCAGTGGTGTGATCTCAGCTTACTGCAACCTCTGCCTCCCGGGTTCAAGCGATTCTCCTGCCTCAGCCTTCTGAGTAGCTGGGATTACAGGCGCCTGCCACCATGCCTGGCTAATTTTTGTTTTTTTTGTATTTTTAGTAGAGATGGAGTTTCACTATGTTGGCCAGGCTGGTCTCAAACTCCTGACCTTGTGATCTGCCCTTCTCAGCCTCCCAAAGTGCTGGGATTACAGGCGTGAGCCACTGCGCCTGGCCTGGATTTTCTGTATAGACAGACAGTCATGTCATCTGCAAACAGAGTTTTATTTCCTCCTTCCCAGACTGTGTACCTTTTATTTCCTTTTCTTGTCTTATTGCATTAGCTATGACCTCCAATACACTGTTGGACAGTGGTGAGAGGGTGTATTATGTCGTCATTGTGTTGCTATGAAGAAACACCTGAGGCTGGGTAAGTTACAATGAAAAGAAGTTTAATTGGCTCATGGTTCTGCAGAGTATGAGAAGCTTGGTGCCAGCATCTGCTTCTGGTGAGCTTACAATCATGGTGGAAGGTGAAGTGGGGGCAGGCGTCTCACATGGCGAGAGCAGAAGCCAGAGAGCAAGGGAGGAGGTGCCACTCTTTTAAACAACCAGGTCTTGTGTGAACTTAGAGTGAGCGCTCACTTATCACTAAGGGAATGGTGTTAAACTAATCATGAAGGATCTGCCCCCATGATCCAGTCACCTTGTACCAGACCCCACCTCCAACACTGGGGATTACATTTCAATATGAGATTTGAAAGGGACAGATATCCAAATCATATCAGAGAGGGAATCCTTGCCTTGTTCTTGATCTTAGAGGCAAAGCTTCGAGTTTCATTAGGTATGATATTAGTTGTAGGATTTTTTGTAGATACTCTATGTCAAGTTGAGAATATTCCCCTCTATTCCTATTTTAATGAGAATATCGTGAAGAGGTTGTCAAATGTTTTTTCTGCATCTGTTATATGATCATGTGGTTTTTCTTCTAAAGCTTGTCAACATGATGGATTATATTAATTGTTTTTTTTTTTTTTTTTTTGAGACAGGGTCTGGCGTTGTCACCCAGGCTAGAGTGCAGTGTTGCCATCTTGGCTCACTGCAACCTCTGCCTCCAAGGCTCAAGCCGTCCTCCTACTTCACCCTCCTGAGTAACTGGGACCACAGGCATGTGCCACCATACCAGGCTAATTTTTGTATTTTTTTTAGAGGTGGCAGAGGGGGGTCTCACTTTGTTGCCCAGGCTGGTCTCGAACTCCTGAGCTCAAGTGATCTGCTCACCTTGGCCTCTCAAAGTGCTGGAATTACAGGTGGGAGCCACTGTGTCCAGCCTTAACTGACTTTTGAATGTTGAATCAAGTTTGCGTACGTGGGATAAACCCACTTGTCATGATGTACAATACTTTTGTACATTGTTAAATTTGATTTGCTAATATTTTGCTGAGAATTTTTACATTGATATTCATGGGAGATAATGGTCTGTTGTTTTCTTTTTTGGTAATATGTTTGTCTGGTATTGGCAGTAGGGTAATACAGACTTCATAGAATGATTAAGAAGTATTCTCTCTGATTCTGTCTTCTGAGAGATTTTAGAGAACTGGTACAATTTCCTCCTTCAGGGTTTGGTAGCATTACCAGTGAACCTGTCTGGGTCTGGTGCTTTCTGTTTTAGAAGGCTATTAATTTATGATTCAGTGTTTCGAATAGATATAGGCCTCTTCATTTTGTCTATTTTTGTGTCAGATTTGACAGATTATCTTTTTTAAGAAATCGTTCATTTTATCTAGGCTATCAAATTTGTGGGCATAGAGTTGTTTATAGTGTTCCTTTATTATCCTTTTAATGTCCATGAGATCTGTTGTGATGTCCTCTCTTTCTTTTTTCTTTTTTTTGAGACAGAGTCTTGCTGTGTCACCGAGGCAGGAGTGCAATGGCGCAGTCTCCCTCACTGCAACCTCTGCCTCCTGGGTTCAAGCGATTCTTGTGCCTCAGCCACCTGAGTAGCTGGGATTATAGGTGTGTGCCACTATGCCCGGCTAATTTTTGCATTTTTAGTAGATTTAGGGTTTCGCCACTTTGGCCAGGCTGGTCTCAAACTCCTGGCCTCAAGTGATCTGCCCACCCTGGCCTTCCAAAGTGCTGGGATAACAAGAGTGAGCTACCATACCTGGCCTCATTTTTGATGTTCATAATTTGCATCCTTTATCTTATTTTATTAGCCTGGCCAGAGGTTTATTGATTTTATTGATCTTTTCAAAAGAACCAGCATTTAAGCTTTTACTGATTTTCTCTCTTTATTTGCTATTCTCAATTTCATTGATTTCTGCTCTACTTTTTATTTATTTTCTTCTCCTCACTTTAAATATGATTTATTCTTCTTTTTCTAGTTTCCTAAGTTGGAAGCTTTGATAATTGATTTCAGATTTTTTTCCTAATATATACATTCGGTGTTATAAATTTCCCAGTAAGCACTACTTTTGCTGCATCACAAATTTTGATAAGTTGTATTCTTACTTTCATTTAGTTGAAATATTTTTAAATTTCTTTTGAGAGTTTTTATTTGACCCACATGCTATTTAGAAATACACTGTTTAACCTCTTAAGTATGTTGGGATTTTCCAGCTATTTTTCTGTTATTGATTTCTAGTTTATTTTTTCCTTTATTGTATATATTTATACATCATGATGTTTTGATATACATATACCTAGTGAAATGGTTGCCATAGTCAAGCAAATTAACATATTCGTGATCTCACATAGTTACTGCCTTTTTTTTTTTGTGGCAAGAGCTTCTAAAATCCTTTTAGCAAGAATCCTAAATATAATACAATATTATTAACTATAGTACTTATATTTTACGTTGAATTGCTAAACTTGCTGATCCATCATACCTGCAACTTTGAATCCTCTGACCTGCATCTCCCCATTTCCTCCCCTGTTCCTCACTTCTACTTCTTTGTACTTGACTTTAAAAAATAGATTTCATATGTAAGTGAGATCATGCAGTATTTTTCTATCTTCCAGGTTTATTCATGTGACAAATGGCAGGATCACCTTCCTTTTTAAGGTTGAATAATATTCCTCCCCCTTCCCCTCCTCGTGTGTATGTGTGTGTGTGTTATGTGTGTGTGTGTGTGAGTGTGAGTGTATGTGTGTGTGTCTTGTAGTTTATTCATTCATCAATGGATGCTGTAGTTGTGTTCGTGGCTATTGTGATAATGCTGCAGTGAACATGGGAGTGCAGGTATCTGTATGAGGTGGTGGTTTCATTTTCTTTAGGTTTTTACCCAGAAATGGAATTGCTAGGTCATACAAGAAAAGTAGTCCTTTTCTTTCTTTTCTTTCTTTCTCTCTCTCTTTTTTTTTTTTTTTTTTTTTAAGACAGAATCTCGCTCTGTTGCTCAGGCTGGAGTACAGCGGTGTGTTCTCAACTCACTGCAACCTCCGCCTCCCGAGTTCAAGCGATTCTTGTGTCTCAGCCTCCTGAGTAGCTGGGGTTACAGGTGTGCACTACCCTGCCTGGTTAATTTTTGTATTTTTAATAGAGGCGGGGTTTCGTCATGTTGGCCAAGCTGGTCTCAAACTCCTAACCTCAGTGATCCTCCCACCGTGTTTGGATTACAGGCACGAGCCACCGCGCCCAGTCGTAGTTCTATTTTTAATTACTTTAGAAAACTTTATACTGTTTTCCGCAATTGCTGCACTGGTTTACATTGCCACCAGCAGTGTACAAGGGTTCTCTTTTTTCCACACCCTTGCCAACACTTATCTCTTGAATCTTTTTGTTTTTTAAATAATAGCCATCCTAACAAGTGTGAGATGATATTTCATTTTGGTTTTAATTTGCATTTCCCTGATGATAGTAATATTGAATATCTTTTCATATGCTGATTGGCCATTTTTCTTTTCTTTTTTTCTGTTTTGGAGAAATGTTTGTTCAGGTCCGTTGCCCATTCTAAAATTAGGTTGTTTGTTTTTCTTCTACTGAGTTGCACAAGTTCTTTATATATTGTGGAAACTGACTCCTTATCAGATATATGGTTTGCAGATATTTTCTCATCTGTAGTAGACTGTCTTCTCATTTTGTTGATTGTTTACTTAGATGTGAAACTCTTTAGCTTGATTTAGTTCTATTTATTTATTTTTGCTTTTGTAGCCTGAGCTTTTGTTGTGATATCCAAAACAACATTGCCAAGACAAGTGTCAAGGAGTTTTTCCCATATATTTTCTTCTAGGTTTATGGTTTTAAGTCTTCATGTTGAGTTCTTTAATCAACTTTGAGTTGATTTTTGCTGGTGGTGTAAGATAAAGGTCCAATTTCATTCTTTTGCATGAGGAAATTTAATTTTCTCAGCACCATTATTTGAAGAGATCTTCTATTCCCTATTGTGTCTTCTTGGTGCCCTTGTCAAAAATTAGCGAATCATATATGCTTGGGTTTATTTTTCTCTCTCTATTCTGTTCCATTGGTTTACATGTCTACTTTTTATGCCAGTACCACACTGTTTGGGTTACTATAACTTTGTAATATAATTTGAAACCAGGAAGTGTGCTTCCTCCAACTTTGTTTTTGTCTTACAGAATTACTTTGGCTCTTTAGAGTCTTTTGTGGTTCTATATGAATTTTAGATTTTTTTTTCTATTTTTGTGAAAAATGCCATTGGCATTTTCATAAGGATTGTGTTGACTTTGTATTGCTTTGGATAGTACATACATTTTAACAATATTAATTATTTCAGTCTGTGAACATGGAATATCTTTCTATTTATTTGTGTCCTTAATTTCTTTCATTAGTATTGTAGTTTTCAGTAGACAGATCTTTTGCCTTCTTGGTTACATTTATTTCTAAGTCTTTTTATTTTGTTTTTTGATGCTATCATAAGTGGGATGGTTTTCTTGATTTCTTTTTCATATAAGTAGTTATTTGTGTACAGAAGTGCAACTGATTTTCATATATTGATTTTGTATCCTGCGGCTTTACTGGGTTTATTCTTTTTTCTTTTTGAGACAGAGTCTCACTCTGTTGCCCAGGGTGGAGTGCAGTGGCTCGATCCCTGCTCACTGCAACCTCCACCTCCTGGGTTCAAGTGATTCTCCTGCCTCAGCTTCGCAAATAGCTAGGACTACAGGCGCGCTGCCACACCTGGCTAATGTTTACATTTTTAGCAGAGATGGGGTTTCACCATTGCTGGTCAGGGTGGTCTCAAACTCCTGACCTCAAGTGATCCACCCGCCTTGGCCTCCCAAAGTGCTGGGATTACAGGTGTGAGCCACTGTGCCTGGCCTATTCATTCTAACAGTGTCGATTTTAGTCTTTGGGGGTTTTCAGTATATAGGACTTTTTCCTTTCAATTTATATTTCTTTTTCTTGCCTAATCGCTTTAGTAGGATTTCCAGTGCTATGTTGAGTAGAAGGGTGAGAGCAAGCATCTTTGTCTTGCTTCTGATCTTAGAGGAAATGTTTTCAGTTTTTCACCATTGAGTATGATATGAGCTGTGGGACATACAGCTTTTATTATGTTGAGGTAGTTTTCTTCTGTTTATAGTCTGTTGACTTTTTTTTTTTTTAAATAATGAAAGGGTGTTGAATTTTGTGAAGTGCTATTTCGGTTTCATTTGAGATGATCATGTGGTTTTTGTCCTTCCATTAATGTGGTGTATTACATTGATCAATTTTTGTATGTTGAACCATCCTTGTATTCCACGAATTCCACTTGGTCATGGTGTGTAATCCTTTTAACGTACTGCTGAATTCTTATTGGTAATATTTTGTTGAGGATTTTTACATCAATAGTCGTCGGGGATACTGGTTTATAGTCTTCTAATGTCTTTGTCTGACTTTGGTATCAGGATAATGCTGGCCTCATAGAATGATTTGGAATGTTCCCTCCTGTGCAATTTTTTGGGATTGTTTCAGGAGGATTGGTGTTAATTCTTCTTTAAATGTATGGTAGAATTCTCCAGTGAAGCTTTCTTGTCCTGGACCTTTTTTTTTTTTTTTTTTTTTTTTTTTTTTGAGACAGGGTCTTACTTTGTCACCCAGGCTGGAGTGCAGTGGTGCAATCTCAGCTCACTGCAACCTCTGCCCTCCAGGCTCAAGCAGTCCTCCTACCTCAGCCTCCCAAGTAACTGTTACCACAGGCAAGCACCACCATGTCCAGCTATTTTCGTTGTATTTTTAGTAGAGACAGGATCTCACCATGTTGCCCAGGCTGGTCTCTAACTCCTGAGCTCAAGCATTTCTCCTGCCTTGGCCTCCCAAAGTACTGGGATTACAGGTGTGAGCCACTGCGCCTGGCCATGGGCTTTTCTTTTGTGGGAGGTTTTGGATTATTGATTCAATTTCCTTGTTGTTGGTCTGTTGAGATTTTCTTATTTTTTCATGTTACTCAGTCTTGGTAGGCTGTGTGTTTCTAGGAATTGATCTGTTTCTTCTAGGCTGTCCAATTAGTTGGAGTACAGTTGTTCATAGTATTCTCCTATGATCCTTTTTATTTCTATGGCATTGGTTGTCATGTCCCCTCTTTCATTTCTGAATTTAGTTATTTGAGGCCTTTTTTTTTCTCAGTCAGTCTAGCTAAAGGTTTGTCAGTTTTGTTTATATTTTCAAATAACTATTGGTTTTCTTGATTTTTTTCCTACTGTTTTTCTATTCTCTTTTCTTTATCTTTGCTCTAATCTTATTTTTTCCTTCTGATCACTTTGGGTTTAGTTTCTTTTTCTAGTTCTTCAAGGTGTAATGTTAGATTATTGACATGAATTTTTTTTTTTAAATATAGGCATTTACGACTGTAGATTACCTTCTTAGTCCTACTTTTGCTACATTCAATAAGCTTTGGTATTTTGTGCTTTAATTTTTGTCTTAATGTATTATTTCCTTTGTTACTTCTGTCGTGACCCATTGTCTTTTTAAGAGTTTGTTGTTTAATTTCTATAAATTTCTTGATTTTCCACTTTTCTTTCTGCAGCTACCTTCTAGTTTCATTCTGTTGTGATCAGAAAAGATACCTAATACTTTGTGGCCAACATGTGGTGTATCCTGGGGAATGTTTCACGTGCACTTGAGAAGAATGTATATTGTGCTGTTGTTGGGTGGAGTGTTCTGTATATGTATGTTAGGTCCAATTGGTCTGTAGTGCTGTTCAGGTCTTTTCTTTCCTTATTGATCTCATTCTATCCATCATGGAAAGTTGGTTATTGAAGTCTCTCACTGTTTTTGGAGAGCTCCCTTCAATTTTATCAATGTTTGCTTTAAGTATTTAGGAGCTCCAATGTCTGACACATATATAATTATTATATCTTATTTGTGCATTGACCCCATAGTGTTCTCCTTTGTCTATGGTATCAGTTTTGTTTAAAAATGTATTTTCTCTGATATTAGTGTTGCCGCTATTGCTCTCTTTTGGTTACCATTTGCATGGAATATCTTTTTGAATCTTTTTACTTAGAGCCTGTGTGTGTCCTTAGTTCCAAAGTGTCTTTTAAACAGCATATAGTTGGGTCCTGTTTTTTAATCCTATGGGTTTTTTTTTTTTTTTTTGGTAATTTCTTTGTCCTTTCATAGCTTGTTTTTCATTTCCTCCCCTTCTTTCTTTGTGTTTAGTCAATTTTTTTGGTAGGGATATATTTTGATTCTCTTATTTCCTTTTGTGTATATTCTGTAGCTATTTTCATTGTAGTTACCATGAGAATATCATAAAACTCCTTAGGAGGATAACAACCTGTTTAAACTAGTAACAACTTCACTTCAATCACATATAAAAACTCTAGTCCTTTATAGCTTTGCCCCCCAACCTCCACCTCCCGGGTTCAAGTGGTTCTCCTGTCTTAGTCTCCCAAGTAGCTGGGACTACAGGCACAGGCCACCATGCCTGACTAATGTTTACATTTTTAGCAGAGATGGGGTTTCGCCATTGTTGGCCAGGCTGGTCTCAAACTCCTGACCTCAAGTGATCCACTTGCCTTGCCTCCCAAAGTGCTGGATTACAGGCATGAGCCACCGCACCTGGCCAAAGTTATTAGTACCCTGTTAACAACATTTTACTGGTGTCACAAGTAACATGTTTATATATTGTTTAACCATTAACATACTTTCTTAGTTTGTTTTCTCTTGCTTATAACAATACTTGAAACTGGGTAGTTTATTTTAAAAAGTTATGGAGGCTGAGAAATCCAAGGTCAAGGGTGAGGGCCTGATGAGGGCCTTCTTGCTGATGGGGACTCTGCAGAATCCTGAGGTGGTGCAGGGCACATGGTGAGGGGGTTGGGCATGCTAGCTCAGGTCTCTCTTCCTCTTCTTATAAAGCTACCAGTCCACTCTCATGATAAGCCATTAATCCATTAATCCATCAAGTCATTAAGCCGTTCAGATCTGCCCTCATGATTAATTCATTCATGAGAGCCCAGATCCCTGATGACCCAGTCACCTCTGAAAGGTTCTACCTCTCAGTACTGCCACATTGCGGATTAAGTTTTAACATGAGTTTTAGAGGGGACAGATACTCAAATCATAGCATGTAGATTTATAGTTAATTTTTATGCTTTTGTCTTTTAAATCCTATAAAAGAATTAAGGTGGAGTTACTCACCAGAATTAAAATAATGTTTTTATATTTGTCCATATATTTACCTTTACCAGAGAACTTTATATTTTCCTATGGCTTAAAGTTACTATCTAGCATCCTTTAATTTCAGCTTGAAGGACTGCCATTAGCATTTCTTCCAGGTGAGGTCTAGTGGTAATGAACTCTCTCAGCTTTTGTGAATGTTTTAATTTTCCCTTTTACAGGTGCATGCCATCATGCCCAGCTAATTCTTGTATTTTTAGTAGAGACGGGGTTTTGCTATGTTGGCCAGGCTGGTCTGGAACTCCTGACCTCAGGTAATCCTCCTGCCTTGGCCTCCCAAAGTGCTGGGATTACAGGTGTGAGCCACTGTGCACCTTGTATCTTTCTTTGTCTGTTCGAGGATCTGAGATACTATTTTAAAGTCCTTTGGAAGTATAGTTTGTAATCGGATTTTTAGTAAGAGGGTTATTTTTTTTTTCTCTTTGTGTGCATTCTTCTCTACCTGCTCTTTTTGTGGTTGTTTCTGCTTTGTCCTTTATGGCATCTTCTTTAGAAGGAAATCTTATATTGGAAGCTCTGGGTTCTTATTCTTCAGGGTTATTGGGAAAAATCTCAAGAACCAGTCCCTGAACCAGTGGGTGGCTTGACCAGGTCATTTTTGTTTTATTGCCTGTAATCTGTCCATTTGTGTTCCTTCAGCCTTTGGCTATGGTCACAACGTTTATTGCCTTCTTTCACTAGTAGGAGAGCGCTGCTCCAACCCCTTACTTCACAAAATGATTCTGACTTTTGTTCCCACTTCTTGTGCTATGAGTTGATTTCAGTCCCTATTATTGGGGTTGATTTTTAACTGTCTCAACCAGTAAGATTTAAAAATAGACAACTTGCTTGTTTCTGTTTGCTGCTTTTACCTCTATGGGTAAAGGAGGTTAAGGAACTGCTGTGGTTTATGCAAAAGTATGCTGTGTCCTAACTGAGTAACCTTAAGGATAATAGCTTGTATAATGGTTGTGAAATCAAAATGTCGTATATGTGAAAGGGCTTTATAAACTGGGAAGTATGGTCTAAATATTAGTTTATTTTTGTTGTATAATCATAGTGATTGTGTTATTACTCTATTTAAGCCTGCTTTTGATTTTCAGATTGTTCCATTGACCTGTCATGTATGGCAACAGATAGTATATCAAGGCAATAGTAGAACACAAATTTCTGATACTAATGTGGTCTGTTTGGAAACAACAGCTCAGCGGGGTTCTGGGGATGATCAGGTATGTCTTCTGTAACTGGCTAACTTTTTTTTTTTGATAAGCAGCACAAGAAATTCTGATTTAGCTATGAAGAATGGAAAAATAAATTAATATTCATTAATATTATGTTTTCTTGTCTTTTTTTTTTTTTTTTTTTTTTTTTTAAGACAGGGTCTCACTCTGTCACCCAGGCTGGAGGGCAGTGGCATGATCATAGCTTACTGCACCCTCCAACTTCTAGGATCAAGTGATCCTCCTGCCTGAGCCTCTTGAGTAGCTGGGACTACAGACATATACCATCAAACCCACCTAATTATTTTTAAAAAATTTTTTATAGATGGAGTCTCGCTTTGTTGCCCAGGCTGGTCTTGAGCTCTTGGCCTCAAATGATCCTTCGCCTTGGCCTCCCAAAGTGCTAGGATTACAGGAGTGAGCCACCACTCTTGGCCAAATATTCTATTTTTCTAATAGATTGTTGTAAACTTTATGTATATGTAGAAGAGCAGTTCACTTTTTTTGAAGGCGGGTCTCAGGACTCTTATTTTTATTTTTAGTTTAAAAATTTTTTATAGAGATGGGAGTCTCTGTGTTTACTGGGCTGGTCTCTCATTCCTGGCCTTAAGTGATCCTCTTGCCTCGGCCTCCTAAAACTATGAGATTACAGGCATGAGCCACTGTGCCTGTCCTCAGGACTCTTTATATTCTTCACAAGTATTCTTAAGAGCTTTTGTTTATGTGGATTATCTATATAGATATTTAGCATACAAGAAATTAAAACATTTAAAACTATTTTAAAATTTATTTTGAAAGAACAAACCTATTACATATTACCATAAATAGTATATTTTAAAGTAAAAAATGACTGTTTTCCAAAACAAAAAAATTAGTTGGAAGAATAGCATTGTTTAAATTCCGGCTTACTAGAACTCAGTTGGTATATTATTCAGGGTTCTCCAGAGAAACAGAACCAATAGGTTGGAGATAGATACATCTATCTATTTATACACATCTGTGTGTATGTGTATATATATATCTTTATTGATATTTATTATATAGAATTGGCTTATGTGATCATGAAGACTGAGAAGTCCCAAGATCTGCAAGCTGGAGCCCCAGGAGGGCTGATGGTATAGTTCCAATTCAAGTCCAAAGGCTTGAGAACCAGGAGCACCAGTGATGTAAGTTTTGATCTGAATCTGCAGGTAGAATACCCTCCAGCTGGAAGACCATCAGGCAGAGAGAACACATTCTCTCTTGCTCAGCCTTTTGTTGTATTTAGGCCTTCAAGGTACTGGATCAGGCCTACCCACATTGGAGAGGGTAACCTGCTTTACTTAGTTTCCAGATTCAAATGTTAATCTCATTCATACACACCTCACAGGCCAGGAACAGTGGCTAACGCCTGTAATCCCAGCACTTTGGGAGGCTGAGGTGGGTGGATCACCTGAGGTCAGGAGTTCAAGACCAGCCTGGCCAACATAGTGAAACACTGTCTCTACTAAAAATACAAAAATTAGCCAGGCGTGGTGGTGCACACCTGTAATTGCAGCTACTTGGGAGGCTGAGGCAAGAGAATCGCTTGAACCCAGGAGGTGGAGGTTGCAGTGAGCTGAGGTTGCGCCACTGCACTCCATCCTGGGCGATGGAGCAAGACTTGTCTCAAAAAAAAGCAAAAAAACCCAAGAAAACAAAACAAAAAATACCACACACATACACACACCTCACAGACGTATCCAAAATTGTGTTTAACCAAGTATCTGGACACTCCATGATCCAGTCATTTTGATACATAAATTACCTATCATAGCTGGATTCTCAGTCTGCTCTGCATTTCATTTGTTGGGATGTATTGTTTTGGTTGAAGTATATGAAGACAATCTTGCCTTACATAGATGAAAAAGGAGTTAGGGAAAGGAGGCTGTCATTCAGTCCCTGAAAGGGTGTCAGTGACCCTCAGGGATTTTTGGACTACACTTTGAGAACCACTTTTCTAGAACATAGTTATAAACTTTGAAGAAATGAAACGATCATGAGCAGATAGGAAAAAAGCTCATGTAGAGTTATTGGAGGAAAAATGTTATTAGTGTTACTAATAATGGTTAAATATTTAAGGTTGATTAATAACTTGAGTATCAGATTTCTCCTATTACCTTCAGTTTTCTTTAAATTGCAGTGATTACCTGTTAGATGCAAGATATGGAGGAAGGGAGATACACTATCACTGAGGCAAAGTAGTTAAGACAATCCCTGACCATAAAAAACATAGTACCTGGGGCCATTAAATGGAAGAGGATTGTTTTGGGTCGAATTGTGCCCTCCCAAATTATATGTTGCAGTCCTAATCCCCAATACCTCAGAATGTGACCTTATTGGTGATTGCAGGTGTAATTATTTAAGCTCACACTGGAGTAGGGTTTGCTCTTAATCCAATCTAACTGGTGTCCTTATGAAAGAGGAAAGCACCATGTGAGGAGAAAAACATACAAGGAGAAGATGGCCGTGTGAAGATGGAGGCAGAAATTGGAATTATGCTGCCACATCCAGGGAATGCCTGGGGCTTCCAGAAGGTAGAAGTAGCAAGGAAGGACCCTCCCCTAGGGGCTTCAGAGGGAGCATGACCCTGCCAACACCTTGATTTCAGACTTCTGGCCTCCAGAACTGCGAGATAATAAATTTCTGTTGTTTTAAGCCACTTAGTTTGTGTCACTTTGTTATAGCAGCCCTAGGAAACTAATACCGGGTCATATTTCTAAATAATATTCTCTGAGGGCATATTTTTGGTAGAGCACAGTCCAAAAATTGATGTCTTCCTTTTTTTCCTGTTTCACACAATACGAACCATGATGGACCCTAAAGCACTTCATTTCATCCTTTACGCCTGGGTTCGTCAGAATAGCTGGAATATTATGCCGCTTTCTAGTTCACTTCCTTCTTATTCTTTCGTCGTTCATCTTTGTTACTGTCATCTGAGTTACCTTTATTTATTCATGGAAAACTAGCTCTTGCTACATTGTCTTCCTCTCTTTTATTGGTTTCTTTCACTTCAGCATACATTTCCCATTCAGTGCCTGAAGTTCTCATATATTTCATCTAATCTCCAGTGATCTTTACTTCCGTACCTCCTTCCAGTCTTCTCCTACCTGTATGTAGTTACTCATCCCATGATCACAGTCTATCTAGACTTTGTCATCACCAGCTACTTTACTACAAATGTCTCGTCCTCTCTTCCCTTCCGGCTACTGCTTCGGTCAATATTCTGCTCCCTGTTACAGTGAAATTTTCAAGAGTTGTCTATACATTTTCTGTTTCTGTTTCCTGATATCCTATGCTCATTTTTAAAAAGTCAGGTTTATTGTAGGTATAGGTTAAACATATCAAAATTTACTCTCTTAGGTGTACAGTTTGTCAAGTGAGCTTTGACATACGTATACAGTCATGCAGTCACCACCACATTTGAGATAGACAGCACTGCCTTCACAAAAAGGAACGTCACAAAAAGTTCCTGTGTGCCCCTTTGTAGTCAGTCACTTCCCCAACTCCTAGTCCCTGGCAACTACTTATCCAATTTCTTTCTCTTTAGTTTTACCTTTTCAGAATAATACGGTGTGTAGACTTTTGAATTTGACTTCTTTCACTTGGCTTAGCTTTTGAGATTTATCCATGTTGTTGCATGTATCAATAATTTGTCCACTTTAATTTTTATTACTGAGTAGTATTCCATTTGTGTGTAGGTTTTTCGGTAGACATACTGCTTCATTTCTCTTGGCAAATACCTAGGAATGGCTGGACGTGGTGGCTCACGCCTGTAATCCCAGCACTTTGGGAGGCCGAAGTGGGTGGATCACTTGAGGTCAGGAGTTTGAGACCAGCCTGGCCAATATGGTGTAGTAGAAACCCCGTCTCTACTAAAAATATAAAAATTAGCCAGGTGTGGTGGCACATGTCTGTAATCCCAGCTACTCGGGAGGCTGAGGCAGGAGAATCGCTTGAACCTGGGAGGCAGAGGTTGCAGTGAGTCAGGATGGCGCCAGTGCACTCTGGCCTGGGTGACAGAATGAGACTCTGTCTCAAAAACAAAAAACAAAAAACAAAACCCTAGGAATGGGTTTGTTGAGTGATAAGGTAATTGTATGTTTAACTTTATAAGAAAGTACCAAACTGTTTTTCCAAAGTGGCTGTACCATTTTGTATCCCAGTAGTATATGAGAGTTCTGATTGCCCTGCATTCTTGGCAGCTGTTGGTATCATCAGTTTTTTCTTTTTTTCTTTTTTTTTTTTAATTTTAGACACCCTAGGAGATGTATTATTGGTGTCTCACTGTGATTTTAACATTCATTTCTCTAATGACTAATGATATATAGCATCTTTTTGTGTGCTTATTTGCCCTCCATGTTTCTTCTTCAGTGAGAGATCTGTTAAAATCTCTGCCTGATTTTTTGTGGCTGGTTTGTTTCATTTTTTGAGCTTTGGGAGTTCTTCATAGCTCTAGATGCAAGTCCTTTATCAGTTGTTTCTTTTGCAGAGACAGTCTGTGGCATGTTTTTGTATTCTCCTGTCTTTGAAAGGCAGAAGTTTTAATTTTGATGAAACTTGTTTATTGATTTTTTTTCCTTTTTTGGTTTATATTTCTTGTGTACTATCTGAGAAATCTTGGCCTAATCCTATGTCACTGAGATTTTTCTTCTATGTTTTCTTCTAGACCAGGGTTTCTCAGCCTTGGCACTATTGACATTTTGGGTTGAATAATTCTTCATAGTGGGGGTCTGTCCTGTGTGTCCTAAAATGTTTAACAGCATTCCTGGCCTCTTCCCACTAGATACCAGTAATAGTCCCCCAATTTGTAACCATCCGGAATGCTTTCTGACATTGCCAAATGTTCCATGGTTGAAGGGAGAGGCGTGTCAAAATCTCTCCCAACTGAGAACCGCTTTTTCAGAAGTTTTGTAGTTTTACGTTTTACATTTATGTCTAAGATCCATTTTGAGTTGGTTTTTGTATATGGTGTGAAGGAAGCATCCAAGCTGTATTTTCTTACATATGAATATGTAATTGTTATTCTAGCACCATTTGCTATCTTTTTTTCCAGTGGATTTCATGACATCTTTGTAAAAAAATTAATTGACCTTGTATATGTGGGTCTATTTCTGCACACTATTCCATTGATTTACATATGTATCCTCATGCCAATATTACACTCTTAATAACTGTACTGTCTTAAAATCAGGTTGTGTGATTTTTCCCACTTTGTTCCTCTTTTTAAAAATTGATTATTTCAGATTCTTGGAATTTCTATATAAATTTTAGAATTAGCTCGCCCAATTTATATTTTAAAAGCCTGCTGGAATTTTTTATTAAGATTTCATTGAGTCTATAAATCAATTTGAAAATAATTTTGACATCTTAACAATATTGAGTTTTCTAATCCATAAACATGACAGTTCTCTTAGTTTATTATTTCTCTTTAATGTCTTCATCAATGTTTTGCTGTCTTCAGTGTGCCAATCTTACACGTTTTGTTAGACTTACTGGTATTTTTAGAAATTTCTATTTCCTATTATTCATTATAAGTGTATAGAAATATAATTGACTTTTTATATTGACCTTGTGTCCTATTACCTTGCTAATCTCACTTACTAGTTTTAGTAGCTTTTTTAAAAAAATATTTCCTTTAGGACTTTATATGCAGAGTTATATTAACTATGCTTTGTTTTTTACTTTTAAATAGATATGTCATTTCTTTTTTTCCGTTTTTTTTTTTTTTTGTTTTTTTTTTGCTTTATTACACTGGCTAGGATCTGCCTATTCTTCTACTTGATCTACTTTGTGTTCTGACCCCAATTCTTTGAAAGGAAGTATCACCAGCAATATTTATGTAGCTGAATACAGTGAATACTTTTCTGTCCTCCTCTTAGGTACGATAAATAGCATTTGACACTATTATTAATCATTACATAACTTCTTTAAATTATTTCCTTTCTTGGGTTCTTCTGGTTTTTTTTCTACTCATCTGGCTGTTCTCTCTCAGTATCCTTTGCTGCTTTATCTTCCTTTGTTAAACCTTAGAATCAGAATTTGTAAGCTGTGGACCCAAGTATGACTCAAATGTGGTTTTCAAAAACCATTTTTTTTGGCATAATGTTTTAACACTTTTGAAATAGAATACTTTAAAGTGAACATGCATAGTTAGCCACAAATCCCATTACTCTCCAATTCCAGGTTGGATTACTTCATTTGTCTTACCCCCATACCCCTATACACATTTAGTTTTCAACCTCTGCTTGAAACGCTGGAATGTTCGCGGTCTCATCCAGATCCAGGACTTTAAATACATCTGTATACTGATAAATCCCAAAGATGTATCTCAAACTTTTTTTCTCCCTCAAAATTTGTTTGTATTTGTCAGAATGCTTATATGTTGTCCCTCCCCACATCTGTCAAAAATATTTAGAGATTTGTTGGCCTTTTTATATTGATTTAAAAGGTATAACACAAAGAATATTTGATGATTGAAATGTATCAAGAAAATACATAATGCAGAAAGTTAAAAAAGGTTGAACAGAGGTTGTTTTAAAAATTCAGTTTATAATGGGAAATTATAAGAATATGTTTGCATAGGAGAGGAATGATTCAGTAATGAGAGAAAAATGGGTGAAGGAAAGTGGGAGAATCACATAGGAAGGAAATCACTGAAAAAAATTTGAATGAGATAGGAAGGCCTTTGAGAGGCAGAGTGACTTTTTTTTATTTTCAAGTCATAAGATAGAAATCTGGTAATGGGGATTGTAGATCTGGTGGTTGAAGACAAGGGAGTTCCTCTCTCCTGCTCTACAATTATTGAAGGTCATCAGTTGAAAATTAGGAGCGTTCAATAGTTCTGAGGAGGGAAGGTATGAAATCTCAACTCACCAGGAAAATGTAGTAGGATTTCCAGGCAATATTGAGTGCCCTTCAGGTTTAGTGACATCAATTTAAAGAAAAGCCAGTCAGTTTGGGAGTGTGATTTCTCCAGCAACGTGCTGCTGATTGGATTCATGCAAGGAGACGGTTCCATCAGTGTTAGCTTTTGCTGAGCAAATAGGATAATGGGAGAAAAACGCAAGAAAGTTAAGGGTGTTTGCAAGGCAGTGATTATAAGGATGGCTCTGAACTCTCAGAGGGGCAAAGAAGGAAATACAGATAAGAAAGGAATAAAGAAAAGTATAAATGTGATAGGATAGTTGTCTCCGTGAAGTTAAAAAATTATTGCAGTAGAGGAACTAGAGAGTAAGTGATCTGTGGAGGTCAGAGGATGGACAGAAAGACTAATGGATACATCTGTCACTATTAGAGAGGAGTGAACTATGGGATACAGGCTCAAACCATGGTCAGAGAGGCTAAGAGATGACTCGGGACCAGTGATTTTTGCTTTAGTGAGTCACAAGATGATTGGAATTCTGCTTTAAAACCTTTTGTTGGCTCACTAACCTGTCCCCTATAGAAAGGAGTGCCCTCTAAAGAAAAAATGTAAAATTAATCATTCTCATATTCCTTTTATTTTCAAGTATCAGAAAGGTGAAAAGCATGTTTCCAGTAGCAATTTGATGTTATAGATCTGATTAATTTATTCAGTGTAGAAGGGATTGAGGTATTTTGGAATGTCAAAAGTCTGCTATTCCATAAATGTAGCATTAATATTCTAGAATATTTCTCTCCACATTTTTTTCTTTGCATGTATTTGTATAACTGATATTATGTAGTGGATAGTGGGTATCTTTTTTCTTAAACTTACTATATGAACATTTTGTTAATGAATTTTAAATATTAGAAATGTCTCTTCAAAGACAAAAGTCTTGCTGGAAAATGTTTGCGAAAATATTTGTAAATTGTAATACATCTTCTTTTTATGGATTCTGTACCACCCGGGAATTAAAAGATACCTATATTCTCTTAGAAACATTTGAGTTGATCAAGGAAGAAGAGTCCAGTAGTGGAATACTTACAAAATAATGAAAATACATTATATGTCTAAAGTTGCTGTCAATATAATGCCACTTTCTCATGTTTTTATTTAAATAAATAAAGCAAATTGAATGAATTATTTAACCAAAGATTTTACATAAAGACTCAAAAACTTGTAATCCCAGCACTTTGGGAGGCCAAGACAGGGGAATCGCTTGAGTCTAGGAGGTCCAGACCAGCCTGGGCAACATAGTGAGACCCCTGTCTCTACAAAAATTTTTAAAAAATTAACTGAGTGCCTGCCAGTAGTCCCAGCTACTCAGGATACTGAGGATGACAGGATCACTTGAGCCTGGAGGCAGAGGTTGCAGTGAGCTGAGATTGTGCCACTGTATTCTGGCCTGGTTAACAGAGCAAAAGCCTGTCTCACACACACAAAAAAAGAAAAACTGCAAATAGAGGAAACGTGGTAAAGAGAAAAACAAGTTATAAAATATAATACAGTTGTTAAATTCAAGAAATAGAGAAAAAATAGATATATTCCTAGTAAATAGAGTTGCGAAAAAAATCTCAATGAAATAGACTTTCTACAAAACTATGAGTATTTCATAGAGGTAGACTAGGATTACTGAGGAGGAAATTGAGAAAGTTATGTTAGTACCAGCTATCAAAAAGATTTTTGGAACTAATAGATTTGCTGATAAATCTTTTACATTTTTAAAGAAAATTGAAGTTGCTTAAATAAATACAGAACAACGTTATGAAACAAGAAAATGAGGGCATTCTAAAATACTGATTAATCTTAGTTGTGACCATATATGTGTGAAAATGTTAAAGAATATGCTAGCAAACATTTAAACGTCTGATCTACCACTACTGTGTAAGAAATGTGAACATGTTTCAATATAAAGAAATTTTGTGACTTGGGAGGCTGAGGTGGGAGGATTAAGCGCTTTAGCCCAGAGTTTGAGTCCATCCTGGGCAACATAGCAAGAACCTGTCTAAAAAAAAAAAAATTATTGCTATCCTTTATCAGGTTTAATTGGGGAAAATGATGCTATAACATAGTTTGAGCTAATTTAGTGTTCATTTCTAATCAAATTATTTGAAAATGAAAATACTTTCATATCATGATAGACTATACTTAATTATTAACTAATATTAAATTCAAAAGGAAAATACCTTTTAAACTTGTCACCATTAGTATTTAATACGACTTTAATTCAGCATTGTTATTTAGTGTGATCTGTAGATTGGTGCCAGTCCATGATTTGCTTGTTACTGGTCTGTCAAGAGGTAAGTATAGAAATTGAGAGGAAGTGTTTAGAAACTTTTATAGTAGTTGGATAGAGTAATTTTATCTTTTTTTAGACCTAGAAATCAAACATTTGGGCTTGTGTTTTATATCTTGGGCTTATAGTAAGACTTTTAATTTCATTTTTCTAGTTATTTTTACTGGTTTTAAAAATTAGCTTATTTCTCATTAATTTTTGTTAGCATTTTAGTAAAGTGTCAGTATGTGATGACTTGGAAGTAGGAAAAACTGGTTCTTCCCTATAGGTAGTTTGAGAAGCAGTTCTCTGGATCTTGCCACTAATTTAAGAGTAAATATTTGAAGGAGACAAGTGTATCACATTCATGGGTGATATGATAATGTTATATATACTGAGAAGAGCCAGGGATCGTTTAGAAACTAGTAGAGCTAATAAAAATTCAGTCAAGTGAATTCCCAAGCTAAAGCTGAAGTGAATGCTTCAGTAGGTCCCATGAATCGGCCCAGCCCTTGCGTGCACCAAGTTTGGCCCCTCTAGCATCGCCGCCACGAAGAAAGTGGCTCAACAGCTTTGGCTGAAGGCCCGGCTCAACTGTGTAAAAATTTCCCAGGCAGCTGCAGACTTGAAACAATTCTGTCTGCAGATTGCTTAACATGACTCTCTGCTGACTGGAGTATCTTCAAGTACAAATTCCTTCATACCCCAGAAAGTCTGTTCCTTTTTGTAGTAAAATGAATCTTTCAGAGGTTTCCCAAGCCACTTCTCATGATACAGTGAATATTCAAAAGAGAGCTACATTTGAAGCCTGTACAAAAGCTTATCCCCGGAACACATGTGCCATAATATACAAACTTCTACTTTTGTCAGTCCTTAATATCTACCTCTCTGAATTTTCATGAATTTCTATTTCACAAGGGTAATTGTTTTATATACACTGGCAGCGGCGTACAATACAACTTAGTATAAAAGGTTTTTTTGTGTTAAAAAAAGATGTGTAGTAATGGGAAGAGGTCTAAAATGTAGTTAATATTGTGAGAACAACAGCTTTACATTTTCTATACTTTGATGAGAATGTCATTAAATAGGAAGCTATATAATACATGAGTGGACATTTTCATCTAAATATTAATATGTATGGTAACTCAGTTAATGACTTAGCATGTTTTCCTTTAACATTTTTCTAGAAAACAGAATCTTGGCATTGTCTTCCTCAAGAAATGGACTCTTCCCAAACCTTGGATACATCCCAGACTAGGTTTAATGTGAGAACGGAAGATACTGAAGTGACAGACTTCCCCTCTCTGGAGGAGGGCATATTGACGCAATCAGAAAATCAAGTAAAGGAACCCAACAGAGATCTCTTCTGTTCTCCACTGCTAGGTAATGCCTGTTTATTTTAACTAGTAGTAATACCTCACATTTGTAAGTTTTGCGGGGACTGCAAGTCTTGTAACTTTCCCCTTTTTGAGTTAAGGAGCTCTGTAGAGACCTACTCAGAGGGATTAGCTTATTTCTGTTTTGTTTGTTTGTTTGTTTTTTACTGGCTAGCTGATCTAATTATATTAAGTGTGCAGTTGCCTCTCATTTTATCACTTCCCGTTGCTCACAGAAGGCAGAAAGGTGATAACTGTCTACTGTGTGTGCCTCCTCAGTCTTGAATTTGCAGAGTTTTTGGGATGAATAGTATACTTTGGTTATCTCAGCAATGGAGACTCCATGATCCCCCACAAAAAACAAAAAACAAATGTTCATATTTACCTTTTTGATTTTTAGAATTAATTAAGGCATATGTTATTATCCTTAGCTTTCAAACCAAAAATTGAGATAAAGAGGTTGAGTGGCTTGTCTGAGGTAGATCTTGCTGCTTTCCTCTGTTTAGTATGGAACTGATTTATTAGCTCTTTATAAAAGATAAACTTTAAGTACTTTTAAAATCATTAAGGGATTCAATTATGAAGATGGTTTTATAGTTTTGTAGAGAAGCATGAATAGAACTTAATTCAGCAAGTTCTTTGCCAACATAAACTAATGCTATCCAAATCAAGGTATTAGTGCCAACGTTTTCTATGATGTGGATTATTAAAGTCAATTTTAGGTCCACATTTTAAGAAAGGTTGACAAAATTAGAGTACCTTTGTGGGAGGAGAGGACTATCTTTTGATAGACAAAAGAGAAGACTTTGCTATGGTCAAATATTTGAAGGGCTGTTATGCTAAAAAGGAAGCAACTTATTTTTTATTCATTCATGTAACAAATATCTAAGTGCCTCCTATGTGTTTGATGCTAGGGGTATATAGATGAAAGCTACCTCCTCTTCTGGGAAGGCAATCCAGTAAACAGAAAATAACAGTACCATGGGATTTGTATTATAATGGTGTAGAGCAGGAGTCTGCAAACTATAGCTTACAGGCCAAGTCTTGATTTTGTACTGTCCATCTGCTGAGAATGATTTTTGCATTTTTAAAGGATTGTAAAAACAAACAACAGTAGTATGTATGACCAACAAAACCGAAAATATTTACCATCTGACCCTTTATTAAAAAAGGTTTGCTAACTCCTAGAGTTTAAAATGGATACATAACTTAAAGGGAAGCTATTTTTCAAATTGATGTAAAAAAGAGCTTTCTAATAGAGCCATTTAATACTAAAAAAGGCTATATAACAACAACAAAAAGTGAGCTTCATGTCACTGCAAAATGTCTAGCAAAATTCTGTATTAGGATTTTAGCACTGGGGAGGAGATTGTACTTCGTGACCTAAAATGTTTTCTAATGTAAAGTTTTATAACTCTGGCTTCTCATTTACTATAGTTAGGGCAGAACATTTTAAATTATTGGAGTAGATTCCTGGATCTCATAGGCAGAGGAAATTTTATCATTGCTGTTTTGTTACGCATAAGTACTAACATTGTGATAAATAGGCTCTCGCCAATGGCAAATGTAATTGATGATGGCTGGTGCCAGAATGGTTAGATACCTCAAAAAAGAGGGATGCAAGCCAGTAACAGATATCCACACTTGAGGAAACAAGAAGCAGTTGAAAGCTGTAAGAAAAAGGCATGGCAAGTAAAATACACCACCTTCCCATCACACACACACAGATAATGTTGTACACTTGAGAATCATTAACTCTTCAGCTTTGGCCTGCTCCTTTAGCAAATACATTTGCCTATTTATGTGATTTAACTGTCCAACTCCACCCTGAGATATTCTTAAATATTTAAGGAGATGCTGAAATGCTGCTTGTAACTTACTTGTTACTTACTATTCCTTACTTATACTTAAATAGCTATTTTAGGTACTGAGGATTTCTGTAGGTTCTGAAACCTAGTTAGGGTTAACTCTAATTTTTTTTGAGAAAAGACTGTCAGATTCTTTAAATACTCAGCCTGCAGTTAACTGGAAATAGTAAATTTGCTTTACTTGCCCAAAGGTCCCCCTTGTAGCATCAGCTCTAGTGTATTTGGGGACTTTGTTAAAAACTCTTCATGAGTTTTAGAGGGGTGAAGGACTGTTACGGAGGTTTAAGACTGCTTCTCTGTGCCAAGACCAAAGAGGAACTGTACCAATTGTTCCTTGGTGGCAAAGGTTATTGTTACATATCAGTTTTTCATTTTTAATTAATTCATTCAGTAAATAAATAACTCTCTTTTGAGTACCTTTTAAGTGTAGCAGGTACTTTGCTAGGCACTGAGGATATAGCTATGGATAAAGTAGACACAGTTGACAATTTAGATGGGAAGTGGATAGACTGAAGATTAAAACAAGAGGGTGATGAATTATATGGAAGGTATGCAGGGTATATAAGCAGTGACAGTATGTGTTTTGACTAAGTAAAGGACAGATGACAACATGGTGAGCTCTGTGAACTCTAGATTTGCAGTAATTTCAGGGGGAACAGTAATGTGAGAGAGGAGTCCTCACTTTGTACACAGTGTTGCAGGCATTCTGAAATCAAGAAAGTATACTGATTAAAATAAGAATGATTTAAGTCAACATTCAGGAAATCACAAGAATTTTTTTTTCATTAAAGCAGCAGTTCAAACTTTTTGGGTAACAGGATTCTTTTACACTTTTAAAAATTACTGACAACTCCAAAGAGCTTTTGTTTATTTGGGTTATTGATATTTCCCACATTAGAAATTAAAACTGAAACATTTAAAATGTATTTATTAATTCATTGAAAAAGTACATATTTTATAAAAAATAACTTTTCCAATACAAAAATGTTTAGAAGTATGGCCATGTTTTACTTAAACAATTCTATAATGTCTGACATAATAGAAAACATCAAGACTCTCATGTCTGTTTCTGTATTCAATCTGTTGCTGTATCATATATTCTGTAGCTTCTGGAAAATGTCACTGTATCTTTTTGAGAGAATGGGAGTGAATAAGGCATATGATATCTTAATATTATTTTGAATAAAATTTTGACATTAGGTACCCCCTAAGAGTGTCTTAGGGCCCAGGAGCTCCTGTGCTATGCTTTGACATAACGGGTGTAGTCTATATTATGTAAGATGGGAAGAAACACTCATAATAGTTAAGAGCGTTTGCTAAAAGTTGAAATGCTTGGGTTCAAATCTCACTCTGGCATTTCAGCTACTTGAATGTGGACAAGTTACTTAATGCTTTGTAAGTTTTGTAATCATGTTTCCTCACCTATAAGATATATATAATAATACCTATCTTTCAAGGTTGTCATGAGGATTAAATGAAATATTGTGTGTTAAGCACCTGGACCTTGTCAGACTCTCAATAAATGGTAGCTGCTACTGCTGTTGCTTTTATATTATTATTCTAATGCTTGTAGAATTCTCCATATGGCAGCATATGTAGGTGCTTTAAAGTATTATATACGTAAGTAAATAATCAATTTTCAGCATTACCCAGCATTTAATATTTGAAACTTTACAGTCATACAAGATAGCTTTGCTTCTCCTGATTTGCCTTTGCTGACCTGTTTGACACAAGACCAAGAATTTGCGCCTGATTCTTTATTTCATCAAAGTGAACTAAGTTTTGCACCTCTGAGGTAGGATGATTTATTTGCATGTAACCTTTCTCACTTCTTGTTCTATGTTTTTACTAATATTAGTGACTTCAGGCTAAGGTGGGACTTTGAGGTGGGGCTTAGATACTCTTAGGACACGCCCTGAAGGTAACAAAGTCCTGTACTAAGACTTGATGCATATTAATTTGGCAGAGTAACGTATGTGTAGAGATGAACCAGATGACAGTAGTTTATTTAAAAATAATTCCTAATATATTCAGGCATTTCAGGCATATTTTAATTTAGAAGACACACTGGATTTTCCTTCTTATAAACCTCCCCATCTGCTGCCCATCATCTCTCTCCTCCCTCTCACCCTTATTCTGCAAAAAGCATTTATTTCTTGTTCACTAACTTGTTTGGCACTCTCATTTTGTTCAGCTGTTATTGAATGAGACTAGTTAGCTCTCCTTACCTTATAGGAGGTGTCAATATGAAGTAAGAAGATTTTTATGAACAGACATATCCAAATGAACAGATACTCCAAATTCATGTCCTTTAGAATAGTCATAATGGGAGAAAAGTCTGGAATTTTCAAAACATATTTGGAATTATTCAAGAATATGTTTTCTTCTTTTAGAATTGAAAACCCACCTTAAATTAAAAACTATAGATGTTTAGAAAGTAAAAAGTAACCTCTGTCCTTATACTATATATTTACCTGATATCACTTTTATGAAAAGTGATCTATACACATTAGATCATCAACTAATGATTAAGTTACTGTTGTGTTTTGGGAATAGATCACTTCTTAAGTGGTTTCTTTCTCTTTCTCTTTTTGTTTGTTTGCTTTTTTTTTTCTTTAGATGGAGTCTTGCTCTGTTGCCCAGGCTGGAGTGCAGTGGTGCCATCATGGCTCACTGTGACCTCTAACTTCTGGGCTCAAGCAATCCTCCTGCCTTAGCCTCCACAGCAGCTAGTACTACAGGCATGTGCCACCATGCCCAGCCAATTTTTAATTTTTCTGTAGAGATAGGGTCTTGCCGTATTGCCAAGGCTTGTCTTGAACTCCTGGCTTTAGGTGATCCTCCTGCCTCAGCCTCCCAGAGTGCTGGGATCATAGGTGTGAGCCACTGTGCCTGGCCTTGCATGGTTTCAAGAGCACAATAAATGATGACTAGTAAAAAAGTTAACGCAGGTTAAATGAAAAATCATGGTAGGCGTCATTATGAAAATCACATTCTGTGTCTATTGTTTTAGGAGAAGTCTGAGATAATATCAGGGTTATAGGGTGGTAGTTCACCTTTTAGTTAAAAAGAATTTGCTTTACTCAGTCATTAGCCATCTTAGAAGAGTCTGAAATTAGGAGAGCTGTGTTTTTCAATACACTTTTCAAATAAACTTGATTTCAGTGACATATGTATTTTTGTGTTAGTACTTAAAAATTAAATGTTTTTAATGTTATTTATTTATTTATTTTTAACTATATATTTTCAGGGGAATTCCTGATAAGTCTGAAGATACTGAATGGTCTTCTCGACCATCGGAAGTTAGTGAAGCTTTATTCCAGGCTACTGCAGAAGTAGCTTCAGACTTAGCAAGCAGTCGCTTTAGTGTATCTCAGCACCCGCTTATAGGCAGCACAGCTGTTGGGTCTCAGTGCCCTTTTTTACCTTCTGAACAAGGGAATAATGAAGAGACTATTTCGTCTGTTGATGAACTGAAAATTCCCAAAGACTGTGATCGTTATGATGATCTTTGTTCATATATGTCATGGAAGACACGAAAAGATACACAGTGGCCTGAAAACAATTTAGCTGATAAAGATCAAGTTTCAGTTGCAACTTCATTTGACATAACTGATGAAAACATAGCTACTAAAAGAAGTGACCATTTTGATGCTGCTCGTTCATATGGGCAGTATTGGACACAGGAAGATTCATCTAAGCAGGCAGAAACATATTTAACCAGTAAGTACCCTGATTCTTTTTCAGATTCATCTGACACAATTGATAAAAATAAAATTCCCAAGGGAAGTAACAATTTTAGTGTCCCCTTTTCCTATGTGCCATGGAACAAAGAGGGAACTTTGCACCACCCAGAAACGTGTGTAATCAGTAAGGACTGTTTTTCCTTTCCATGTGAAGTTGCTGCTCATCATCATCATCATAAAATGTCATATTCTTTCTTGTGTTGTTTGTTGGAAAGAAGAGGAAAAGGGGTTCCCTTGACTTCTGATAGTCATTATTTTGAGAATGTTTATTTAAGGGCTCCAGCTGAGATTGAGGTGAAACAAAAGATGGATTCTTTGGAGGGTTATGAAAGAAATGAAGAAGGTTTACAGAAAGAATCATCTCAATGTTTTGAACTAACGGAGACTAGAAATAATTTAGTATCTTCAGAAGTGCAACCCAGATTCTTAGAAATACAGTATATTAGGAATGTTATAGCTCCTGATAATTCTGTAAAAGTTTCAGAAGCACATGTACTCTCCAGGGGACATAATACCTCTAAAATGGAGGCTTCTGGTTGGATTGTTATATCCAACTTGGATGAGATATCAGAACAACTGTATTTTCAAGAGGAAAGAAACCAAAAGGGAACTTCTCTTTTTGGTGAGAAAAATATTGATGCTGCTGAAAATATAGCCTTTGAGGCAGTTATTGCCTCTATTGAGCCTTCTAAGAAAGAGAGTACAGTAAATGAAATCCAAGCTGACATCAATAAATATTTAACAGATGACAGCCGAGAGAGAGCCAAAAAATCCAGATCTTTCTCCATTAAATTATAATGATGAAACCTCTTTATTTGATAGGCTTAAACATCCATGCTATCAGTCTACTCCTGGGGTGTTTGAACCAGCAGCTTCAAAACCATTGTTGCATAAAAAGGGTAATAATGATAGCTTCCTATACTGGCATCCAAATTTAAAATTACCCCCTAATGCTCTTCAGAAAATGTTCATTAAGCCACTTTGTGTTATTCCAGAGCTTAAGTCATCTGCTTCTTTGAGTGAAAAATCTTACAACCAGGCTGTTGGTCTTGGCAAAACACAGTCAGCTTTATTTCAGTGTGATATAGGCAATGAACCATTTCTTCCCTTTGGGAAGATAAAGTCTGTTCCTTCTCTTGACCTTGCAGAGAAGGTAGGATCTTCAGATGTTATTTATCATGTGAAAGTATTAACTTCAGAATCTTTGGTTTTACAAGATTTAAAGCAGCCAACCTTTGAAGAAGTTGCAGATTACTCAAACTTTAATTTGGGTAAGGATGTTAACTGTAGAAATGCCATTAAAGGTCCACCTGCAGCTGTAGGAAGCAGCTTTTCAGCAAACTTGGTGGCATGTGATGCAAAGTCACAAGGTGCTTGTACCATTGACCAGTGATGCATCATTAATTGCAGTCGCCCAAGAGACATTGCTGAAAGCTGATATAGGCCAAGGTGAAAGTCCTTCGTGTGTGGGAGCTGAGCCTAGTTTTACTATACATACAATTATGCAAAATGACTCCTATTTTGTAGAGGGCCTGCAGGGGAAGGTTGAGTCTGACGTCATTACTCTGGATGGCCTAAATGAAAATGCTGTTGTATGCAGTGAAAGAGTTGCTGAACTACAAAGAAAGGTGAGACACAATAAAATGATAGTTGTAAGAAACGTGGCCTTTTTCAGTATTGTTTCAGGAAATGGTATTGTTTGTTTTTATTTTACTTTTTACTGTTTCCTGGGTACATGACCAATGTCATTTGACTGGTGAGTACATTGAGCTAGCAGCTTTAGAGAAATTTCATGGTGATCTAGAGATGCATGACAGCTCCCTGCACTGGCAGCCTACTTTACAACTACCATCTGAGAAGGAAAGCAATTTTGAAAAGCCTGTAAGTTTTTCTATTTGACATTTTTTTCTGGGCGGGGAGGGAATGTTTTATTTGAAAAATTTCCAAATTTTATTTGAAAATACTTTATTTGAAAAATTATATCCTTCAGTACCAGCTTGTAACTTGTACCTGTTCTTCATCTGATATCCAGGAATATGTTCCATTAGAGGTTGGTATAAAAGAAATGTTTATGTTTCATAGACTGTAAGACTTAGTTCTGTGGTGTCTTGGAAAAGGCATCCCATGGGGCTCCAGGCCTTTCATATTGAGGCAGCCTAACTCTTCCTAGTTGTGCCAGCAAGAGTCTTTAGACAGTGTTAAGATTAGGCTTATTCATGGGAACATCCAAAAGCTTGTACTTTGAATGTTTCCCTCTGGTCTTCAATGCACAAGCCTTGAAACAGTCCCTGGAATATTTAAGTATTTCTGTTTAGAAGCTCTTGAAAGACTTGACTTCAGAGGTGTCTTGAAAATTGTAAGACCCATGTTTGACCAGGAAGGATAATGAAGTGCTTAACGTCCAAACTGGCCAGTGTCTCTTCAAAGGGAAGTATCTCCTTCCCAAATGAGCAACATACTAATGTATATACATGTCTCTTCCCTCTCTCTATTTATATCATTATTACCATTGTGTGTGTGTGTACTAGAAACTGGCAACTCTAGGATGTCATAAAAATTTTATATCAGCCTTTTTTTTTTAAATTAAGTTCTGGGGCACATGTGCAGAACGTGCAGGTTTGTTACATAGGTATACAGGTGTCATGGTGGTTTGCTGCACCTATCAACCTGTCATCTACATTAGGTATTTCTCCTAATGCTATCCCTCCCCTAACCCCCTACCCCGCGACGGGCCCTGGTGTGTGATGTTCCCCTCCCTGTGTCATTCTTTTATAGAAGGCTTTTATTTGCTTGGATCCTTGGATCCCTTGGCATTAATGTTCCTCTGGTCCCGTTGAATGAATATCCTCTTTTGTTGTCTGGTACTGTAAGTCCCAAGGTGGGCCCTACTTCCTTGTGATATAGCCTTATATCCTGTTATTCATTAAATACAGTTAGATAAAATAGTGATGTACTTAATGTTACTTCTCTTTTCCTATGTATAAGATTGGTATGTTTTTGTAAAGCTCTATTAGTTTGGGTTACAACCACATTTAGACCTTTAGGTTCAGATTGTTGGTAGAAAATGAACAAAGATATTATGATGAACTTTTATTTATAATTTATTACATTTATTAAAGTTTTTTTAACACAGAATCACTAGGTTTATTTTCTTCAGTATTCCAAACTAGGCATTTTTTAATTTTAATCTGATAACTGGGGATGAAAATGATAGTTAACACTTTGTGCTCAAGTACTGTGCTAAGAGGTTACATGTATATATCAATTCGTTTTTGTCCTCTGTCAATCCTATCAAATAGAATTGTTAGAGATTATTATCATCCCTATTTTGCAATTGACACTTAGAGGATTTAGGAACTTGCTCATAATTATTCAGCAATTGGGGGAACCAGTATTTGAAACTAACCATATCTGTGTACTTAACCACCATACCATAAACTGTTCCCCCTCCCCCCACCTTTTAACTATTCTTGGTGAAACTAAGGTTAAGATTTTGCATTATTTTGGCAAGAGTAGAGGTTTTGAAGGAGATTGCCTAAAGTTGAGTTCAATAACAATGAGAAACAAAGTAACAACTTTTAAAGTGTTCTAAATTTTTAATACTACTTTTGTGACTTACATCAACCTTTCATGTAGATAAAATGTATTTTAAAAATAAAGATATATAGGTTCAGTTAATGTGCAGAGACTAGCTTTGACCACTGCTCCAAATTTTAATCTGTCCTTAAATATAGCCTGAAGTATTATTCTTTCAATCTAAGGAAGATGCTATTATTCCCTGTATTGTCTTTCAGTTGTAGCTCTATCTGTCTTAGTCTTAGATCTAGGAGTTATTTAATGTCAATATCAGAAAAGCAAGGAGCCAGATGTGGTAGTACTTTTTCTGCATGGCTTAGCTTGCTTTCAGGGGCTTGCTTACTCCTTGGTTTTTCCTTATGCTCCTCATCTGTGTCACAGAAGAGTCATTCATAGTTACTTGGTTCACTTTTATATCTACTCCTCATAAATGATTATTTGGGTATCCACGTATGTATGATGGAGCTTGGAACTGTGAAAAGAACATAGAGATTTTGAGTCAAAATCCAGTTCAGTTACTTTGTTAGCCTTGTGTCTTGAGCAAATGACTTCGGAGGATCACTTTCCTGATCTGCATAAGGAAATAGGAATAGTAATAACCTTATACATCGTACTATTAAATGGGGTAAGTTATGTAGCATTTATATAGTGCCTGGTTGTTAGTTCTCTTCACTTTGCTGAAACTAGACTACTAGAGTCTCTGGTGGTTTCCTACTTTCTATCATTATTTTGTTTTTCTTTCTCCTTTTTCTTGGTAGCAGCACATAATTAATATGCTTTTTTTTTTTTTTTTTTTTGAGGCAGAGTTTTGCTCTTGTCATCCAGGCTGGAGTGCAATGGCACAATCTCAGCTCACTGCAACCTCCATCTCCTGGGTTTAAGCAGTTGTCCTGCTGCAGCGTCCCAAGTAGCTGGGATTACAGGTGCCTGCCACTATGCCTGGCTAATTTTTTGTCTTTTTAGTAGAGACGGGGTTTCACCATGTTGGACAGGCTAGTCTCGAATTCCTGACCTCAGGTGATCCACCTGCCTCAGCCTCCCAAAGTGCTGGGGTTACAGGCGTGAGCCACCGTGCCTGGCCTAATATGCTATTTTAGTACCTCTTGTTTTGGCCATTTAGCTCTAAAAATTATTTAAGGTTTAAGCCTTAGATTTCTTTTCTCTCCCCTTCATATCCCCCCACCTTTGGAGACCTAGTTGCCTGTCTCTGTGTGGATGATTATCACCTCTGTTTTTATACCCTAATATTTGTCTAATTTATTTTGCATGTTTTCTTGTGAACATTGTCATCACCCCAAATTCAACTTGCTCTATAGCAAAATAACTCATGTTTTTCCTAAAATTAGACTGACTTGTAGAGTTCCTGAGTTTTTATGAAAGGTATTAGTATTTTTCTGGTTTCTTGGTCATCTTTCATTCTTTCTTCATTATTGATTAAACATTGGGAAGATAAACGAATCTTGATTTCTGTTTTCTCCTGGTTCTTTCCATTTTCAATTAGCAATGAAGATCTGCTGGTTTCTTAAATAAATACTTCTCATATTTTTCATTTTACATTTTCTTTTGTATTACCTACTTTTTTTTTTTTTTTTTGAGACAGAGTCTCCCACTGTTGCCCAGGCTGGAATGCAGTGGTGCGGTCTCAGCTCACTGCAAGCTCCGCCTCCCGGGTTCACACCATTCTCCTGCCTCAGCCTCCTGAGTAGCTTGGACTACAGGTGCCCGCCCCCATGCCCGGCTAATTTTTTGTATTTTTAGTAGAGACGGGGTTTCACCGTGTTAGCCAGGATGGTCTCGATCTCCTGACTTCGTGATCCGCCCGCCTCGGCCTCCCAGAGTGCTGGGATTACAGGCGTGAACCAACGTGCCTGGCCGGTATTACCTACTTTAATAGTTCTATATTTTGAAACTTTAACATAATGAAATTTTTTTGACGTCAAGCTTGTAATAAAAATTTTTCTTTCTGTGTTTGAAAGCTGTAGAAGAAAAACTGCTGTAAACTATAAACACACACTGTCTCTCACAAGTGTCTATATATTATATATGGTCATGCCACATAATGATATTTCAGTTAGTGACAGACTGCATATATGATGGTAGTCCCATAAGATTAAAATACTGTATTTTTACTGTACCTTTCCTATGTTTAGATACACAAATGCCACTGTGTTACAGTTGCCTACAATATTTAGAACAGTAACATGCTGATAGGTTTGTATCCTGGAAGCAGTAGGCTAGACCATATAGCCTAGGTGTGTAGTAGGCTACACAGTTGTAGGTTTGTGTAAGTCACTCTGTGATGTTTGCACAACAACAAAATTGCCTGACAGCACATTTCTCAGAACATACCCACATCATTAAGTGATCTATGACTGCATATTATATATATGCATATATATTTATATATATTTATGTGTATGTATATATGTGTATATATATAGCCTGTACTTCAGAGAAGTTTCCTGTAGGAGTGAGGTAATTGAAAACTATGAACTTTGTGCTATGTGGAGAGCAGGGCTTCTTAGCAGCCTTATCATTTTGAGTTGGATAATTCTTTGTTATGGTGGGAGGCGTGTTTCCTGAGTATTGTAGGATGTTTTGCATCATCCATCCCTGGCCTCTATTCACTAGATACTAGTAACATCCCCTCCCCTCACAAGTTATGACAGCAAAAAATGTTTCCAGGCATTGTCAAATGTCCCTTGATGGGTACAAAATCTTCACAAGTTGAAAAGTAGAGAAACCTGTATGGGCAGTAGATGTAGATATAGAAATAGATATGGAATGTTCATTTCCACACTTCACATGGCTTCCTAAGAATGTTCATTACTACACAATGAAAAATTGATGAAAGAGGATAGAAAAATTCATGCTTATGTACATTTTTAGACTTCATCCTGAGAAGATGTGACTGAAATAATCTTTTTAGGGAAATAAAGACAATCTAAAAATGATATATATTTTTATGTGAGGGTGCACTGTGAATTTGGTGAAAAGTTGTACATGTTTAGGTATTAATGTCACCAATATTGGTTTCTAATTTCTTTTCTAGCAAGAACTTGTGACTTGATGAAACATTAGGAACTTCTTTTTGAGCAGTTACCCTTTACTTCACTACCAATTTATAGTTTCCACTACTTTTGTTTTAAGAAGTTTGAGGACTTATGCTTGTTGGTAACCGATCACAGTTATAGTTCTTTGATACTCTCATTTTTCTTCTAAACATTTGTGAGTTTCTAGAAAATATTCCTGTTTTCTTTTTCCTTCTTACTGTTTCTTGTCCACAGTGCACCTCTCTACCTTAAAAAGAAATACCTGAGCTTGTCCAGAATAATCCCATGGTTCAAATTCTGCGATGATCATAAGGAGCAAACTTCTGAGTAACAGAACACTTCTAAGCATACTATCTATAATATTTTATCTAGACAGATTTCTAAGCCCTCAGGATGATTTAGTCTTCTAGAGTTGACCCAATAAAATATGACCTATATATGAATTCAGAAGGTTTGAGATTATGATCTTAAGTAACTAGTATAACTTCTTAGTGTTCCTCTTTGTAAAAATGAAGGATTATTTTTAGCAGATGAGGTTTGAAATTAATATCTTATTTTCTTCATTTCTTCGTAGGTGGGTCATTCTAATCTGGGCATTAATGAGTCTTTTTCATTTTTATTGCCTTCATTTGTTCCACATAAGCCAACAAGAGAGTCGGAATATCACTCTTCAGATCTCAGAATGTTGAGGATGTCTCCTGACACTGTGCCAAAGGCTCCTAAACATTTAAAAGCAGGTACGTAGAAAAAGGAGATAGTAAATGTCCTACTTACGGATACCTTGTGAAAAAATATCTTGTTAGGTCTATCTAATTTTGTATTTTTTAATATCTATAATAATTATACTTCAGATTAGATGTGTTTATAAATCCTGTCTTAGTCTCTTTAGACTGCTATTACAAAAATATCTTAGTACTTTAAGTATGGCTTATAAACAACAGAAATTTGTTTCTTGCAGTTCTAGAGGCTGGTTCCAAGATCAAGTGCTGGGAGATTCAGTGTCTTGTGAGGGCCTGTTTGTCATAGATGACATGTTCCTCTGTGCCCTCCCATGGTGGAAGGGGCAGGGGGTCTCTCTGGAGTCGTTTTTTGTAATGGGCACTAATCCCAAACATGTGGCCTGTGTCCTCATGATCTAATTGCTTTCCAAAAGCCTTACCTCCTTAATTTCATCACCTTGGGGATTAGGATTTCAACCTATACTTTTCAGGGGGGACACAAACATTCAGACCATCACAAGTCCCCTGATGTTTTATTAGAGGAATCATTTGGTTTTTCATCGCATTCTACATGGCAGTGTTTAGAACTGAATTATATGGAGGAGTCTGATGTTAGAATCTGTTTATTCCTTTGTGTGACTTGAAGGGAAAAAGGAATTGATTGAGCCCAAGATGACAAGAGTGGATGCAGATAAGTTTGTAGAGAGGAAATTGAGAGAAATCAGTTTTGAGGTAAAAGCAAGATTATCTGCTGAGGGAGGTGAGTAGTGGTGGAATTAGGTTAGAGGCATTGAGGAGAGTGGTTTGGTGAAGACTTACAGTTTATGTTGAAGTGAATTTGAGATGGAGCTGACCAAGGGAAAGTAAAAGGATTGGAGGGCAGTTCTGAGAAGTCAGCTCAGGTTAGTGATAATGATTTTATAATATTGTCAGCCTGTATAGAATCTCTGATTTGTTTTTCCTGCTAACACTCAGGAATGGAGATGATGAATTACAGTATTGATCCTTGGTTCAGGAATACATTGAATGGGTATGGTAGAAGGATAGCAGTCAAAGAGAGAAGAGTTGATCACCTATTGGTTTCAGCCTACATAGGGAAAGAGAAGCCAGAAGAGTTGTTATTCTAGGAGAAAATAGAAGGACCAGAGATTTCTTTATGAAGTTGATTAGATGAGGTGGGAATAAGTTACTGAGAGCACTAGAAGAATAGGTAATTTTGGTCAGATTGAATAAGTAGATTTAAATGAGGATCAGTTTGAAGGGTGATGAAATCCATTAAATAGCCCTGGGATTGGATGGTAGAAATTGAATAAAAATTACTGGAGTAAATAAAATTTTGGGTCAGGTACAGTGTCTTATGCTTGTAATCTCAGTACTTTGGGAGGCTGAGGTGGGAGGATCACTTGGAAGAGTCTGGAAAGGATTGGTATTAATTGTTTTTGAATAGAATTTACTGTGAAACTACCTGGGCTGTTCTTTGTAGGAAGTTTTTAAATTGCTAATTTCATCTCTTTCCTTGCCATAAGTCTATTTAGATTTTATATTTTTCATGAATCAGCTTTTGCAATTTGTGTCTTAAATAGAATTTGTCCATTTAGCTAGGCTATCTGTTTACATATATCTGTTCATAATATTCCCATGTAATCTCTTTCATTTCAGTAAGGTTAGTTACAATGCCCTCTCTTTCATTCCTGATTTTAGTAACTTAAGTTTTCCCTTCTTTTGTTCTCCCTTTGGTGAATCTAGTTAAATTTTGTCAATTTTGCTGATTTTTTCAAATAAACTGGTTTCTTTATTTTTTTCTAATCTTTATTTTTCTTTTCTGATTTTTGTTTCATTTATTTTCATTCTAGTCATTATTTTTCCTTCCTTCCATTTGCTTTGGGTTTAGTTTGTGCTTTTATTCTGTTTTTTAAGGTGGACAGTTAGGTTATTGATTTAAGCTCTTTCTTCTTCTTATTACAAATATGTATACAAATTGATAAATTCCTAAGCACTGTGTTAGCTGCATGTCCTAAGTTTTGGTTTATTATATTTTTGTTTTAGTTCATCTAAACTTATTTTCTAGTTTACATTGTGATTTTTCTACATTTACCCTTTGGTTATTTAGGAATGTGTTGTTTAATTTCCTTCTGTTATTATGTTTCATCTGGTTCAATTTTTGTTGGAAAACATACTTTGTATGATTTCTGTCTTTAAGTTTTATTGAGGCTCGTTTTATGTTTTAGCATGTAGTTTATTCTGTAGAATGTACAGTTTGTACTTGAGAAGAATGTGTATTCTGCTGTTGTTAGGTGGTGTGTTCTATAGATGTCTTTCAGCTCTAGTGGGTTTAGCTGTTCAAATTTTCTGTTTCCTTGTTGGTCTTCTGACTAGCTGTTTTCTCCATTTTCAAAAGAAGGGTACTGAAGTCTTCAACTCTTTTTGTTTAATTGTCTATTTCTCCCCTTTTTTCTCTCAGATTTGCTTCACATATTTTGACATTATGATGTTAGATCCATATATGTTTATAATTGTTATATATTCCTGATGAATTGACCTTTTTTTGGAGACAGAGTCTTGTTCTGTTGCCCAGGCTGAAATGCAGTGCGTGGCTCACTGCAACCTCTACCTTCTGGGTTCCAGCGACTCTCGTGCCTCAGCCTCCTGAGTAGCTGGGACTATAGGCGTGTGCCCACCATGCCCAATTAATTAGAATTGACCTTTTAATTGTTATAAATTGTTCCTCCATATTTTGAGTAACTTTTTGTTTTAAAGTCTGTTTTGTCTTAGGTTAGAATAGACACTTCAGCTCTTATGGTTGCTGTTTGTATGGTTTATCTTTTAAAATCCCTCTACTTTCAACCTATTTGTATTATCAAAAATGATGTATCTGCTGTAAAGAGCATATAGTTAAATCTTGAGTTTTTAATTTTAAAATTCTATCTGTTTTTGCCTTGTGATGTGATTATTTAATCTGTTTGCATTTAATGTCATTATTGATGTGATTGGATTCACATTTTCTGGCTTACGTTTGGTTTTTCATGTGTCTTGTGTCCTTTTTCTGTTCCCCTTTTATTATTGCATGAAGTGAATATTTTCTAGTATGACACTTTCAGTTTAATTTTTAAAATGATTTTCTAGGTAGTTTTTTTTAAAGTTATATTCTTAGTGATTACTCTGGGGCTTATAATATTTATCTTATCAGAATATACTTCTGATTCAATTTATACTAACTTAATTCTAGTATGGTACAGAAACTTTACTCCCGTATAGCTCTATTCCCTCTTTTTTTTTGGTGCTATTATTGTTATACATACTACTCACACACGTATATAAATGCCTTTAAGTTTTTGTTTTTTTTTTTAGTCGGGGACTTGCTCTGTTGCCCAGGTTGGATTGCAGTGGCATGATCATAGCTCACTCTAACCTGAGCTCAAGTGATCCTCCTGCCTCAGCCTCCTCTGTTGTGAGGCCCACAGGTGTGTACCACTACACTGAGCTAATTTTTCAAAAAATTTTTTTGGTAGAGATGGGATCTCACTATGTTATTAGTCTTGAACTCCTGGGCTCAAGCAGTCCTCCCACCTTGGCCTCCTAAAGTGCTGGGATTACACGTGTGAGCCACCATGCCAGCCTGCTTTATATATTTTCAAATTGCTCTTTAAATCAGTTAACAGAATACAGGAAATGAAGTATGTCTTTTTGTAGTTACCGATGTAGTTATTTTTACTAGCACTATTTGTTTTGTTATGAAAATGTTACTACTATCTGGTGTTACTTGTTTTTCAGCCTTTGGAACTTCCTATGTTATTTCTTGTAAGATGGATCTGCAAGTTCCCTGTTTTATGTATCTGGCGTGTTTTTATTTCATCTTTTTGAAAGATAGTTTTGCTGGGCTTGGAATTCTTGGTTGACAGTCTTTTTCTTTTCAGCACTTTGAATATGTCTCTTCACTATCTTCTGGCCTTCATAGTTTTGGATGAGAAGTCAGCTGTTATCTTATTCATGTTCTCTTGTATGTAATTTGTTTTCTCTTGTTGCTTCCAAGATATGCTCTTTGTCTTTCACTTTCAGTATCTTGATTATGATATGTCTCTATGTGAATCTCTGTGTTTATTCTACTTTGAGCTCACTGAACTTGTCAGATGTATAGTTAATATCTTTTGTCTAATTTGGGAAGTTTTCAGCCATCATTTCTTTGAGGATTTTTTCTGCTTCTTTCTCTTTTTTGCCCAGTTATCATCTCTTGCATCACAGTCCACATATATCAGCACCCCTAATCTTGTCTCACTGGTCTCTAAGCCTTTGTTTGTTTTTGTTTCTTCTTTCTTTGCTTCAGTTTGCATAGTCTCTATTCATTTATCTTGATGTTTGCTGATTTTTTTCTTCTGTCTTGTCCATATCTACTGTTGAGCCTCTAGTGAATTTTTCACTTCAGTTACTGTACTTTTCAGCCTTAGAATTTCCATTTTGTTATTTTCTAAGTTCTGTCTTTCATTCTGTATTTGATGTGACTTTGCCATCATACCTATCTTTAATTCTTTAAGCATCCTTTTCTTCCCTTTGAATATGTTTATAATAGCTGCTTTTAATTGTTACTGGCTAAGCCCAATGTGTGTGCCCTCTGAAAGGTAAATTTGCCTATTTTGTTCCCCCTGTGAAGGGGTCACACTTTCTTTTGCACATCTTACTTTTCTGTTATTGTTCTAAACTGGACGTTTTGGATAATATCTTGTTGCAGCTCTGGATATTGATCCCTTCTCTGGGCTGGTAACGTTTGATATTTTTGTTGTTTCGTTATTTAGTGTCTGGTTTGGATTAGTTCTTAATTGCTCACCACCAAGATCTCCATTGTTTTTGTCAGTGTCCTTAGGCTTGAGCTTTTTATGCTCTGTTTCAAACAAAGTCATTCTCCTTATGGAGATGTGTGGAGCTCTCTGTTCTTATGGCTTGCCTCTGCTGGGCAGAAGCTTTGTGGCACTGCTCTGTATCTGGGGGCAGGTTCATTGGTCTACTTCTCTTGGAATAACACACCCCTTCTCTATGATTGTGATGCTGAAAGGGGTAGTAGTTAGTCCCTGTTCTTGGATTGCCTCTCCTGGAGTGGACCCTCACTCCACCTACAAGTGAGCTGGGGGTAGGGATGATTAGAGCTTGGTATTCTCAGGTTGGGATAAATCTTCCACTCTATAAGTGGGGACTGGGTGAAGGTAGGTTGCTTCTTGTGTTGTTTCTTTTTCACTTATTAGCTAACATCAACAGCCAGTGTTCTTTCTTTACAGCCTTTCTCCCATGACATCCCTTCCATTCTGCCTTGTTACTTTATGGATCGTATCTACTGATGTACCCAGTTGTACCATTTTAATTATTTGGTTAAAATGGTACATCTCATTTCTACCAGTAAGATCCTGAGCTCCTCACTTATCTCTCAGAGTAGTATTGTGCTGTATGGGCTGACATTAAAGATTTAATATTATGCACAGTCTTGACATCTGAAACTGCGAGGTCCTCAAAGGGCCTAACCACAAGTTTACCTGCCAGATATGCCCTCTACTCAGTGGAGAGGCTTCCTACACAGCCAGTTCTTCTATCAACGAGACCAACTGTATTCTACCTGGTACTCAACCTCAGATTTCCATCCCATGCTAACCTGTGAAATTATTCAAACAAGCCAATCACACCCTCCTACAGAAATAAAAAAAATCACGCTCTTTTCTTGCTACTACAAGCCTGCCTCCTATGGTTCCTGTTTACTCGTTCTGTTCCCATGTACAATCCCTGTGTGGCCCTGCATGTCCTGTGTCTTCCCCAGCTGTGAGTATATGTGACTAATAAACTACCGTCAGTCTCCTCTGTGCAGTGTTGTATTTAGCCAATCCAGATCTATCAGGCAGCAATCCCTCCCTCATCAATAGGGTGAAGAGGAGGCAAAAGAAAGAAATATTTGTGTCCATGTTTGATTCATATTGTATTGAAATGGTCCCTTGATATTAGTTGCCCTGATTTCTTATTTTTTTATTGGCAAACCTCTGGGTCCTATTTTATAACAAGCAGAAAGTAACTGCCAAGCTTCATTTCAAATTGGCTCCAAAGTATGAGTCAAGATAATTTACATATCAGGTAAAGTAGACACACTTAACATAATTTGAATAGTTTAGATTACAAGATAAATTGGAAACAAGTTTGGATCTGGATTATTGAAAAAGAATCGGTGACACCATTAGAAAGTAGGGTAGTGAATTTAGTTTTGGACATACTGAGTTTGATTTGTCGGGAGATCATTTGGTTTGAAGTGTCTTCAAAGCCAGTTGAACAAATGGGAAATAGGAAATACAAATTTGGAAGATCTTAAATAATTTGTGATTAAAATTATGCCGTAAGAGTAGTTAAGCTTTCTGAAGGAGCATGGGTAGAGAGAAAAGCAAAATGTCAAGGATGGTACCTCATGGAATACAATAGCAGAAAGAGGCCAATAGAAAATATCAAAAAAGACAGATATTTTGTTTAAATTCTTACTCTGATTTAGTTCTTACCTCTTCAGTTTCCATTCCAATTTCTTAGTGCCTTTACTATATCACACTGGATTTTGTTGCACGAACATTTAGGATTGCTTTGTCTTCTTGGTGGATTGATCCTTTACAATTATGTAAGAATTCTCTTTGTCCCTCGTAATTTTCTTTGTTCTGAAGATTATCTTATATAGCCACTCCTATAGAATAGTTCTTTTCTTTCTTCTTCTTCCTCTTCTTCCTCTCCTCCTCCTCCTTTTTTTCTTCTTTTTTCTTCTTCTTCTTCCTCCTGCTCCTCCTCTTTCTTCCTCTTTTTTCTTCTTTCTTCTTTCTTTTTCTCCTCCTCCTCCTCTTTTTTTTTTTTTTTAAATAAAGATAAAGTCTCACTCTGTTGCCCAGGCTGGAGTGCAGTGATATGATCATAGCTCCACAGCCTTGAATTCCTGGGCTCAAGCAGTCCTTCTGCCTCACTCTCTGAGTAGCTAGGACTATAAATGCACACTAATATGCCCAGCTAATCTTTTTTTTTTTGTAGAGACAAGGTCTTGCTATGTTGCCTAGGCTGGTTTTCAGCTCCTGGCCTTTCAAAGCCTGATCCTCCCATCTTGACTTCACAAAGTGCTGAGATTACAGGCATGAGCCACCGTACCCGGCCTTTTTATCTGTCTTTTAGTTTCAACCTTACTATGTCATTATGTTTGAAGTGAATTTTTTGTAGACATCATATAATTGGGTCATTTAAAAAAAATCCTGTCTGCTAATATCTGTATTTTAGTTTGTTTGTTTATTTATTTTGAGATGGAGTCTTGCTCTGTCACCAGGCTGGAGTACGGTGGTGTGATCTCGGCTCACTGCAACCTCCACCTCCCAGGTTCAAGCGATTCTCCTGCCTCAGCCTCCTGAGTAGCTGGGACTATAGGTGCACACCACCATACCAGGCTAATTTTTGTATTTTTAGTGGAGACAGGGTGTCACCATGTTGGCCAGGATGGTCTGCATCTCTTGACCTTGTGATCCACCCGCCTTGGCCTCCCAAAGTGCTGGGATTACAGGTGTAGTTTGTTTATTTATACAATTTATACCTAAAGTTAATATTGGTCTATTATGCCTTAAGTCTGCAATTTTATTATTTATTTTCACTTTATTCCTGTTTCTCTTGTCTTGCCTTACTATGGGTTTCATGAACATACTTTAGAATTTCACTTTAATTTTTAAAAATTATTTATTTATTTTTGAGACAGAGTCTCGCTCTGTCGCCCAGGCTGGAGTGCAGTGGTGCTATCTCGGCTCACTGCAAGCTCCGCCTCCCGGGTTCACGCCATTCTCCTGCCTCAGCCTCCTAAGTAGCTGGGATTACAGGTGTGTGCCATCACGCCTGGCTAATTGTTTTATATTTTTAGTAAAGACGGGGTTTCACCATGTTGGCCAGGCTGGCTTCGAACTCCTGACCTCAAGTGATCCACCTGCCTCAGTCTCCCAAAGTGCTCGTATTACAGGCGTGAGCCAATGCACCCGGCCCTTGGTGTGGATTTCTTTGGGTTTTCCTGTTTGGAGCTGACTTACTTTCTTTAATCTGTAAGTTTATGTCTCATCAAATTTGGGATGTTTTCAGACTTTGTTTCTTTGAATTTGACTCATCTTATTTGCATCATTTGATCGTCTTCTCCCTCTCTCTCGCGTTCGCTGTCTTTCTCTCTCTCTCTCTCTTGCTGTCTCTTTCTCTCTCTCGGCTCACTGAAACCTCTGCTTCCGGGGTTCAGGCAATTCTCGTGTCTCAGCCTCCTGAGTAGCTGGAATCATGGGCGTGTGCTACCACGCCCAGCTAATTTTTTGTATTTTTAGTAGAGACGGGGTTTCATCATGTTGGCCAGGCTGGTCTTGAACTCCTGACCTTAAGTGATCCACCCACCTCAGCCTCCCAAAGTGCTGGGATTATAGGCGTGAGCAACCACAGCCAGCCTTGATTGTCTTTTCTCAGTTTGTGATTTTCCTGGTTCTTAGTGGTAAAAATGAATTTTGATTATATCCTGGACATTTTGGATATTATGTTAGGAGACTTTGATTCCTATTTATAATCTTCTGTTTAGCAGGCAGTTGCTCTATTTAGGTTTTCCATATAGGCTCTGGCCTATTTATGTGGCTGTGATCCCAAAGATAATTTAGTTTTCAGGGGAGTTGCATTCTGGTCTACTTCAGTGGTACCATTGAGGCTCCCACTCAGTCCCTGTTGGTGATGCTTATGTGGGTGGAATGGTCTTCCTCAAGGCCTGCTGGTGCTGTGTGGGAAGGGGGAGATGCTAACCCACAGAGTAGAGAACATTTCCCTGGGCCTGCCCCTGGACCAACTGGTGTCAGTGGGTCACCCACTTGATTCTTGTTGATGGCATTCATGGGGGTAGAAAATGCTTTTCTAGGCCTCCTGATGCATCTAGGTAGGATGCTGGGCCCCTGCGATGGAGAACATTTCCTTGAACCTACTCTCTGGGTTTCTCAATGCTGGTGGACTTCCCATTCAATTTTTGCCAGTGCCACTGGGGAAGGAAAGTGCCTACCTGAGCTGTCTTTTACCACAGGAGAGTTAGGAGATGGTGGACCTAGGTCTTCTTTTGTTACTGGCTAGAGGACAGGGAGATGCCAAACCTGTTGGGACTCTCTGCCTGGTTTTTGCTGGCACTACAGTTCTGGTGGTGCAAGCCTACCTGTTGCTGCTGGGTTGGAGTAGGGTGTGGGGAGATGGGACTGTCTGCTAAGTCTGCTGGGCTGCCCGTTTCTTGGTCCATGGCCCACAGACAGCAGGCTTTTCTTGGACTTCTTTCTGCCCTCCTTTGTTCCCTTTCTCCTTCCCACTATTCCTATTCCTATTCCTATTTCTGGTCTTAGTTCCACACTGCAGGCCTCTCCAGGGTCCAGCCTCAGATATAAGAGAGTTAAAAAGAAAACTAAGGAAGTCATTGCCATGTTGTTCTCCAGTCTGGAGGTCCTTAGCTAGTCTGCGTTTCACTTTCTACCTTTCAGTTTTTTTTTTGTCTTTTGGTTTCTAGGGAAGTGGAGGGAAAAGCAAATTTATATCATTTTGTCAGGGACCAGAAGACAACTGGAGTTTTGAAAACTTGACTTAGATGTGCTATTGTCTTTGGTTGTTGGTAGAAATAATCATATGGGGGAAGTGAGGTAAAGATCTTTCTCAGGCAATATTGAATAAACTCAGGGATCTCAAGCCACAGAAGATGGGGACACCTATGCCATGAAACTTTCCTAACTTTTCTAAAATCTGCAGCCCGTGTCCTGAACTATTAATAATAGCTGACATTTATTGCTTGTTCACATTGCTAAGCATTTTATGTATTATTATTATAATGTATATTATATAATACAGGTTGAGCATCCCTAATCTGAAAAACCACAATCCAGAATGGTCCAAAATCTGGAACTTTTTGACTGCTGACATGATATTCAAAGGAAATACTCATTAGAGCATTTTGGATTTCAGATTTTTGGATTAGGTATGCACAATATGTTCTTTTATCATATTATTATTATGCCATATTGTTTTATATTTTTAATCTGACCTATGATGATGGGCACTGCTATTATTCTATTTGCTATCTGAGCAAAATGAAACTTAGAGTGACTTGCCCAAAGTCCCACTTTCTCTAAGAGGATTTTGATAGCTTCATTCCATATTGTTCTCTCTGTTTCTCAAGTTTTAAATGCCTTTATAACCTTACCATAAACATATCACACCATCAGTTTTTCCAAATTCTTTCTCAGAGAGGGCACCAATTTAATTTCTATTATATACTTAACACTAATCTTGGCATATGATAAAGGCATGAAAGAGTCTCGATGATTGTTTGCTAACTGAAGAGTTCATCAGTTAGTGGTACAGTACTGGCTGCCTCAGCTTGTTTACAGCATCAGGTAGTGACATAGTAGGAAACAATGCTTTGTGCAAGAAAGGATTTTAACTTCTTCCTAGGTAATATCAACACCCAGGGCTTCAGTTATTTCCTATGACTGATGAGTTCCAATTGTAGGACTCTATCTAGATATATCTCATACTCCAAATGTTTGTATCTGACTACTATGAAATGTCTTCATTTGGATGTCCCATAGGTATCTTAATGTCAGAACTTTAAAAATGGAGCCAATCATCTCTTTAAACCTACTCTTCCTTCTCTATTTCTTCTCAGTGAATGAGTGTCTACTTATTAGCCAAGCTAGAAACTTGTATTCTTCTTTCACCCTCATCCCTGCCCAATCACTTAATCTCGTTGATTCTATCAGACTCCCATTCTCTTTTCTGAATTACTGCATTAGTAATGGAAAACTGATCATCTTCTCTGCCACTTATTTTCAGTATTAAGCCAAAATAGTCTGTTTACAGGGCAGACTTGATAATGTCACTTCCTAGTTTGGAGTTCTTGCTTTCCATTGTTAACCTTGGGGTAAATTCTAAACTCCTTAGTACATAGTAGAAGGTCCCTGCTTACCTTCTTAGCCTTATACTTGCCTCTTTTTTCATAGTGAACTACTCTCATTTCTTCATGATGCTAGACCCTCTTGTCTCCTTGATCTCATAGATGCTATTTTCTCTACTTGGAATGCTTCCCTATTTTTTATATGCCCATCTTTGCCTAATTTCTGGTTTTTATCCTTTCATTCTGAGCTTTGCTGTCTTTCAGGAAAATGTTTCTGTTTTTCACTGTTCACCATGACTCTTTAAGAAAGAGCCAGATACTCCTTACATATGTTGCTATAGTATCCTGTAAACAGCCTCCCTAATCACTGCCCTTACACTGAATTTAGTAATTGCTTTTTTTTACTTGTTTCTGTCTCCCACAGGACTTTAAGCTCTTTGAGGGTAGAGCTCGGGCTTTGCTAATATATATATTTTTGCACCTGGCTGTGAAAGCTACTCAATAAATATCTGTTGAATGACTTTATGAATTGATGAATATTAAATGAATTAACATGCCTGGGTAGACTGGGGGAGGGGTAGAATAAGATGGTAGGCTTTGTATTTTGGCAGGGATCAGTTCTCAAGAAAGTGGATCAAATAAATGTAAGTATCATATTTCATTGACTATATGTCAGTTGTAATGAAGGCCTATGGATTAGTGTCTTATCACTATTTTATTGATCTCTGGTTAACATGAGGCTGTCTCTGTGACTTGAATGGCCTATATGTCTTTCTTTATGTTTTTTGGTGGGTATTGGGGTTTATGTTCCCTGCCTCTAAACCTAATTGATTTATCTTTTAGTTTTCCTGCCATAATTTTTATTGACGCCCAGTCTTTTGTTTAACCTTACTACCTTAGGTTGTTATTTGTTGGATATCTTCTCCCTTGAAGATGCAAGTTACTCAGGGCAGGGAGGGAACCTGCGTGTGGCTCAGAGTAAGGGAGGACTTTAGTTTGGGGCAGGACTTTGAAGGGTTCTCTTAAAGATGAGGAGCCTGGAAGCAAGATCTGAAATTACATCTTCTCCTGTCCCAGAGGGAATTTCTTTGAGTAGGGGTGCACCTATCAGGGTGGTTTGATGACTGGGTATTACTATGACCAGGTTATAACTTTCCCAGGGTTATTCTGTTAGGAAATAGTGTTTGGGATTTGATGTTTGAGTACAGAGTTCATGAACTTTTCACAACACCAGCAGTTCATTAGCTTTTTGAAACCTCTGCCCACTTAGGAATGAGGAAGAGTCTATAACGCACTTTACCTAACAATTCCTGCTTTCGCATTGAAAAAGAACTTAGTGATAGCAACAACAAAATTAGGAATTAAATTACAGGCTATAATGTTAGCTCGTGTATGTGATTTTTGTGTTATAAAACAGTGCCCTATTATCTTTTGAAACTAAGCAATTTTATTACATTTAACTTGATTTTGTATTGCAAGTTATTTAAATGGCATACATTTATCAACAGGACAACGTTAATGAATTATCAGTATGCAGGAACTTTGGAAGGGTTATATTTACGTCCACTGTGGTAATAAGGGTATCAAAAATCCTGTTTGAACTGTGATATATTGTGTTAAGTTTAGTTATGAGAGAATATAGTTTAAGATAATGAATGTAGAGATAAACATCTATGAGTTAACTGAGGGATTAACGAAATACAACACAATTATAATTATTTAGTTATCAATAATTAATAATTAGGAACTTATAAAAATGATATAGTAATTAATTAGAAAGCAAGAATAACAACAATGAAGACAAAGACCCATTTAAAATATCACTGGTGTCTTTTTAAAAAAACATGAATTTGAGTTTACTTCTCTGTACACACAATAGGTGCTTTTGCCAGACTTTTTAAAAAAAAATCTTTTTTATTTTTAATATTTATGAGAACATAGTAGGTGTATATATTTATGGGGTACATGAGATATTTTGACACAAACATACGATGTGTAATAATCACATCAAGGTAAATGGAGTATCTGTCACCTCAAGCATTCATTATTTCTTTATGTTGTGAAAATTCCAGTTATACTCTTTTAATTTAAAATGCGTTATAAATAATTGTTGACTGTAGTCACCGTATTGTACTATATCATATTCTAGAGCTTATTCATTCTAACTACATTTTTGTACCCATTAACCATCCTCCTCACTACCTTCCCAGCCCCGTTACAGACTTATTAGTGACTGAATTAGAGGGCTCAAAATGAGAGCTATAGTAATTTATTTGTGTGTGCTAGTATTAAAACCCATAATAATTGACTTGGAACGATTACTAGTAAGAGGCTCTTAGTCATATGTAAAATGGAAGTATGGAATTGTACCTCATTTTGTCTGTGAGAAATAAAGGGCTTGCTTATTCTTCTTATGTCAGAATATACTTGGGGAAATAAAACCGTGCTGTCTTCGTCACCTAGGAAGCCTTCTGTGTTACTAAGCACCTTAGTATGGAGAAGAGTTCTTGAGTAAATTGTACCCAGGTTGTTAGTCTTAATGTCATCTCTAAGAGGCATACAGTTCCCACCCAATATACAACTTTGGTGTAGTATAGTCTTTTCTGGCAGCCATCTTCCTCTTCTTGGTCGAAACTTACCTCTTCAACTCACCCCTAGTTCTGAAAATGAATCTCCAAAGATTATATCAGTATGTAGTAATATTGTTAACACTCACACTTAGTGTATTCTTCTTTCCCAGGGCTGAGAGAATAATAAGGACTCTAAAAACATACCATTTTTCATCATGAACTCCTTATGTACATAGACACATTTTATAAATCATAGTTAATGGATTTGTGATCACCATTCTTCTGACAGTTTGACATATATGTCCTTAACTTTATATAGAACTGACAAGAATTCTTCTTTAACATCGTGCATCTCCTCCCTCGCTTTTAACAGCTTAACCTATAGTCGTTCTTCCAGTTTTCTTTACTAATCTTTTCCTTTACCCCTGAGGTTAAAAAGACCTTATCTTATGTAACCTGGATCTTTCAAGGACCTGGGCTGTACATCTTAACTCCTTAGCTATTTATCTCATTTGTCCCCATTCATGGTGTCACTAATAATTTGTAATGGCCAAAGGGATATAAAAACTTTGAGAAATCAGGAAATCATTTAGAAAAACAAGGTTTTGTTTTGTTAATCTGTTTTGGTTTATTAGCTTCTTGAGCCTGTTTTGTTTCCTCACAAAAACTTTTCTTATTTTCTTTAGACCCAGCAGGCAAGAACCTCACAAAATTTTGTAACTCATATTCCTTCTCAGGTTACAATGCATGTTACATTTTTAAATTTTTTACTTTTCTTGAAGAGTTAATACTTGATACTTCTAGTTCTTTACTTTGAAATTCACTCCTCAACCCATTTCATTCTATATTCAGCTCCTTTGAAGCTCGTCAGTGGCCATAGAAAGCCAGTCAGTTGTAGTGGAAAGAGCTCAGAACTTGGATTTAGAGTTTAAGGGTTAAAGTACCAGTTTTTGTCACTTACCCACCTACAATTCTAGAAAAACTATGTATCTTTGCACTTAAAATGTGGTCTGAGGACCAATAACATTGGGCATCCCTGGGGAGCTTGTTAGAAATGCAGAATTTCAGGTCCCACCCAGACCTACTGAGTCAGAATCTGCAAGTTAACAAGATCCCAACATTGAGAAGCACTGTTACATGGTCATCTTTGCAACTCGGTTTCCCTATACGTAAAAAATAGATAATACTTGCTCTATATATCAATCATCTTAACACCATCTGACACATCATATGTTTTACCAATTTATTGTCAGCCTCCTCCTGCTAGAATACAAATTAGCTCTGTGAGGTAGGGATTATTGTCTGTTTATTGCTGTATGTAGAACAGTGCCTGGAACATAGTAAGCATTCATGTATTTTGAATGAACAATGAATGAAGGGACAGCTTGTCAAATCCTGTCATTTCTGTTGCAGTCACTTACTTTACACTGCTGTTTAAAACTGCTTTCATTTAGAATTATTGTATTAGTGCAAATATAGAACATTTCTATAGAAATGTTTGTTGGATTGTGCAACCTAGATTTTTACATTCCCTTCTCACTCATCTTGAAAACTTTAAAACTGTAAACAACTTGCCATGCTATACAGAATTAAGTTAAAACTCTTCAGAGTAACCTTTAGAGTTTTTTCAGTTTTATGTACTTAAATATATATATATTATACAGGGTGCATTTGTTGGGAGAGTCCTTCAAACTCACTGCACGCATAGCATCCCTCTAGGCCATATTGTACTGCCCCTGTGGGACTTGGGGGCAGGAGGAACCCGTGAAAATAAGCTGATGAGCCTTTGCTGTACCAGGGATCATGAAGTCTTTTGTCTCTGACTGAAGACCTTATGTCTTCTGCCAGCCTGCAAGACACAATAACAGATTGTAAGTAGGGTGAAATCAAATCCTAGACCCAATAGCATTATCCCATCTCATTGAAAATTCTCTTAAAAATCCAAGTTGTAAGATCCATATAATATTTCATCCACTGGATATACTGTTGTTTATAACCATTACTCTGTTGTTGAAGATTAAAATGTTTTTACTTTAGTTTTCTAATTAATATCTTTGTGTGCAAATATTTATCTCCTTTGATGGCTGTTTCCTTAGGATTCATTTCTAGAAGCTTTTTAAAGGCTCAAAGCTGGCTTTTTTCCAGCACATAGAATTTTAAAATAGAAAATTTTATATACTATTAACAAATCTCTTTTTCTTTAGGAGACACTTCTAAAGGAGGCATAGCTAAAGTTACTCAATCCAACTTGAAGTCAGGCATCACTACCACTCCTGTTGATTCAGACATTGGATCTCATTTATCCTTGTCCCTTGAGGACCTGTCTCAGTTGGCTGTAAGTTCTCCTCTAGAAACTACTACTGGTCAACACACTGATACTCTCAACCAAAAGACATTAGCAGATACTCATCTAACTGAAGAGACTCTGAAAGTCACAGCTATTCCTGAACCAGCTGACCAGAAGACTGCAACACCAACAGTACTCTCTAGTTCCCACTCACATAGGGGGAAGCCCAGCATTTTCTACCAGCAGGGCTTGCCAGACAGTCATCTAACTGAAGAGGCTTTGAAAGTTTCAGCTGCTCCTGGACTAGCTGACCAGACAACTGGCATGTCAACTCTAACCTCTACTTCCTACTCACATAGAGAGAAGCCTGGTACTTTTTACCAACAAGAGTTACCAGAGAGTAACTTAACCGAAGAGCCTTTGGAAGTTTCAGCTGCTCCTGGCCCAGTGGAGCAGAAGACGGGAATACCTACAGTATCCTCTACATCCCACTCACATGTAGAGGACCTCCTCTTTTTCTATCGACAGACCTTGCCAGATGGTCATCTAACTGATCAGGCTCTGAAAGTCTCAGCTGTGTCTGGACCAGCTGACCAGAAGACTGGGACAGCAACAGTACTCTCTACTCCCCACTCACATAGAGAGAAGCCTGGTATTTTTTACCAACAAGAGTTCGCAGACAGTCATCAAACTGAAGAGACTCTTACTAAAGTTTCAGCCACTCCTGGACCAGCTGACCAGAAGACTGAGATACCAGCAGTACAGTCTAGTTCTTACTCACAAAGAGAAAAGCCTAGTATTTTGTACCCACAGGACTTAGCAGACAGTCATCTACCTGAAGAGGGTCTGAAAGTTTCAGCTGTTGCTGGACCAGCTGACCAGAAGACTGGCCTACCAACAGTACCCTCTAGTGCATACTCACACAGAGAGAAGCTCCTTGTTTTCTACCAACAGGCCTTGCTGGACAGCCATCTACCCGAAGAGGCTCTGAAAGTTTCAGCTGTTTCTGGACCAGCTGACGGAAAGACTGGGACACCAGCTGTAACCTCTACTTCCTCTGCGTCCTCTTCACTTGGAGAAAAGCCCAGTGCTTTCTATCAGCAGACCTTACCCAATAGTCATCTAACTGAAGAGGCTCTGAAAGTATCAATTGTTCCTGGACCAGGTGATCAGAAGACTGGGATACCCTCAGCACCATCTAGTTTCTACTCACACAGAGAGAAGCCCATTATTTTTTCCCAGCAGACCCTGCCAGACTTTCTTTTCCCTGAAGAAGCTCTGAAGGTTTCAGCTGTTTCTGTATTGGCTGCCCAGAAGACTGGGACACCAACAGTGTCCTCTAATTCTCACTCACATAGCGAGAAATCTAGTGTTTTCTACCAGCAAGAGTTGCCAGACAGTGATCTACCTAGAGAATCTCTGAAAATGTCTGCTATTCCTGGACTGACTGACCAGAAGACTGTCCCAACACCAACAGTACCTTCAGGTTCCTTCTCACATAGAGAGAAGCCCAGTATTTTCTATCAACAGGAGTGGCCAGATAGTTATGCAACTGAAAAGGCTCTGAAAGTTTCAACTGGCCCTGGACCAGCTGACCAGAAGACTGAGATACCAGCAGTACAGTCTAGTTCTTACCCACAGAGGGAGAAGCCTAGTGTTTTGTACCCACAGGTGTTATCAGACAGTCATCTACCTGAAGAGAGTCTGAAAGTTTCAGCCTTCCCTGGACCAGCTGACCAGATGACTGACACACCAGCAGTACCGTCTACTTTCTACTCACAAAGAGAGAAGCCTGGTATTTTCTACCAACAGACCTTGCCAGAGAGTCATCTGCCTAAAGAGGCTCTGAAAATTTCAGTAGCTCCTGGACTAGCAGACCAGAAGACTGGCACACCAACTGTAACCTCAACTTCCTACTCACAACATAGAGAAAAGCCCAGCATTTTCCACCAGCAGGCCTTGCCAGGTACTCATATACCTGAAGAGGCTCAGAAAGTTTCAGCTGTTACTGGACCAGGTAACCAGAAGACTTGGATACCAAGAGTACTTTCTACCTTCTACTCACAAAGAGAGAAACCTGGTATTTTCTATCAACAGACCTTGCCAGGTAGTCACATACCTGAAGAGGCACAGAAAGTTTCACCTGTTCTTGGACCAGCTGACCAGAAGACTGGGACACCAACTCCAACCTCTGCTTCTTACTCACACACAGAGAAGCCTGGTATTTTCTACCAACAGGTCTTGCCAGATAATCATCCAACTGAAGAGGCTCTGAAAATTTCAGTTGCCTCTGAACCAGTTGACCAGACAACTGGCACACCAGCTGTAACCTCTACTTCCTACTCACAATATAGAGAGAAGCCCAGCATTTTCTACCAACAGTCGTTGCCAAGTAGTCATCTAACTGAAGAGGCTAAGAATGTTTCAGCGGTTCCTGGACCAGCTGACCAGAAGACTGTGATACCAATTTTACCCTCTACTTTCTACTCACACACAGAGAAGCCTGGTGTTTTCTACCAACAGGTCTTGCCACATAGTCATCCAACTGAAGAGGCTCTGAAAATTTCAGTTGCCTCTGAACCAGTTGACCAGACAACTGGCACACCAACTGTAACCTCTACTTCTTACTCACAACATACAGAGAAGCCGAGTATTTTCTACCAACAGTCGTTGCCAGGTAGTCATCTAACTGAAGAGGCTAAGAACGTTTCAGCGGTTCCTGGACCAGGTGACCGGAAGACTGGGATACCAACTTTACCCTCTACTTTCTACTCACACACAGAGAAGCCTGGTAGTTTCTACCAACAGGTCTTGCCACATAGTCATCTACCTGAAGAGGCTTTGGAAGTTTCAGTTGCTCCTGGACCAGTTGACCAGACGATTGGCACACCAACTGTAACCTCCCCTTCCAGCTCATTTGGAGAGAAGCCCATTGTTATCTACAAACAGGCCTTTCCAGAGGGTCATCTACCTGAAGAGTCTCTGAAAGTTTCAGTTGCTCCTGGACCAGTTGGCCAGACAACTGGCGCACCAACTATAACCTCTCCTTCCTACTCACAACATAGAGCAAAGTCTGGCAGTTTCTACCAACTGGCATTGCTAGGTAGTCAAATACCTGAAGAGGCTCTCAGAGTTTCTTCTGCTCCTGGACCAGCTGACCAGACAACTGGCATACCAACCATAACCTCTACTTCCTACTCATTTGGAGAGAAGCCGATTGTTAACTACAAACAGGCCTTTCCAGATGGTCATCTACCTGAAGAGGCTCTGAAAGTTTCCATTGTTTCTGGACCTACTGAAAAAAAGACTGACATACCAGCAGGACCTTTAGGTTCCAGTGCACTTGGAGAGAAGCCCATTACTTTCTACCGGCAGGCTCTGCTAGACAGTCCTCTAAATAAAGAGGTTGTGAAAGTTTCAGCTGCTCCTGGACCAGCTGACCAGAAGACTGAGACATTACCAGTACATTCTACTAGCTACTCAAATAGGGGGAAGCCTGTCATTTTCTACCAGCAGACCCTATCAGACAGTCATTTACCTGAAGAAGCTCTGAAAGTTCCACCTGTTCCTGGACCAGATGCCCAGAAGACTGAGACACCATCAGTATCCTCTAGTTTATACTCATATAGAGAGAAGCCCATTGTCTTCTACCAACAGGCCCTGCCAGACAGTGAGCTAACTCAAGAAGCTCTGAAAGTTTCAGCTGTTCCTCAACCAGCTGACCAGAAGACTGGGTTATCTACTGTAACTTCCTCTTTCTATTCACATACAGAGAAGCCTAATATTTCTTACCAGCAAGAGTTGCCAGATAGTCATCTAACTGAAGAGGCTCTGAAAGTTTCAAATGTTCCTGGACCAGCTGACCAGAAGACTGGGGTATCAACAGTAACCTCTACTTCCTACTCACACAGAGAGAAGCCCATTGTTTCCTACCAGCGAGAGTTGCCGCATTTTACTGAAGCAGGTTTGAAAATTTTAAGAGTTCCTGGACCAGCTGACCAGAAGACTGGAATAAACATCCTGCCCTCTAATTCCTACCCACAGAGAGAGCACTCTGTCATTTCTTATGAGCAGGAGTTGCCAGATCTTACTGAAGTAACTTTGAAAGCAATAGGGGTTCCTGGGCCTGCTGACCAGAAGACTGGGATACAAATAGCATCCTCTAGTTCCTACTCAAATAGAGAGAAGGCCAGTATTTTTCATCAGCAGGAGTTGCCAGATGTTACTGAAGAAGCTTTAAATGTTTTTGTTGTTCCTGGACAAGGTGACCGGAAGACTGAGATACCAACAGTACCTTTAAGTTACTACTCACGTAGAGAGAAGCCCAGTGTTATCTCTCAACAGGAGTTGCCAGACAGTCATCTCACAGAAGAGGCTCTGAAAGTTTCACCTGTTTCTATACCAGCAGAGCAGAAGACTGGGATACCAATAGGACTGTCTAGTTCCTACTCACATTCACATAAAGAGAAACTCAAGATTTCAACTGTGCATATACCAGATGACCAGAAAACTGAGTTTCCAGCAGCTACCCTTAGTTCCTACTCACAAATAGAGAAGCCCAAGATTTCAACTGTGATTGGACCAAATGACCAGAAGACTCCATCCCAGACAGCTTTTCATAGTTCCTATTCTCAAACAGTAAAGCCCAATATTTTATTTCAACAGCAGTTGCCAGATAGAGATCAAAGTAAAGGTATTCTAAAGATTTCAGCTGTCCCTGAACTAACTGATGTGAATACTGGAAAACCAGTATCTCTCTCTAGTTCTTATTTTCACAGAGAGAAATCGAATATTTTCAGTCCACAGGAATTGCCAGGTAGTCATGTAACTGAAGATGTGCTGAAGGTTTCAACAATTCCTGGACCAGCTGGCCAGAAAACAGTATTACCAACAGCTCTTCCTAGTTCCTTTTCACATCGAGAGAAACCAGATATTTTCTATCAAAAGGATTTGCCAGATAGACATCTAACTGAAGATGCTCTAAAGATCTCAAGTGCTCTTGGGCAAGCTGATCAAATTACCGGATTACAAACAGTTCCCTCTGGTACTTACTCACATGGTGAGAATCACAAGCTTGTTTCAGAACATGTCCAAAGGCTAATAGATAATTTGAATTCTTCTGACTCCAGTGTTAGCTCAAATAATGTGCTTTTAAATTCTCAGGCTGATGACAGAGTTGTAATAAATAAACCAGAATCTGCAGGTTTTAGAGATGTTGGCTCTGAAGAAATCCAGGATGCAGAAAATAGTGCTAAAACTCTTAAGGAAATTCGGACACTTTTGATGGAGGCAGAAAATATGGCACTGAAACGATGCAATTTTCCTGCTCCCCTTGCCCGTTTCAGAGATATTAGTGATATTTCATTTATACAATCTAAGAAGGTGGTTTGCTTCAAAGAACCCTCTTCCACGGGTGTATCTAATGGTGATTTGCTTCACAGACAGCCATTCACAGAGGAAAGCCCAAGCAGCAGGTGCATACAGAAGGATATTGGCACACAGACGAATTTGAAATGCCGGAGAGGCATTGAAAATTGGGAGTTTATTAGTTCAACTACAGTTAGAAGTCCTCTACAGGAAGCAGAGAGCAAAGTCAGTATGGCATTAGAAGAAACTCTTAGGCAATATCAAGCAGCCAAATCTGTAATGAGGTCTGAACCTGAAGGGTGTAGTGGAACCATTGGGAATAAAATTATTATCCCTATGATGACTGTCATAAAAAGTGATTCAAGTAGTGATGCCAGTGATGGAAATGGTTCCTGCTCGTGGGACAGTAATTTACCAGAGTCTTTGGAATCAGTTTCTGATGTTCTTCTAAACTTCTTTCCATATGTTTCACCCAAGACAAGTATAACAGATAGCAGGGAGGAAGAGGGTGTGTCAGAGAGTGAGGATGGTGGTGGTAGCAGTGTAGATTCACTGGCTGCACATGTGAAAAACCTTCTGCAATGTGAATCCTCACTGAATCATGCTAAAGAAATACTCAGAAATGCAGAGGAAGAGGAAAGCCGGGTACGAGCACATGGTAAGAAGAAAGTTTCAGGCTTATAAACGTTATAGTTTAATAATGTGTTTAAAGTTAGATATTTATGTTTTGAGGAAGCTTAGCCAATGAAAAATACAAGCAAGATCAAGAAAAAAAATGAAGTTAGATATTTGGAGTTCTAAATGTATTTTCCAATAGAATTGTTAGAATGACTATATTTCTTCTAACAATCCATAAAAAGCCTATTTAACCAATAATGTAGTTAAGTTACAGTATTAATAGTACCAGCCTGAGTTTACGTTCTTGTTCTTAGGAGAAGTAGATTCTGATGTATGACAGAGAGTAAAGAGGTCGCTTGGGCTCCTGAGCTCCTAAAGCTATCACGTTTCTCTAATCCTCCCATTATAGTATCCTTATTCTGAAGGCAGAAAGAGCCTCCAATTTGCTGTGCTCTAAATTGCTTTTTGTCCTAAAACTACATATATTTTCTCTTTCCCTTTTCTAATAGAACTCTTGGTGTTGATCTCAGACATTTGAAAAAAAAATCAATGTATTTTATACTAAAACTTGGGTTAGAGGTTTAAAAGAGAATATTTACAAATCTCATTAATTTCTAATAGAATTCCATTAAAAACAAAAATCTGTAAGACAATATGGGGAATATATTTTGGGAGGCAATTTAAAAGCAATTTAGGCCTACCTAGAAATCGTCCCTTGAGGTTAACTTCCTACGCTGTTCCCTGCACATTTTTATTCTACAAAAAAACCTCCAAGTTGTATTTATTACTTTTAAATATCAGCTGTCATGGAATTATGAGTAATTGTAGCAGGAACTAAAGGGAGAGGTAAAGAAACTCATGATTAAAAGGAGGATTAAGATAAATATGATTGATTACCCGATTTAAAGTGGCTTTTTTGTAGAATTATCTATAGAGCATGACTTAAGAAAATCAGACTTTGCAGTGAAAGGATCTCTGTCAAGAATTTCTAATAGGTTGTCATAATTGAGAAGAAGACATACTAAGCATTGCAGTGGGTATTAAATTGCATATATTGATGATCTTCTGTGTTGCAATTGTTGACAAATTATCACTTTTGCATTGTATTATCTCAAGTGTATGCTTTCTCTCCAGCCTGGAATATGAAGTTCAATTTAGCACATGATTGTGGATACTCCATTTCAGAATTAAATGAAGATGACAGGAGGAAAGTAGAAGAGATCAAGGCAGAGTTATTTGGTCATGGAAGAACAACTGACTTGTCCAAGGTATAAAAGAAATCTGGAAATGAAGAAAGTAAATATGAAAGAATGGGTGATGGAATTAGGATCTCTTACTTGGGCATCAGTTGAGTTGCTGATAATATTTGGCTAAAGCCTTTTTTGGTTTTGTTTTTGAGACAGTCTTGCTCTGTTGCCCAGGCTGAAGTGCAGCAGTGCAATCACAGGTCACTGCAGCCCTGAACTCTTAGACTCAAGGAATCCTCCCACCTCAGCCTCTCAGGTAGCTGGGACCACATGTGTGTACCGCCCTGCTCGGCTAATTTTTAAATTTTTGGCAGAGACAGGGTCTCTACGTTGCCCAGGCTGGTCTTGAACGCTTGGATTCAAGCGATCCTCTTGCCTTGGCCTCCCAAAATGCTGGGATTACAGGCATGAGCCACTGTGCCTAGGCAGGCATCTTAATTTTTCAAAAGTTAAGATATAAGTATTAGATTCTTACAGTCTAGATATGTTGTTTTTATTGATTCCAAATTCATATTTTGAAAAATTTATCTTCTTAGAAAAATAAGAACTGATTTGCTTGTTTTATCAATTTTTTTTTTAAGAACAGAGAAGACTAAATGTCACCCTTATTTTCTCTTGAAAGTGGTATCTTGAAATCCAGCTATTTTCAAATGTTTATTTTAAATACTTGAGTACACAGCTATAATAGCTTATGTATAAATGGCTTTCATTTTAATAGTACATATTTTCCTTCTATTAACTATTTCATATGTAGAAAAGAGCATATATGAATCATTTATGTAAAGAATAGCAGCAAGTAAAAATAATTCCCATATATTTACTATCGAGCTTGAGAAATAGAACATTACCAAATACTGTTGAAGTTCTTTGTTTCTCCTTTCCCAGTCATATCTTTTTTATTTCTTATTTTGATATATAATGATTTTCCTTCTCTTCAGTATGGTTTTGAACTCTAAGATGGAATCAATATGATACATATTCTTTTGAGAACTAGGTGTTTCACACAGTGTTAGGGTTTTGAGCTGCTTCTATGTAGATGTGCAGAGTTTTCATTTGTTCCTTATTACTGTACAGTATTCCAGTGTGTGATTACATGATAATTTATTCTTTCTCCTGTGGATAAGGCATTTTGTCTGCTATTTTGCATAGTAATAGGGTATAATAATGCCTATCGTAGAGGGTTTTGGTGTGGATTATGTGAGATAATGCCTATAAAATGCTTAGTAGAACGTGTGATGTCTAGTTAGTACTCAGTAACTGGCAGCTATTATTACTATTATTAATCCTGAAAGAATTGATATAGCTATCATGCAAGGATTTCATGGCCTGATTCATACAAAGTTTCTTAGAAAACTATTCTCCAGTGATATAGTTTATTTGGATTATCTCAATTTTGGAAAAGTTTGAAAAGTACAAATTAGATTGGATTTTAGGTTTTACGTATATGCTTGTGAAAAACAAAATTGACAAAATAATAAGAATAATAAAATGGGCAATTGGTTGTCTTAGCACCATTTGTATATATGCTGCCAAAGTGAGCACTATCCTAGCATCATTTGTTTAAAATTACATAGTTTTCTCAGTGATCTGTGTTTCCCTATTTTTAAAAATTATTTTCTTGCGTTCATATTTCCAGATCCCTCAGCAAGCAAGTTGCCTTCCTTTGGGTAGACTCTGGTTTGTCTGTGTTTTTCTTAAAATAAGGTGTCCTGAATTAGATGAAACACAATTTCACTTCTGATCTGACCAGCATGAAGTATATTCAGTAATTCTCTTTCTGTCAATGTACTGTGAGATCTTTAATGGTCACAGCATAATTGGGCATTAAAAAAAACCATGTACTGCTTTCAAAACTTAAAGCTGTAGGAAAAAAGCAAAGCAAAACAAACCAAACAAAAACCATGAACTGCTGCCAAGATTCCTATTCTCATTTCTTGTATCTATATAATACTTTTTTAAAAATCTTCTTATTTTTGAGACAGAGTCTCACTTTATTGCCCAGGCTGGACTGCAGTGGCATGATCTTGGCTCACTGCAACTTCTACATCCCAGGTTCAAGTGATTCTCCTGCCTCAGCCTCCCGGGTAGCTGGGATTACAGCTGTGTGAGTGGCGCATGACACCACATCCAGCTGATCTTTGTATTTTTAGTAGAGATGGGGTTTCACTATGTTGGCCAGGCTGGTCTTGAACTCCTGACCTCAAGTGATCCGCCTGCCTCGGCCTCCCAAAATGCTGGGATTACAGGCCATTACGCCTCGCCCTATGTAATACTTTTTAACTCTCCTGTATTTCTTTTTATTGCTTTTATATCAGTGTTCAAGCCTATTGGAATGATTTTTAATCAAATTTGATCATTTATTTTATTAAAATATCCCTTTCAGCTTTGTGCCATTTATATATTTGATAAGTATTTTTATCCAAATTAGCAATAAAAATGTTTACTAAGGGCTATGGATAAAAAGTCTAAAACTTTTGGCTGGGCGCGGTGGCTCATGCCTGTAATCCTAGCACTTTGGGAAGCCAAGGTGGGTGGATCACTTGAGGTCAGGAGTTCGAGACCAGCCTGGCCGACGTGGTGAAACCCCGTCTCTACTAAAAATACAAAAATTACCTGGGTGTCATGGTGCATGCCTGTAATCCTAGCTACTCGGGAAGCTGAGGCAGGAGAATTGCTTGAACCTGGGAGGTGGAGATTGTAGTGAGCCGAAGATTGTGCCAGTGCACTCCAGCCTAGGCGACAGAGGGAGACTTTGTCTCAAAAAAAAAAAAAAAAAAAAGGTCTAAAACTTTTGAATAAGATTACTCTCACACCTATTTTGAGTACTTCACTATACTGTCATTCAACCATCTTGTGTTTCACCATCTTATGATTGACTTTTTTCAGTCTATTAACTGAGTAGTTGCGAAATAGTGTTTGTCTAGATATGCCTTGTCCTTAGGGAACCCATATTGGCCACACTGTGTACGGTTTTGGACCTTTTATTTTTTTAACTTAAATATATTAGGATTTCCCTTTAAAACTTCTCTAAAAGCATAATTTCACAGGTATGTAATATCCCATTGTATGAACATAACAATTTATTCACTACCCTACTGTTGGACATTTATTCATTCATTCCAAAAATACATATTGAATGCCTGATATGCGCCATCCTCATCTATAGCCTGAGGACACACCACTGAACAAAATAGACAAACATTTCTTCATCATGAGCTTACATTAAGGAAGAGTATATGAATAACAACCAAACAAGTAAAATAAATGTCAGATGGTGGGATAAGAGCCAGGGAGACAAAGCAGAATGGTCAACACAGAACCTGAGAAAGAGGTATTGAATTAAATATCTGAGTAAGGTGAGAAAGTAAGGCAGTTAACAGTGACAAGAGCATTCCAGACAGAAATAGCATGCACACAGTTGCTGAGGTAAAGTGTGTGAAAGGAAAGGGAGTGTTAAAGGAAAGGGAGGAGGCCAGTGTGTTTGGAGAGTGAGAGTGAAAGGGAGAAGACTAGATTGTGGAAGGCAGTGGTTCTTGACGGGTAGTAAATGCCTCCCAAAGAGATATTTTGGAAAATTATGTGATTTTTCTTGGGTCATCACTGTAATTGGGGATTGTTTCTGGAATGCAGTAGATAGGTGTCAGGTATGTTACTATTTCTATAATGTACAAGACAGTTCCACACAATGAAGAGTTGTCCCTTGTCACATACAGCTTTTGAATGTCCCTGTAGATATTAATGTTGATGAAAAACCTGTTATAAATTACTTCAGTGTTTGTCATGTTTTAAATGATTTTTTTTTTAGTATAGGGTGTTTCTTCTGTTTTTTCTTTCTTTCATGACTGACATTTTTGAAGAGTACAACCTAGTTACTTTGCAGATTTCCCTCAAATTGAATTTATCTGGTGTTTTATCATGATTTGATTCAGATTTGATTTTTATGTAGGAAAGCCACAGAAGTGATGTGCTTTTCATGCTTGTCAGGAGGCACATTATGTTGATTTGTCTCAATACTTGTAATGTTAACTCATACCACTTAGTTAAGGTGGTATCTGCTGGTTTGTGTGTTTTACATATTAATTAATAAGTTAATAAATATTAGGGAGAGATTCTTTGAGACTGTAAATATCTCTAGTTTAGGATCTAGTGTTTATACTTGCCTGAATAATTTATTAATAAAATAGCTTTAATTTGGTTATTGAAAAAAATTCCATCATTGCTTCAACATTTCATTGGAGTTCTGTGGTAAGTTAAAAGTGTCCCTTCTCCATTTATTTATTTATATCATTATGGACTCTTGGATTTTTCGTTTACTCAAAGGGTCACAACCTATCACTATCATTGTTTATTTTGATACTCAAATTATCCCACACTTGCCCACTGGAACCATTTTAAGCTGGTTCCTGTGTGTTCTTATGATCCCATCATTTCATGAGCATTCACCCACTTTCTGAGCTAGGAAGACACTCTAGGAATATCTTATATTTTCTTTTCACCAACCCTAGAGCTGTCCATTTCTCCAAGGGGCGCTGGTTCTTTTTAGCAGAGAGTGGCATGTAGAAACTAAGATCTGTATGCTTGGTGTGCTTATTGATACTATGATGCTGTTGCCTTTATGCCCTTTCAGCAGACAATGTGTGTGTACATAATTACACGCACCCCCCTCTCCCCTGTAGGCCTGTTTCCTTATCTATTACTTTTATTATAAAATGAGAGCTGAGTTTATACTAGTACATCCAATTCCATTCCAGTACTACAGGGTTATTCTAGCCTTTTTTTCTTTCTTTATTTGTAACTCACTTCCCTGATAGTAAGAAACTTGGCTCCCATTATCCTCCATATATTTACTTGTTTAAACTCCCTTGTATGTTTCTCCCTCAGCCCCACTGCTCTTCATGCCTGCAACAGATTGAATTTCTTTCCCAGCCCCAACTCTTTCAACCCACAAGTTTTATATGTAATATAATTATTATTATACCATTCCAGATATTTTTAAATTTCCATTATGATTTCTTTCAACAATGAATGGTGATATATTAGGATGATACCTTCAGTGTGCTGAAAGAAAATAAATTATATCTATCTAGAATTGCATGTCAGTGAAAATCTGTTTTAAGAATGTGGTAATATAAAAATGATTTTAGACAAAAACAGTTCATTCAGCACTCATTAAAAAATTCGGGTGGAGCCAAGATGGCCAAATAGGAACAGCTCCGGTCTACAGCTCCCAGTGTGAGCAACGCAGAAGACTGGTGATTTCTGCATTTCCATCTGAGGTACCGGGTTCATCTCACTAGGGAGTGCCAGACAGTGGGTGTAGGACAGTGGGTGCAGCGCACCATTCACAAGCCGAAGCAGGGCGAGGCATTGCCTCACTCGGGAAGTGCAAGGGGTCAGGGAGTTCCCTTTCCTAGTCAAAGAAAGGGGTGACAGACGGCACCTGGAAAATCGCATCACTCCCACACTAATACTGCGCTTTTCCGACGGGCTTAAAAAACGGCACACCAGGAGATTATATCCCGCACATGGCTCGGAGGGTCCTACGCCCACAGAGTCTCGCTGATTGCTAGCACAGCAGTCTGAGATCAAACTGCAAGGCAGCAGCGAGGCTGGGGGAGGGGCGCCTGCCATTGTGCAGGCTTGATTAGGTAAACAAAGCAGCCTGGAAGCTCGAACTGGGTGGAGCCCACTACAGCTCAAGGAGGCCTGCCTGCCTCTGTAGGCTCCACCTCTGGGGGCAGGGCATAGCCAAACAAAAGGCAGCAGTAACCTCTGTAGACTTAAATGTCCCTGTCTGACAGCTTTGAAGAGAGTAGTGGTTCTCCCAGCACGCAGCTGGAGATGTGAGAATGGGCAGACTGCCTCCTCAAGTGGGTCCCTGACCCCCAAGCAGCCTAACTGGGAGGCACCCCCCAGGAGGGGCAGACTGACACCTCACACGACCGGGTACTCCTCTGAGACAAAACTTCCAGAGGAATGATCAGGCAGCAGCATTTGCGGTTCACCAATATCCGCTGTTCTACAGTCACTGCTGTTGTGCAGCCACCGCTGCTGATACCCAGGCAAACAGGGTCTGGAGTGGACCTCTAGCAAACTCCCAACAGACCTGCAGCTGAGGGTCCTGTCTGTTAGAAGGAAAACTAACAAACAGAAAGGACATCCACACCAAAAACCCATCTGTACGTCACCATCATCAAAGACCAAAGGTAGATAAAACCACAAAGATGCAGAAAAAACAGAGCAGAAAAACTGGAAACTCTAAAAAGCAGAGCGCCTCTCCTCCTCCAAAGGAACGCAGCTCCTCAGCAGCAACGGAACAAAGCTGGATGGACAATGACTTTGAAGAGTTGAGAGAAGAAGGCTTCAGATGATCAAACTACTCCGAGCTACAGGAGGAAATTCAAACCAATGGCAAAGAAGTTAAAAACTTTCAAAAAAATTAGACGAATGGATACCTAGAATAACCAATGCAGAGAAGTCCTTAAAGGAGCTGATGGAGCTAAAAGCAAAGGCGCGAGAACCATGTGAAGAATGCAGAAGCCTCAGGAGCTGATGCGATCAACTGGAAGAAAGGGTATCAGTGATGGAAGATGAAATGAATGAAATGAAGCGAGAAGGGAAGTTTAGAGAAAAAAGAATAAAAAGAAACGAACAAAGCCTCCAAGAAATATGGGACTATGTGAAAAGACCAAATCTACGTCTGATTGGTGTACCTGAAAGTGACAGGGAGAATGGAACCAAGTTGGAAAACACTCTGCAGGATATTATCCGGGAGAACTTCCCCAATCTAGCAAGGCAGGCCAACATTCAGATTCAGGAAATACAGAGAACGCCACAAAGATACTCCTCGAGAAGAGCAACTCCAAGACACATTAATTGTCAGATTCACCAAAGTTGAAATGAAGGAAAAAATGTTAAGGACAGCCAGAGAGAAAGGTCGGATTACCCACAAAGGGAAGCCCATCAGACTAACAGCGGATCTCTCGGCAGAAACCCTATAAGCCAGAAGAGAGTGGGGGCCAATATTCAACATTCTTAAAGAAAAGAATTTTCAACCCAGAATTTCATATCCAGCGAAACTAAGCTTCATAAGTGAAGGAGAAATAAAATCCTTTACAGACAAGCAAATGCTGAGAGATTTTGTCACCACCAGGCCTGCCCTAAAAGAGCTCCTGAAGGAAGCGCTAAACATGGAAAGGAACAACTGGTACCAGCCACTGCAAAAACATGCCAAAATGTAAAGACTGTCAAGGCCAGGAAGAAACTGCATCAACTAATGAGCAAAATAACCAGCTAACATCATAATGACAGGACCACATTCACACATAACAATATTAACTTTAAATGTAAATGGACTAAATGCTCCAATTAAAAGGCAAAGACTGGCAAATTGGATAAAGAGTCAAGACCCATCAGTGTGCTGTATTCAGGAAACCCATCTCATGTGCAGAGACACACATAGGCTCAAAATAAAGAGATGGAGGAAGATCTACCAAGCAAATGGAAAACAAAAAAAGGCAGGGGTTGCAATCCTAGTCTCTGATAAAACAAACTTTAAACCAACAAAGATCAAAAGAGACAAAGAAGGCCATTACATAATGGTAAAGGGATCAATTCAACAAGAAGAACTAACTATCTTAAATATATATGCACCCAATACAGGAGCACCCAGATTCATAAAGCAAGTCCTTAGTGACCTACAAAGAGACTTAGACTCCCACACAATAACAATGGGAGACTTTAACACCCCACTGTCAACATTAGACAGATCAACGAGACAGAAAGTTAACAAGGATACCCAGCAATTGAATTCAGCTCTGCACCAAGCAGACCTAATAGACATCTACAGAACTCTCCACCCCAAATCAACAGAACATACATTTTTCTCAGCACCACACCGCACCTATTCCAAAACTGACCACGTAGTTGGAAGTAAAGCACTCTCAGCAAATAGAAAAGAAATTATAACAAACTATCTCTCAGACCACAGTGCAATCAAATTGGAACTCAGGATTCAGAATCTCACTCAAAACCGCTCAACTACCTGGAAACTGAATAACCTGCTCCTGAATGACTACTGGGTACATAACGAAATGAAGGCACAAATAAAGATGTTCTTTGAAACCAACGAGAACAAAGACACAACATACCAGAATCTCTGGGACACATTCAAAGCAGTGTGTAGAGGGAAATTTATAGCACTAAATGCCCACAAGAGAAAGCAGGAAAGATCCAAAATTGACACCCTAACATCACAATTAAAAGAACTAGAAAAGCAAGAGCAAACACATTCAAAAGCTAGCAGAAGGCAAGAAATAACTAAAATCAGAGCAGAACTGAAGGAAATAGAGACACAAAAAACCCTTCAAAAAATTAATGAATCCAGGAGCTGGTTTTTTGAAAGGATCAACAAAAGACCGCTAGCAAGACTAATAAAGAAAAAAAGAGAGAAGAATCAAATAGACACAATTAAAAATGATAAAGGGGATATCACCACCGATCCCACAGAAATACAAACTACCATCAGAGAATACTACAAACACCTCTATGCAAATAAACTAGAAAATCTAGAAGAAATGGACAAATTCTTTGACACATACACCCTCCCAAGACTAAACCAGGAAGAAGTTGACTCTCTGAATAGACCAATAACAGGATCTGAAATTGAGGCAATAATCAATAGCTTACCAACCAAAAAAAGTCCAGGTCCAGATGGAATCACACTGAATTCTACCAGAGGTACAAAGAGGAGCTGGTACCATTCCTTCTGAAACTATTCCAATCAATAGAAAAAGAGGGAATCCTCCCTAACTCATTTTATGAGGCCAGCATCATTCTGATACCAAAGCCAGGCAGAGACACAACCAAAAAAGAGAATTTTAGACCAATATCCCTGATGAACATTGATGCAAAAATCCTCAATAAAATACTGGCAAACTGAATCCAGCAGCACATCAAAAAGCTTATCCACCATGATCAAGTGGGCTTCATCCCTGGGATGCAAGGCTGGTTCAACATATGCAAATCAATAAACGTAATCCAGCATATACACAGAACCAAAGACAAAAACCACATGATTATCTCAATAGATGCAGAAAAGGCCTTTGACAAAATTCAACAACCCTTCATGCTAGAAACTCTCAATAAATGAGGTATTGATGGGATGTATCTCAAAATAATAAGAGCTATCTATGACAAACCCACAGCCAATATCATACCGAATGGGCAAAAACTGGAAGCATTCCCTTTGAAAACAGGCACAAGACAGGGGTGCCCTCTCTCACCACTCCTATTCAACATAGTGTTGGAAGTTCTGGCCAGGGCAGTTAGGCAGGAGAAGGAAATAAAGGGTATTCAATTAGGAAAAGAGGAACTCAAATTGTCCCTGTTTGCAGATGACATGATTGTATATCTAGAAAACCCCGTTGTCTCAGCCCAAAATCTCCTTAAGCTGATAAGCAACTTCAGCAAAGTCTCAGGATACAAAATCAATGTACAAAAATCACAAGCATTCTTATACACCAACAGCAGACAAAGAGCGAGCCAAATCATGAGTGAACTCCCATTCACAGTTGCTTCAAAGAGAGTAAAATACCTAGGAATCCAACTTACAAGGGATGGAAGGACTTCTTCAAGGAGAACTACAAACCACTGCTCAATGAAATAAAAGAGGATACAAACAAATGGAAGAACATTCCATGCTCATGGGTAGGAAGAATCAATATCGTGAAAATGGCCATACTGCCCAAGGTAATTTATAGATTCAATGCCATCCCCATCAAGCTACCAGTGGTAATTTATAGATTCAATGCCATCCCCATCAAGCTACCGGTGACTTTCTTCACAGAATTGGAAGAAACTACTTTAAAGTTCATATGGAACCAAAAAAGAGCCTGCATCGCCAAGTCAATCCTAAGCCAAAAGAACAAAGCTGGAGGCATCACACTACCTGACTTCAAACTATACTACAAGGCTACAGTAACCAAAACAGCATGGTACTGGTACCAAAACAGAGATATAGATCAATGGAACAGAACAGAGCCCTCAGAAATAATGCCACATATCTACAACCATCTGATCTTTGACAAACCTGACAAAAACAAGAAATGGGGAAAGGATTCCCTATTTAATAAATGGTGCTGGGAAAACTGGCTAGCCATATGTAGAAAGCTGAAACTGGATCCCTTCCTTACACCGTATACAAAAATTAATTCAAGATGGATTAAAGACTTACATGTTAGTCCGAAAACTGTGAAAACCCTAGAAGAAAACCTAGGCAATACCATTCAGGACATAGGCATGGGCAAAGACTTCATGTCTAAAACACCAAAAGCAATGGCAACAAAAGCCAAAATTGACAAATGGGATCTAATTAAACTAAAGAGTTTCTGCACAGCAAAAGAAACTACCATCAGAGTGAAGAGGAAACCTACAAAATGGGAGAAAATTTTCGCAACCTACTCATCTGACAAAGGGCTAATATCCAGAATCTACAATGAACTCAAACAAATTTACAAGAAAAAAACAACCCCATCAAAAAGTGGGTGAAGGATATGAACAGACACTTCTCAAAAGAAGACATTTATGCAGGCAAAAAACACATGAAAAAATGCTCATCATCACTGGACATCAGAGAAATGCAAATCAAAACCACAATGAGATACCATCTCACACCAGTTAGAATGGCGATCATTAAAAAGTCAGGAAACAACAGGTGCTGGAGAGGATGTGGAGAAATAGGAACACTTTACACTGTTGGTGGGACTATAAACTAGTTCAACCACTGTGGAAGTCAGTGTGTCGATTCCTCAGGGATCTAGAACTGGAAATACCATTTGACCCAGCCATCCCATTTCTGGGTATATACCCAAAGGATTATAAATCGTGCTGCTATAAAGACACATACACATGTACGTTTATTGCGGCACTATTCACAATAGCAAATACTTGGAACCAACCCAAATGTCCAAGAATGATAGACTGGATTAAGAAAATGTGGCACATATACACCATGGAATACTATGCAGCCATAAAAAATGATGAGTTCATGTCCTTTGTAGGGACATGGATGAAACTGGAAACCATCATTCTCAGCAAGCTATCTCAAGGACAAAAAACCAAACACCACATGTTCTCACTCATAGGTGGGAATTGAACAATGAGAACACATGGACACAGGAAGGGGAACATCACACTCTGGGGCCTGTTGTGGGGTGGGGGGAGGGGGGAGGGGGGAGGGATAGCATTTGGAGATATACCTAATGTTAAATGACGAGTTAATGGGTGCAGCACACCAACATGGCACTTGTATACATATGTAACAAACCTGCACATTGTGCACATGTACCCTAAAACTTAAAGTATAATAATAATAAAATAAAAAAATTCTAAGTGGTTACCTCAGACTAAACGGAAATAATCTAATATGGGAAATTTGTGATGTAGGAAATATTAAAGAGCAAAAGATGTGTTAAGTATGTGGATAAATAAAGCTAAATACTTAAGTATATGAAACAAAAATACTAGGACCTTCATGACTGAGATGAAATGTTATAAACTTAAAATATATGACAACAATATCTTACAGGTTAGAAGCTGCATAAATGGAGTTAATTTTTTCCAAGTTTCTTAAGTGTTTGGGAAAAAGCTGTTATTTACTTTAGCTTGATAACTATATGTGTTATAATTTCTATAATAACCCTGTCCCCTACATCATACCTTACTACAAAATTAATTTGAGATGGATCATAGACTTTACTTTGAAAGGTAAAATAAAGTTTCTTGAAAATCTCTTCATGATGTTGGGTTAGGCAAAGGTTTCTTAAACAAGAACAAAAATACACTTCATAAAAGAAAGGATTGCTAAATTGCTCTTCATGAAAGTTAAGAATGGTAATCAAAAGGCAGCATGAAGAGTGAAAAGTCAAGCTACACAGTGGAAGAGGGTATTTCGGATACATATATTTGATAAAGGACATAAATTCAGAATATATAAGGAAGTCATGCAAATCAATTATTCCTACCCAAAGACTTCACTAGGTGTCTCATAAATGAAGATATCCAAGTGGACAGTAAGCATTTGAAAACATTGTCAATATCACTGCCTGTTTGGTAATGCAAGTTAACCATAATGAGATACTGCTTCATATCAGAGTAGCTAAAATTAAAAAGAACAATGCTAAATATTGGTAAAGTTATGAAGCAACTGGAATAGTCATTTATTGCTGATGGGAAGGTAAACTGGTACACAACTCTTAAAATAATTTATAGTTATTTCATAATGGTAAACATGCCTTACCTGGGACACTTCATTCCTACTTCTTTTTAGGTACGTACTCAAGAACTATCAGTACATATGTTCAGTAGAAGACATGGTCAATAATAATTATAGCCCCAAACTGAAAACTACATAAATGTATATCAAGAGTAGAATAGATGAATCAATTATGCTTTATTCATCCAGTGAAATCCTGTGTAGCCATAAAAGATAGCAAACTACTACTGCCTCAACAACCTTGAAAGCTGTCACACACGTTATGGTTAGCAAAAAAGCCAGACACAAAGAGTCATACTGAATAATTCCATTCATATGAAATTCAAAAACTAATCAATGGTGAGAAAAGTGATAAGAATGGTTACCTCTGGTGGAGTCAGGTGTGTGGTATTGACTGGGAAGACGCACAAGAGGTCTTCTCAGGTATAGGAAGTTTTTGTATATCTGGATATGGGCAGCATTTACATTGCTGTCATCACATATAAAAAATAAACTACCTGACTTCAGATTTGTACACCTTATTAAAGATTTATTATATATTAATTAAAAGGAAACATTGAACAAGAGATACAATTGAAATCATAGAAAAGGAACTTTAAGAAGGCAACCATTTCTAATCATAGCAAAAACTTTATAAAAAGCATCAAGGCATAAATCTAACAAGATTTATGAGATCTTTTATTGGAGAATAGTAAAATTTATTTTGAAAGGCTAGTAGAAGTCCTAAGTACATAGAGAAATACACTGTATTTATTAATAAGACTCTATATCCACCTAGCACAAACTGCTTCAATGAATCAAGGCAGATGTTTCTTTAAATTTTTTTTATCATGGTAAAATACACAACACAAAATTTACCTCAACTGTTTTTAAGTGTACAGTTTACTGGTGTTAAGTACATTCATATTGTTGTGCAACCACCACCACCATCCGTCTCCAAGACTCTTTTCATCTTGTAAAACTGAAACTTATACCCATTAAATAATAACTTCTCATTCTGTCTTCCCATCTGCCCCAGGCAGCCACCATTTTCCTTTTTGTCTCATATGATTTTGATTACTCTGAGTACTTCCTATAAATGGAATAATACAATATTTGTCTTTTTGTGACTGGCTTATTTCACTTAGCCTCATGTGGTTCATCCATGTTGTAGCATATGTTATAATTTTGTAAAGTGAGTCTGTTGTAGACAGTATATAGTTGGATCATTCTGCCAATCTCTATTGATTAAATTTATTTACTTTTAAAGTAATTAACAATAAGGAGGAACCTGCTTCTGTCCTTTTTCTATTTGTTTTCTACATCAAGGTACAAATTTTATGTTCAGATACAATTCCAAACCACGATGAGGATTTATCTTAACTGTCCTCTACCCCACAGAAATGCAGAGGCCAACAAATCACATTTGTAGGCTCCTAAAGGAAACTCTCTTAGATTGCTTGTCAAAAACTGTTGAGATCATTTTGGCCCCTTCCATGCTATGAGAACGAGATCCACACTGTACCCAATGATTTACTGACTTCTCTCGGCAGAATACTGTCTCTTCTCCTTCTCTCTTCTGTTTGGTAATGAAGAGAAGAAAAGTTTGAAGTCAGTACTTTATATCATTTAGTATATGGACCAATAACTCAACAAGTTTAGAAAAAAAAACCATGAAGTAAACTTTACTTATACTCTAAAATAAACCAAACCAAACTACGAAAGTAGTAAGGAGGAAATTATAAAATAAAATCTATCAGTTAATGAACTAGAAAACAGAAAAATGATAGAATTGAGCATTAAAATCTAGATTTGGACCTTGGAAAAATTCCAAATCAGCAGACAAGTTCTGACTAGCTAGAAGATGAGAAGGAAAAACATACAATGTGGTAAATGAAAAGGAGCATGCCAGATATACCACTTAGAAAATTTGAAATAATAGGAGAATATAATGTATAACATATAACTCTCGTTAGGTATAAAATTTTCATGAAATGACTGATTTTCTTAGATAATATAATTAAACAGAAGCGTGTAACAGATTAAACATTATGAGAGAGAAAAACTTTATTGATCAAACATTTGGCTTCCAAGAAAAGTACCTGACCTAGCTCAATATTAGGTAACATTATGAAGTATTTCCTGGGCATGATAATGACATTGTGGTTATATGATAGGTGAATTATTTAGGGTCGAAGTGTCAAATCAGTGTCTTTGTGGAGGGATAAAGCTTTGTGGAGGGATAGGGGAAAATGTTCGACAATTGTTGAATCTAAATAGAAGGAATTCACATGTTTATTTTAACATTCTATCAACTTTTTGGTATACTCTTAACAAAAAGAAAAAAACAATGCCTGACTTAGATGTTTATATGGGTGACTCAAGCTATCAAGTAATGGATAACTCCTGTGCCATATAAACAGTTCCAATACACTAACAAAAACTTCCTAATTTACTTGAGGACATTAACAAAAACCTCAGAAGACATACCTGAAATTATGAATCTTTTGCATCAGTGTGATGTCTCCACTTTTATTTCTGATTTTATTTATTTGAGTCTTCTAGTTTTTTCTTAGTCTAGCTAAATGTTTGTTAACATTGTTTTTACCTTTTCAAAAACTAACAATTTAGTTGATTTCTTCCTGTTTTTCTATTTTTTATTTCTGCTCTAATTTTTATTCTTTCCTTTTTTCTGCTAACTTTGGGCTTAGTTTTGTTCTTTTTTTTCTAGTTCCTTGAGATGTAAAGTTGAGTTGCTTATTTGAGATCTTTCTTCCTTTAAAAATAGGCAATTATCATTAGAAACTTCCCTCTTAGTCCTGATTTTGCTTCATCCTGTAAGTGTTCATTTGTTGTGTTTTTGTCTTTTTTAAAATTTTCCTTGATTTCATCTTTGATCCACTGGTTGTTTTAAGAGTGTGTTGTTAATTCCCACATAATTGTGATTTTCCCAGTTTTCCTTCTGTTACTGATTTCTAATTTTAGTCTATTGTGCTTGGGAAAAAAAGGTTGGTATCATTTCAGTCTTCTTAAATTTGTTCAGACTTGTTTTATGACTTAATATGTGATCTATCCTGGAGAATGTTCTATGTGCAGTTGAGAAGACTGTGTATTCTGCAACTGTTAGGTGGAATATTCAGTATATGTGTGTTCTGTTCATTATTGAAAATGGGGTACTGACATCTTCTACTGTATTGCTAATTGCTATTTTTCCCTTCAGTTCTGTCAGTGTTTGCTTTATGTATTTAGGTACTCTAATGTTGGGTGTATATATGTTTATACTTGTGATATCTTCCTAATGAATTGACTCTTTTATCATATGACCTTCTTTGTCTCTTGGGATGGTTTTTTATTTAAAGTCTATATCGTCTGATAGTGTGGCCACACCTGTGCTCTTTTGGTTGCTATCTGCATGGAATATATTTTCCTATTCCTTCACTTTTAGCCTGTGTGTCCTTAAATCTAAAGTGAGTCTCTTCTAGATAGTATATAGTTAGATCTTATTTTTAAAATTAATTCAGCCACTATATGTTTTTTGATTAGGGAGTTTACTCCATTTACATTAAAGTAATTATTGATAGGGAAAGACTTACTAGTTCCATTTTGTTAATTGGTTTCTTTCTTGTAGTTGTTTTGTCCCTTTTGTCCTCTCTTGCTGTCTTCCTTTGTGATTTGTTGATTTTGCTTTGATCCTTCCTTTTTTTTTTTTCTTTCGTGTATCTTCTATAGGTATTTTCTTTGTGGTTACCAAAGTCTTAACAGAAAACAACTTATAGCTACAGCGAAAGCAATTTAAAAAAATAGACAAACAGGACTGCATCTAATTAAAAAGCTTTTGCACAGCAAAGAAAACAGTTAAGAGACTGAACTGGTAATCTATGGAATAGGAGAAAATATTTGCAAACCATGTATCTAATGAGGGGTTAATATCCAAAGTATATAAGGAACACCTGCAACTCAACAGCCAAAAAAAAAAAAAAAAATCCCCAAAACAAAAAACAAATAACCTGGTTAAAACATGGGTAAAGGACTTGAATGAACATTTCTTAAGACATACAAATGTGTAAGGTGCTGTATATGAAAAGATATTCAATATCGCTAATCATCAGGAAAATGCAAATCAAAACCACAATGACTGAACACTTCATATCTGTTAGGATGGCTGATATCAAAACAAAACAAATGGTAACAAGTGTTGGAGAGGATGTGGAGAAATTAGAACCCTGTACACTGTAGATGGTCATGTAAAATGGTGTAGCTGCTGTGGAAAATAGTATGGAGATTCCTTAAAAAATAAGAATAGAATTACCATATGATCCCACTTCTGGGTACATATCCAAAGGAAATGAAATCAGAATCTTGAGGAGATCCCATGTTCACAATAGCATTAATCACAGTAGCCAAGATATATAAACAAGATGTATAAACATCTATAGATGAATGGATAAAGAAAATGTGGTATATACATACAATGGAATATTATTCCACCTTAAGGAAGTCCTGCTGTATGTGACAACATGGATGACCCTGCAAGACATTACACTATGTGAAAGAATCCAGTCACAGAAGGACAAATACTGAATGATTTCACTTATATGAAATATCTAAAAATAGTCAAATTCAGAAAACAGAGAGTAGAATGGTGATTGCCAAGGACTGGGAGGAAGGGGAAATTGGGAATTGATGTTAGGTAGGTATCACAGGCAAAGCAGATAGTTCAATATTGGGAAATTTATAAACAAGTTTTTACATTAGTAGATCTAATGGAGAAATGATTATTTCATTAAGCTCCAAAAAGTATTTGGGAATAAAAATAAAATCTGTAATTAAAAATATTTCTTTAGAGTAGAATATTTCTTTATAGTAGAATAATACCTCAAATATGATAAAGAATATGTATTTGAAATTTGCAATCAGCATAATCAAAGTCAAATACTTTTGTTATGCATATAAAACATTTGTGAGAAAAGTCATATAATATGGTGGAGTAGGGAACTCTAGGGCTCTTGCAAAAACACCTAATAAGCTTCCAGAAACTATCAGAATTAGTTTTCGTAGAACTCTGGAATTTAGTTAACATTAAAAACCAGGAAAAGTAGGGAGCTGTAGCGCTGCAGAAACAGAACACTATGGCACCTTAAATTGCTCACCTACCATTCCTTGTGCCTAGATGAACAATGACTTTGAAGACAGCAGCTTATACTCATGGTGCAGGCTGTTAGCACGAGAAGGATTAGTACAGATCTTGCTCTCAAAAAATTGTGATCGTTTTAACCTGTCTGAAGTATCTGAAGGACCAGTATAGAGCTTCCTTTTGTTTTACACAGCTCAGAGCTTTCCTGGGACTGGGGTGGCTTGTCTGTCATCACGTGTCAAAAGTATTTAAAAGCCAGAGTATCAGCTGTAGAAGCCTGAGTCTGGGGATAAAAATTAGGACAATGAATAGGTAGACAAAAAGCCAGGAAGGAACGGTTGAAAAGGAGATACGGGGTGGTATAAGGACTTTTAAATGCTTTTTTGTATGCTGAGAAATTGAGAATGCTACGTACATGCCTAGGATTGGACAACTCCTCAGAGAAGGCTTGAGAAGACCCTAAGCTTTCACCACTAGCTGACCTTCAGGCTCTGCCTAACTAAGTAGGATGTGAAGGCTAAGATATAGTTGTAAACAGCCTGGCTTAGTGTTGATGGAATGCCCCAACACAGAGCAAAAAAGACTGGGAGTGTTTTTTTTCTTTCCTATTACCTTTTTTCTTTCCTTGGCTGCAGGTGTTTAAGGAACCTGTCAAAATAGTAGTTGACCCTGAAGCTAAGTGAGCACAGACTTCAGTTCCATGCACAACAAAGAATGTAAGCTTTATGAAATAGTCACTAAACAACACTTACAACAAGCAGTAACAGCAAACTCCAGGGAAGGGGGAGAATCCAGTATCCAGAGTTGTCACTTTATAATATTCAATATGTCCAGTTTTCAACAAATTATAAGGCATGCAAAGAAGTAAAAAAGTGTGACTCATTCAAAGGAAAAAAGAGAAATTAATGAAACTATCCCTGAGGAAGCCCACCTTAAATGTACTCAATGAGCTGAACAATACCATCAGCAAAGAACTAAGGGAAACCAAGAAAAGGATTTCCCACCAAAAAGAAATATCGACAAAGAGAAATTATAAAAAGGAAACAAATAGAAATTCTGCAGCTGAAAAGTACAGTAACAAAAATTCTTTAGAAGGATTCAATAGCTGAGTAGTCTGAACAAAGAATCAGTGAACTTGAAGAAAGGTCAGATGATTTATTTATTCGAGGAGAAGAAAGAGAAAAGAATAAAGAAAATGAACAGGGCTATGGGACATCCCCAAGCATACCAACATATGCATTATGGGATTCTTAGAGGGAAGAGAGAGAGAGAGAGAGAGAGAGAGAAAGGGGCGGTAATAATATTTGAAGAAATAATGGTTGAAAACTTCCCTAATTTGTTGAAAAATGAATTTCAAATGGGTTAAACTCAAAGAGACCCACACCATGTCACATTATAGTCAAATTGTTAAATATTTAGCATAGATGTTGGTTCTATTAGTAGAAATATACTTTCCTTAATGAAGTCAGCTTTAACAGATTTTTTTTTTAAATCTGGTTTTGAAGTCATAAAATACAAAACTATGAGCTTCTTACAAAGTTATTCCTGCCGTAAATACTGTGGTAATTTATATATTTAAAAAATTGAGAATTTTTTTAAAACAAGTGTTTCCAAAAGCTTATTGATTTTTAAGTAAGTTTTGTATCACATGGTAATACGTTTCTTTTATTTGTAGAAAGTAGATTTTTACTTTTTAGTGCTTGTTGACTCTGTGTGTGTGTGTGTGTGTGTGTGTGTGTGTGTGTGTGTCTATTGGTTTACATGACGGTGAAGAACTACTTATTTCTTTTTTGGTTTGTTACATGAAGTCTTTGACATTGTTTGTTTGTTTGTGACAGGGTCTTGCTCAGTCACCGAGGCTGGAGTGTAGTGGCTGGATCTTAGCTCACTGCAATGTCCACCTCCCGAGCTCAAGCTATCCTTCCACCTCAGTCTCTCAAAGTGCTGGTATTACAGGCTTAAGCCACTGCACCTGGCTGATGTGTCATTAAGCTGGATGATGAGAGAATAATATAACCTGATAAAACTCATGTAGATCTTTTGAGAAGAGATAATTTTAATTGTGAAATAGCATCTGGAAATCAGTAAAAGACATATTTTAGCTAACCAGTAATTTCATAACATCTTTATCTCAGTATAATTTACTATAATACATAAGGTTTGCCCATTTAAAGTGTATAGTTTATTTATAGAATTTTACAATAGCATAATTTTAGAACTTTGTTGTCATTAGCCCCTCTCCCCCAATTCCCTAGCCCTAGGCAAACACCAGTCCACTTTCTCTCCCAATTCTTTTTTGCCAATTCTGGACATTTTATATAAACAGAATTGTAATGTATGATCTTTTGTGACTGCCTTCTTTTACTTAGCATAGTGTTTTCAAGAGTCATTCATGTTATGTTGTAATGTGAATCAGTACTTCATCCCTTTTTATTGCCAAATTACATTTCATTGTATAGATACTTTGTTTACTCATTAGTTGGTAGACATTTGGATTTTCCACTCTGGCCATTGTGAATAGTGCTGCTATGAACATAGTGTTTATGTGTTAGGGTAGGTGTTTCATTTCTCTTGGTTATATACCTAACAGTAGAATTACTGGGACATACAGTAACTCCATGTTTAACATGTTGAGGAACTTCTAAACTTTTTTCTGAAGTAGCTGCACTATTTACATTCCCATGAGCAGTATATGAGGGTTTCAGTTTCTCCACGTCCTTTCCAACATTTGTCATTTTCTGTCTTTTTGATTATAGCCTGGTTGGGTGTTAAGGGGTATTTATTGTGTTTTTTACCTATTTCTAACAACTAATGGTGTTGAACATCTTTTCATGTGCTTATTGGTCATTTATCTTTTCTGATGAAATACCTATTCAAATTCTTTACCCATTTATAAATTTATCACTGTACAAATTTGTTGAGTTGCAAGCATTCTTTTTATATTCTGGATATTAGACCTTTAGCAGATTTATGGACTTACCAATATTTTCTCCCATTCTGTAGACTTTTTTACTTTCTTGATGGTGACCTTTGATACGCAAAAGTTTTAAATTCTGATGAACTCTAACTTATCAGACTTTTATTCTTTGCACTTTTGGTGACATATCTAAGAAATCAGTGCATAACCCAGGGTCACAAAGATTTAGTGTTTTCTTCTGAGAGATTTAGTTTTAGTTTTTATATTTAGATCTGTGGTTCTATTTGAGGCAATTAAAATTTTTATTTTTTTAATTGTGATAAAATATACATAAAATTTATCATCTTAACCATTGTTAAGTATATGGTTCAGTGGCGTTAAGTACATTCATATTGTTGTTTAACCAATCTCTATAGCTTTTTAAATCTTGTAATACTGAAACTCTATATCCATTAAACAACAACTCCCCATTTTCCCCTTCCCCTTAGGCCCTAGCAACCACCATTCTACTTTCTGTCTCTATGAATTTGGCTACTCTAGGTACCTTATAGTAGCAGAATCACACAGTATATGTCTTTTTGCCACTGGTTTATTTCATTCAGTAGTATATTCTTAAAATTCACCCATGTTGTACTATATGTCAGAATTTCCTTCTTTTTTGAGATTATATTATTCCATTGTATGTGTATGCCACAAACAAAAGTTTATCCATTCATCTGTTGATAGACACTTGAGTTGCTTCTGCCATTTGGCTATTGTGAATAGTGCTGCTGTGAACATGCTTGTTATAATTATCTCTTCAAGGTCCTGCTTTCACTTCTTTTGGGTACAGACCCAAAAGTGGAATTCCTGGATCATACAGTCATTCTACTTTTAAGTTTTTGAGGAAGCTCCGTACTGTTTTCCATAAGGGCTACACTGTTTACATTCCCACCAGCAGTATTCGAGGGTACTGATTTCTCCACATCCTTGCCAATACTTGTTATTTTCTGTTTTTTTTTGTTTTTTTTTTTCCTTCTTAATAATGGCTATTCTAACAGGTCTGAATTGATGTCTCATTGTGGTGGTGATTTTCATTTCCCTTATGATTAGTAATATTGAGCTTCTTTTCATTTTTGGTTGGCCAGTTGTATACCTTCTCTGGAGAAATGTCTATTATTTTTGCCTATCTTTGAATCAGGTTTTGTTGTTGTTGTTCCTGAGTTGTAAGTGTCCTTTATATGTTCTGGATATTAACCTTGCATCAGATACAGTGAGTCTTTGCCTCACATCTTTGTTAAGTTCTTGGAAACTGACCTGTAAGTGAAGTGACGTATAGCATAGCAAAACAAACTGATATAAGTTAATTGATAAAACAAGAGTTAAGTTCCTATGGTATTCAGTACATTGTTTCACTTAAAGGTGCAATTTCTAAGTACCTATTGATGATGTTAAGTGAAGACTTATTGTACATGATTTGCAAATATTTTCTCCCATTTTCTAGGTTACCTTTTCACTCTGTTGATGGTGTCCTTTGGTGAACAGAAGTTTTAAATTTTGATTTAGTCCAATTTATCAACTTTTACTTTTGTTGCCTTTCTCCTTTGAGTCAGTTTTTATGTATGGCATGCAAATTCGTCTTTGCATATAGATATTGAGTTGTTTCAGCACTGTTGAAAAGACTCTTCTTTCCCTGTTGAATTTTCATGACCTCTTTGCTGAAAATCAATTTACCATAAATGTTAGTGTTTATTTCTGGACTGTCGGTTCTATGCCATTGATCTACATGACTGTCCTTATGCCAGCACTGTGCTGTCTTGATTATTGTAGCTTTGGAGTAAGTTTTGACATCGGAAAGAGTGAGTCCTCCAACGATGTTTGTCATTTTCAAGATTATTTTGGCTGTTCTGGGTTTATGATCTGCTTGTCAATTACTGAAAAAAAAAAGGCTAGGCTTTTAATAAGAGTTGCATTGAATCTCTAGATTACTATGGGAAATATTACCACTTGAATCTCTAGATTAGTTTAGGAAGTATTAATCTTTCAGTCCATAAACATGAGCCAGTTTTCTAGTTATTTTGATTTTCTTCCATTTCATTCTATGTTTTTTAGTATACTAGACATATATTTATTTTGCTAAATATATTCTCAAGTATTTAATTCTTTTTCTTGCTGTTGTAAATTGAATTTTTTTTAAAAATTTATTTTTGGATTGTGAATTGCTAGTGTATTAAAATACAGTTGATTTTTGTATATTGCACTGGCATCCTGCAGCTTTGCTGAACTTATTAGTCTTAATTGGTTTGTCCTGGTTTCCTTGGGATTTCCTGTATGAAGTTCATGTCATCTGCAAATAGATATAGTTGTACTTCTTTCTTTCCAATCTAGATGTCTTTAATTTCTAACCTGGTTGCCCTGGCAATATGTAACATCCAATATGATACTGAATAGAAGAGGTAAGAATGGCCATACTTGTCTTGTTCTTGATTGTAGGGAGAAAGCATCTAGCTTTTCATTATTCGGTATTATGTTAGCGCTGAGTCTTTCATAGGTACTCTTCATCTGGTTAAAGAAATCCCTTCCATTCCTAGTTTGCTGAGAAATTTTATCACAAAAACGTATTGGGTTTTGTTGAACTGAACAGTAGCTTTTAAGAGCCTGTTACATATCTAATGACATGTGGTTGGTTTGTTGTAAAATTACTTGGAAATGGTTATGTGAAAATACTGAAATTTACTTGGCAAATACTAAAGCTACAAGAATTTTTAAAATGGAAAGGTTATTATGAAAGCTTGAAAGATGCAATGGGAGGAGGTAGAGCATGAAGTGTTAAAAAATTTGTAAGATATAATTGTTGGAAAGGAAGAAGAGAAATATATTTTGGGATGAGTATAAATCTACTCATGCATACTTTTAAGAGGCTGGAATAGGTTTATGTTTCTCAAATTCGGATATTTGCTTCCCACTGATATGTCAGGAGGTATCAAGGCAATAAGAAGCCACAGAATAAAAACAACATTTTTTTTGCCCAAATAAAATTTTTACATCTATTTTTATCAGCTAATGACGAATATTTTTATTTATTTAGTAATTTATTCGTTTATTTATTTATTTATTTATTTATTTATTTTACTTTAAGTTCCAGGATACATATGCAGAACGTGCAGGTTTGTTACACAGGTATACATGTGCCATGGTGGTTTGCTGCACCTATCAACCCATCATTTAGGTTTTAAGCCCTGCATACGTTAGGTATTTGTCCTAATGCTCTCCCTCCCCTTGCCCCTGACCCCACCGACAGGCCCCGGTGTGTGATGTTCCCCTCCCTGTGTCCATGTGTTCTCATTGTTCAACTCCCATTTATGAGTGAGAACACGTGGTGTTTGGTTTTCTGTTCCTGTGTTAGTTTGCTGAGAATGATGGCTTCCGGCTTCATCCATGTCCCAGCAAAGGACATGGTCTTATTCTTTTTTATGGCTGCATAGTATTCCATGGTATATATGTGCCACATTTTCTTTATCCAGTCTATCATTGATGGGCAAAAAGTGGCATTTTTAAAGTGTTAGTTTTGTCCAGTGGTATTTAATTTTTTTTAAGTCAACATTTTGTTTTGAAATAATTGTAGTTTCACATGTGATAAATAATATAGAGATATCACATATACCCTTCACCCAATTTCCCCAAGTGGTAACATCTTGCATAACTGTGGTGATATATCACAACCACAACGTTGATATTGATACAGCCAAGATACTGAACATTTACATCACTACAAAGGTGCCTCATGATACCTTATAATAGCTACTTCCACTTCTCTCCTGCCCCACCTTTTACTGAGCTCCTGGCAACCACTAATTTGTTCCTTTGTTTCTATAACTTTGTAATTTCAAGAATGTCATATAAATGATAACATATAGTATGCAACCTTATTGTATTGGCCTTTTTTTCACTCAGCATACTTATCTGGAGATTCATCCAGACTGTTTTATGTATCAGTAGTTTTTCTTTTTTATTGATGTATAGTATTCCAAAGTATGAATGCACCACAGTTTAAATATTCACTATTGAAGGACATCTTGGTTGTTTCCCAGTTTTTGGCTTTACCAGTACAGCTGCTGTAAACATTCATATGCAAGTTTTTGTGTGAATATGTCTTTGTTTCTGTGGGGTAGATGCCCAGGATTGCAATTGCTGGGTCATGTGGTAGTTGCATGTTTAGTTTTTTGAAAGACAGGCCACACCTTTTTCCAGGGTGGTTATATCATTTACATTCCCACCAGCAGTGTGTGAGTAATCCGTCTACTCCATATCCTCACCAGCATTTGATACTGTCACTATTTTTATTCTAGTCATTCTAATAGGTATGTAGTGGTATCTTATTAAGTTTTTAATGTGTATTTCCCTAATGGTTTTTGATGTTGCACATTTTTTAATATTTCTGTTTCCAGTCTCTTTCTCCTGTTAAGTGAAATGTCTGTATCTTTTGCCCATTTTCTTTTTTTATTTTTATTTTTATTTATTTATTTTTATTATTATACTTTAAGTTTTAGGGTACATGTGCACATTGTGCAGGTTAGTTACATATGTATACATGTGCCATGCTGGTGTGCTGCACCCACTAACTTGTCATCTAGCATTAGGTATATCTCCTAATGCTATCCGTCCCCACTCCCCCCACCCCACCACAGTCCCCAGAGTGTGATATTCTCCTTCCTGTGTCCATGTGATCTCATTGTTCAATTCCCACCTATGAGTGAGAATATGCGGTGTTTGCTTTTTGTTCTTGCGATAGTTTACTGAGAATGATGATTTCCAATTTCATCCATGTCCCTACAAAGGACATGAACTCATCATTTTTTATGGCTGCATAGTATTCCATGGTGTATATGTGCCACATTTTCTTAATCCAGTCTATAATTCTTGGACATTTGGATTGGTTCCAAGTCTTTGCTATTGTGAATAATGCCGCAATAAACATACGTGTGCATGTGTCTTTATAGCAGCATGATTTATAGTCCTTTGGGTATATACCCAGTAATGGGATGGCTGGGTCAAATGGTATTTCTAGTTCTAGATCCCTGAGGAATCGCCACATTGACTTCCACAATGGTTGAACTAGTTTACAGTCCCACCAACAGTGTAAAAGTGTTCCTATTTCTCCACATCCTCTCCAGCACCTGTTGTTTCCTGACTTTTTAATGATTGCCATTCTAACTGGTGTGAGATGGTATCTCATTGTGGTTTTGATTTGCATTTCTCTGATGTCCAGTGATGATGAGCATTTTTTCATGTGTTTTTTGTCTGCATAAATGTCTTCTTTTGAGAAGTGTCTGTTCATGTCCTTCGCCCACTTTTTGATGGGGTTGTTTGTTTTTTTCTTGTAAATTTGTTTGAGTTCATTGTAGATTCTGGATATTAGCCCTTTGTCAGATGAGTAGGTTGCGAAAATTTTCTCCCATTTTGTAGGTTTCCTGTTCACTCTGATGGTAGTTTCTTTTGCTGTGCAGAAGCTCTTTAGTTTAATTAGATCCCATTTGTCAATTTTGTCTTTTGTTGCCATTGCTTTTGGTGTTTTAGACATGAAGTCCTTGCCCACACCTATGTCCTGAATGGTAATGCCTAGGTTTTCTTCTAGGGTTTTTATGGTTTTCAGTCTAACATGTAAGTCTTTAATCCATCTTGAATTAATTTTTGTATACGGTGTAAGGAAGGGATCCAGTTTCAGCTTTCTACATATGGCTAGCCAGTTTTCCCAGCACCATTTATTAAACAGGGAATCCTTTCCCCATTGCTTGTTTTTCTCAGGTTTGTCAAAGATCAGATAGTTGTAGATATGCTGCATTATTTCTGAGGGCTCTGTTCTGTTCCATTGATCTATATCTCTGTTTTGGTACCAGTACCATGCTGTTTTGGTTACTGTAGCCTTGTAGTATAGTTTGAAGTCAGGTAGCGTGATGCCTCCAGGTTTGTTCTTTTGGCTTAGGATTGACTTGGCGATGCAGGCTCTTTTTTGGTTCCATATGAACTTTAAAGTAGTTTTTTCCAATTCTGTGAAGAAAGGCATTGGTAGCTTGATGGGGATGGCATTGAATCTGTAAGTTACCTTGGGCCGTATGGCCATTTTCACGATATTGATTCTTCCTACCCATGAGCATGGAATGTTCTTCCATTTGTTTGTATCCTCTTTTATTTCCTTGAGTAGTGGTTTGTAGTTCTCCTTGAAGAGGTCCTTCACATCCCTTGTAAGTTGGATTCCTAGGTATTTTATTCTCTTTGAAGCAATTGTGAATGGGAGTTCACTCATGATTTGGCTCTCTGTTTGTCTGTTGTTGGTGTATAAGGATGCTTGTGATTTTTGTACATTGATTTTGTATCCTGAGACTTTGCTGAAGTTGCTTATCAGCTTAAGGAGATTTTGGGCTGAGACAGTGGGGTTTTCTAGATATACAATCATGTCATCTGCAAACAGGGACAATTTGACTTCCTCTTTTCCTAATTGAATAGCTTTTATTTCCTTCTCCTGCCTAATTGCCCTGGCCAGAACTTCCAACACCATGTTGAATAGGAGTGGTGAGAGAGGGCATCCCTGTCTTGTGCCGGTTTTCAAAGGGAATGCTTCCAGTTTTTGGGCATTCAGTATGATATTGGCTGTGGGTTTGTCATAGATAACTCTTATTATTTTGAAATACGTCCCATCAATACCTAATCTATTGAGAGTTTTTAGCATGAAGTGTTGTTGAATTTTGTCAAAGGCTTTTTCTGCATCTATTGAGAAAATCATGTGGTTTTTGTCTTTGGCTCTGTTTATATGCTGGATTACATTTATTGATTTGCATATATTGAACCAGCCTTGCATCCCAGGGATGAAGCCCACTTGATCATGGTGGATAAGCTTTTCGGTGTGCTGCTGGATTCAGTTTGCCAGTATTTTATTGAGGATTTTTGCATCAATGTTCATCAAGGATATTGGTCTAAAATTCTCTTTTTTTGTTGTGTCTCTGCCTGGCTTTGGTATCAGAATGATGCTGGCCTCATAAAAAGAGTTAGGGAGGATTCCCTCTTTTTCCATTGATTGGAATAGTTTCAGAAGGAATGGTACCAGTTCCTTCTTGTACCTCTGGTAGAATTCGGCTGTTAATCCATCTGGTCCTGGACTCTTTTTGGTTGGTAAGCTATTGATTATTGCCACAATTTCAGATCCTGTTATTGGTCTATTCAGAGATTCAACTTCTTCCTGGTTTAGTCTTGGGAGAGTGTATGTGTCGAGGAATTTATCCATTTCTTCTAGATTTTCTAGTTTATTTGCATAGAGGTGTTTGTAGTATTCTCTGATGGTAGTTTGTATTTCTGTGGGATCGGTGGTGATATCCCCTTTATCATTTTTAATTGTGTCTATTTGATTCTTCTCTCTTTTTTTCTTTATTAGTCTTGCTAGCAGTCTTTTGTTGATCCTTTCAAAAAACCAGCTCCTGGATTCATTAATTTTTTGAAGGGTTTTTTGTGTCTCTATTTCCTTCAGTTCTGCTCTGATTTTAGTTATTTCTTGCCTTCTGCTAGCTTTTGAATGTGTTTGCTCTTGCTTTTCTAGTTCTTTTAATTGTGATGTTAGGGTGTCAATTTTGGATCTTTCCTGCTTTCTCTTGTGGGCATTTAGTGCTATAAATTTCCCTCTACACACTGCTTTGAATGTGTCCCAGAGATTCTGGTATGTTGTGTCTTTGTTCTCGTTGGTTTCAAAGAACATCTTTATTTGTGCCTTCATTTCGTTATGTACCCAGTAGTCATTCAGGAGCAGGTTGTTCAGTTTCCATGTAGTTGAGCGGTTTTGAGTGAGATTCTTAATCTTGAGTTCTAGTTTGATTGCACTGTGGTCTGAGAGATAGTTTGTTATAATTTCTGTTCTTTTACATTTGTTGAGGAGAGCTTTAGTTCCAAGTATGTGGTCAATTTTGGAATAGGTGTGGTGTGGTGCTGAAAAAAATGTATATTCTGTTGATTTGGGGTGGAGAGTTCTGTAGATGTCTATTAGGTCCACTTGGTGCAGAGCTGAGTTCAGTTCCTGGGTATCCTTGTTGACTTTCTGTCTCGTTGATCTGTCTAATGTTGACAGTGGGGTGTTAAAGTCTCCCATGATTAATGTGTGGGAGTCTAAGTCTCTTTGTAGGTCACTCAGGACTTGCTTTATGAATCTGGGTGCTCCTGTATTGGGTGCATATATATTTAGGATAGTTAGCTCTTCTTGTTGAATTGATCCCTTTACCATTATGTAATGGCCTTCTTTGTCTCTTTTGATCTTTGTTGGTTTAAAGTCTGTTTTATCAGAGACTAGGATTGCAACCCCTGCCTTTTTTTGTTTTCCATTTGCTTGGTAGATCTTCCTCCATCCTTTTATTTTGAGCCTATGTGTGTCTCTGCATGTGAGATGGGTTTCCTGAATACAGCACACTGATGGGTCTTGACTCTTTATCCAATTTGCCAGTCTTTGCCTTTTAATTGGAGCATTTAGTCCATTTATATTTAAAGTTAATATTGTTATGTGTGAATTTGATCCTGTCATTATGATGTTAGCTGGTTATTTTGCTCATTAGTTGATGCAGTTTCTTCCTAGTCTTGATGGTCTTTACATTTTGGCATGATTTTGCAGCGGCTGGTACTGGTTGTTCCTTTCCATGTTTAGTGCTTCCTTCAGGAGCTCTTTTAGGGCAGGCCTAGTGGTGACAAAATCTCTCAGCATTTGCTTGTCTGTAAAGGATTTTATTTCTCCTTCACTTATGAAGCTTAGTTTGGCTGGATATGAAATTCTGGGTTGAAAATTCTTTTCTTTAAGAATGTTGAATATTGGCCCCCACTCTCTTCTGGCTTATAGGGTTTCTGCCGAGAGATCCGCTGTTAGTCTGATGGGCTTCCCTTTGTGGGTAATCCGACCTTTCTCTCTGGCTGTCCTTAACATTTTTTCCTTCATTTCAACTTTGGTGAATCTGACAATTAATGTGTCTTGGAGTTGCTCTTCTCGAGGAGTATCTTTGTGGCGTTCTCTGTATTTCCTGAATCTGAATGTTGGCCTGCCTTGCTAGATTGGGGAAGTTCTCCTGGATAATATCCTGCAGAGTGTTTTCCAACTTGGTTCCATTCTCCCCATCACTTTCAGGTACACCAATCAGACGTAGATTTGTTCTTTTCACATAGTCCCATATTTCTTGGAGGCTTTGCTCATTTCTTTTTATTCTTTTTTCTCTAAACTTCCCTTCTCGCTTCATTTCATTCATTTCTTCTTCCATCGCTGATACCCTTTCTTCCAGTTGATGGCATCGGCTCTTGAGGCTTCTGCATTCTTCACATAGTTCTCGAGCCTTGTTTTTCAGCTCCATCAGCTCCTTTAAGCACTTCTCTGTATTGGTTATTCTAGTTACACATTCTTCTAAATTTTTTTCAAAGTTTTCAACTTCTTTGCCTTTGGTTTGAATGTCCTCCCGTAGCTCAGAGTAATTTGATCGTCTGAAGCCTTCTTCTCTCAGCTCGTCAAAGTCATTCTCCATCCAGCTTTGTTCCATTGCTGGTGAGGAACTGTGTTCCTTTGGAGGAGGAGAGGTGCTCTGCTTTTTAGAGTTTCCAGTTTTTCTGCTCTGTTTTTTCCCCATCTTTGTGGTTTTATCTACTTTTGGTCTTTGATGATGGTGATGTACAGATGGGTTTTTGGTGTGGATGTCCTTTCTATTTGTTAATTTTCCTTCTAACAGACAGGACCCTCCGCTGCAGGTCTGTTGGAATACCCTGCCGTGTGAGGTGTCAGTGTGCCCCTGCTGGGAGGTGCCTCCCTGTTAGGCTGCTCAGGGGTCAGGGGTCAGGGACCCACTTGAGGAGGCAGTCTGCCCGTTCTCAGATCTCCAGCTGTGTGCTGGGAGAACCACTGCTCTCTTCAAAGCTGTCAGACAGGGACATTTAAGTCTGCAGAGGTTACTGCTGCTTTTTGTTTGTCTGTGCCCTTCCTCCAGAGATGTAGCCTACAGAGGCAGGCAGGCCTCCTTGAGCTGTGGTGGGCTCCACCCAGTTCGAGCTTCCAGGCTGCTTTGTTTACCTAAGCAAGCCTGGGCAATGGCGGGCGCCCCTCCCCCAGCCTCGCTGCCACCTTGCAGTTTGATCTCAGACTGCTGTGCTAGCAATCAGCGAGACTCCGTGGGCCTAGGACGCTCGGAGCCAGGTGCGGGGTATAATCTCGTGGTGCGCCGTTTTTTAAGCCGGTTGGAAAAGCGCAGTATTCGGGTGGGAGTGACCCGATTTTCCAGGTGCGTCCGTCACCCCTTTCTTTGACTAGGAAAGGGAACTCCCTGACCCCTTGCGCTTCCCAAGTGAGGCAATGCCTTGCCCTGCTTCGTCTCGCACACGGTGCGCGCACCCACTGACCTGCGCCCACTGTCTGGCACTCCCTAGTTAGATGAACCCAGTACCTCAGATGGAAGTGCAGAAATCACCGTCTTCTGCGTGGCTCACGCTGGGAGCTGTAGACCGGAGCTGTTCCTATTCGGCCATCTTGGCTCCTGTCCCTCTTTTGCCCATTTTTTAATTGGATTGTCTTTTTTTTCCCTTTTTACTGTTGTGAATTGTATATATATGTTAGTATATATGTTAGATGTAAGGCTAGCAGATACAAGACCTTTGTTGGATATGAGGTTTGCAAATATTTTCTTGTAACCTGTAGCTGGGAGAGAGAGGGGCATTTTGTTTTGCTGGATAGTCTAGGTAGGCTTCGCTAGACTTTCACTGACGCCGCAAGGAAGGGATAGCACTTTATCAGCCAGCAGAGATGAAAGTAAGTCCTGGGTTCCTCACTTGGCCTTTGCTGGTGTTGGTGTGAGTGGGTCTAGTTTTTTCTGTGATGGTTGGCTGGAGTAGAATGGTTATTATTTAAAAGTTCTCTCTTTTGCTAGGCTTCACCTCTACTGGGTTTTTAGCTAGTGAGAAAAGCTCTTGTTAGGGTTTTTTGTCTGTGTCCATTGTTCCTGGGTAGCTGACTTCTTCAGCTCCAAGTCTGTATATGCAAGAGAAAAAGAAAACCCAGTGATTGCACCACAGCATAATTCCTCAGGTCCCTAGATCTCTAGCTAATCTACGTTCTTCTCTACATCTTTCAGATTCTTCTTACATTTGTTTTATATATATTTTCCAGTGGGCTGAATTATACTTAGCAGGAGAAATAGGGAAAAGTACATCTGGCCAGGCGCAGTGGCTCATGCCTGTAATCCCAGCACTTTGGGGAGGCTGAGGCAGGAGGATCCCTTGAATCCAGGAGTTGGAGACCAGCCTGGGCAACAAAGTGAGACCCAGTCTCTACAAAAATAAAAATAAGAAAATTAGCCCGGTGTAGTGGCATGTGCCTGTTGTCCCAGCTATCCAGGAGGCTGAGGTGGCAGGATCGCCTGAGCCTGGGAGGTCGTGGCTTCAGTGATAGTGCCACAGCATTCCAGCCTGGGTGACACAGCAAGACCCTGTCTTAAACAAAGAAGAAGAGAAAAGAAAGAAAAATGTCACAGGATCCTCAGGGTGTCAGTTTGCAAGCTGGAAACCACTGTGGCCAGCAGCACCTTCTGCCTGAGTATTGTTCACACTGCTGGGCACATTCTCCGCACTTGGCCTGGCAGGCTGTGCTTGGCTCGCACTACTATGCTATGTCTTACACCTGCCAAGCATGAGCCAGGTGTGGAGTGGTGAGGGGTGTGTGGGCAAGCAAGTGTGGGGTCTAGCCACTGTACACAGCCAGGCATGCTGACGGCTGTGGTAGGGCAGGCAGCTCCAGTGCTGGCACTGGTGCTGGCGCCACGCAAGGCTGCAGCTGGACCAGATGTACTGTGCGTGGCTTCTGCTGTGGGCACCCACATCTGGGTGAGGGAAATGTGGTGGTGGCAACTGGAAGCTTGGAAGACACCAGGAACCACAAAACCCCAAAGAGGGTGTCATAGTCCTGGCTCAGGGACCCCCTAGGTCTGGGCTTCCCGAAAGGCCACAGCTTGTCTCTTCTTCTTGTTCCCTGCAACATGGCAGGCGGGGAGGGGGCATGTTTCAGCCCTGTTTGTGTTACAGCTCTTTTAGTCCCACCATTTGGTGGATCCTGAGCTCTTGTCCTGCATCCATGAAGAATGAGGTATGTGGACAACTGGAGGGTGAGCAAGATGGAGAGGAGTTTCATCGAGTGGCAGAACAGTTTTCAGGAGACCCAAAGTGGGTAGCTCCTTTCTGCAGGCAGGTCATCCTGATGACTGTCCATCTGTCAGTGGAGAGGAGAACCTAGAGTGGGTAGCTCCTACCTGCATGCAGGTCATCCCATAATCTGCATCTTTCAGCAGAGAAGAGACCCGGAGTGGCTAGCTCCTATCTGCAGGCAGGTCATTCCATTGTCTCTCCAAGTCTGGCTGAGTCCAGGGTTTTTATGGGCTTCAAAGGGGAGGAGATGCATGCCAATTGGTCCATGGGCAGGCCCGGAAAAAGCACTATAAGTTCTCCTTTCTGCGAAACTGGCAGCCCTTCAACCCATCCCTGGCTTAAAGGTGGAGCTTCACTGGTGACCTGCCCCTTTCTGCCCAGGAGCCTGTCTGCCATCTCTGCCATCTACGGTACCCATGGCACACCCAGGCTGTTTATGTCAGGGGGCGCCTGCAGGCCCACTCTGAGCTGCCCTCAGCCCTCCCTGCCCCTGCAACCTCCCTCCTGTGCTTGTGGGTGCCCAGTGTCTGGAGGGGCGGCAGGGGGCTGGTGTGACAGTGCTGTCCCAAGTGTGCGCACACCTGGCTGGGTCGCAACAGTGCCTGGACTTGGCCTCAACTTTGCTGTGTAATTGGAGCGGGAACCAGGAGTGGGGAGAGGCCTGGCAGTGGGAGCAGGCACTTCTGAGCCTGCAGGGGCAGGGGGAGTTCCCAGATCCCCGAAAGTGCAGTGGTGCCTGGGTCTACAGCTGTGACTGGGCAGCTGCAGCTGTGCCCAGGAGGGTGGGGTTCCTGCCCCTCCAACTCAGAAGGGAGTGGGGCTTCTGCCTGTTCCTGGCTCCCACCACCTCAGTACAGCGAGTAGCCCTAGCTGTTCCTTCCCCACTGCAGCTGGCATCATTGCAGCAGCCACTCCAGATGGGATGCCGCTGCCATCAAAAATATATCTACTCCATCACCTGGGGAGATGCAGCATAATTTAAAATATTTTTATCTGAAATCAGATGTTGCTATATCATCAAATAGAATGCCAAGTTATAATGACTGTATAGGTAAAATACAGAAATCTCAAAGAAATGTTATATTTATGGTAGCTTTGAGTACTGATCCTATGCGCCAGGAAACAAGGTCTTGGTTTTTTCCCCCCATTGTTAGGGGTAAAATATTAGGATGTAGGTCAAGCTTCTGTAATAGCCAAACATAGAGTGGCTCAAATAAGATAGAATTTTATTTTTTCACGTCATTGTTCATGTTAGGAAAGTGAGCTCTGTTCCTTGATGTCATCCAGGGACCCAAGCTGGCTGGACAACTAAGCTGTCTTACACATGACTTCCAAGGTTGTTCCATGCATTACCATTTTCAGGAGGCAAGAAAAATAGTGATGATAGTGGTGGTGATATTGGGGGAACATGCAGGTCAAGAACTTGATTTTAAGGACAGGAAGCAGAAGTTGTACTTGATGCCTTCATTCATATCCCATTGGTGTCAGTCTAGTAATGTGGTTACAACTAGCTGCAGAAGAAACAGGAAATGTCTCCCACTTGGTGGCTATGTGGCCAGCAAAAATTTGAGTAAGGCATTTCTATTATTAAAAGAAAGGTGAGAATACTTACTGGTGGACAATAGTAATCTTTGCTGTTTACTTTAGTGGAAATTTTTTAGAAGAACTCTCTGAGTGGTCTTAATCATTGTGAGCCATTTTATTCTGTAGTTAACTGTCTTTTTTGCTTGCTGTGCTCTTTGTCCTGTTATATTATAAAAGAATGACATGACCTTCATGGTCTAATCTTAGCGTGGGTATAAAACTGATTTGTATAAAACTGATTTGTTTATAACTACTTGGACTACTTCAAATAAGAACCTGTTTGTTTGTATCTTCTAGGGTTTACAGAGTCCACGGGGAATGGGATGCAAGCCAGAAGCTGTATGTAGTCACATTATTATTGAGAGCCATGAAAAGGGATGTTTCCGGACTCTAACTTCTGAACATCCACAACTAGATAGACACCCTTGTGCTTTCAGATCTGCTGGACCCTCAGAAATGACCAGAGGACGGCAGAACCCATCATCATGCAGAGCCAAGCATGTCAACCTTTCTGCATCCTTAGACCAGAACAACTCCCATTTCAAAGTTTGGAATTCCTTGCAGTTAAAAAGTCATTCCCCATTTCAGAACTTTATACCTGATGAATTCAAAATCAGCAAAGGTCTTCGAATGCCATTCGATGAAAAGATGGACCCTTGGCTGTCAGAATTAGTAGAACCTGCTTTTGTGCCACCTAAAGAAGTGGATTTTCATTCTTCATCACAAATGCCGTCCCCAGAACCCATGAAAAAGTTTACTACCTCCATCACTTTTTCATCTCACCGACATTCTAAATGCATTTCCAATTCCTCTGTTGTTAAGGTTGGTGTTACTGAAGGTAGCCAGTGTACTGGAGCATCTGTGGGGGTATTTAATTCTCATTTCACTGAAGAACAAAATCCTCCCAGAGATCTTAAACAGAAAACCTCTTCCCCTTCATCATTTAAAATGCATAGTAATTCACAAGATAAAGAAGTGACTATTTTAGCAGAAGGTAGAAGGCAAAGCCAAAAATTACCTGTTGATTTTGAGCGTTCTTTTCAAGAAGAAAAACCCTTAGAAAGATCAGATTTTACAGGCAGTCATTCTGAGCCCAGTACCAGGGCAAATTGTAGCAATTTCAAGGAAATTCAGATTTCTGATAACCATACCCTTATTAGCATGGGCAGACCAAGTTCCACCCTAGGAGTAAACAGATCGAGTTCCAGACTAGGAGTAAAAGAGAAGAATGTAACTATAACTCCAGATCTTCCTTCTTGCATTTTTCTTGAACAACGAGAGCTCTTTGAACAAAGCAAAGCCCCACGTGCAGATGACCATGTGAGGAAACACCATTCTCCCTCTCCTCAACATCAGGATTATGTAGCTCCAGACCTTCCTTCTTGCATTTTTCTTGAACAACGAGAACTCTTTGAACAGTGCAAAGCCCCATATGTAGATCATCAAATGAGAGAAAACCATTCTCCCCTTCCTCAAGGTCAGGATTCTATAGCTTCAGACCTTCCGTCTCCCATTTCTCTTGAACAATGCCAAAGCAAAGCGCCAGGTGTAGATGACCAAATGAATAAACACCATTTTCCCCTTCCTCAAGGTCAGGATTGTGTAGTGGAAAAGAATAATCAACATAAGCCTAAATCACACATTTCTAATATAAATGTTGAAGCCAAGTTCAATACTGTGGTCTCCCAGTCAGCCCCAAATCACTGTACATTAGCAGCATCTGCATCTACTCCTCCTTCAAATAGAAAAGCACTTTCTTGTGTTCATATAACTCTTTGTCCCAAGACTTCTTCCAAGTTGGATAGTGGAACTTTAGATGAAAGATTCCATTCATTGGATGCTGCTTCTAAAGCGAGGATGAATAGTGAGTTTAACTTTGACTTACATACTGTATCTTCGAGATCACTGGAACCAACCTCCAAATTATTGACCAGTAAACCTGTAGCACAGGATCAAGAATCTTTAGGTTTTCTAGGACCTAAATCTTCACTGGATTTCCAAGTCGTACAGCCTTCTCTTCCAGACAGTAACACTATTACTCAGGACTTGAAAACCATACCTTCTCAGAATAGCCAGATAGTAACCTCCAGGCAAATACAAGTGAACATTTCAGATTTCGAAGGACATTCCAATCCAGAGGGGACCCCAGTATTTGCAGATCGGTGAGTCTCATTGTGATAACAAGCAAGCTGGATGGACTTTGTAATAAAGGGTTTCAAATACTTAAGTAGATATCGGTTCTTGGGGGAAAGGCCGTGTGATTTCTCTGAGTGGAGGTTGTGTCTGGCTAATTACTAGAAGTCTTTCAAGGAATAAATGTGTTAAGTAAGAGAGAACATGTGACAGTAATGCATTTATATTTCAGAGGGCTTTTGGCAAGACTTGACATCAAGTGTTTTTAAAAATTGAATGACCTTGAAAAGAATCTTTGATCATCCAATGATACAATTACGAATTTATTTACTGTGTTGGACATATGCTGAAGATCTCCTTTGGAGGTTGCACACACATACATGGGTGCTTGGTCACTCTCTCTCCCGCTCTCCCTCTCTCTCTCTCTTCTCCAGCTCTCTGGTTCCATTTCATGACTTCCCTCAAATATTTAGTATTTACAAAGAAAGTGGCTTTACAGTGGAAAATCCTGGCAGATACCAGTTTAGTCAAATGATGAAGATTAGCATCGCCAGTAAAACATCTGTCAACATAATGTGCTCCCTGATATGATGCCCCACCTCATAGAGTATTGTAGGAAAGGAAACCCAATTCAGGGATAAGTTCGTTAGATTTATATTATTCAGCCCAATTTTAGCACATTGCCATTAATTCAGTTTTACTTAATGAGCCTCTTATGATATGGTGAAGCAGAACTACCTGTATGTTTAGTATTTTACCTTATAGTTGAAGAGGCATCGTACCACAGTGGAGAGCGCTAGGCTTGGAAAGGAGGAAGAAAGAAATGTTTATTCATAATCTACATGTGGTAGTAGTCATGGCAATAAGGAACTTAGATATGCTATCCTACTTAGTTCTCATCATGATCCTATGAAGCAGGTGATGATATCTCTATTTTCCTACTGGGAAATCTTTTGTGCCAAAAGATGTTGTTTGTGGGCAAGAGAAAGAGCATTCAAATGCATTCTGTTTAATCAGAGTAAGGATTTGTTCCTCTACACAGTACTCTGTCCTAGAATTTGAACCCTAATTCCAACACTTCCAACCATGATGCTGGACAACTGATTTAATATCCTTGGCACTCATATGTAGAAGGAAAGGGTTGGAATGCTGAAAAGTCCCTTATAGCTCTAAAAGTTAGGGATTGAGATAATAGATTGGGGCAAAAAAACAAGGTCAATCTCTGATTTCAATGTTAAAAATAGTAGAGTGCCATAGAGATCAGTAATGATACCTTTAAAATTTTTTTCTTTGAGACAGAGTCTCGCTCTGTCACCCAGGCCAGAGTACAGTGATGTGATCTTGGTTCACTGAAACCTCCGCCCCCTGGGTTCCCGTCCCGCCTCAGCCACCTGAATAGCTGGGACCACAGGCGTGCACCACCATGCCTGGCTAATTTTTGTATTTTTAGTAGAGACGAGGTTTTGCCATGTTGGCAAGGCTGGTCAGTATTGATACTTAAAAAAAAAAAAAAAAGTTTAGAAATTAAAACATTGACAATTTCATATACAATTTTTAAACTCTTCAAAGGTTAAATGCTAAGGTATTGTACTGAATACCTTAAAAATGAGATAAAGCTATGAATGAGAAGAAAGTAATAGATGATTATATATATGAACTAACAATAATGCCATTTGTTCAGGGTGTACGTTTGTAGTGGATGCTTATATTATACTTAGTGTAATAATCAGAAATAGATATTATTACCTCAGTTGTGGATTTAAAAAACCTGAGACTTAGAGAAAATATTTTGCCCAAGATCACATGGCCATTGAGCATTGGAGGTGGCATTTGAACCTAGGTTTATCAAACTCCACAGTCCATAAATAAGGCAAACTACACACACACACACACACACACACACACACAGATGCATAAAACATATATATATAAGTAAATATATATATAATACCTTATAAAATATTTATAAAGGGCTGGGTGCGGTGGCTCACACCTGTAATCCCAGCACTTTGGGAGGCCAAGGTGGGCGGATCACCTGAGGTTGAGAATTTGAGACCAGCATGATCAACATGGAGAAGCCCCATCTCTACTAAAAATACAAAATTAGCTGGGCATGGTGGCACATGCTTGTAATCCCAGCTACTCAGGAGGCTAAGGCAGGAGAATCGCTTGAACCTGGGAGGCGGAGGCTGCAGTGAGCCAAGATTGCACCACTGCACTCCAGCCTGGCAACAAAGCGAGACTCTGCCTCAAAAAAAAAATTTATAAAGTATGTATGTATAAAATATTTATAAAGTATATGTGTATAAAATATATTCAAACTTTTTCATTTTGAGATAATTTTAGACTTAGGAGTTGCAGAAATAGCACAGAGAGTTTCTGTATTATCTATTGCTGTGTATCATGTTACCCTGAAATATAGCAACTTAATAAACGTGAAAATTTATGTAGGTCAGAAATCTAAATGTAGCTTATTTGGGTACTTCTGGCTTAGGTTGTCTCAGAACGTTGCAAACAAGGTATTGGCTGCAAATGTGGTCTCATCACAGGGCTTGCCTGAGAGGATATGCTTCCAGCCTCACTCACATGGCCATGGCTTTGGCCAGAGACATGGGCTTTTTGATTCTATAAGGCACTCATAATATGACACCTAAGCTTCCCTTAGTGAGGCAGTGAGAGGGCAAGAGAGGGTGCCCAAAACAAAAGCCACAGTCTTTTTGTAACCTACCCTTGGATGTGTCATCTCGTCACCTCTGCCACATTCTCTTCAGTAGAAATGAGTCACTGTCTAAAGCTCTCACCCAAGGGTTGGGAATTCCACAAGGTCCTGAATACCAGGAGGTAGATGTCATTGGGGGATATGTTAGAGGTTGTCCATGTAACCTTTACTGAAGCTTCCATTTATGTTAACATCTTACCGTAACATCATAACCATAAAATATTTATCAAAATAAGAAATTATTATTGGTGTAAAACTATATAGTCTAACATTGATTTCACCAGGTTTTTCCACAAATGAACCTTTTTTGTTTCAGATCCAACCCAGGATTCCGTCTTGCATTTTAGTTGTCATGTCTTAGACTCCTCCAATCTATGACAGTTTCCCAGTCTTTTTTTGTCTTTCATGACCTTGACGCTTTGAAGAGTGCTAATCAGTTATTTTGAAGAAGCTTCTTCAATTTAGCATTGTTTGATGGTTCAAGGTTAGATTAGGGTTATGCATTCTCAACACGTCACAACAGAGAGCACATTATGTTGATATACATTACTGGTGATGTTAACCTTGATCACTTGGCTAAAGTGGTATCTGCTAGGATTCTCCACTGTAAGGTTATTGTTTTTCCTTTGGAGATACTAAACATTTGAGGGAGATTTTGTTAGACTATACAAATAACCTGTTTCTGCTTAAACTTTGACTACTAATTTTAGCATTCATGAGTGGATCTTGGCTGTAGCAGTTATTACTCTGGTGTTTTAATTTTTTTATGTCTGTCATCTCTTTTACATTTGTTAATTGGAATTCTTCTGTAAGGAGAATTGTTCTTCCCTCATTTATTCCGCCCTAGGTTATTTATTTACATTACTGTAGACTCATTAGTGTTTATTTCATTATTTGGATTATAATCCAATGCTACCATTACTGTTTTGTTGCTCAAGTTCTCTTTTTAGCTCTTTAGAGCACTTTTAGGTTGGCTCCTGTACCCTGCCCCAGAGCTGGAATCAACTGTTTCATTAAAAATCCCTCTTTTTATTGTTGTTGTTGTTGTTGTTTTCTTTCTTTTTGAGCCGGAGTCTTGCTCTGTCACCCAGGCTGGAGTGCAGTGGCGTGATCTTGGCTCACTGCAACCTCCACCTCCCGGGTTCAAGCAATTCACCTGCCTCAGCCTCCAGAGTAGCTGGGATTACAGGTCTGCACCACCAAACCCAGCTAATTTTCTGTATTTTTAGTAGAGACAGGGTTTCACCATGTTGGCCAGGCTGGTCTTGAACTCCTGACCTCAGGTGATCTGCCCACCTCGGCCTCCCAAAATGCTGTGATTACAGACGTGAGCCACCATGCCCAGCCAAAAAACCCTCTTATTTTTGAAGGGAGGAAGGAGTACAGTATTTAGAAAGCAAGATGTAAGGACCTGGCATGCTCATTGCTGGTGGGATGTTGCTGTGTCTAGCCTTTCTCAGTGAATAAAGCTAAGAAATATAGGTAGATTTGTAAATTTATGTGTATACTCATATCTGTATCTTTTAACGTGTGTGTGTGTTTTAAATCATGTGTCCATATTGATACCTCTGACTCTAGTACAGATCCACAAGGTTGATTCTAGCCTTTCCCCTTTCTTTATTTGTAACTTCTGTCTCTAATAGCGATAAAACTGGCTCTCATTATCTGTAATATATTTACCCTAATATATAAATAGTTTCAGAATTCATAGCCCCTACCCACATGAAAAACAAATTCTGCATCTAGAGTACAGTGTTTATCTGCAGTTTCGAAGTTATCATTAAAATATCTAGACAAAAATGCTGTTTGCTAAAGTTTCTTAAGTCAGCATCTCCCTTCCCCATATTCTTCAGTATGAGTACGTGATTCATTTATAATATAGATTCATTAGTCACATTCTGCATTCCATCTTTGCCTCATATCCTGGTTCACCTTTGAAAATTTCCGTACTTATAAATTTCACTTTCTGTGCTTTACAATTCTATCCATTGCTACAGTTTCATATGAGCAGTTCCATCAATCCCCAAATTCCCCTATGCCGTTCCTTTGGAGACAGTCTTTCCTCTGATCCCTCACCCCTGGCAGTCCCTGGTCTGTATTCTTCCTTAGAGTTTTGCCTTTCTAGAGTGTCACACAAATGGAATCATAAAATATGTAACAGCCTTTTGGGTCTGAATTTTTTACTTTGCAAAATGCATTTGACACATCCATCTTGTGTGGATCAGTAGTGCTTTTTTATTGCTTTATTAAATGCAGTAATATTTTATTGTAATTGAGTTTGTTTATCCATTCACTCACTGAAGGATATTTGAGTTGTTTCTAGTTTGGGACCATTAAAATTAGAACTGCTGTAAACATTTATATACAGGTTTTTGTTTCTCTACAGTAAATACTAAGAAAGAGGATTCCTGAGTTATATGGTACAGGTGTATATTTAACTTTGTAAGAATTATTCAGAGCTAAACTAATACTGGTTTTTCAGAGTGTCTGTATCATTTTGCATTCCTGCTAGCAATGGGTGAGCATTCTAGTTACTCCACATCCTCACCGATGTGTAAATTGTCAATATATTTTAGCCATTTTTATAGTTGTACAGTGGTATCTCAACATAGTTTTAATTTGCATGTCCTTCCTTAATGGCTAATTATTATGAACACCGTTTCAAGAGCTTATTTGCCATCCTCTTCGGTGAAGTGCTTTTTAAATAGGGTTGTTTGCTTTCTTATTGGTGAGTTTTGAGAGTTCTTAATATATTCTGGATACGAGTCTTTTCTGGATATGTTATTTGCAAATATCTCTTCACAGTATGCGACTTGTCTTCTTATCCTCTTAAAAAAGGCTTTCAAAAAACAAAGGTGTTTCCTTTTGATCAAGTCCAATTAATTGATTTTTAAATGGATCGTGTGATTGGGTTGGCAATACTTTCCTTTCAGCACTTAAAAAATATGCTCCTTCCTTCTGGATTCCATGGTTTCTGGCAAAAAATTCATAGTCATTTGAGTCATTGTTTTCTATGTAAGAACAATGTGTTATTTTTCTCTGATTATTTTAATTTTTTTCCAGCACATTGATTATGCTTCTAGATATGGGTTTCTTCTTTTTTTTAATTTTTAAATTTTCATTTCAGTAGTTTTTGGGATAAAGGTTGTTTTGGTTACATGGATAAGTTCTTTAGTGGTGATTTCTGAGATTTTAGTGCACCCATCACCCGAGTAGTATGCACACCATACCCAATATGTAGTTTTTTTAAGCCCATAGGTTTACAGGCATACCTCAGATATATTGCAGGTTCAGTTCCAGACCACTGCAATAAAGCCGGTCACCTAAATTTTTTGGCTTCCCAGTGCATGTACAAGTTATGTTAACACTATACTGTACTCTATGAAGTGTATAATAGCGTTATGTCTAAAAAAATGTACCTACCTTAATTTAAAAATTGTCGTTGGTTGATGGGCACTTAGGTTTTTATGAGTTACTTCACTTAGAATAATGGCCTCCAGCTCCATCAAAGTTACTGCAAAAGACATTATTTCATTCCTTTTTATGGCTGAGTAGTATTCCGTGGTGTATATATACCACATTTTCTTTATCTACTCATTGGTTGATGGGCATTTAGGTTTTTATGTCTTTGCAGTTGCAAATTGTGCTGCTGTACAAGTGTGTGCACGTGTCTTTTTAATGTCTTCTTTTTCTAGGTATAGATTTCTTTGGTACATCTTGTTTGGGGTTTGCTGAGTTTTTTTAAGCCTATAGGTTTACAGGCATACCTCAGATATATTGCAGGTTCAGTTCCAGACCACTGCAATAAAGCCGATCACATGAATTTTTTGGTTTCCCAGTGATAATACAAGTGATGTTTACACTATACTGTACTCTATTAAGTGTATAATAGTGTCATGTCTAAAAAAAGTACATACCTTAATTTAAAAATTCTTTATTGTTTAAAAATGCTAACAATTATTTGAACCTTCAGTGAGTTACTTTTTGCTGGTGGCAGTCTTACCTTGATGTTGGTGGCTGCTAACTGCTCTGGGTGGTGATTGCTAAAGATTGAGGTGGCTGTAGAAATTTCTTTTTTTTTTTCTTTTTAATTTTCATTGGTACATAGTAGGTGTATATGTTTATGGGTACATGAGATGTTTGATACAAGCATGCAGTGTGAAATAAGGACATTGTGAAGAATGGGGTACATCCCTTCAAGCATTTTTATCCATTGAGTTGCAAACAATGCAATTACACTAAGTTATTTTAAAATGTACAGTCATTATTTACTATAGTCACCCTTTTGTGTTACATAGTAGGTCTTATTCATTCTTTCTATTTTGTGTGTGTGTGTGTGTGTGCCCATTAACCATCCCCATCTCTCCCCAAACCCCTCACTACCTTTCTCAGCCTCTGGTAACCATCCTTCTACTCTCTATGTCCATGAGTTCAATTGTTTGGATTTTTAGATTCCACAAATAAGTGACAACATGCAGTGTTTGTCTTTTTATGCCTGGTTTATTTCATTTAACGTAATGATCTCTAGTTCCATCCATATTGTTGTAAATGACTGGATCTCATCATTTTCTATGTCTGAATAGTACTCCACTGTGTATATGTACCACATTTTCTTACCCATCTATTGATGGACACATAGGCTGCTTCCGAATCTTAGCTTACCACAAACACTGCTGCAACAAACATGGGATTGCATTGAAACTGTAGATTGCTTTTGAGTAACAAAATCAGTCTTCCATATACTGATTTCCTTTCTTTTGGGTATATACTCAGCAGTGGGATTGCTGGATCATATTGTAGCTCAGTTTTTAGTTTTTTTAAGGAACCTCCAAACTATTCTCCTTAGCAATTGCACTAATTTACATTCCAAGCAATAGTATACAAGGGTTCCCTTTTCTCCACGTCTTCACCAGCATTTGTTATTGCCTGTCTTTTCCATATAAGCCATTTTAACTGGGGTGAGATGATATCTCATTGTAGTTTTTAGTTTTAGTGTTTTGATTGGATTATTAGATTTTTTCCTATGGAATTGTTTGAGCTCTTTATGTATTCTGGTTATTAATCCCTTGTGAGATGGGTAGTTTGCAGATATTCTCTTCCATTCTGTAGGTTGTCTTCTTCACTTTATTGATTGTACCCTTTGCTGTAAAGAAGCTTTTTAATTTGATGTGATCCCATTTGTCCATTTTCGCTTTGGTTACCTGTGCTTGTGGGGTATTGCTCAAGAAATTTTTGCCCAGACCAATATCCTAAAGATTTTCCCTCATGTTTTTCTGTAGTAGTTTCATGATTTGAGGTCTTAGGTTTAAGTTTTTAATCCATTTTGATTTGATTTTTGTATATGGCGAAAGATATAGAGTTCTAGCTTCATTCTTCTGCATGTAAGTATCCAGTTTTCATTTATTTCTGCTGTTTTATAGTTTTTGTCAGGGAATTCTGATATCTCTTTTATCCTAGCCTTGGTGTCTGTTCCCATGTGATTTAGTTTTTATATTTGTCTCTTCAAAATCTCATATTGAAATTTGATCCCCAGCATTAGAGGTGGGACCTAAAGAGAGATGTTTGGGTTATGGGGGCAGATCCCTCATGAATGGCTCAGTGACCTCCCTGTGGTAATGAGTGAGTTCTGGCTCGTAGTTCACCCAAGAGCTGGTTGTTTAAAAAAGAATGACTCCCCTCCTCCCCACCTTCCACTTCTTTTCTCTTCCCGTGTGATGTGGGCTCTCCCCTTACACTTCTGCTGTGATTGGAAGCTTCCTGAGTTCCTCACCAGAAGCAGATGCTGGTCCCATGCTTCTTACACAGCCTGCAGAACTGTGAGCCAAACAAACCTTTTTACTTGGTAAATTACCCAGCCTCAAGTATTCCTTAATAGCAGTGCAAACAGACTAAGACACCATTTGAGCTGAGATTTTTCTGGTTCTAAATATGATGAATAATTTTGGATTGTATTTCATAATGACGTGTTATGAAATGACAAGTCTTGTTTAAATGCCATAGAGAATGTTGATGTTTTTGTTTTAGCAGACAATGACCCAACTAGTTTCAGGTTAAAAATTCCAGCCAGCCTTCTGTAGGTTGTTGTTCCAAGTCCATTCAGTTTTCAAAGATTTTGCAGTGCTGTTCACATCTGTTGTCTGTGTGTGTGCCTAGTGGCCCTTTTCTAGGTACTTTTATCCCTTTTCTATGTACTTTCTGTGACTACATTGTGTCAGGGCTGAGTGGCACAGGACAGAAGGAGAAAAAGCCAACCAGGAGTGGTCACTCTTGAGACCACATTTCCTTTGGTGTAAGTTGAAGGTTTCCCTTCTTCAGAACTTTAGGCTCCTGCCAGCCTCTGTTACTGCTTGTACCATTGCCACCATGAGATTACTGGGATGCTATGACTAATATACAGAGATAAGGAAAAAGGGGATTCCACACTCTATATAGAGTGTTGGGAGACCCTTCTTTCATTCCTGAAGCCTGAACTAGAAGGCTTCGCTGTGAAGTCTTTCTCTCTATGCTAATATCCACTTTTAGGTTTCAGGCTATATTGAGTTCAGGCCAAGGAATGACAGAGGAAACAAAAATGATGGCAAACTCATTACCATTTTGATGATATTTCAGATTTTATGATCTTCAATCTGCCTGCTTCTGTTATTTTCCACAGTCTTCCAATAGCTGCTCCATGTAGTCTATCTAGGTTTTATAGCTCATCTCATCTAGGATTAGATACGCTAACCTGGAACTGGAACCACTTCTACTGTTTTTTGTTCCCATTAACTGCATATGTGAGTTTCAGTTATTCCACATCCTTGCCAACACTGGGTATTAACAGTTATTTTTAATTTCACTCATTCTAAATGTGAGTATGAAACAGTATGGTATTGTAATTTTAATTTGTATTTCCATGATGACTAATGATGCTGAGCATCTTTTCTGTGTCTCTTGCCCATTTGCATGATTTTATTTATGAAGTATCTGTTCACTTTTATCCATTGGATTATTTGTCTCAGTATTATAGGAATTTTTATAATATATTCCAGATACAAATCCTCTGTGTATTGTGAATATTTTCTCATAGTCTGTGGTGTGATTTTTGTTTTCTTAATGGTGTCTCTGGGGAACAGAAAGCTTTAATTTTGATGAATTCCACTTTGGTAATTTTTTTTTAATGATTAGTACTTTTTTGTGTCCTGATTAAGAAATGTTGCCTAATCAAGTGTTGTAAAAGTTTTCTCCTGTATTTTCATGTAGAAATGTTATGGTCTTAACTTTGTGATCAAGTCTGTGATCTGTTTCCAAATTCTCCTTTGTGGTGTAAGTTATGCAGTTGAGGATCATTTTCTTTCCTAGGAATATTCTAGCACCACTTTTCAAAAATGATTATTTCCTTATTGAAGTTAGTTGGAACCTTGGTCAAAATTAGTTGGCCTTATATGTGTAAGTTTTAGAGTTTCTACTCTGTTTCTTTGTTCTTTTTATTTATCTTTACACCAGTACCACAATGTCTTGATTACTGTAGCTTTATAGTAAGTCTTGAAATCAGGTTATGTCCTCCAACCTTGTTTTTGTTTTCAAAATTATTTTTGCTATTTCAAGTCCTTTGCATTTTCATACAAATTTTAGAATAAGCATACTGGGATTTTTTTGGGGATTGTATGGAATCTGTAGATCAATTTTGTAGATTGACATTTGAATTTTCAGTCTTCCTATGCATGAACATGGTGAGATTTTTCTTCCCCACTTATTTAAGTCATCTTTAATGTCCCCCGGTGACATATTGTAATTTTCGTTGTGTAGATTTTACACATCTACTAAATATATTCCTAAGTAGTTAATATACTATGGTATATGGCATTTTAAAATTTAAGTTTTCTCATTGTTCATTGCTTATATATAGAAATACTGTTGTCATGCCAATTTGTAGGTCCCAACAAGTTAATTTTAATTTTAATTTATTATTCTTTGGGTCAGAGCTTTCATGCCTACTGTGGGATGTTTTAGGGCAATGAGTGCTGTAGAGAATTTATACAAGGCAAAAGTTCCAGTGGTTGACATATATCTATTTGTTCTCTGTTTTATGTTCAGTAACTCCTCTAAGATTTCAAGAGTTTCTTCTTTAAATTTACTGGGATCCTCAGGTATAAAGTCTATTCTTCATACATAATCATTTCACCAGAGAACAGAGCAGTTTTACTCCTTCCTTTGCAGTTCTCATGCCTTTTATTTCTTTTTCTTGCTTAATGCACTGGCTAGAACATTGAATATGATACCAAAACAAGTAGTAAAAGCAGACATCTTGCCCTGTTCCCTATTCCTGGAGGGCAGGAGAGTAGAGTAGTGTTTTGTCATTAAGTTTAATATTACCTGTAGATTTTTAATGGGTGCCTTTTATCAGCTTGAGGATGTTTTCTAAGTGAGTTTTATCATGAATGGGTGTTTAATTTTTCAGATGTTTTTCCTGATCTATGGATATGATCATACATGTTTTCTCCTTTTTTCTACTGATGTAGTGAATTACATTGGTCCAGTTGATCAACTGTATTGTTGAAATTGTCATCTTTACTGAATTTTTATCTGCTTGTTTAATCAGCATTTGAAAACAGCATACATCTCCAGTTATGTTTGTGTGTTTTCTGTTTCTCCTTTAGATCTTCTTTGGAGTATTTTGTGGGGAGGGGAACAATAACAAAGTTATAGAAAAGGTAAATATGGCACAAGGAACTTCTCTTTCTCCTTAGTTATTTGGGAATACGTTGTTGACCTGCTGCACAATCACTTTCGTGTAATATAGTCTCATTTCCTATAAAAGGACATTCTCCTATAGGACCACAATAAAACCATGAGAATTAGGAAATTCATACTAGTGCATTACAGACATTATTTAGATTTCTCCAGTTCTCCCAGTAATGTCTTTTTTTTTATTTTTATTTTTTTATAACACTTTAAGTTTTAGGGTACATGTGCACAATGTGCAGGTTAGTTACATGTGTATACATGTGCCATGCTGGTGTGCTGCACCCATTAACTCGTCATTTAGCATTAGGTATATCTCCTAATGCTATCCCTCCCCCCTTCCCCGACCCCACAACAGTCCCCAGAGTGTGATGTTCCCCTTCCTGTGTCCATGTGTTCTCATTGTTCAATTCCCACCTATGAGTGAGAATATGCAGTGTTTGGTTTTTTGTTCTTGCTATAGTTTACTGAGAATGATGATTTCCAATTTTATCCATGTCCCTACAAAGGACATGAACTCATCATTTTTTATGGCTGCATAGTATTCCATGGTGTATATGTGGCACATTTTCTTAATCCAGTCTATCGTTGTTGGACATTTGGGTTGGTTCCAAGTCTTTGCTGTTGTGAATAGTGCCGCAATAAACATACGTGTGCATGTGTCTTTATAGTAGAATGATTTATAATCCTTTGGGTATATAGCCAGTAATGGGATGGCTGGGTCAAATGGTATTTCTAGTTCTAGATCCCTGAGGAATCGCCACACTGACTTCCACAATGGTTGAACTAGTTTACAGTCCCACCAACAGTGTAAAAGTGTTCCTATTTTTCCATGTCCTCTTTATCACTTTAAAACTCAATAAAGTTGTGGCTGTTAGGTGCCTTTATCATTTTAAAACTCAATAAGGTTGTGGCTGTTAGGTACCTTTTCATCCCACAGTAGGCATGAAAGCTCTTAGGCACCTTAATACCCCAAACAAGATACTCTTTTCCCTTTTGTAATTAAGTGTTTTATGGAAGGTATGTTTAAATTATGTAAACATCTTATTCATCAGCAAACTTACTTATTAATTTGTATCTGTACAGAATCTTCCTTATTTTATTCAGTGAGTTATGATCAATTTCTACCTTTTTTCTTTTTAACTTGTTATTTGAAAATACATATAGACTCACAAGAAAAATATGTGACTCACAAGAGGTTACAAAAATAGCCAAGGGAGGTCCCCACTCAGCTTCCCCATTGATAATGTCCTTACATAACTATAATGCATTATCAAAACCAGTAAATTGATATTGGCACAATACAGTCAAGTGGACTACAGACGCTAATCAGATTTCACAAGTTTTTGCATGCACTCAGTTATTCTAATGCATATATGTGTAATTCTGTAAAATTTAAACACATGTATAGCTTTATGTAACCGCCATCATAATCAAGATACAGAAGTGCTCTGTCACTGTGAAGGAATTCCCTTGTGCCTTCCCTTTTCTAGTCACACCCTGTTCCCTCAAGCCAGCCTTCTTTAACCCCTGAAAGCCAGTGATCTGTTTTTCTACTGTATAATTTTGTCATTTTGAGAAGTTATATAGATGGAATCCAACATGTTACATAGATGGAACATAACATGTAAACTTTGAGATGTGTTCTTCTTACTCAGCATACTCACCTGGAGATCCATTCAACTTGTGTGTATCAGTAGTTAATTTCTTTGTATTGGTCAGCATTCCATTATTTGGAATTTATACAGTATGTTTATCCATTCACCTGTTGAAGGACATTGTTTCCAATGCTTATTACTAATAAAGCTGTTATGAACATTCATGTACTTTTTTTTTTATACTTTAAGTTTTGGAATACATGTGCTGAATGTTCAGGTTTGTTACATAGGTATACATGTGCCATGGTGGTTTGCTGCACCCATCAACTCGTCATCTACATTACGTATTTCTCCTAATGTTATCTCTCCCCTTGCTTCCTACCCCACAACAGGCCCCAGTGTGTGATGTTCCCCTCCCTGTGCCCATATATTCTCAACTCCCACTTATGAGTGAGAACATGGAGTGTTTGGTTTTCTATTCCTGTGTTAGTTTGCTGAGAATGATGGTTTCCAGCTTCATCCATGTCCCTCCAAAGGACATGAACTCATTCTTTTTTATGGCTGCATAGTATTCCATGGTATATATGTGCCACATTTTCTTTATCCAGTCTAATATTGATAGGGATTTGGGTTGGTTCTAAGTCTTTGTTATTGTGAATAATGCTGCAGTAAACATACATGTGCATGTGTCTTTATAGTAGAATGATTTATAATCGTTGGGGTATATACCCAGTAATGGGATTGCTGGTCAAATGGTATTCTAGTTCTAAATCCTTGAGGAATCACCACACTGTCTTCCACAATGGTTGAACTAATTTACACTTCCACCAACAGCATAAAAGCATTCTTGTTTCTCCACATCCTCTCCAGCATCTGTTGTTTCCCAACTTTTTAATGATTGCCATTCTAACTGGTGTGAGATGGTATCTCAGTGTGGTTTTGATTTGCATTTCTCTAATGACCAGTGATGATGAGCTTTTTTTCATGTTTGTTGGCTGCATAAATGTCTTCTTTTGAAAAGTGTCTGTTTATATCCTTCGCCCACTTTTTGATGGGGTTGTTTGTTTTTTTCTTGTACATTTGTTTAAGTTCCTTGTTTTCATTCTTAAGTAAATTAAGTTTCCTTGATTTTTGTTCTTTTGCATTTGCTGAGGAGTGTTTTACTTCCAGTTATGTGGATCTCAGCCCTTTTTCAGATGGATAGACTGCAAAATTTTCTACCATTCTGGAGGTTGCCTGTTTACTCTAATGATAGTTTCTTTTGCTGTGCAGAAGCTCTTTAGTTTAATTAGATCTAATTTGTCAAGTTTGGCTTTTGTTGCCATTGCTTTTGGTGTTTTAGTCATGAAACCTTTGCCCATGCCTATGTCCTGAATGGTATTGCCTAGGTTTTTTTGTAGGGTTTTTATGGTTTTAGGTCTTACATTTAAGTCTTTAATCCATCTTGAGTTAATTTTTGTATAAGGTGTAAGGAAGGGATCCAGTTTCACTTTTCTGCATATGGCTAGTCAGTTTTCCCAGCACTATTTATTAAATAGGGAATCCTTTCTCCATTGCTTTTGTCAGGTTTGTCAAAGATCAGATGGTTGTAGATGTGTGGTGTTATTTCTGAAGCCCCTGCTCTGTTCCATTGGTCTATGTATCTGTTTTGGTACCAGTACCATGCTGTTTTGGTTCCCGTAGCCTTGTAGTATAGTTTGAAGTCAGGTAGCATGATGCCTCCAGCTTTGTTCTTTTTGCTTAGGATTGTTGTGGCTATACGGGCTCTTTTTTGGTTCCATATGAACTTTAAAGTAGTTTTTTCTAATTCTGTGAAGAAAGTCAATGGTAGCTTGATGAGGATAGCATTGAATCTATAAATTACTTTGGACAGTATGGCCATTTCACAATATTGATTCTTCCTATCCATGAGCATGGAATGTTTTTCCATTTGTTTGTGTCCTCTCTTATTTCCTTGAGCAGTGGTTTGTAGGTCTCCTTGAAGACATCCTTCACATCCATTGAATGTTGTATTCCTAGGTATTTTATTCTCTTTGTAGCAATTGTGAATGGGAGTTTGCTCGTGATTTGGCTCTCTATTATTGGTGTATAAGAATGCTTGTGATTTTTGCACATTGATTTTGTATCCTGAGACTTTGCTGAAGTTGCCTATCAGCTTAAGGAGTTTTTGGGCTGAGATGATGGGGTTCTCTAAATATACAATCGTGTCATCTGCAAACAGAGATAATTTGACTTCCTCTCTTCCTATTTGAATACCCTTTATTTCTTTCCCTTGCCCGATTGCCCTGGCCAGAACTTCCAATACTGTGTTGAATAGCAGTGGTGAGAGGCCATCCTTGCATTGTGTCGGTTTTCAAAGGGAATGTTTCCAGCTTTTGCCCATTCAGTATGATATTGGCTGTGGGTTTGTCACAAATAGCTCTTATTTTTTTGAGACATGTTCCATCAATACCTAGTTTATTGAGTGTTTTTAGCATGAAGGGGTGTTGAATTTTATCGAAGGCCTTTTCTGCATCTATTGAGATAATCATGTGGTTTTTTGTTATTGGTTCTGTTTATGTGATGGATTACATTTATTGATTTGTGTATGTTGAACCAGCCTTACATCCCAGGGATGAAGCTGACTTGATCTTGGTGGATAAGCTTTTGAATGTGCTGCTGGATTAGGTTTGCCAGTATTTTATTGAGGATTTTTGCATCGATGTTTATCAGGTATATTGGCCTGAAATTTTCTTTTTTGTTGTGTCTCTGCCAGGTTTTGGTATCATGATGATGCTGGCCTCATAAAATGAGTTAGGGAGGAGTCCCTCTTTTTCTATTGTTTGGAATAGTTTCAGAAGGAATGGTACCAGCTCCTCTTTGTACCTCTGGTAGAATTCGGCTGTGAATCCATCTGGTCCTGGGCTTTTCTTGGTTGGTAGGCTATTATTGCCTCAATTTCAGAACTTGTCATTGGACTGTTCAGGGATTTGACTTCTTCCTGGTTTAGTCTTGGGAGGGTGTATGTGTCGAGGAATTTATCCATTTCTTCTAGATTTTCTAGTTTATTTGCGTAGAGGTGTTTGCAGTATTCTCTGATGGTAGTTTGTATTTCTGTGGGATCAGTGGTGATCTGCCCTTTATCATTTTTTATTGTGTCTATTTGATTCTTCTCTCTTTTCTTCTTTATTAGTCTGGCTAGTGGTCTATCTATTTTGTTAATCTTTTCGAAAAACCAGCTCCTGAATTCGTTGATTTTTTTGGAAGGGTTTTTCGTGTCTCTATTTCCTTCAGTTCTGCTCTGATCTTAGCTATTTCTTGTCTTCTGCTAGCTTTTGAATTTGTTTGCCCTCGCTTCTCTAGTTCTTTTAATTGTGATGTTAGGGTGTCGATTTTAGATCTTTCCTGCTTTCTCCTGTGGGCATTTAGTGCTATAAATTTCCCTCTACACACTGCTTTAAATGTGTCCCAGAGATTCTGGTATGTTGTGCCTTTGTTCTCATTGGTTTCACAGAATTTATTTCTTGCTGCCTTGATTTCGTTATTTAGCCAGTAGTCATTCAGGAGCAGGTTATTTAGTTTCCATGTAGTTGTGCGGTTTTGAGTTTTCTTTTCTCTTTTCTTTTCTCTTTTCTTTTCCTTTCCTTTCCCTTTCCCTTTCCTTTCCTTTCCTTTCCTTTCTTTTCTTTTCTTTCCACCCTGCCCTCCTTTCTTCTTCTTCTTTTTTTTTTTTTTTTTCCGAGTCTCACTCTGTTGCCCAGGCTGGAGTGCAGTGGCGCGATCTCGGCTTACTGCAAGCTCTGCCTCCTGGGTTCACGCCATTCTCCTGCCTCTGCCTCCCAAGTAGCTGGGACTACAGGTGCCTGCCACCACGCCTGGCTAATTTCTTTTTGTATTTTTAGTAGAGACAGGGTTTCACTGTGTTAGTCAGGATGGTCTCGATCTCCTGACCTTGTGATCCACCCGCCTCGGCCTCCCAAAATGCTGGGGTTACAGATGTGAGCCACCGCACCCGGCTGAGTGAGTTTCTTAATCCTGAGTTCTAATTTGATTGCACTGTAGTCTGAGGGACTGTTTGTTATGATTTTCATTCTTCTGCATTTTCTGAGGAGTGTTTTACTTCCAATTATGTGGTCAATTTTAGAATAAGTGCTATGTAGTACTGAGGAGAATGTATATTCTGTTGATTTGGGGTGTAGAGTTCTGTAGATGTCTATTAGGTCTGCTTGGTCCAGACCTGAGTTCAATTCCTGAATATCCTTGAGCTGAGTTCAAGTCCTGAATATCCTTGTTAATTTTCTGTCTCGTTGATTTGTCTAATATTGACAATGGGGCTTTAAAGTCTCCCACTATTACCGTGTGGGAGTCTAAGTCTCTTTGTAGGTCGCTAAGAACTTGCTTTATGAATCTGGGTGCTCTTGTATTGGGTGCATATATATTTAGGATAGTTAGCTCTTCTTGTTGCATTGATCCGTTTACCATTATGTAATGCTCTTCTTTGTCTTTTTTGATCTTTGTTGGTTTAAAGTCTGTTTTATCAGAGACTAGGATTTCAACCCCTGTTTTTTTTTGTTGTTTTGTTGTTGTTGTTATTTTTTGCTTTCCATTTGCTTGGTAGATCTCCCTCCATCCCTTTATTTTGAGCCTATGTGTGTCTTTGCACATGAGATGCGTCTCCTGAATACAGCACACCAATGGGTCTTGACTCTTTATCCAGTTTGCCAGTCTGTGCATTTTAATTGGGGCATTTAGCTCATTTACATTTAAGGTTACTATTGTTAGGTGTGAATTTGATCCTGTCATTATGATGCTAGCTGGTTATTTTGCCCATTAGTTGATGTAGTTTCTTCATAGTGTTGATGGTCTTTACATTTTATTATTATTATTATTATTTTTGCAGTGACTGGTACTGGTTTTTCCTTGCCATATTTAGTGCTTCCTTCAGGAGGTCTTGTAAGGCAGGCCTGGTGGTGACAAAATCCCTCAGCATTTACCTGTCTGTAAAGGATTTTATTTCTCCTTCACTTATGATGCTTAGTTTGGCGGGATATGAAATTCTGGGTTGAAAATTCTTTTCTTTAAGAATGTTGAATGTTGGCCCCCACTCTCTTCTGGCTTGTAGGGTTTCTGCCAAGAGATCTGCTGTTAGTCTGATGGGCTTCCCTTTATGGGTAACCTGACCTTTGTCTCTGGCTGCCCTTAATATTTTTTCCTTCATTTCAACCTTGGTGAATCTGACGATTATGTGTTTTGGGGTTGCTCTTCTTGAGGAGTATCTTTGTGGTGTTCTCTGTATTTCTTGAATTTGAATGTTGGTCAGTCTTGCTAGGTTGGGGAAGTTCTCCTGGATAATATCCTGCAGAGTGTTTTCCAACTTGGTTCCATTCTCCCTGTCACTTTCAGGTACACCAATCAAACGTACGTTTAGTCTTTTCACATAGTCCCATATTTCTTGTCTTCACACTTTATTTCATGAAGTTGATCTTCAGTCTCTGATATCCTTTCTTCCACTTGGTCGATTCAGCTATTGATACTTATGTATGCTTCTCGAATTTCTCATGCTGTGTTTTTCAGCTCCAGCAGGTCATTTATGTTCATCTCTAAACTGGTTATTCTAGTTAGCAATTCCTCTAACCTTTTATCAATGTTCTTAGCTTCCTTGCATTGGGTTAGAACATGTTCCTTTAGCTCGGAGAAGTTTGTTATTACCCACCTTCTGAAGCCTACTTCTGTCAATTTGTCAAACTTATTCTCCATCCAGTTTTGTTGCTGGTGAGAGTTGTGATCCTTTGGAGGAGAAGAGGCATTCTGGTTTTGGAATTTTCAGCCTTTTTGCACTGGTTTTTCCTCATCTTTGTGGATTTATCTACCTTTGGTCTTTGCTGTTGGTGAACTTCAGATGGAGTTTTTGCGTGGTCGTTCTTTTTGTTGATGTTGATGCTTTTGCTTTCTGTTTGTTAGTTTTCCTTCTAACAGTCAGGCCCCTCTGCTGCAGGTCTGCTGGAGTTTACTGGGGGTCCACTCCAGACCCTGTTTGCCTGGGTATCACCAATGAAGGCTGCAGAACAGCAAAGTTTGCTGCCTTCTCCTACCTCTGAAGTTTTGTCCCAGAGGGGCACCCGCCAGATGCCAGCCAGGGCTCTCCTGTGTGAGGTGTCTGTCGACCCCTGCTGGTAGGTGTCTCCCCACCAGGAGGCACGGGGGTCAGGGACCCACTTGTGGAGGCATTCTGTCCCTTAGCAGGGCTCGAGGGCTGTCCTGGGAGATCTGCTGCTCTATTCAGAGCTGGCAGGCAGGAACGTTTAAGTCTGCTGAAGCTGTGCCCACAGCTGCCCCTTCCCCCAGGTGCTCTGTCCCAGGGAGATGGGAGTTTTATCTATAAGCCCCTGACTGGGGCTGCTGCCTTTCTTTCAGAGATGCCCTGCCCAGAGAGGAGGAATCTAGAGAGGCAGTCTGGGCTTCACCCAGTTGGAAATTCCCAGCGGCTTTGTTTACACTGTGAGGGGAAAACTGCCTACTCAAGCCTCAGTAATGGTGGATGCCCCTCCTCTCACAAAGCTTGAATATCCTAGGTCGACTTCAGGCTGCTCTGCTGGCAGTCAGAATTTCAGGCCAGTCGATCTTAGCTTGCTGGACTCCTTGGGGGTGGGATCCACTGAGCTAGACCACTTGCCTTCCTGGCTTCAGCCCCCTTTCCAGAGGAGTGAACGGTTCTGTCTTGCTGGCATTCCAGGCGCCACTGGAGTATGAAAAGAAAACTCCTGCAACTATCTCGGTGTCTGCCCAAATGGCCGCTCAGTTTTGTGCTTGAAACCAGGGCCCTGGTGGTATAGGCACCCAAGGGAATCTCCTGGTCTGTGGGTTTCGAAGACTGTGGGAAAAGCCTAGTATCTGGGCTGGAACAGTCCTCATGGCTTCCCTTGGTTAGGGGAGGGAGTTCCCCAACCCGTTGTGCTTCCCGAATGAGGCGACACCCCCACCCTGCTGCTGCTCACCCTCTGTGGGCTGCACCCACTGTCTAACCAGTCTCAATGAGATGAACTGGGTACCTTAGTCGGAAATGCAGAAATCACCTGCCTTCTGCGTTGGTCTTGCTGGGAGCTGCAGACTGGAGCTGTTCTATTTGGCCATCTTGCCCGGGAATCCCTCATGTACTTGTTATTACATGACCATAAGTTTTTTATTTCTCTATGACAGTGGGTCTCAACTAGGAGTGATTTTACCTCTCAGGGAACATGGGAAATGTCTGAAGACATTTTTGATTGTAATGACTAGGAAAGAAATGCTACTGGTGTCTAGTAAATAAAACATAGAGGTGCTGTGGAATATCCTAGAATGCACAAGACAGTCCTCCACAACAAAGAATTGTTTCAAAATGTCAGTGCTGAGGTTGAGAAACTGCACTAGGATTAAGACCCAGGAGTGTGATTATTGAGTTGTACGTAAGTATATGTTTAATTTTATAGGAAACTGCCAGAGTGTTTTCCAGAGTGGTTATAACATTTTGCATTTCCAATAACAATGTGTGAGAGATCAAGTTCCTCCACATCCTCATCAGCATTTATACTGTCAGTATTTTTTATATTTTTATTTTTTTGAGATGGAGTCTCACTCTGTCACCCAGGCTGGAGTGCAGTAGCATGATCTCAGCTCAGTAGCAGGATCTCAGCTCACTGCAACCTCTGCCTCCCGGGTTCAAGCGATTCTCCTGCCTCAGCCTCCCGAGTAGCTGGGACTACAGGTGCGTACCACCACGCCTAGCTAATTTTTATATTTTTAGTAGAGATGGGGTTTCACCATATTGGTGAGGCTGGTCTTGAACTCCTGACCTTGTGATCTGCCCACCTTGGCCTCCCAAAGTGCTGGGATTACAGGCGTAAGCTACCACGCCTGTCCACTGTCAGATTTTTTTTTTTTTTAATTTAGCCTTCCTGATTGGTATATAGGGGTTATCTCATTATTGCTTTAATTTGCATTTCTCTACTACTGACAATGAACATTTTTAATATGCCCATTTACTATCTATATGTTTTCTATTAAAATTGTTTTGCTCATTTTCTAATTGCATTTTTTTTACTGTTGAATTTAGAGAATCTTTATATATTCTGGATACAAATTCTTTATTAGATTTCAGACTTGCAAATTTTTACATTGTACAAAACCAAGTTTTCTTATTCTATTTATTGTTACTATTGTAATTTGTTTTGATGCTCAAAATACAGATTTGGTGGCCGGTGGCAGCCCCTTCAAGCTGGCTCTATATCCTTTTTGTATGTCCCCGTCATCTTTTGATCATGTCTTTGCTTTCTGGCACAAGATATTTCAGGCTCATCTTATACTTTTCTTTCTCCAGCTCTGGAATCAACTACTTCTCCAAGAAGCCTGTTCTTCCAGTGGAATGTGCTATTTAGAGGTTAGGATTTAAACACTAGGCATATGTGTTGCTCCCAGCCCTACACTTATTTACATTAATATTTATTTCTCTATCTGTATATATTAAAAACCATATGTTCATCTCATTTTTTACTTTTTTCTTTGTTTTTGTAACTTTCATATCTAATAGTGAGTAACCTCACTTCCAGTGTGCTTTATATAACGAATTCTCTCATTTCTTGCCAACCTCTCCCCAGCAAGGATGACCCTAACGCTCCACTTGGATTCAAACACTTTATTGTCTGTCTCCTTGGGTGGATGCTCTTTTCACCCTGCTTGGGCTTTGGCATTCCATGCTAGACCACTCCTCAACATGTATAGCACCCCTCCCTACTTGGTCTCTGACTTCCCTGTGTCAGAATGCTCATCACCCTCAACGTATGGACACTCTCCCCACCCCACGTAGGTTCTGACTCCCCATGCTGAACTACCCCCTCACATGGATTTCTTCCTCATGCTGCATAGGCTCATGACACCTCACATTGGTCTCCCTCTACTTGGATGCCCTCATCTTGTTTAGGATTTGACTCAAGATGTCAGGCTACGCCATTTAGACAGCCTCCTCACTCAGGTTCTGACATTCAAGGTCAGACTGACTCCTGTCACCCTGCTTGAGTAGTGACTCACCACACTGCCCTTACCCTGTATGACACCCTTCTCATCCTGCAGGAAATCTGACTTCCCAGCCTAGGCTATCTCTCTGTGTAGGTATTTTCCTTCTCTACTGCAGCTCTGCCACTCCATGTAAGGCCACCCCAGTGTGGAGACACCTACCTCATTCTGCTTGGGCTCTAACTCCACATGTCTGGTGGACCTCCCTCTTCATGGAAGCCCTCCATATCCTGATTTGGTGCTTTTATTGCACACTAAGCCACACGTCTGCAGAGACTGTCTTCTTGCCCTGCTTGAATTCTAATACTCTGTGCTAGGACACTTCTTTACATGGGCACCTTCCTTACCCTAATGAGATTCTGATACCTTGCTCTGGCCCGTTGTCACTCCATTTGCTACAGATTCCCGCCTTGTTCTGCCTACCTAATGGTTTTAAGATTGTATTGTTTGGGATGGGAAAGATAAAAGAAAGGGAGAATAGAAACACAGGAGAGGGGAAAGAGAATAGGAAGCTTATTTTTTGTTACTTTGTGATTAATATATCTTTTCTCTCCTTTTACTTTCAACCTATCTGTGACCTCACAGTAAAGTGCATCACTTGTCAATGTCATATGGTTGAATGTTATTCATTTTTAATCTTGTCTGTTAATCTTTATCTTATAACTGAGATATTTAGTTCATTTACATTTAATATAATTATTGAGCTAGTTGATTTTGCTATCCTCTATTATTTTAGATTAATTAATTATTTTTATTCCATGCTATTTTCTCTATTGGCTTCTTTTACTTTTTTTTCTTTTAGTGGTTATTCTAGAGATTATAATATACTTCCTTGACTGTATAGTTTACCTTAAATTAGTACTTTTTTCGCTTTATGAGCAGCAAAGTATCTTAGGACAGTTGAACTCTATTTACTCACTCCTCCTATTTGTGCTTTTGTTGTCATATATTTCTGTTCTACATGTTCTGAATCCCACAGGACATTATTATTGTTGCTTTGAACAAACAACATTCTTTTCCATATATATGTATATAAGAAATATAAAGCAACGTAAAATATGTATATATACACAAGAGTGTATGTATGTATATGTACATGTATATATTTACATACACACATCCTTTAAGTGTTCTGCATTCTTTCTAGCAGTTCTGTACTATGTTGGATCATTTTCCTTCAGCCTAAAAAATTTCCTTTAGTATTTCCTGAAGTCTTCTGGGGATTATCTTAGTTTTTATTTGTTTGGTTTAAGAAATGTATTTCAGTTGGTTATAGAATTGTAGGTTTTTATTTCAGCACTTTAAAGAGCTACTATCTTTGTTGAAAGGCCAAGTGTCGTTCTTATTTTTGCACCTTTGATTTTCAGCAGTTTGGCTTTGATGCCCCAAGAGTTGGTTTTTCTTAGTATTACTTTGTGTTCACTGAGCTTCTTAACTCAGTAGATTAAGTCTTCTACCTGTTTTGGAAAATTCTTACCCATTAACTCATAAATATTGTTTCTGCACTCTTCCCTCTTCTCCTAGGAGTAAGATTACACATGTATTGGATTATATGACTGTGCCCCGTGAGTCTCTTATGCTGTCATCCGTTCGTTCTTTTTATGTTTGGCAGTTTTCTGTAGACTTTTTGAATTTACAAATTATTTTTACACAGTGTCTATTTGCTTCTACTACAGTTGAATCAGATTTTAGATAATGTATTTTTATTCTGAAATATTCATTTCTTTTTTTAATAGATTGTAGTTTTCTGTTGAGATTTTCCATATTTTATCTATTTCCCTTTATCTTTTGCTCTCAATATATTAATAACCATTTTGAAGTCTTTTTGTGCTAACTAGTAGCTAAATCCCCTGTAAATCAGTTTTTCTTGTCTATTTTTTCCTCTCAATTTTTGATCATTTTTTCCTGCTTCATATGTTACATAATGTTTTGTGTGTTGGATATTGTAAATAAGAGGATAATAGAGATTGAGGGTATTTGCATCTAGAGGGACTAGAAAAACAAGAGCAAGCCAACCCCAAAGCTAACAGAAGAAAATAAATAACGAAAATTAGAGCTGAACTGTATGAAATTGAGATGCGAAAATCCATACAAAAGATTAACTAAACCAAAAGTTGATTCTTCCAAAGAATAAACAAGATTGACAGACCACTAACTAAATTGTTAAAGAAAAAAGAAGACAAAATAAGTACAATCAGAAATGACAAAGGTGACATTATCACTGACTCCACAGAAATACACACACACACACACACACACACACACACACACACAAACTCAGAGACTATTATGAACACCTATTCACACACAAACTAGGAAACCTAGAAGAAATGGATAAATTCCTGGAAATATACAATCTCCCAAGATTGAGCCAGGAAGAAATGGAAATCATGAACAGACCAATAATGAGTTCTGAAATTGAGTCAGTAATAAAAAACTTCTTCACGACAAAAGAAACCGTCAGCATAGTAAATGAACAACGTACAGAATGGGACAAAATATTTGCAAACTGTGCATCCAACAAAGGTCTAATATCCAGAATCTGTAAGGAACTTAAGCAGTTCAACAAGCAAAGAACAACCCTATTTAAAAAATGGGCAAAGGACATGAACAGACGCTTCTCAAAAGAAGACATACTTGCAGCCAACAAATATATGAAAAAATGTTCCACATTACTAATCATTCAAGAAGTGCAAATGAAAACCACAATGAGATACCATCTCATGTTAGTCAGAATGTCTATTAATAAAAAGTAAAAAAAATAACAGGTGTTGGTGAGGTTGCAGAAGAAAGGGAAGGCTTGTACACTGTTGGTGGGAACATAACATAGTTCAGCCACTGGGGAAAACTGTGGAGATTCCTTAAAGAGCTTAAAACAGAACTACCATTCAACTCAGCAGTCCCATTACTGGGTATATACCCAAAACAAAATAAATCATTCTACTGAAAAAACACATATAATCAATATCATATTATTGCTATTCACAATAGCAAAGACATGGAATACAAAAAACAATTTTTGCTTTAAGCCTGACAGATCTTTGGTTTTTCAACAACTAAATATTGTAAGAACTCAGTTGAGGCTTTCAGGTGTTTGAACTCAGCTCTTTAGACTCTTTGCCCTCACAACTTTAGAATATGGTAAATGTTGTAAGGGGAACAACAGTCATGCATTTCTTGCAGTTAAACTTTCTCAAGGGAAATTCATTTCATTAGTACTCTTGCAAATAATTTTACTGTTTTTCTGACTCAGCCCCTTTATTGGGGTTGGCCCTTCTGACTTTTGACTGAGAGTCTAGTGAGTCTTTAATTCCTTACCTTTAAAAGTTCTCTCCCTCAAGCATTAGTTATTAAGCCCCCTGCCTTAAGCAGGTACAACATTTGGCAAATGTTTTAAGGAGGAGAGCTGATGTGTGTTTGTCCCAGGCCTCTCCATCTAGTGGGACTTGGTTTCTTATAGTGCCATGAGTATGAATGAGATTTCAGTCTATTACTCTGACTCAGCCCCCAGCCTCCCATACCACCAAAAAAAGGGAAATTGACCTTTTTTTTCTTTTCTCATAATTGTCCTTTTCAATTAGTGAATGGTAGACATACGGTAGAGACTCAAAAGTTCTACTTTTGTGATATATTCTAGATATTACTCTAATACAATATGACATTATTCTCTTTTCTTGAAACTTTATTTTCAAGTGATTTTTTGAAAGTTTTAGTCTTTTTTTTTTTTTTTTTCTTATAGAGACAAGGTGTTGCTCTGTTACCCAGGCTCTGGAGTACAGTGGTGCAGTCACGGCTCACTGCTGCCTCGAACTCTTGGTCTCAAGCAGTCCTCCTGCCTCAGCCTCCTCAGTTGCTGGGACTATAGGCGCATGCCACTGTGCCTATTTTTTTTATGTTTTGTAGAGACGATCTTGCTGCATTGCCCAGGGTGACCTCTAACTCCTTGGCTCAAGTGATCCTCCTGCCTCAGCCTCCCAAAGAACTGGGATCACAGATGTGAGGCACTGTGCCAGGCCTTATTTTCAAGTAATTTTAGAGTTACAAAAAAGAAACACGTATAGTAGAGTTCCTTATACCACTCTTCTAGCTTCTCCTGTTGTTAACATCTTTTTTTTTCATTTTATTTTTATTTTTATTTTTTTGAAGACAGAGTTTTGCTCTTGTTGCCCAAGTTGGAGTGCAATGGCGCAATCTCGGTTCATTGCAACCCCTGCCCGCTGGGTTCAAGTGATTCTCCTGCCTCAGCCTCCTGAGTAGCTGGGATTACAGGCATGCACCACCACGCCTGGCTAATTTTTGTATTATTAGTAGAGATGGGGTTTCACCATGTTGGCCAGGCTGGTCTCGAACTTTTGACCTCAGGTGATCCACCCACCTCAGCCTCCCAAAATACTGGGATTACAGGCGTGAGCCACCACGCCTGACCTATTTTTTATTTTTAAACTTTTAGGTTCAGGGGGTACATGTTCCAATTTGTTCTATAGGTAAACTTGTGTCATGGGGGTTTGTTTTACAGATTATGTCATCACCCAGGTACTAAGCGTGGTACCCAGTAGTTTTTTTTTTTTTTCTGTTTGTCTCCCCTGTCCCTCCACCCTCAAGTAGGCCCCAGTGTCTGTTGTTCCCCTCTTTGTGTCCATGAGTTCTCATCATTTAGCTCCCACTTATAAATGTGAGGATGCAGTATTTGGTTTTCTGTTCCTGCATTAGTTTGCTAAGGATAATGACCTCCAGCTCCATCCATGTTCTGCAAAAGACATGATCTTGTTCTTTTATATGGCTGCATAGTATTCTATGGTGTAAGTGTACCACATTTTCTTTATCCAGTCTGTCATTTATGGGGCATTTAGGTTGATTCATGTCTTTGTTATTGTGAATAGTACTATAATGAACATTTGTGTGCACGTGTCTTTATGGTAGAATGACATATATTTCTTTGGGTATGTACACAGCAATGGATTGCTGAGTCAAATGGTGCATCTGGTTTTAGCTCTATGAGGAATTGCCACACTGCTTTCTACAATGGTTGAACTAATTTACACTCCCACAAACAGTGTATAACCACTCCCTTTTCTCTGCAACCTTGACAGCATCTGTTATATTTTGACTTTTTTATAACAGCCATTCTGATTGATGTGAAATGGTATCTCATTGTGGTTTTGATTTGCATTTATGTAATCAGTGATATTGAGCTTTTTTCATATGCGTGGTGGCTGCATATATATCTTCTTTTAAAAAGTGTCTGTCATGTCCTTTGCCCACTAAGTTCCTTGTAAATGCTGGATACTAGACCTTTATCAGATGCATAGTTTGCAAATATTTTCTTCCATTCTATAGGTTGTCTGTTTGCTCTGTTGATAATTTTTCTTTTGCTGTGCAGAAGCTCTTATGTTTAATTAGATCCCACTTGTCAGTTTTTGCTTTCGTTGCAATTGCTTTTGGTGTCTTCGTCGTGAAATTGCCTGTTTCTGTGTCTGGAATGGTATTGTCTAGGTTGCATATGTGGTATCCACATCATCACTGGTGATGTTAACTGATCACTTGGATAAGGCAGTGCTTGCTAGGTGTCTCCAAGATGGAAATAAGTTACTATTTCTTCCTTCTTATACTCTGTTTTTTGAAATCCAGTCACTTAGTTCAGTGCATACACAAAGGAGGAGGGGAAGGTTAAGCTTAACCTTCTTTGGTGGGAGGTATTCACATCTGTTATCTGGACTTCTTCTTAAAGCAAAATTTGCTTCTTCTTTCCAATTATTTATGTGTTCAATTATTTACTTGCTCCACTCTGTTTTAATATTAATTCCCTATGATCTCAAGATATAACTGCAACCTTGAAAACTCCTAGTTCTCCCAGAACTCCTTGACAGAATGCTCTGTTTCTTGTTTATCTTTGTACACTGTGTGTATTTAGCACAGTCCCCTAATTTATGGTGGACATCTAGTAATTTAAAAAAATGTATTTTCAATTCAGCTGAAAAATAGCATTTCCTCAACTAAATTATATAATTTAACATTCTAAATTAAAAGTAGGTTTTAAGATAAAAGTAAACATGTGTGATAACATTGTATCAAACAAAATAAAGGGTACTGCTGAAATTTTACCTTAATAACGTTTGACATTGATGTGTCCACAATATATTCCTATAGCTACTTAAATATTCCTTGAAACCACTTTTGGAAAGAGATTTCAGTCTCTAATGGCCAAGGATATAATCTGCTGTATTCTTTCTCTTTTTTGGTCAGATTACCAGAGAAGATGAAGACCCCACTTTCTGCTTTCTCTGAAAAATTGTCATCTGATGCAGTCACTCAGATAACAACAGAAAGTCCAGAAAAGACCCTATTTTCATCTGAGATTTTTATTAATGCTGAAGATCGTGGACATGAAATTATAGAGCCTGGTAACCAGAAGCTACGCAAAGCTCCTGTCAAGTTTGCCTCATCATCTTCAGTCCAACAGGTTACTTTTTCTCGCGGCACAGATGGTAAGAGAATGTGATTGCATTTTAGATTGTTAGACCAGCTCTTTTGTGTAGTTATCTTAGAAATTTGTGGTTGTGTCTTTCTAGTCAGAAAACCTAATTTTAATTTAAGAATTAGGGTCCATATGATTATATCTGTCTTTTATTTGCATAGCTGTCAACAGAATATGATTTATTATATTTTATCTTAATTTCAAGCACAGTTAACATGTAGAACTCATGCTGTTTGTGTTAAAACTTAGTTTTGTCTCATCATATTTGCAATAAAAATGCAAGTAGTTCATAACAACTTGAAAGTAATTGAGGTCTGCTTTTAAAATGGCGGATAAATTATCTTGTATTACAGTAACAGTAATGTTATTACTATATAGTGCGTATATAGGGAGAGTATGTATATACTAAATACTATAACAAATAGATGCATAAACATGTGATAGTGCAAACACAATAGCAGTTTATCTCTTACTTATAAAGCAATCACCAGAGACCCAGGTTGTCTTCTTGCTCTGTTTTCTTTAAAATATATAACCCAAGGTTATGTTGGATTTACCTTCATGGTCAACAGGAAGGAACAAAAAGCATTGAGGAGCACATATAGGAGATGTTTACAGGTCAGGTCTGGAAGTAACCCAAATCACTTTCCACTGGCCAGGAATGTAGTTTAGCTGTGTTTTCCAAAATGAAGAAGAAATGGATTTTGGTGAATAGGTAGCAGTCTCTACCATAAGGTGAACATTTAGAGTGTTTTATATGCTATAGTTTCAGTGATATTTTGATAGTACTTTTACCATGTAACATTTAGAATTAGACCAAATTGTAAATTATTTTCTTTTTTTGAGTAAGTAGCAGGAAAATTAACAATTAAGTTTCCATTCTTCCCCAAATGAAGATGGAGACTTTACTAATTTTTAAAATATTTACTATTTTGGACAAGTCTACTCAAAGTACATCTTAAGTTTCTCTACTTATACAAAAAACTTGTCCACCTACACACGTAGATGGAATATACCTAAATGTAAAGAAAATTGTTTAGTTCAGCATTTAAATTGCATTGAATTTAAGTAAGTGCATTTATATACTAAGATGGTTATAATTCTTGAACATTTTTCTTGTGAAATTAAAGCATACCAAAAATATATATATAGTTTAATAAATTATCACGAAGAACACCTTTATGTGTTGGTTACCTGTTGTTACAGTGGTACAGTATAACAAACAACCTAAAAAATCTCTATGGTTTATAACAGCAGACATTTGTTTTTCTTACTCACAGGCTTATGGGTCAATTGGACTTTGGCTGGGCTGGCTGTAAGCTGCAGAAATGGTTTGGGTCTGTTCCAGATACTTCTTTCTGAGACTCAGGCTAATGGGTCAATAGCTATCCTAGAGTGTGGTGTTCTCATGGTGGTGGCAGAAACACAAGAGAGGAAACAGCTATAAAAGCAGTGCGCGGTGGCTCACGCCTGTAATCCCAGCACTTTGGGAGGCCAAGGTGGGCAGATCACGAGGTCAGGAGATCGAGACCGTCCTGGCTAACACAATGAAACCCCGTCTCTACTAAAAATACAAAAAAAAAAAAAAAAAAAAATAGCCGGACACTGTGGCGGGTGCCTGTAGTCCCAGCTACTTGGGAGGCTGAGGCAGGAGGATGGCATGAACCCAGGAGGCGGAGCTTGCAGTGAGCCGAGATCGTGCCACTGCACTCCAGCCTGGGCGACACAGCGAGACTCCGTTTCCAAAAACAAAAAAAAAGCATATTTTAAACTTCTACTGTCATCAAACGGATCAATTTATAGAGGCCATGATTTATGGTTCATATAAACTTTTTATCAAAGAATCGATATTATTTGGTTTAGTAATAAGTGTTATTTTCAACACTGTGGGTCAAAAGTAAAATTTTATGAGGTGTTTTTTTTTGTTTGTTTGTTTTTTGTACAAAACATTTTAAGGTACAAAAAATCGTATGTTAACTACATGACTGCTTACCCATTAGTCTGAATTAACAAGTTCCTCTACCCCTCTCCAGTGCTTTTTTCCTTTCCCGGAAGCAGCCATTATTTGCTATGTATTCACTTCTTCCCCTAGACAGGCAGTCCAGTGTAACCTTAAGACTACTGCATCCAAACAAAGTTCTTGAGAACTTCAAAAAATTCTTTATTTGTCTCAGGTCCATCGCCATGTGATAGTCATTTCTGCTCTGGGTCCATTGTAATTTTGTCCAATCGTTGCTGTTAATTTTCTCCAACCTGTGAACTGCATGGCATATTCAGCCATTGCTATCAAGCTTAATATATACCGATGGAGAAAGAAAATTAATAAATCAGTATTCTAACAATAACTACGGGAACGACCAAATAGAATTGGAGGCTACAGCTTTTTTCTTTTTCTTTTTCCTTTTTTCCTGATAGAGTGGTACAAATATTCCTAAGTTGTCTCAGACTAAGGTTGAGGTCCTTTTTTTTTTTTTTTTTTTTTGAGATGGAGTCTCACTCTATCTCCAGGTTGGAGTGCAGTGGTGCAATCTTGGCTCACTGCAACCTGCATCTTCCGGGTTCAAGGATTCTCCTGCCTCAGCCTCCCAAGTAGCTGGGACTACAGGCGCGCACCACCACGCCCAACTAATTTTTGTATTTTTAGTAGAGATGGAGTTTCACCATGTTGGCCAGGATGATCTCGATCTCTTGACCTTGTGATCCGCCCACCTTGGCCTCCCAAAGTGTTGGGATTACAGGCGTGAGCCACTGCGCCTGGCCAAGGTCATTTTTTATTAATTTCTTGACTGGACTTTCTTTAGAGGTCACTTTGCCATGCCCAGTGATAGAAATTAATGCCTCTAGGTGTTAATCATACTCCTTTTAAAAAGTAACCTTATTTCTTGTGGATAATTCAGGTCTATCATAGATTTAGTCAGCACTCTGTAAGCTGCTCTATGTTTTGCTTTAGTGATATAAAAAATGTTAAGTAGCTAGGTGGCTCCTGTCCCTGGTAGAATTGTCCCTTTCTTATTTCTAAGATCTTCCATCTAACAACACTCATAGTCACAAAGGTTGAAAGCAAAAACTTCTTAAAAAGCTTGTTTGTTCCCAAATGCATGCATTCTATCTGGTACTCGGTATAGGCAAGTACCATCTATGGTTCAGAGCATATCCCAAATCCCATAAGAAAGCATTGTAGACTCAGAAAGTGGTGTTCCCCAGCTTATGCCATAACACTTTTCAGTAAATAGCTTGCTCACTTTATTTATTTATTTATTTTTTAGGTTTAGCATAGTTATGGTCCATAAGGCATGGATAAGGACAGTAAATCCCTTTAGGCATCAACCTTTTGTCTCATTTCCTTCATTTGGAAGTGAGTTTCTTCCTTAGAAGCAGGCTACTAACAATGTGGAATTCATTGCCAAAATGTCATCAGAATGATAGAGTTGCCAAAGATGGTGACACAGTTCTAAGTAATATAAAGATTATTGTTTCTGGCCAGGCGTGGTGGCTCACACCTATAATCCCAGCACTTTGGGAGGCCGAGGAGGGTGGATCACCTGAGGTCAGGAGTTTGAGACCAGCCTGGCCAACATAGTGAAACCTCATCTGTACTAAAAATACAAAAATTAGCCGGGCATGATGGCACATGCCTGTAATCCCAGCTACTCGGGAGGCTGAGGCAGGAGAATTGCTTGAACCCGGAAGGTGGAGGTTGCAGTAAGCAGAGATCGTGCCAGTGCACTCCAGCCTGGGCGACAGAGTGAGACTCCTTCCCCCTTCCCCACCAAAAAAAAAAAAAGATTATTGTTTCCAGAGGAGAGCTCATTCTACTCCAGGACTATCAGAATCAGTCTAGAGGATTTTGGGTTTTATTAACTAGAGATGAGCAACTAGGAGTCCATCTAGAAATGGTTACAGGATATAAGAGAAAACCGTGGTCTATAAGAATAAAGATAAACGGAAGGAGCTGGAGGCATTCGGCCATGAGAAATGGTAGCTACATTGAAAATTCATAATCATATGAGCAATACAACCCTATGAAATGCTCAGAAATAACCTAAACAAAAATTTTAAATGACCTAATGCAGGAAACACTAATCCTTTTTGTAAAGATAGAAAATAATAATTTACTAAATTAAAAGGTATGATTCTAGAATGGAAGGCTGAATATTGTAAAGGTATCATTTATTCCCACATAAATTTATACTCTAAAGTAATTCTGCACAAAGTTCTAATGGAACTGTTCTTTTGAACTGTGTAATTTATCTTTATGAATTTATTTTTATTTTTAATTTGTCTGGGTATATAGTAGACATAGATATTTATGAGGTACATGAGCTATTTTGATATAGGCATACAGTGTATAATAATCCCATCAAGGTAAATGGGATATCCATCACCTCAAGCATTTATCCATTCTTTGTGTTAACAATCCAGTTACATTATTTTGGTTATTTTATTTTTTAAGTATTTATTTTTTTTGAGATGGAGTCTTGCTCTGTCACCCAGGCTGGAGTACAGTGGCATGATCTCAGCTCACTGCAACCTCTGCCTCCTTGGTTCAAGCAATTCTGCCTCAGCCTCCTGAGTAGCTGGGATTACAGGCACCCGCCACCACGCCTGGCTAATTTTTGTATTTTTAGTAGAGAAAGGGTTTCACCATGTTGGCCAGGCTGGTCTCGAACTCCTGATCTCAAGTGATCTGCCTGCATTGGCCTCCCAAAGTGCTGGATTACAGATGTGAGCCACCATGCCTAGCTGTCTTTTGGTTATTTTAAAATGTACAGTGAATTATTGACTGTAGACCCTGTTGTGCTATCAAATACTATATCTTACTGATTATATCTGACTATATTTTTATACCCATTAACAATCCTCACTTCCCCCACACTGCTCACTACCCTTCCCAGTCTCTGGTAGCCATCTTTCTCTCTCATGTGTGTCCATGAATTCAGTTGTTTTAATTTTTAGATCCCACAAATAAGTGAGAACATGTGAAGTTTCTGTTCCTATGCCTGGCTTATTTCACTTTATATAATAACCTCCAGTTTCATCCATGTTGCTGCAAATGACAGGATCTCATTATTTTTTTTGGCTAAATAGTATTCCATTGTGCATGTACTGCCTTTGTGTATATGTACTACATTGTGTATATGTAATAGATTAATTTATCCATTAATCTATTGATGGACACTTAGGTTGCTTCTAAATTTTGGCTATGGCGAACAGTGTTGCAATAAACATGGGGTGCAGATTTATCGCTGACATACTGACTTACTTTATTTTGGTTATATACCTAGCAGTGGGATTGCTGGATCATATGTTAGCTCTAATTGTAGTTTTTTGAGGAATCTACAAACTAACTGTTCTCTATAGTGTTGTACTAATTTACATTCCCAGCAACAGTGTACAAGAGTTCCCTTTTCTCCACATTCTTGCCAACATTTGTTGTTGTATATCTTTTGAATAAAACCATTTTAACTGGGGTGAGATGGTATCTCATTGTAGTTTTGCTTTGCATTTCTCTGATGATCACTGATGTTGAGCACCTTTTCATAAGCCTGTTTGCCATTTATATGTCTTCTTTTGAGAAATGTTTGTTCAGATCTTTTGCCCGTTTTTAAATTGGATTATTAGATTTTTTTTTTCCTATAGAGTTGTTTCAGTTCTTTATACATTATGGCTACTAATCCCTTGTCAGATGGATAGTTTGCAAATGTTTCCTCCTATTCGGTGGTTTGTCTCTTCAGTGTTGTTTCCTTTGCTGTGTGAAATCTTTTTAACTTGATGTGATCACATTTGTCCATTTTTGCTTTGGTTGCCTGTATATGTGGGATATTACTCAAGAAATCTTTGCCAATATTTAATGTCCTAGAGAGTTTTCTCAGTGTTTTCTTCCTGTAGTTTCATAGCTTGAGGTCTTAGATTTAAGTCTTTAATCCATTTTGATTTGATTTCTGTATATGATGAAAGATAGAGGTTTAGCTTTATTCTTCTGCATGTAGATAACCAGCTTTCCCAGCACCATTTGTTGAAGAGACCGTCTTTTTCCCAGTGTATGTTCTTGGCACCTTTGTTGAAAATGAGTTCACTGTAGGTGTGTGGATTTGTTTCTGGGTTCTCTGGTTCTGTTTCATTGGTTTATGTGCCTGTTTTTAAGCCAGTACCATGATGTTTTGGTTATTATAGTATTGTAGTATAATTTGAAGTTAGGTATTGTGATTCCTCCAGTTTCGTTCTTTATGCTTAAGATAGCTTTGTCTATTCTGGGTCTTTTGTGGTTCCATATAAATTTTAGGATTTTTTCTATTTCTGTGAAGAATGTCATTAGTATTTTGATAGGGATTGCCTTGAATACAGATTCAGTGGAATACCCCACTGCTTTAGGTAGTATGGACATTTTAACAATATTGATTCTTCTAATTCATGAACATGGAATATTTTTCCATTTTTTTGTTGTCCTCTTCAATTATCTTCATCAGTGTTTTATAGTTTCCTTTATAGAGATCTTTCACTTCTTTGGTTAATTGCTAGGTATTTGATTTTATGTGTGGCTATTGTAAATGGGATTATTTTTAAATTTCCTTTTCACATTGTTCACTGTTGACATATAGAAATGTGAACTGATTTTTGTATGTTCATTTTTGTATTCTGCAACTTTACTGAATTTATTGATTGTGGAGGCTCTAGGTTTTTACAAATATAAGATTGTATCATTTGCAAACAAGGATAATTTGACTTCTTCCTTTCCAATCTGGATCTCCTTTCTATCTTTCTCTTGTCTGATTGCTCGAGCTAGGACTTCCAGTGCTATGTTGAATAACGGTTTTGAAAGTAGGCATTCTTGTCATGTTCCACATCTTAGAGGAAAGGCTTTCAGTTTCTTCCCCATTCAGTATGATACTAGCTGTGGGTCTGTCATATATGGCTTTTATTATGTTGAGGTATGTGTTCTCTATACCTAGTTTTTTCAGGGTTTTTATCACGAAGAGATGTTGAATTTTAAGAAATGTTTTTTCATCGTCAATTGAAATGATCATGTGGTTTTTGTCCTCCATTTTGTTGATGAGGCATCACATTGATTGATTAGCATATGTTAAACCATCCTTGCATCCCTGGGATGAATACTTCTTGGTCATGATGAATGATCTTTTTAATGTGTTGTTGAATTTGGTTTGCTAGTATTTTGTTGAGGATTTTTGCATCAATATTCATGAGGGAGATTGGCCTGTAGTTTTCTTTTCTTTTTTCTCTTTTTTTTTTTTGGATGTGTCTTTGGTTTACTGGTCTTGTAGAAGGAGTTTGGATGTATTCTCTCCTCTTCCATTTCTTGGAATAGTTTGAGTAGGATTAGTATTAGTTCTTCTTTAACTATTTGGTACAATTCGGCAGTTAAGCCATTGAGTCCTCAGCTTTTCTTTGCTGGGAGACTTTTTATTACAACTTTTACCTTGTTGCTTGTTATTGGTCTCTTTCAATTTTGGATTTCTTCCTGGTTGATAGGTTGTATGTTTCTAGGAATTTGTCCATTTTTTTCTAGCTTTTTCAATTTATTGGTGTAAAGTTGCTCATAGTAGTGTCTCATCATCCTTTAAATTTCTGTGCTATAGGTTGTAATGTCTCCCTTCTTAATCTCTGATTTTATTTACATGAGTCTTCTATTTTTCTTAGTCTGGCTAAAGGTTTGTCGATTTTGTTTATCTTTTCAACAAACAAACTTTTTGTTTCATTTTGCGATGTTTTTCTCATATCAATTTTATGTATTTTTGCTCTGATCTTTATTTCTTTTTTTCTGCTAATTATGGATTTCATTTGCTCTTTTCTAGTTCATTAGCATACGTTGTTAGGTTGTTTATTTGAAGTTTTTCTATGTTTTTTTAATGTAGGTGCTTATACCTATAAACTTTCCTCTTAGTACTGGTTTTGCTGTATCCCGTAGGTTTTGGTATGTTGTGTTTCCATTATCATTTGTCTCAAGAAATTTGTAAATTTCTTTCTTGATTTCTTCCTTGACCCACTGGTCATTCAGAAACATTATTTCATTTCCATGCATTTGTATAGTTTCCAAAGTTCCTTTCATTATTGATTTCTAGTTTTATTTCATTGTGATCAGAGAAATGACTTGATATAATTACAATTATTTTTGAATTTTTGAACACTTGTTTTGTGGCCTAAAATATGACCTGTCCTTGAGAATGATCCATGTGCTGAGAACAATGTGTATTCTGCAGCCGTTGGATGAAATGTTCTGTAAATATCTATTAGGTCCATTCAATGTATCTTCGTTGATTTTTCTGTCTGGATGATCTGTCCAATACTGAAAGCGGGGTGTTGAAGTTTACAGCTGTTATTGTATTAGGTTCTATCTCTCTCTTTAGCTGTAAGAATACTTGCTTTATATATCTGGGTACTCCACCGTTGGGTCCATATATATTTACAGTTGTTATATCCTCTTGCTGAATTGACCTCTTTATCATTATATAATGACCTTTGTCTGTTTTTATAATTTTTGTCTTAAAGTCTATTTTGTCTGATATGAGTATAGCTGTTCTTCCTCTCTTTTGGTTTCTATTTGCGTGGGATATCTTTTTCCATCCTGTTATTTTTAGTCTATTCATGGTCTTTATAGGTTAATTGTGTTTCTTGTAGGAAATAGATGGTTGGGTCTTGTTTTTTTTTGCATTCATTCAACCACTGTATGTCTTTGGATAGGAGGATTTAGTCTACTGCTTTTTATTTTTTATTTTAGATTTGCCCTTTTGAGGCTATTTTCTAGATCCTGTAGGCATGCTTTATTCTTTTTTATTCCTTTTTTTCTTTTGTCTTCTCTGACTGTATTTTCAAATAGCCTGTCTTCAAACTCACTGTGTTTAATCAATTTTGCTGTTAAGAGAGTCTGATGCATTCTTTAGTGTGTCAGGTGTATTTTTCTACTCCAGTATTTCTGCTTCTTTTTAATTATTTCAGTCTTTTTGTTAAATTTGTCTTATAGGATTCTGAGTTCTTTCTCTGTGTCATCTTGAATTTCTTTGAGTTTCCTCAAAGCAGTTTTTTTTTTTTTTTTTTTTTTGAGATGGACTCTTGCTCTGTCGCTGAGGATGGAGTACAGTGGTGCAGTCTCAGCTCACTGCAGCCTCTGCCGCCTGGGTTCAAGCAATTCTCCTGCCTCACCCTCCCGAGTAGCTGGAACTACAGGGGTGCGCCACCACACCCAGCTAATTTTTGTATTTTTAGTAGAGACGGGGTTTCACCATGTTGGCCAAGCTGGTCTTGAACTCCCGACCTCAGGTGATCTGCCCACCTCGGCCTCCCAAAGTGTTGGAATTACAGGCGTGAGCCACTGCACCCAGCCAAAACAGATATTTTTGAATTCTTTGTCTGAAAGGTTCCACATCTCTGTTTCTCCAGGATTGGTTTTTAGTGTCATATTTAGTTCATTTGGTGAGGTCATGTTTTCATAGATGGTCTAGAAGCTTGTGGATATTTGTTGGTGTCTGAGCATTGAAGAATTAGGTATTTATTGTAGTCTTCACAGTCTGACTTTGTTTATACCCATCCTTCTTGGGAGTGCTTTCAAGGAATTCAAAGGGAGTTGGGTGTTATGATCTGAGTTTTTGGTCACTGTAGCCATATCTCCATTAGGGGGCACTTCAAGCCTAGTAACACTGTGGCTCTTGCAGACTTGTAGAGGTACCACCGTGGAGGTTGTATTAGTCCATTTTCAAACTCCTAGAAGTATGCTACCTGAGACTGGTTAATTTATAAAGAAAGGGAGTTCAATTGACTCAGTTCTGCATGGCTGGGGAGGCCTCAGGAAACTTACAATCATGGCAGAAGGTGAAGGGAAAGCAAGGCACGTCTTACATGGGGGCAGGAGAGAGTGAGATCTCAGGGATAACTGCCACGTTAAAACCATCAAGATCTCATGAGAACTCCCTCACTATCACAACAACAGCATGAGAGAAACTGCCCCCATGATCCAATCACCTCCCACCAGGTCCCTCCCTCAACATGTGGGGATTACAATTTGAGATGAGATTTGGCTAGGGACACAGAGCCAAACCATATTATTCCACTCCTGGCCCCTCCCAAATTTCATGTCCTTTTCACATTTAAAAACCAATCATGCCTTCCCAATAGTCCCCCAGAATCAACTCATTCTAGCATTAACCCAAAAGTCCAAGTCCAAAGTCTCATGTGAGACAAGGCAGGTAGGTCCCTTCTGCCTGTGAGCCTGTAAAATAAAAAACAAGTTAGTTAGTTCCAAGATACAGTGGGGGTACAGGCATTGGATAAATGTTCCCATTCCAAACGGGAGAAGCTGGCTAAAACAAAGGGATTACAGGCCCCATGCAAGTTGAAAACCTGGCTGGGCAGTCATTAAATCTTAAAGCTCCAAAATTTCCTTTGACTCCATGTCATACATCCAGGGCATGCTGATGCAAGGGGTTGGCTCCCACAGCCTTGGGCAGCTCCACCCCTGAGGTTTTGCAGGGCACAGCTCCCACAGCTACTGTCATGAGCTGGTGTTTAGTACCTGTGGCTTTTCCAGGTGCACAGTGCAAGCTGTTGGTGGATCTACCATTCTGAGGTCTAGAGGATGGTGGCCCTCTTCTCACAGCTCCACTAGGCAGTGCCCAAGTAGGGACTATTAGTGGGGGCTCCAACTCACATTACCAGTCTGCATTTCCCTAGTAGAAGTTCTCCATGAGTGCTCTGCCCCTGCAGCAGACTTCTTCCTGGACATCTAGGCATTCATATATCCTCTGAAATCTAGGTGGAGGCTCCCAAAGTTCAACTCTTGTCTTCTGTGCATCTGTAGGCCCAACACCACGTGAAACTGTCAAAGCTTGGGGCTTGCACCCTCTGAAGCAATGTCCTGAGCTGTCCTTTTAGCCACAGGTGGAGCTGGAGCAGCTGGGACACAGGGCACCAAGTCCCAAGGCTGTACAGAGCAGCTGGGCCCTAGGCGGGGCCCACAAAACCATTTTTCCCTCCTAGGCCTCCAGGCCTGTGATGGAAGGGACTCCCGTTAAGATCTCTGACATGCCCTGGAGACATTTTCCCCATTGTCTTGGCTATTAACATTTGGCTCCTCGTTACTTATGCAAATTTCTGCAGCCAGCTTGAATTCCTTGAATGGGTTTTTCTTTTCTACTGCATAGTCAGGCTGCAAATTTTTCAAATTTTTATGCCCTGCTTCCCTTTTAAACATAAGTTCCAATTTCAAACCCTCTCTTTGTGAATGTACATAACTGAATGCTTTCAGAATAAGCCAGGTAACCTCTTGAATGCTTTGCTGTTTAGAAATTTCTCCTGCCAGATACCCTAAATCATCTCTTTCAAGTTCAGATCTCCAGGGCAGGGGAAAATTGCTGCCAGTCTCTTTGCTAATGCATAGCAAAAGTGACCTTTATGCCAGTTCCCAACAAGTTTCTCATCTCCATCTGAGACTACCTCAACCTGGACTTCATTGTCCATATCACTGTCAGCATTTTTGGTCAAAACCTTTCAGTAAGCCTCTAGAATGTTCCAGACTTTCCCACATCTTCCTGTCTTCCTCTAAGCCCTCCAGCCTGTTCCAATCTCTGCCTGTTACCCAGTTCCCAAGTTGCTTCCACATGTTCAGGTTATCTTTATAGCAGTGCCCCACTTCTGGCACCAATTCTTTGTATTCATTTTCACACTGCTTTAAAGATACTACCTGAGACTGGTAATTTATAAGTAAAAGAGGTTTAATTGACTAACAGTTCCACATGGTTGGGGAGGCCTCAGGAAACTTACAATCATGGCGGAAGGTGAAGGGGAAGCAAGACACATCTTACGTGGCAGCAGGAGAAAGAGAGCTCAGGGGAAACTGCCACTTCTAAACCATCAAGATCTCCTGAGAACTCCCTCACTATCGTGAGAACAAGGTGGGAACCACACTCATAATCTAATCACCTCCCACCAGGTCTCTGCCTCAACATATGGGGATTACAATTTGAGATGACATTTGGTTGGGTACTCAGAGCCAAACCATATCAGAAGTTTCTGATAAGATCCAGAAGAATTCTCTGGATTACCAGGTAGAGACTCTTGTTCTTTTCCTTTACTTTCTCCCAAAGAAATGGAGTCTGTCTCTGTGCTGAGCTGCTTGGAGCTGCTGTGACACAAGCACCCCTGTGGCCACCACCAGTGGGACTGTTCTAGGTTAGACCTGAAGCCAGCACACACTGGTTCTCGCCTGAGGTCTACAGGAACCACTTGCTGGATACTGCCTATGTTTGTTCAAGGCCCTGGGGCTCTACAATCAGCAGGTGGCAAAGCCAGGGAGTCTTGTGTGCTTTCCTTCAGGGTGGCGATTTCCCCCTGGCCCTAGGCAGGTCCAGAATTGCTGTCTGGGAGCCATGACCTGAAGTCAGAAACCTTAGTGCTTTATTCTGCTGTGGCTGAACTGGCATCCATGCCACAAGACAAAAAGTTCTTATTCTTTCCTCTTTTCCACAAACAGAGGAGTCACTCCCCATGGCCACCACTGCCCCAGGCTTGTGGTGACTGCTGGCTGCCTACCACTGATATTCATTCAAGGCCCAAGGGCTCTTTCGTCACCTTGGGTGAATGCTTCTAGGCCTGGAACTCTCACTTCAGGGCAATGGCCTCCCTTCTGGCCCAGGGCAGGTCCAGAAATGCCATCCATAAGCCAACACCTGGAATCAGGAACTCCTGGAGCTTACTTTGTACTCTACCCCTCTGTGGCTGAGCTGGCACTTAAGCTGCAAAACAAAGTCCTATTTAATCTTCCCTCTCCTTTTCTCAAGCAAAGGGAGTCTCTCCTCATAGCCACCATAGCTGGGAAATGTGCTGGGTCACACCTGAAGCCAGCACATCTCTGAGTCTCACCCAGGTGAGTACTGCCTGGCTACCACTGCTCACTATTCAGGACCCAAGTACTCTTTAGTCAGCAGGTGATGAATCCTGCCAGGACTGGGTCCTTCCCTGCAAGGCAGCAAGTTCCTTTCTGGCCCAGGGTATGTCTAGAAATGTCCAGGAACTAGGTCATGGAATGGAGGCCTCAGGACTCTGCCTGGCATCTCTATCATTCTGTGGCTGAGCTAGTATCCAGGTTGCAAGAGAAAGGTCTGTTTAATCTTCCGTCTTCCGAAGTGAAAGGAAGGACCCTCTCCTGGAGCAAGCTGTGCTGTCTAGGTTTGGGTATGGAGTGGTGCAAGTGCTTCCCTTGGCCATTTTGGCTGGTGTCTTACTAGGTTGCATACGCCCAAGTCAGCTGGCTCTGATTCCAGCACATCACCAAGACTTTCCTGGGAATTGTGTTTCTTATTGCTTTAGGCTATGGTATATGCTATTTTATCACAGAAACCCTAAATTACAGGTAAGTAGTCTAGAGCAGATAGCTGAGTTGCATATCTGGTGGCTGTGGCATCCTTCCATCTCTGGAAGTGTGACTTCCATTTCTGGGTCTAGAGTAACTGCTACAGCTATCATGATCTGCAGTATCTAGGAAGTGGGGGGCTTTAATGGGATACCTTTACTGGAATGCCTGGAAGTTTCACACATTCTTGCACTCTTCCCATGGGCTGAACAAAGTTACCCATATGTTCACACATGGCTGTAAGGGAGATTGGAAGTGTATATAGATGTATAGGTGTAAGGAGGTAGGGAAGTTGGACACGAGGTCATATTTGACAGTTTCTACCAATCATGAAAGAAAAACTAGTATATAGAAAAAAAATGTCCATAATAGTAAGATGAGGGCATATTTTTAAAATGAGATTCCATTTACCTCTATTAGCAATTAATCATTTCTTAATGACTATACACGTGCTGTTGGAGGAAGAGTAAATTGTCGCAGACATATTAATAAGCAATTTAGCAGTCAGTACTTTTTTGAAAACTTCATGAATGGTGTAATTTTTCACTTTGTAAAAAGAATTTACCTTGGATGGGTGATGGGGGAGAATAAGTATAAACAGGAAAATCTTTATTCACAGAATTCTTTATAATTGAACATTTTAACACAACCTGCATTTTCAACATTAGGCTAAGAGTTGACTATATTTAATCTGGTATAACCATAAAAATGTGAAGAATAGGAAGTAAAATGAATATTTTTATTATAAATAATAGAAAAGCTGAATTTCAAATTATGCATACTATATGCAGACAACTTTGTAAACAAATAAAAAACAGGAAAAGATGGGTAAGTTATACATTAAAATGTTAACAATAATTATCCTTGAGTGGTAGGACCTTGTAATTTTTACGTTTATATATTTTCTTAATATTGAAAATTCATACTCTTGCAGTGGAAACTATGTTTTGAAGCCCTGTCACATAGATGAGAATTAGACTTATTTTCTATGACTCTGGAAGCAGAATAAGACCAGTATAAGGGCTTAATTATGACCAGGTTAGGGTTCGATGTAAGATAACATGTTTTTTAGTTAGAGTCATCTATATATGGAATGGATTGCTAAAAAGTCATCTCAATGAAACATATCCCTACCATCCTACTTAAACTGTTTCCCCTGCATTTAAACCCCAATTTCTCCTGTATTCTTAATTACCTTCAGCATTTCTATATTTTCCCTGTATCACTTATAATGTATTAAAATGCTAGATAATTTACTCATTTAGTATGTTAATTATTTACTGTATATTTTCCTCCTCTAGAATTCTCATTCTTCTTGAAGGCAGAGATACATTTCTCTTTGTTTACTCATAAATTCCAAAAGTCATGAACACTGCCTGAAACATAGAAGGCATTCCATATTTGTTCAATGAATTAACAAATGTTTTTCATATTAATTGTTCTGATTTTTACCTCCTTAGGCCAGCCTTTATTATTGCCATATAAGCCTTCTGGTAGTACCAAGATGTATTATGTTCCACAATTAAGACAAATTCCTCCATCTCCGGATTCCAAATCAGATACCACCGTTGAAAGCTCCCATTCAGGTATTATGCAGAAATTATTCGAAGTTTTATTGTTTGATATTTTATTTGTGTATTGGCTAGTTGATTCTGGAGTGACAAAAGTCCAGTGCTCTTTAATTTTTCAGTGAAATATGGAACTTTTCATACCTTGATCTCTGGTTCAGATAGGTGAGTTATTTGATCAGATATATACACATAAGCATTTATAAATATTTGATGAAGGAAATTGTATGGATCATTATTTGGGTTAGTGGGCTCCATCTAGGGCAAAGTTTCTAAGCTTTCTTGGTTCACAGTACCCTTAGTTGTTTCACTGATTTATTTTCTCCGCTTTATATATAATAAGCAATTATTTTTTTCAAATAGCAACTAAGGAATTAGAACATAAATACTAATTGTTTTCCTCTGACAACTAATTTAACAAATTTGTTATTTATTTTTGGTTTTGGTTTTTGAAAAAAAAATTTGTTCATAAATAACAATGATGACTTACTAATGACATATGTGTAGCTGTTGGACACTGTGCAACTTCCCAAACCATGAGATGAGATTGGACCCTCTTATTTTCTGCCTTTTATTACAGCAGCTGCCAAAAATCCAGCTTTTGCCAAGGCACAACAGCATTGAAAAGAACATAGCACTATCTGATGTTGACACTTTGACCTTGAGCTAGTAGTTTATCACTGTCCTTTCCCTAGAATTTTAAACTATCCTGCAGCATCCCTGTGAATCCACTACAGAGGAGGTGCAGAGTTAGGAAATGAATAATACCCCATGGAGGCACTAGATAAATATTTCCTATGGAGATTTTAAGTTAAGGGTGCAGAGTTAGTGTGGTGTAGGGTTTTGATTGGTGGGACAGTATTTTGAGTTGTCGACGGGATATGACTTGATTCACTTTAGACAAATTGTTTTTTCCATGATTGTCTATAAATGTCATTATATATATAGAAATTACAAAGAAAGGAGAAGTTGCCCCTGGTCTTAGGCAGACATTTTTGTTACTTTGATATGAAAGAGAACCAAACTAGCTTCTGATAGTAACTGCACTAAAGCCTCTGATACAACCTCGCCTGATTTCCCACAATGATGGCATTGAAAAAAAAGAACCACAAAAATACTCACCACAAGTTAAGATTGTTAAGTTTATAGCCATAAATGAAGAAATGTTTACTCCTTGCAAGGCTATGGTTTTAAAAACACTGTTAATGGCTACCAGAAAGAAAACAAGCTCACTTAATTGATTGTAGGTAGGAAAATCTTCTGTCCCACTTACTCATAGTTCAGAAGACAGAATGTCTGTAAACAGTAGAAACCTGGTCAGATGTGCCAGTACTTTCTGAGGCCTCCAGTGTCCTGCTATCGATATACGTCACTAACACTTCCATCTGGTTGGAGAGATTAACTTAGAGAAAGACTGAACAGTGTAGGTGATGGGAGAAGAAAATGACTCAGGACTGGCACACTGTATCCTGATAAATATAGTTTCTGTAATAAAGTACTGTATGCATCAGTACGACAAAAAGAGATCTAGTTGCCATACACACTTGAGATTGTTTTTTCATGTTTTCATCTATTCTGAGAGTGAGGAAGTTGGGAATAGAAAATAATCCTTTCTTAGACCAGTAGACCTACACTGGATGAAAGCCTAGAAATTGTTCTAATTCCTAGCCGTTATCTATGAATATGTTGTACATCTATAGCTATGAGAGGAGCCAATTAGAGTTTGGGGCCAAGAGCAAGACATACATCATTGTTAGCAAATATTTGGGCCAAATAACTGTTCTTCAGTTGAGAATCAGTAAATAATAGAACTGATGCAAACAACGACGGCAAAAAACTGGGGCAAAGGAAACAGCCATCCAAAGAAAGAGATAAATGTCTGCAAATAAACCAGTCTTAATAGCAACCCAGGGAGTATTTATTCAAGAAAAATGGCCAAATCCCACTAAGCACAGTAAGCGTTAGCATTTTAACTTGCCCTAGTCCCATTCCCAGTACCTCAGCTCAGTGATAGCCTTCAGAAATATAGCTTTCTTTTCCAAGACCAGAGGATGCAAAATGGAGCTGGGCCTCTTTTAAAAGTTCCTTCCCAAAGAATTGTTAATATTTGACCTATCTAGTGGTTCCGTGAAGATTCCACACAAAAGGCTTATCTTTACTTGACCTGACTGGGAGCCATCCAGTGCTAAAGGCCTCTGGTGAAGGGGAGGGAAAGATGTTTATCAAAAACATTTACAGACAAGTATTTTAATATCATAATGGCTGAGGTGTGGACTAGCAGTTGAGGTAAACAGTAAACTAACTGGAAAGCTTAAAAGTAACACCCGAGGATAAGATGTTGATAGATTCTTTGAAAGGCGCTGACATATTCCTAAGACTCTGGGAGACCCCATGTATGCGTAGGCCTGTGTATGCTCAGGAAAGACCCAAGGCGCTAGGTCTTATCTCTGGCTGACCTTGAGGATCTGTACAAGAAGAAAAGGGAAGGCTAAGGTAAAGTTGACAGCTGCCTAGGTCAGTGTTGAAGGTACATCCCAACATATGTGTGGAGCCATTTGATGAAGGCCGGGAGATTTATTGGTTCTAGGCATTTAAGGAAATCCCTGTTCAGGCATTAGCTGACCATTAAGCTAATTGAGTAGTAACTTCAGTGGCCATATATAAAAAGAATATAGACTTTACAGAATTAATTCAGAGAAGTTATTAAAACAACATAAAGCAACAACACCAAACCCTGAGATGGAAGTAGAATCTGGTTTCCAGAGTTGGCGCATTGTATTACTTAAATGTCCAGGCCGGGTGCGGTGGCTCATGCCTGTAATGCCAGCACTTTGGGAGGCCAAGATGGGAGGATTGCCTGAGCCCTGGAGTTTGAGATCAGCCTGGGCAATGTAGTAAGACCCTGTCTCTACAAAAAATTAAAAATCAGCCAAGCATGATGGCCTACGCTTGTAGTCCCAGCTACTCGGAAGGCTGAGGCATGAGTATCACTTGAACCCTCGAGTTTAAGGCTGCAGTGAACTATGATTGCGCCACTGCAGTCCACTCTGGGCAACAGAGTGAGACCATGTCTCAAAGAACAAAAAAACAAAAAAACAAAGGCAACAAAAGAAAAATATATATGGGAGACTTTATCAAAATTCAAAACTTTTGTACACAAAACCCAGTCAAAAGAATGAAAAGGTGACTCACAGCATAGGAGAAAATATTTGCAAATCATTTATCTGTTGAGAGATTAATACCTAAAATATGTAAGGAACCCTTACAACTCAACAACAATAACCCAAACAATCTGATTCATAAATGGGCACAGAATCTGATGGACATTTCTCCAAGGAAGACGTGCAAATAGCCAATAAACACCTGAAAATCTTCTCTATATCATTAATCATGAGGGAAATACCAAACAAAACCATAGTAAGATACCACTTCACACCCATTACAATCACTGTTATTTTAAAAAATAAGCGGAGAGAGCCAAGATGGCCGAATAGGAAGAGCTCCAGTCTGCAGCTCCCAGTGTGAGCGATGCAGAAAACGAATGATTTCTGCATTTCCAACTGAGGTACTGGGTTCATCTCACTAGGGATTGTAGGACAGTGGGTGCAGGACAGTGGGTGCAGCACACCGAGCGTGAGCCGAAGCAGGGCAAGGCATCGCCTCACCCGGGAAGCGCAAGGGGTCATGGAATTCCCTTTGCTAGCCAAGGAAAGGAGTGACAGAAGGCACCTGGAAAATCGGGTCACTCCCACCCTAATACTGCGCTTTTCCAACGGGCTTAAAAAATGGCACACCAGGAGATTATATCCCGCACCTGGCTCGGAGGATCCTACGCCCACGGAGCCTCGCTCATTGCTAGCACAGCAGTCTGAGATCAAACTGCAAGGCGGCAGCGAGGCTGGGGGATGGGCGCCCTCCATTGCCGAGGCTTGAGTAGGTAAACAAAGCGGCCGGGAAGCTCGAACTGGGTGGAGCCCACCATACCTCAAGGATGCCTGCCTGCCTCTGTAGACTCCACCTCTGGGGGCAGGGCATAGCCAAACAAAAGGCAGCAGAAACCTCTGCAGACTTAAATGTCCCTGTCTGACAGCTTTGAAGAGAGTAGTGGTTCTCCCAGCACACAGCTGGAGATCTGAGAACGGACAGATTACCTCCTCAAGTGGGACCCTGACCCCTGAGTAGCCTAACTGGGAGGCACCCCCCAGGAGGGGCAGACTGACACTTCACACGGCCGGGTACTTCTCTGAGACAAAACTTTCAGAGGAACGATCAGGCGGCAACATTTGCTGTTCACCAATATTCGCTGTTCTGCAGCCTCTGCTGCTGATACCCAGGCAAATAGGGTCTGGAGTGGACCTCCAGCAAACTCCAACAGACCTGCAGCTGAGGGTCCTGACTGTTACTAACAAACAGAAAGGACATCCACACCAAAACCCCATCTGTACGTCACCATCATCAAAGACCAAAGGTAGATAAAACCACAGAGATGGGGAAAAAACAGAGCAGAAAAACTGAAAATTCTAAAAATCGGAGCGCCTCTCCTCCTCCAAAGGAACGTAGCTCCTCACCAGCAATGGAACAAAGCTGGATGGAGAATGACTTTGACGAGTTGAGAGAAGAAGGCTTCAGATGATCAAACTACTCCGAGCTAAAGGAGGAAGTTCGAACCCATGGCAAAGAAGTTAAAAACCTTGAAAAAAGATTAGACGAATGGCTAACTAGAATAACCAATGCAGAGAAGTCCTTAAAGGACCTGATAAAGCTGAAAACCATGGCAAGAGAACTACGTGGCGAATGTACAAGCCTCAGTAGCCGATTTGATCAACTGGCAGAAAGGGTATCAGTGATGGAAGATCAGATGAATGAAATCAAGCGAGAAGAGAAGTTTAGAGAAAAAAGAATAAAAAGAAACAAAGCCTCCAAGAAATATGAGACTATATGAAACAACCAAATCTACGTCTGATTGGTGTACTTGAAAGTGACGGGGAGAATGGAACCAAGTTGGAAAATACTCTGCAGGATATTATCCAGGAGAACTTCCCCAATCTAGCAAGGCAGGCCAACATTCACATTCAGGAAATACAGAGAATGCCACAAAGATGCTCCTCGAGAAGAGCAACTCCAAGACACATAATTGTCAGATTCACCAAAGTTGAAATGAAGGAGAAAATGTTAAGGGCAGCCAGAGAGAAAGGTCGGGTTACCCACAAAGGGAAGCCCATCAGACTAACAACTGATCTCTCAGCAGAAACTCCAATCCAGAAGAGAGTGGGGGCCAGTATTCAACATTCTTAAAGAAAAGAATTTTCAACCCAGAATTTCATATCCAGCCAAACTAAGCTTCATAAGTGAAGGAGAAATAAAATCCTTTACAGACAAGCAAATGCTGAGAGATTTTGTCACCACTAGGCCTGCCCTAAAAGAGCTCCTGAAGGAAGCACGAAACATGGAAAGGAACAACTGGTACCAGCCACTGCAAAAACATGCCAAATTGTAAAGACCATTGAGGCTAGGAAGAAACTTCATCAATCAACTAACGAGCAAAATAACCAGCTAACATCACGATGACAGGATCAAATTCACACATAACAATATTAATCTTAAATGTAAATGGACTAAATGCCCCAATTAAAAGACACAGACTGGCAAATTGGATAAAGAGTCAAGACCCATCCGTGTGCTGTATTCAGGAAACCCATCTCATGTGCAGAGTCACACATAGGCTCAAAATAAAGGGATAGAGGAAGATCTACCAAGCAAATGGAAAACAAAAAAAGGCAGGGGTTGCAATCCTAGTTTCTGATAAAACAGACTTTAAACCAACAAAGATCAAAAGAGGCAGAGAAGGCCATTACATAATGGTAAAGGGATCAATTCAACAAGAAGAGCTAACTATCCTAAATATGTGTGCACCCAATACAGGAGCACCCAGATTGATAAAGCAAGTCCTTAGAGACCTACAAAGAGACTTAGACTCCCACACAATAATGTGAGGACTTTAACTCCCCACTGTCAACATTAGACAGATCAATGAGACAGAAAGTTAACAAGGCTATCCAGGAATTGAACTCAGCTCTGCATGAAGCAGACCTAACAGACATCTACAGAACTCTCCACCCCAAATCAACAGAATATACAGTCTTCTCAGTACCATACCACACCTATTCCAAAAGTGACCACATAGTTGGAAGTAAAGCACTCCTCAGCAAATGTAAAAGAACAGAAATTATAACAAACTGTCTCTCAGACCACAGTGCAATCAAACTAGAACTCAGGATTAAGAAACTCACTCAGAACCGCTCGACTACATGGAAACTGAACAACCTGCCCCTGAATGACTACTGGGTACATAACGAAATGAAGGCAGAAATAAAGATGTTCTTTGAAACCAGTGAGAACAAAGATACAACATACCACAATCTCTGGAACACATTCAAAGCAGTGTGTAGAGGGAAATTTATAGCACTAAATGCCCACAAGAGAAAGCAGGAAAGATCGAAAATTGACAGCCTAACATCACAATTAAAAGAACTAGAGAAGCAAGAGCAAACACATTCAAAAGCTAGCAGAAGGCAAGAAATAACTAAGAGCAGAACTGAAGGAAATAGAGTCACAAAATACCCTTCAAAAAATCATTGAATCCAGGAGCTGGTTTTTTGAAAAGATCAACAAAATTGATAGACTGCTGGCCAGACTAATAAAGAAGAAAAGAGAGAAGAATCAAATAGACGCAATAAAAAATGATAAAGGGGATATCACCACCGATCCCACAGAAATACAAACTACCATCAGAGAATACTACAAACACCTCTATGCGAATAAACTAGAAAATCTAGAAGAAATGGATAAATTCCTCAACACATATACCTTCCCAAGACTAAACCAGGAAGAAGTTGAATCTCTGAATAGACCAGTAACAGGCTCTGAAATTGAGGCAATAATCGATAGCTTACCAACCAAAAAAAGTCCAGGACCAGATGGATTCACAGCCGAATTGTACCAGAGGTACAAGGAGGAGCTGGTACCATTCCTTCTGAAACTATTCCAATCAATAGAAAAAGAGGGAATCCTCCCTAACTCATTTTATGAGGCCAGCATCATCCTGATACCAAAGCCTGGCAGAGACACAACCAAAAAACAGAATTTTAGACCAATATCCCTGATAAACATTGATGCAAAAATCCTCAATAAAATACTGGAAAACCGAATCCAGCAGCACATCAAAAAGCTTACTCACCATGATGAAGTGGGCTTCATCCCTGGGATGCAAGGCTGGTTCAACATTCGTAAATCACTAAATGTAATCCAGCATATAAACGGAACCAAAGACAAAAACCACATGATTATCTCAATAGATGCAGAAAAGGCCTTTGACAAAATTCAACAACCCTTCATGCTAAAAACTCTCAATAAATGAGGTATTGATGGGACATATCTCAAAATAATAAGAGCTATCTATGACAAACCCACAGCCAATATCATTACTGAATGGGAAAAAACTGGAAGCATTGAAAACTGGCACAAGACAGGGATGCCCTCTCTCACCACTCCTATTCAACACAGTGTTGGAAGTTCTGGCCAGGGCAATCAGGCAGGGGAAGGAAATAAAGGGTATTCAATTAGGAAAAGAGGAACTCAAATTGTCCCTGTTTGCAGATGACATGATTGTATATCTAGAAAACCCCATTGTCTCA